>NC_000004.12:62671381-63921381 GCF_000001405.40 Homo sapiens | reverse complement strand
TAGAGATATTATTAGTGGAATTATGTGGAACATGTAAGTAAACTATAAATTACTAATGTTTGTGAGGAAGCAGAAAAAATCAGAACAGAGAAAAGGAAAGTGTAAAAACAAGGAATAGAAGCAAACAAACTGCTAGTAAAAATGCATTCTTTCTAGATAGTGGTTTGGGAGTGCTGGTGAACAGGAGACTCAATGATACTACTGAAAATCAAACATGGTCATACTCCCCAGTATGGTGCATTTCATGAAGTATCACTCTGACACTAGCACTCTTAGATTAAGAAGTACTGAAAAGATCTTTGCCCTGTGTATGCTGCCAATATGCATGAAAATTGATGTTGTTTCAAATAACTATTTTAAACAGAAAAAATTTGTTTTGCTTCAAACAATAATGTTGCCATTTACATGCTTTAAATATATGCTAATTTTAAATTATTCTGTGAATTTTGAGAGTTCTTTTTCTGGCTATAAAGAATGATATTCTAGCAAACTATTTCTACCACCCATATGAAATAATTATAGGTCATAAAACTGTAGATTTAGAGAGGACAGAGTCCTACTTTACATAATATAGGCATTTTTATGTGCTTCAGTGTGAAATTATTATATCTGACTCTGGCCTTTTACTCTCTTTATCTGTTTATTTCCATGGTCCCAAACTGTGGAGATGAATACTTAGGCTAAATATAATACCTCAAACCAGCCCATGACTCTTTGAGCAGACAAATATTTAGAATTCAAAAAAAAGAATACCTTATGACAGTAGGTAATAAAGACAATCCTGGCTTTTCACACACCTGATCTGTTTATTTACATGGTCTCAGACTATGAAGATAAATACTTACACTAAATATGACACCTCAAACAAGCCCAAGGCTCTTTGGGCAGACAACTGTTTAGAATTTTAAAAAGTACCATATGGGGAAGCAGAGCAAGATGGCCAAAATGAAGCCTCTAGCAATCATCCCATACACAGGAACAGCAAATTTAACAACTATCCACACAGGAAAGTACCTTCATAAGAAACAAAAATTGGGTTAGTGATCTCAGTACCTGGTTTTTACATCATATCAAGATAAAAGGATTGCAATTCCTGGGCAAGTCATGGTGCTCTGCTGGGCTCAGAGCCAGTGGATTTGGGGTGCACACAACCTAGTGAGGCATGAGTTGGAGTGGCCAAGGGAGTGCTTGCATCACCCCTCTTCCAACTCCAGGCAGTGCAGCTTATAGCTCCAGAAGGAGAGGAAAGAGCCTAAAGTACTTTGTCTTGACACTGGGGATACCAGCTGAGCTACAGTGAAAAACAGCACCAGGCAGAGTCCTGAAGCCCCCATTCCAGGCCATAGCTCCTGGATTACACTTCTAGACCTACCTTGGACCAGAAGGGAAACCACTTCCCTGAAAAGGATTCTGTTCTTGCAGAATTCACCACCTGCTAACAAAAGAGCCTTTGGGCCTTGAATAAATATCAGCAACAGTTAGGCAGCAGTCCCCACAGGCCTGGGGCAAAATTTAGTATTGTGCAGGCTTCAGGTGTGACCCAGCACATTTTCAGCTGCGGTAGTCACAGGGAGAGACTACCTCTGCTTGCAGAAAGTAAAGAAAAAAGTAAAGGAGACTTTGTCTTGAAACTTTAGTACCAGCTGAGCCGCAAGTCACCACAGGCCTTGGGTAATATTCAGTATTGTATTGGCTTCAGGTGTGTCCCAGCACAGTCCCAGTGTTGTGGCCACAGGAGTTTTTGTAACACTCTTATCCCAATTCCAGGCAGCTCAGCATGGGATGAGAGACTGTTTTGGGGAGGAGAAAGTAAGCAAAGAAAAGAAAAGACTCTGCCTTTTAATCCAGTGAATTCTTTTATACCTTATGCAAGACCATCAAAGAGGTACCTCTATGAGTCTGCTAGAGTCACAGCATTACAGGGCTTGGGGTTCCCCCTAATGTACGTATGAGTGCAGAACCAAATATTTAGATCACAACACTCAATTCCCTTTGAACACTTGGAAAGGCTTCTCAAGAAGGACAAATACAAATAAACACAGGCTGCAAATATTACAATAAATACCTAACTCTTCAATGCCCAAACAATGATAAACATCCACAAGCATCAAGACCATCCAAGAAAACATGACCTTACCAAATGGATTAAATAAATCACCAGTGACCAATTCCAGGGTAACCGAGATATGTGACTTTCTAGGCAGATAATTCAGAATAGCTGTTTTGAGGGAGCTCAACAAAATTCAAGATACCACAGAGAAAGAATTCAGAATCTCATCAGATAAATATAACAAAGAGATTAAAATAATTAAAAAGAATAAAGCAGAAATTCTGAAGCTGAAAAAATTTGTTAAAAAACTGAAGAATGCAACAGAGGCTCTCAACAGCAGAATTAAGCTGAAGAAAGAATCAGTGACCTTGATAACAGAGTTTTTGAAAATACACAGTAAGAGGAGACAAAATAAAAAAGAATAAAAAATAATGATGCATGCCTATAGAATCTAGAAAATAGCCTCAGAATAGACAAATCTAAGATATTGGCCTTCAGCCGCCCCGTCCGGGAGGGAGGTGGGGGGGCAGCCCCCCGCCCGGCCAGCCGCCCCGTCCGGGAGGGAGGTGGGGGGGTCAGCCCCCTGCCCGGCCAGCCGCCCCGTCCGGGAGGGAGGTGGGGGGGGTCAGCCCCCCCGCCCGGCCAGCTGCCCCGTCCGGGAGGTGAGGGGCGCCTCTGCCCGGCCGCCCCTACTGGGAAGTGAGGAGCCCCTCTGCCCGGCCAGCCGCCCCGTCCGGGAGGGAGGTTGGGGGGTCAGCCCCCCGCCCGGCCAGCCTCCCCGTCCGGGAGGTGAGGGGCGCCTCTGCCCGGCCGCCCCTACTGGGAAGTGAGGAACCCCTCTGCCCGGCCACCACCCCGTCTGGGAGGTGTGCCCAACAGCTCACTGAGAACGGGCCAGGATGACAATGGCGGCTTTGTGGAATAGAAAGGCGGGAAAGGTGGGGAAAAGATTGAGAAATCGGATGGTTGCCGTGTCTGTGTAGAAAGAAGTAGACATGGGAGACTTTTCATTTTGTTCTGCACTAAGAAAAATTCCTCTGCCTTGGGATCCTGTTGATCTGTGACCTTACCCCCAACCCTGTGCTCTCTGAAACATGTGCTGTGTCCACTCAGGGTTAAATGGATTAAGGGCGGTGCAAGATGTGCTTTGTTAAACAGATGCTTGAAGGCAGCATGCTCGTTAAGAGTCATCACCACTCCCTAATCTCAAGTAATCAGGGACACAAACACTGCGGAAGGCCGCAGGGTCCTCTGCCTAGGAAAACCAGAGACTTTTGTTCACTTGTTTATCTGCTGACCTTCCCTCCACTATTGTCCCATGACCCTGCCAAATCCCCCTCTGTGAGAAACACCCAAGAATTATCAATAAAAAAATAAATTTAAAAAAAAAAAATAAAAAATAAAAAAAAAAAAAATAAAAATGGTACTTTTGCCTTTAAAAAAAAAAAAAAAAGATATTGGCCTTAAAGGAGAGGTAGAAAAAGTGTTAGGTATAGAAAGTTTATTTAAAGGGATAATAATGGAAAACTTCCAAAGCCAGAGAAATATATCACTATTCCAATACAAGAAGGTTATAGAGAATACCATGCAGATTTAACCCAAGTAAAACTATCTCAAGACATTTAATAATCAAACTACCAAAAGTAAAGGAAAAGAAAGTATTTTAAAAGCAGAAATAGAAAAGAAAAAAAAAAACTATAAAGCAGCTCAAATATGACTGACAGCAGATTTCTTAGTGGAAACATTACAGTCCAGGAGAGAGTGACACAACATATTTAAAGCTTTGAAGGAAACAACAACAGCTTTTATCCTAATATATTATATCCAGTGAAAATATCCTTTAAACATAAAGAAGAAATAAATACTCTCCAAGACAAATAAAAGCCGAAGAATTTCATCAATACTAGAATTGTATTACAGAAATGGTCAAGGAATTTACTCAGTCTGAAAAAATGGGTGTTAATGAGCTGAAGGAAATCATCTGAAAGTATGAAACTCACTGGTAACAGTAACTACACAGACAAATACCAAAAATTATAACACTAACTCTGGTGTGAAAACTACTAATATCTCAAGTAGGAAGACGGAGAGACAAACCTAGCAACAATAATAACCACAACTTTTTAAGACATAGACAATATAATTAGATATAAATAAAAGCAACAAAAAGTTAAAAAGTGTAGGGATGAAATTAAAGCATAGAGTTTTTATTAGTTTTTACTTTGCTTGTTAGTTTATTTTTGTGATTAGAGTTGTCATCAGTTTAAAATACGAGGTTATAAGATGTAATTTGCCAGCCTCAAGGTATCCTCAAATAAAAAAACCAACAACAGATACACAAAAATATAAAGCAAGAAATTAAAAGATAGCACCATAGAAAATCACATTCACAAAAAGAAAGACAGGAAGAAAGGAACAAAAATATCTAAAAACAACCAGGAAACAACAAAATGGTAGTAGTAAGTCCTTATATATCAATAATAACATTGAATATAAATACAGTAAGTACTCCATTCAAAAGACACAAAATGGCTGAATGAATGAAAAAACAAGATCCAATTGTCTTTTTCCTACACATAACTTCATTTATATAGACAGAAATGGACTAAAAATAAAGGACTAGAAAAAGATATTCCATGCAAATGGAAACCAATAAAGAGCAGAAGTATACTTTTAGCAGATAAAAGAGATTTCAAGACAAAAACTATAAAAAGGTAAAGAATATCATTATATAATCATAAAAGGATCAATTCATCAAGAGGAAATAACAATTATAATGTACCCAACACTGGATCACCCAGATATACAAAGCAGATATCATTGAAGCAAAAGACATAATCCCCCAAAAAAAATATTTGGAGACTTCAACACCTATCTTGCAACATTGGACAGATTATGCAGACAGAAAATTAACAACAACAACAATATCAGGCTTAACGTGCTACAGAAAAAAATGGGCCTAATATATATTTACAGAGCACTTAATCTAATAGCTGCAGAACAGACATTATTCTCCTCAGCACATGGATCATTCTCAAGGATAGACTATATGTTAGGCCAGAAAACAAGCCATCAAAAATTCCAAAAAAATTGAACTTGTATAAAGTGTTTTCTGAGACCACAATAGAATAAAACTAAAATTCAATAATAAGAGGAATTTGAAAACTATATAAACACATGGAAATTAAACAATAAGCTTCTGAATAACAAACAATTTGTATTAGTCAGGGTTCTCTAGAGGGAAAGGATTAATAGGATAGATGCATAATATATGAAAGGGAGTTTATTAAAGAGCATTGACTCACATAATGACAAGATGAAGTCCCACAAAGACCGTCTGCAAGCTGAGGAGCAAGGAAGCCTGTACGTGTCCCAAAACTTCAAAAGTAGGGAAGCTGACAGAGAAGCCTTCAGCCACAGGCTGAAGGCCCAGGAGCCCCTGTCAAACCACTGGTGTAAGTCCAAGAGTCCAAAAGCTGAAGAACTTGGAGTTGATGGTTTAGGGCAGGAAGCATCAAGCATGATGCTGGATGAAGCAAAGAAAGATGAAGGTCAGAAGACATAGCAAATCTGGTCCTTCCAACTTCTGCCTGCTTTATTCTAGCCGCACTGGCAACTGATTAAATTGTGCCCACCCAGACTAAGGGTGAGTCTGCCTTACCCAGTCCACTGACTCAAATGTTAATCTCCTTTGGCAACACCCTCAGAGACACACCCAGGAACAATACTTTGCATCCTTCAATTCAATCGAGTTGACACTCAATATTAACTACCACATGGGTCAATGAAGAAATTAAGAAGAAAATTAAAAAATTCGTTGTAACAATGAAGAAATTAAGAAGAAAATTAAAAAATTCATTGTAACAATGAAGAAATTAAGAAGAAAATTAAAAAATTCATTGTAACAATGAAGAAATTAAGAAGAAAATTAAAAAATTTGTTGTAACACAATATATCAAAACCTGTGGGATACAGCAAAAGCAGTACTAAGAGAAACATTTGTAGCAATAAATGCACATATAGAAAAAAATAGAAAACCTTCAAATACACAATTCCATAATGCATCTTAAACAACTAGAACAGCAAGATCAAGCAAGTACAAAATTAATAGAATAATAAAATTATAAAGATTAGAGAAAATATAGTTGAAGTTGAAATTTTAAAAGTACAAAATTTTGACAAAACAAAAAATGACAAATCTTTAGCCAAACTAAAAAAAAAAAAAAATAGAGAAGAGCCTAATATTAGACATCTAATACACTTAGAGGTGAAAAGGAGACACTACAGCTGATACCAAAAGGATCATTAGAGACTAAGAAATTATATGCCAATAATTTGAAAAATTTAGAAGAAATGAATCGATTCCAAGACATTCTACCAAGGTTGAATCATGAAGAAATCCAAAACCTTAATTGATGAATAACAGTTACCGAAATTGAAGCTATAATAAAAATCTCCGAGCAAAGAAAATCATGATATTTGATGGATTCACTGTTGAATTCTACCAAACATTTAAAGAAAACCTAATACCAATTGTACTCAAATTATATAAAAAATAGAGGGGGAAGGAATACTTCCAAACATATCTCTTGTATTACCATTGTATCAAAACCAGACAAAGAAACATCAAAAAAGAAAGTTACAGGCTGATATCTCTGATAAACTTTGATGCAAAAATCCTCAGCAAAATGTTAGAAAATTAAATCCAACAACCCATTAAAAAGATTATTTATCTTGACCAACTGGGATTCATCCCAGTGATACAAGGATATTTCAACATATGAAAATCAATGTGATACATCAGATCAGCAGAATGAAGGACAAAAATCATAAAACAATTTCAATGATGCTGAAAAAACATTTGATAAAATTAAACCCATATATAATAACAAAAAAAATTTTAAAAACTGGGCATAGAAAAAACATTTTTCAACACAATAAAAACCATGTATGACAGACTCACAGCTAATATCATACTAAATGAGAAAAAAACTGAAAGTCTTTCCTCTAAGATGTGAAACAAGACAATGATGCCCACTTTCACGACTGTTATTCAAGAAAGTACCGAAAGTCCCAGCTATAGCAATCATACAAGAGAAATCAAAAAGGAAGACATGAAATTATCCTTTTTTGCAGATGGTATGATGTTGTAATTTGAAAAACCTAGAGACTTCTTCAAAAAGCTATCTGGACTGATAAACAAACAACTTCAGTAAAGTTCCAGAATACAAAATCAACATACAAAAACCAGTAGCTATTCTATGTGCCAACAGTAAAGATTCTGAAAAAAGTTAAGAAAGTAATACAATTTGCAATGGCTGCAAATAAAATAAGATAGCTAGGAATAAATTTAACCAAAAAAGTAAATGATCTCTCCAATGAAAATTAAAAAACACTGATTCAGGAAATTAAAGAGGACACACAAAAAAAGGAAAGATATTTCATGTTTATATATTTGAAGAATCACTATTGTTAAAAAGTCTGTACTACCCAAAGCAATCTACAAATTCAGTGCCATCCCTATCAAAATACCAAGACATTCTTCATAGTAATAGGAAAAATAATCTTAAAATTTAATGGAATCATAAAAGACTTACAACATCAAAAGCCTTATTGAGAAAAAAGATCAAAACTGAAAGAATTACATTACTTGACTTCAAATTATATTACGGAGCTGTAGTAAGTAAAACAGTGTGATATTGGCATAAAAACAGACACATGGACCAATGGCACAGTATAAAGCAACAAGAAATAAATCCATACATCTACAGTGAACTAATTTTCAACAAAGATACCAACAATATACATTGGGAAAAGGACAGTATCTTCAATTAATGGTTCTGGGAAAACTGCATATGTATATGCAGAAGAATGAAATTAGATCTATCTCTCTCCATATACAGGAATCCAGTCAAAGTGGATTGAAGACTTAAATCTAATACCTAAAACTATGAAACCACTAAAAGAAAACTGCAGAAATTTTTAGTACATTGGTTTGGTCAAAGATTTCTTGAGTAATAGCCCCAAAGACAGACAACCAAAGCAAAAATGGACAAATGGAATGACAAGTTAAAAAGCTTCTGCACAGCAAAGGAAACAATCAACAAAGTGAAGAGACAACTTACAGAATGTGAGAGCATACTTGCAAATTATCCGTCTGACAAAGGATTAGTAAGAATATACAAGGAGCTCTATTTCATAGGAAAAAAAATCTAATGATCTGATTTAAAAATGGGCAAAAGTTCTGATTAGATATTTCTTTATTTTTTTTATTTTTTTTAAAATAAGTCCCGCAAATGGCAAACAGGTACATGAAAAGGTGCTCAACATCATTGATCATCAAAGAAATGCAAATCAAAACTATAAGGCGATATCATCTCACCCCAGTTAAAATGTCTTTTATCCGAAGACAGGCAATAACAAACGATGACAAGGATATGGAGAAATGGGAACTCTCATACACTGTTAATGGAAATGTAAATTAGTATAGCCATCATGCAGAACAGTACAGAAGTTCCTCAACAAATTAAAAATGGAAATGCCAAATGACCCAGCAATCCCACTGGTAGTTGTATATATCCAAATAAAAGAAGTCAGCAAATCAAAGAGATATTTGCCTTCCCATGTTTATTGCAGCACTATTCACACTAGCCAAGATTTGGAAGAAACTCAAGTGTTCATCATTAGATGAACGGACAAAGAAAATGTGATACATATACACAATGGAGTACTATTCATCCGTAAAAAAGAAATGAGATGCTGCATTTGCAAAAACTTAGATGGAACTGGAGGACATTATGTTAAGTGAACTAAGTCAGGCACAGAAAGACAAACTTCACTTGTTCTCAGACATTTGTGACGGTGTATTTGTCTGCTTTCACAAAGCTATGAAGAAATACCCGAGACTGGGTAATTTATAAAGAAAAGAGGTTTAATTGACTGACAGATCTGCATAGCTGGGAAGGTCTCAGAAAACTTACAATAATGGCAGAAGGAACCACTTCACAGGGTGACAGGAGAGAAAATGAGTGCAAGCAGGGGAAATGCCAGAGGCTTGTAAAACCATCCATCTCATGAGACTCACTCATTATCACGAGAGCAGCATGGGGGAAACTGCTCCCATGATTCAATTACCTCCACCTGGTATCGCCCTTGACACGTGGGTATAATGGGGATTACAATTCAAGGTGAGATTTGGGTGGGGACACAGAGACAAACCACATCAGGGGGCTAAAAATTAAAACAGTTGACTCATGGAGATAGCAGAATAATAGTTACAAGAGGTTGATTACGGTAGTGTGTGGGGTAGGTGGGAACTGGGAATAGGTAATGGGTAAAAATATATAATTATATACAATGAATAAGATCTAGTATTTGATGGCACAACCAGGTGACCATAACCAGCAATAATTTATTGTAACTTTTAGAATAACTGAAGGAGTATAATTGGAATGCTTGTAACACAGAGAAATGATGAATGATTGAGGTGATGGTTAATCCCATTTACCCTGATAAAATTATTACATATTGTATTCCTGTATCACCATATCTCATATATGCCGTAAATATATACACTGACTACCCATGAACATTCCTTTTAAAGTGGCTTGTAGCAGTATGTAATAAAGGCAATCTTAACTGATTTCATTAATCCAGTTTTCCAAGATGAGAAAAGAATAAACAGTATTACTTTTATAAAAAATGTTTAATTCCACATTTTGTAATAGAATTATAGTAAATTGAAGAAACTTACAACCCTCCACAAAGGGAAAATACATGCATGCAAGTATTTGTATGTAAATTTTAAGTTTTACAAAATTCCTGAATAACAAACACAACATTTCAGGTTAAGAAACCTGGTTACAAATAAACTCCTAATGGAATCTAAAATTTTCACACGATCAGATATTTTATATATATATATTACATTATATATATCAGACATTATATCTCTATCAGTATATATAATATATATCAGATATTAGATCTCTATCTATATATATCAGCTACATAGTATATATACATAAGATTTGTATATATAGTAAGTTGCACACATATACTTATATATATATATATACAGTCACAAATGTATGTTTATTTCAATAGGGTATTGATGGATTTGTTCTATATCAATTATTTAAATATTTCAAGACAAGATATGTTTAAAATAAAAGAAAAAACTATTATTAAGAAACATTTTTAAATGCTCTATTTAGTATCCAATTTTTAGTCTATGAATTTCTGTTGATATTTGTGTACTTTTCCACATTTTCTATGAAATCACAAAAAGAAATGTTTTAAAATAAATTCTAATTTTAGCTGTCTGCTTACATAAATTCTATATCTTTTATGGACTTAAAATATTTGCATTAAAATGAAATATAATAGTAAATAACACCAAATTATTAGACTAATTAGTGCAATTGGTAATTTTAACCAAACTGAAATTCAAAACTTCAAAGAAAAACATGGAATATTTTAATATTAAATGTTATTATAGAAAATATTATCACGTAGAAAATCATACGAATGTTATTTGTATATTAATCTCATTTGAAATATAAAAATATAACATGGTGAATAACTATTGATTTTCACATTATCTTCTACCAAGTGGATCTCTTAGTTGTACAGTTTCCTTTGTTATTCGTTTTTCTCTTTAAGTCAGAAATTACAGTGGAAACTGCTGTCTCTGATTGAGAAACCTAAATGCAATAACTGTATCTTAGGGTAACAGGGGCCAAAAGGCAGCATTTAATTGACAAAGTGGATGAGGTTACTGTAATGGACAAAAGAGCCAGAGAAAAAATCTAATTATTTTCACTTGCAAAACCCTAAAGCATTGGCTAGACGATCATTGTGTCCCTAGAAGTTGGGACAGTATACTCATCATTTTACTTGATAAGTGGAAAAGTTCTAGGTCAAATGAAAATAAGTGAAATATGGATCATAGAAACAGAGTCGCAGACTCTCATTCAGTTTTCAGAATTGAGCCAGTTTGCAAATCCAAAATCTTTTGAATGAAGGGGTGGCTTAGTCATGTTGAGGAAGAAGCCCCCTGTTCTGCCAGATTTATACTCAATCCTTCTCCGTGTCTTCCACAAAGGAACTAAGGGCCTTGTAACAGGGTGACTGTCCAGAGGGGAAAAAGAAATGTTCAAGCTTTGGAGGGATCACTGGACACCCATTCTGACAAACTCTAATTTCAGGAGACCAAGAACATCACTGTGGTCCAACAGTCAGAGTAAGGGCTGATGGAGGGCTGATGGAGTTTAAGAGATAAATAGAGTTCTAGCTTAGGACTATCTAAATATGGGTTCAGTGGTTCCCAAATACATCCTGTGAATATTTGCCCAGTTCCAAAATGCATGCTTAGAATAGACATACTGTACTAGATAAGGTGATTAATTCTGATTACTAAGAGGAAGTTGAACTACTTTTATACAATGAAGGTAAGGAAGAGTATTTCTTCAATACAGGCAATCCCGTAAGTTATATCTTCCTATTATTATACACTGTGATTAAAGTCAATGAAAAACTATAAATCAATTCATGCAGAGCTACTAATGTCTAAGCCATTCAGGAATGAAAGTTTGGGTAACCCTGTCAAGTAAAGAACAATGACCAGCTGATGTACTTTCTGAAGGCAAAGGAAATATTGAATAAGTAGTGGAAGAAGGTAATTATAAATAATAGCTATAGCCACTTGATAGTTCTAGAAATGAACACTGTAATTGTTAAGAATACATCTTTCTTAATTTGTTATGAATATGTTTTTGTGTTTATGTGTGTTACATGTTTTCTTTTTTCCTTGTCTTATCCCCTCATTTTACATAAGATGCATTAACTTTATATCTCATGTATATGAGAATTAAATTTACATCATAGTATTTAAGTTACAGGATATCAAGAAGAGACGAGCATTAAGAACTTCGCATCCTCTTGTAGGGAAAGAGCCAGTGAATTTTTTATTTTACACAGGGTAAGTTGTGTCAGGCTGGTAGTTGTCATCCTTATTTGGAGATTTAGTATGTTTTAAGGAGGATTGCAAGGGTGCTAAGTTGAAAATAGAAAAAATGTATATGTTAATTTTTGTGTTAATTTGTCCAGGATATGATACCTAGTTTTTTGAGCAAACACCAGTCTAGTTGCTGAAGATGTGAAGGTATCTTTAGCATTTAAATGAATAGATTTAGTAAACTGAAATATCTCTATGAGTAGGCCTCATCCAATTAGTTGAAGGTCTTAAAGAGCAAGGAATAGGTTCCCCCACCAAAAGCAATTATTAAGATCACAACATCAACTCTTAGCTAAATTTCCAGTCTGCTGGCCTGCTTTTGAGATTTTGGGCTTGCCAGCCTCCACAACAGTGTAAGATAATTCTTTAAAACAAACATTTCTCTCTGTGTGTATGCCTGTGTCTGTGTGTGTGCAGAGCAAAAAAAAAACAGAACCAATAAGATGTATGTGTATATCTGTATATGTGTGTGAGTGTATACAGATATATAAGCAATACTAACTAATATGCTCACTATCACAGTTCAATTGGCAATCAATGAAAATAAGATGCTAAAGTTTAAAATTGGGTCAAGAGTTTTAACTACAAAGACATGTTTTGTTACATTGACTGTTCAACATTTTTATACTGGGATTTCTTTTTGAATTTAAGGTTTTAAAAAATACAAGAAGAGCTTGCTGAGTTCAATGTATGTTTTAAAATTAGTATTTAAGTTACGTCTATATACAAAACATACAAAAAGAAAAAGAAATGAATAGAAACGCGTCAAAGTGGTTATCTGTTATATTTCTTTTTGTTGTCATTCTGTGGAAGTTCTAAAAAGATTATGCACCAACATTCTGTGCCTGCTGTAGGAAATATGTCCACTCAGAATGTAATAATAAACATTTAAAATCCAGAATAGTATCTTTAGATTGCATCTTTCCCAGAAATGTATTTTCACACATGTATCTACATACTCAACTACACAGAGTATCAAATTTAGAAACCTCCACTATTTTTCATAGTCAACTTCCCTTATCTTCACATCTCAAACACAGATCTTGTTTTTTCCTTATTTTCTAGTAATTCCCATAGAATCACACTAAATCATTGTTTGATTTCTTGAATACTTATCTGCTGTAATAATCTCTTTCATTCTTCTTTTCTTTTTTAAAAACGTGTTGTTCTGTTGACAAATGTTGACATTGTTTCCATATGTACTACAAATGATTGTTGCGGTATCCACATTCAGATGCAGTTAAACACACACTAGCTCCAACTGAATAACTCTTTTTCATTCTTTTCAAAGTTTAACCAAATTTTGAAGAACTCAAATGCAAATGTTCCTGCAATGTTCCCCATTAAAAAGGAACATGAAATGTGATACAAATTATGAGGAAAAAAGAATAATTCAAAAATTAAACTAGTAGTTGCATCTTAGTAGATATCATGCCCAGGAAATATTTTCAAAAATAATTGCAATGTTTTTTCTTTTAAAGTTCATAATACATCAATGTCATTTTTGAGATAGTTAATACAATTAATACCACTTATCATTGCTCATTGGTCTGCATTAATCACATAATCTTACTTGACTATAGAAGGGCTGAGAATTTTAGTCATTTATGTATTCAAGAAGGAATGGTGACATGGTTATTGGGGTACAAGAGCTTTCACTTTCTGGACTGAGAAATTTAACACTTAAAAAAAAGTATAGTTCCATAATACAATCATTAACATATTGAATATAGCACACATACAGGATAATAAGGATATATAGACTATTCTAATACTTTACCTATATATTTTCAACACCTGTACAGAAACTAAATTTTCATTGCCTGTTTATATATTGTCTTAAACATTTACATATACCACTGACATGACTTCCTTGTAAAATAATTGACAGTTGAGTACAATTTCACCATTTTTTTTACCTCATTCATCCAATAAAAATGTTTATTATATGTATTATATACAAGGTCCTATTCCATTGCTTAAGGCTACGGTGCTCAATGAATCAGACAAAAAATATTTGACCTTTGGGGATAACATTCCAGTGAAAGGAAATAATAAATAATACACAACTAAAGAAATGATTATGTAGCTAATTATATCATTTTTTTCTCCCAGGCTTACTTGTTTTAGAAATGTAAGAAAGAACTCTAAATACAAGGGGAAGTGTTATTATGGAGGCTGCAGGGAAAATTAGATTTCCATCACCATTCCTTACGGTCTATTAATTTCTTAGTCTTTAATATGTTCACTTCTCTCTTACTGTCTTCTTTAGTTGCTTGTATAAATCAGCTGTCAGACATCACCTTATGCTAGTCACCCAGAATCAAAGTGATTTTTATCAAGAGTCGTAGGTATTGTCAGCTTGTCAAGAATGCCATTGCCTTATGCTTTTCATCATTGCAATTGCTCCTTAATTGACACTATTGAAATCCTGTCAGCTTTTCTTTCCTTTGTTTGCTTTACACAGAATAGGAAAGAGGATGCAGTTCCTATCATTCCTATCCATTAGCCTGGTAAAACTACAGTTTCAGGGAGAGAAAGTTTGGTCTAATAAATCATATATTTCATAAAGAGAAAAATAAGGATGTTCAAATGGAGACTGCAGATGCAGTTGCTTAAATGATTTCTTGTCTAATATTAAATACTTTTAGCTTTCAAATCTTCATGTATAGATTAAATCCCATAATAAGAAACAAATAAAATATGTAAAATGTTACATAATTTTCTTCAGTGTACACAAATAAAATTTTCTTTTTAAGATGTATTTTTATTAAATAGGTGAACATAATTAATTGTTGATTCCAAAATTTGTAAACCGGAATGACCTATAAGCCAGGAATACTTGATAGATTCCTTTGTTTAGCTCAGTATAATATTGTAGAAAGCATCGATTGTCCCATAGATTATTGCCTGTGCCTTTGTAAGTATCACTATAAAATAGAAAAACTAGTGTTAAATGTTACTCTGGCTTAAGAAGTCTCATTACTGAAAATAAGAAATGGGAATCATCTGCTAACTCTAAATGGAAGTGAGAAATACATAAACAGAATTTATATACTGAAGAATAGATGCTTGCATTGAAAACCTATTATAACTTGCAAGAGAGAAATAATTACCAATATTGAAATGTTTTCACAGCATATTCTGTCATGCCTATTTTTATTTTTCAGAATGAGTTTACAAGTTGAAAATTCTACTGACTAAATGTGGGAATATTTTAACTGCTTGCAGTAGATGACATTGGTTTAAGATATTTTGCTTCAAATATAGAAGTAGATGGTTTAATCACTGAGAGATAAACATAGTATCAAAGTGAAGATTAGACATCAGTTAAACAATGGGGTTATTATCAGTTAAACAATGAAAAAGAAAGGTTATTAAAAATGATAGTATTAACCATGAGTGTAAAAATTTCACATTATATAATATTATGTTAATTTTTGCTTACTAAAAAATAGAGTATATTGATATATCATATCAAATAGCATATGTGCTATATTATTAAAACTTATCAATATAGATATTAATTATACTATAGCTACAAAATGGAATTCAAATTAACTCGATGCAATTTTCTCAATAGAGAGGAAGTATAATTTTTAACACAAAATATTAATAAAAATTAAAATAGATGAAAAATTACATATAGAAAACTAGGACAAATAGAAATAATAAATGTTAATTTTGCTCTAATACATTTTGTAAAAATTACCATTGACTTATACATTTCTTTCTCAATCAAAATTTTGCAGTTATGACATTTTGGGCTGGGTGATAAACTTAAAAAAAAGAATTGCACTTGGCTACAATGACTCCACTTCAGAAGACCTCAGGCATGTTTGGTTTGCTCTATTTGTGTTCTCATTCCTGTTCCCAAAATGAAAAAAAAAAAAATCTTCTATCTTGGCATACACACAAAGTGATGGTTGTAATGTGTTATGTACTTAATTTTGTCACCTCGAAATTCATATGCTGAAGTCCTAATTATCAATGTGACTGTATTTGAAGACAGATCCTTTAAAAATATAATTAACGTTAAATGAAGTCACGGGAGTGGGGCCCTTAATTCAGTATGACTAGTTCCCTTTACAAAAATGGAAGAGACAGCAGAAATGCATACTGACAGAGGAAAGGTCATATGAGGACACAGAAGCAGCCATTCTGCAAGCCAAGGAGGGATGCCTCAGGAGAAGTTAAACCTGCTAGCATCTTGATCTTGTATTTCCAGGCTGTAAAATTATAAATACATAAAGTTTTGTTGTTGAAGACACCTAGTTTGTGGTCTTTTGTTATGCCAGCCCTAGCAAACCAATTCATAGTACATCTTAACATCTCTATTTAGGACTGGCACACTCTTGACTCCTTCCACACTGTCAAAACAACTCCCAATGAGAAACCACATCAGTAAGGCAGGGAATATATATGACTTTTGTTGAGATTACAGGGAGGAAGAGTGAATTTTGCTACAAAATAATAGATTTGGCAAAAGCTTCTATTTGAGTCACACATATTTAGTTTCTGCCCTTCTATATAAAAACCAATTATTTAAACCTAAGAATGATATTCCAAAAGTATCAACCAATCAAAATTACAGTTCAGAGTCTTTTTTAAAATAATTTCTACATAAGATCTAGAAGACACCCCTTTTGAACTTGAAATTTAAGAACAACAACAAAAAAATGGGAAAAAAGAAAAAAGAAATGAAAAAGAGAAAGAAAATATATAGGAAAAAGTAAAGAAAAAAAAGGAGAGAAAAAGAAAGATATGCAATACAATGTTTGTGAAACAAGGTCCTGTTCCAGAAGTGGAAGAGATAAAATCGCACAGCTGAAATCTGTAGAAATCCTGAGTCTTCTGATTAGGCCCTAATACTGTTCGTTGATAGTAGCTTGCCAGGACATTATTCTTTATGGGTTTGGGCTCCACCCTCTGAGCATTTCTGTTTTATTATATTACTTCAACATATTTGAAAATGTGTTAGAGAATATTTGTTCTTTGCTCACTGAGCAACTTTTTCAGTTTGATTCTGGCCGTAAAGTACTGAATGTGCAAAAGCAAATTTCCATCTCAAATTGTCAGTCTTACTTCATCTAAGATTGTGATTTTGGTCATCCATCTGTCTGAAAATGTAATTAATTTTTCCTTAATTATTATAATTTGTTATTTTATTAATTCCAGTCAGACCATAAGCATAATTCTTTTCAGTAAATGTTGTTCTCCTCACTTGAATACAGATTCTTTAAACGTAGAAGACATTAGTGTTAGCATGTCCTCAGTTCCTTTTACTTGAGCTTTATTTTAAAAAAGAACATATCTCTTTGGGGAACAAATCAATACAATCAGAGGTGTCTTAATATAATAGTTCTTAATACAACATGTGATGTTTGTCTTGAGAGTTTGTCTTTCAAATATCAGAATTTCTGGATTCCTCATTTTCTCTTTTATCACTTCTCTATCAAATACTAAATTATTCAGCTTCTGCTGTTTTATATTGTTTATAAAAATAAAAAAAACATGGCTTACAATAACAAACATTATTAGTATGAGCTCACTGACCTTGCTGCTGATTGGAGACACCCTTCTTTGAGTATCATATTGGGTCCAGATGTGGTCCCTAGGCCTCCTTGATTCTACAAGTAAGCTGAAGAACCAGCTGCTATATGGAACCTGTTGCTCTCATGTCAGAGGGCAATGACGAATAAACACTTCCAGGCTGTTGAAGGAAGTCAGGGCAGGTTCCCCGATACCAGGCTTCTTAAAATTCTACTGAATTAGGCAGACTGTCATTTCCACACAATGCCACAGGCCAAAGCAAATCACATAGCCAAGCTATGTAATGGAGTGGAAAAGCATACTCCTCGCATGATGGAATGGTGGAGTGAATATTAACTAAACAAGAACAAAGATCTTGTTTATAAAGATCTTCAATCATTGAAAACTTAGTGAAAATCTTCAAACTAGATTAAGAAAAGAAAGCACTCATATGTATTCTATTTTCAGTGAAAACGTTAGAGGATAATTAGCCATAAAATTCAAACTAAAAAGATAAAAAAAGACATTTAGACTAATAATAAGAAAATAGTATTGCTACTATAAAGACACATGCACACGTATGTTTATTGCGACATTATTCACAATAGCAAAGACTTGGAACCAACCCAAGTGTCCATCAATGATAGACTGGATTAAGAAAATGTGGCACATATACACCAAGGAATACAATGCATCTATTAAAAAAGATGAGTTCATGTCCTTTGCAGGGACATGGATGAAGTTCAAAACCATAATTCTCAGCAAACTGTCACAAGGACAGAAAACCAAACACCACATGTTCTTGGTCATAGGTGGAAACTGAACAATGAGAATACTTGGACACATGGGCGGGGAATATCACACACTGGGGCCTGTCGTGGGGTGGGTGGCTGGTGGAGGGTTAGCATTAGGAGAAATACCTAATGTAAATGATGAGTTGATGAGTGCAGCAAACCAACATGGCACATGTATACGTATGTAACAAACCTGCACTTTGTGCACATGTACCCTAGAACTTAAACTATAGTAACAAAAATATATGTGTATATATATAAAGAAAATAGAATTGGAAGAGTTCATTAATCAAGTAACATAGACTTTATGACAAAATTATTTGAAATGAAGACAGTCACTCTATGATAAGAGTTTTGTTTTCTAAGAAAATGTTATATTTTACCTGTATGCTACTAATAATAAAATGCCTCAAAATATAGAGAAAATAAATTGATAAAATAGAAAAAGTAAATAGATAAACCCACCATCATAGCTTAATGACATTGATAATATTGATATGTCAGTTAGTGATTGATATAATTTAGATTTTTGGCCCTTCCAAATCTCATGTCAAAATGTAATCCCCAGTGTTGGAAGTGGAGATGCTGGGAGGTATTTTCATCTTGGGGTCATGTCCTTAATGAATGGGTTAGTGCCATCCTCTTTATGATGAGTGAGTTCTCTCTCTGAGTTCCTGTGACATCTGGATGCTTATAAGTATGTCGTGCCTCTCCCCTTTCTCTCTTGCTCCCACTCTCACCATGTGAGACGCTTGCTACCCCTTTGCCTCCCACCATGATTATAAGCCTTTGCAGGCCCTCCCTAGAAGCAGATGCTACTGTCATGCTTCTTGTACTGTCTGAAGAACTGTGACTCAATTAAACTTATTTTCTTTATTAATTACCCAGACTCAGGTATTTCTTTATAGCAATGCAAGAATGGCCTAATACAATAATAGATCAAAAATAATGACAACAAAGTAAAATAGCAAGAATAACTCTGCCGATTTTTTCGTCCCTTTTCATTTCCACGCTGAAAAATTAAGTCCGAAGACATTATTTGAGAGACAGTAACAGAAGGATCTGTCTCCAAAACAGAGGCTAAATATATCATAGCCCAGAACAGGGTGTGAAATCCTGACCAAGGTTAGTAGAGTATGCATGATGGGCAGTCCAGCACAAGGTATAAAAGTCTAGGGTAAGGAGGGCATCTGCAAAAGAGGATGCCTCTGTGCATACAATCCAACCGGCATGAGGATGACATCTCTAAGGAAAGGCACCCTGGTACATCATAAAATATACTAAGTGCAGTGAGAAGTGTGTCCACGTGGAAGGCCATTGTGATGGAGTATTAGAGACTGAGAAGAATTAGGATCTTATGTCCTTATGAAGGCTTCTAAGTGTAGTGTATTAGAGAACAAGTGGGCTAATGAGGCTGTACTAGCATGGCTCTGGATATGTTTCAGAGTGAGAAGATCACCTGCTTGAGAGCAGCAGCATCTATTAAAGTGCAAACGAGGCAACCCAATGAGTGATTCAAAAGCACAGTTGAAGTGAGGAGAGAATGACAAGAGATTGAGTACACACAAGGGGATTGACTGAGTATGTAAATGAGTAAGGATGTGGTGAGCAAGGGAGTGCAAATATGGAAACCATGATCACTAGAAAAATCCCTATGGCATTGGATTGAATTTACAGATAGATATGCAAATAAATGTGGTTTTAAATTGATATGTTTATGGCAATGTGTATAAATATTAATTAATAATTAATTAATTAAAATTAAATATTTAATTTTATCTCAAGAAAGCCTCATTTTAAGTATTCAATAATAACATGTGGTTAGTAGTGAGTTAGTAGTGTATTGAACAGCATAGAATGTAAATAGATATAAATACAGATAGTGTGCGTTTGTGTGTCTGTATGTGTGTACACACGTGCATGCACACACACACAGCTCATTCCTGTAAATACACCCAAGTACCCCAGCAGAGCTGTATTTATTTATTTGCTCTATCAATTAAGGTCCAGTCAGGAGATATAAACTCTGCAGTGACTTGAACAGAGGATAATTAATATAAAGTAACAAATAAAATTCTAAATAAACCCTTAGAGCTGGGATGTAGTGCTCAAA
This sequence comes from Homo sapiens, assembly GCF_000001405.40. Classification (NCBI taxonomy): domain Eukaryota; kingdom Metazoa; phylum Chordata; class Mammalia; order Primates; family Hominidae; genus Homo; species Homo sapiens. The sequence continues at coordinate 63,900,874 of NC_000004.12, read as the reverse complement.
AAAGGAATAAACTGGGAAAGGAGAATATGGACTCTCCAAGGTTGGAATTCAGATCTTGTTGAAAATGATAGGATTGGAGTCCACTGAATGCTGGAGAAACTCAGCCTGTTGCCCTGAGCAAAAGCTAGCACTGTATTGTAGACTTAAAAATCGACTAAGAGGGAAGATCTCATGTTAAGTGTTTTTACTAATGTAAAATTTAAAAAAAATTTAACAATAATAAAAAAATTGTATTGGACAGCAGTAATGTAAATAAACATATAAATGTATGTGTGCATGTGTGCCCATACATATTTTCCTTCATTTTGTTCAATAAGACGACCTGAGGCAGTGACAATTTAGTAACAATGGACACACTTGGGATTATAGAACTTGGTTTCACAATGTTTTTCTCCACTTAAAGTAACAAGGACATTTTGGTAAAATATCTGATTTGAAGGCTGGGCAGAGAAAATATCTTTCCTAGAATGTTCTTTTTGCAAAATATCAAGGCAGTACTCAAAGAATGCAGGGAAACATCAAAAAGACACAGAAACCAGGCTGGGCATGGTGGCTTATGCCTGTAATTCCAGCACTCTGGGAGGCTGAGGCAGGCAGATCACTTGAGATCAGGGGTTTGAGACCTGCCTGGCCAACAGGGGGAAACTTCATCTCTACTAAAAATACAAAAATTAATCTGGCGTGGTGGCGGGCATTTGTAGTCCCAGCTACTCGGGAGGCTGAGATGGGAGGATCATTTCAGCCTGGGAGGCGGAGGCTGCAGTGAGCCAAGATAGCCCCACTGCACTCCAGCCTAGGCGACAGAGTGAGATTCTGTCCAAAAAAAAAAAAAAAAAGACGACACAGAAACCAGCTTTAAGGGACTCTCACTCGTAAAATCAGAACACTTTCACCAGGGGAAGAAAATATTAGTAACAAATTATGAGACATTACAAATAAAAGAAAACATTGAATCCATAAATAAATAAATTAAATTTTAATGATGAACGTAATATAATACACAGTTTCAATATTAGCTATTAATGGCAAAGGGGAAGAGAACGATTTTAGAATGGAGAAGATTGGTCAACTTACCTTAATCAAATAATTGGAGTTAACATCACTAATAGTGTGTCTAATAGAAACAGTGTGGCCACTATGTGTGTCAAATAATAGCATATAATTAGAAAAAAAATTCACTTCTATGATATTCCACTAAATATGCATACCTTAAAGTAGTTATGAAGAAGCATTTGACAATCTAAATACAAGAACTTGTAAAAATATCTGACCTATAATCTTCAAAGCTTCCAAGATTGTAAAAATTAAAGTTAAAAAAATTAACTATTTTTAAAGATAGACTACATAGAAATAATAAATAAAAGCAATACATGGCTCTAGTCTGGAATATTCTCCCTTAAAGACATTACTAGAAAACTAGGCAAAGTATGAGTTATAGATGAGGATTATATGGTAGTAATTTACTAATGATTTTCTGACTTTGACAATTGCATTTCAGTTATACAAAAAATGTACTTACTTGCAGGGAATATATTCTAAGGTATTTGGGAATAATGAATTTTCTTGATATTTTAGACATATAAACAATCTATAATAGACTTTTTTGGCCTAAATTTTTATGGAAGTACACATTACATGATTGTAGTATTTTATTCTCCAAAATACCCATGAACATCTGTTGTGAGGTAATCTTTCTAAATAAGATCATGGGAGCACCAACAGATGTGGCTTTCTAAAGTCTGCATAAGACTTTCAAGCATATCTTGCCAATTTATCCCCATGTTAGGATGAATACAACTTTTATGGAATTAGGGCAAAATTCAGATGAATAGGGTGAAGATGCATTTAATAAAAGAAACTTATTTTTTCTGTTAATTGAACCATCTGTGCTCTTGACTGGGTATTTTGATCTTCATTGTCAAAGAGCCATCTACCCTTATTATCAAGAACTTACTTATAATGAAATCCATTTAACTAGCTTTTACAAATTCATAAATAATCACTATATACTTGGAATATATTCTTCTTTTCCTGTATATGACAGAGTATTAATAAAATGATTTAGATAAATACACTTGCACTAATTTTGATTAAACAGTTTAAATTTGTATACATTTTTGACCTCACAAAATTCTTTACGGATTTAAATTCATCATAATTTAACTGTCAGTTAATCAGAAATGTAAAACATAAACTCTGAAAATATGACAATTTCAACACTTTTTTGATTCATGCTTTAACTTATGTAATCCTATATATATGATAATATAATAAATACCATGATTTATAAAAGAGCAACAACTGAGTCCAACCTTAAATATCATTTTTTTCACCCATCTAATATTATCATAAGTGCCTTCTTTGCTAGGCCTGGGATGTATATTAGTGGACAATACAGAAAAAATGCTTACCCATAGGCAGGCCCTCCTTTATTTTATATGCCATAAAGGGAGTAGATGGTATATGTGCCTAGACATAAACTGACACACACATGCAAATACATAGCACATAAATACCATTGAAAGCATAATTTTCTGTGAAGAAAATACAAAGGGTCATGGTAGCTCTACATTAAACAGAGTGATCAAAAAAGTTTTCTTTGAATAAATGACTTTTGAGATCCACTAGAGAAGAATCCATGCCACGAGTCTGCAAATGCAAATATTTTTAGGTAAAAGAAGTTAAATTAGTTTAAGAAACTGAAAGAAGTTGTGTGTGGCTGGAGCAGAGTGAACACAAAATAATGTAGAGCAGAAAAAAAAGTGGATAATGAGACAGAAGCCAGGGCATGTAAGGCATTTAACTTCATGGCAAGAAGTTTGGATTTTCGTTTTTGTGTGGGTTGTAAAGCCTTTGAACACTTCTAAATTAAGTTAATTTTGTTTTTTTTGTTTTTTTTTTAAATGCTTAGGACTCCAGAATCCAGAAGGTATAATCAGAGTGAGTGGTGGGAGGTGAGGCTCCAGAGTTAGACAGGTGCTAGATTATACCAAGTAGTGCAGGCCACTATATTAAGGATATTAGAACTGATTCTTGGACCCACTAAAGGTTTTAAAGCAATAAAATGGGCTTATCAGATTCATATTTATTTCAAACACAGAACATGAAGATGCATATTACAATATTTTTCATGTGGCAAAAATGAGACTCCCTGTAAGTAACATCTATGGCTAACCGTTAAAATTACTTACATTCAAATATTTTGCTAAGTGTATGTACTTCCCTTAAGACTTGATTGATGGAAGGGAACACAATTATAACATATGATGACGTGATTCTTTCTATAATACTACAACTCCATTTTATGTCACTATATACAAATTACTTAAGAAATTGAAACATTAAGTTACCAAATATTTGACAAGAGTAAAGGAACACTGATATGGTTCAGCTTTGTATCCACCAAAATCTCATCTTGAATTGATATTTCCATAATCCTCATGTGTCATGGGAGGGACATGGTGGGAGGTAATTGAATCACAGGGGTGATGGTTTTATAAAGGGAATTTCCCATTTGCTCAGTTCTCATTCTCTCTCCTGCTGCCCTGTGAAGACGTGTTTTCAGGCATGATTTTAAATTTCCTGAGGCCTCCCTATCTATGCAGAACTGTGTCAATTAATCCTCTTTCCATTATTAATTGCCCAGTCTCTAGCAGTTATTTATAGCAGCATGAGAACAGTCTAATACAGTAAATTGGTGCCATGAGTTGGTGGGTTGGGGGAGCTGCTATAAGGATATACAAAAATGTGGAAGTAACTTTGAAACCGGGTAGCAGGCAGAGGGTGGAGCAGTTTAGAGGACTCAGAAGAAGACAGGAAAACATGAGGCAGTTTGGAACTTCCTAGAGACTTGGAGGGCTCAGACAACAGGAAGATGTTGGAAAGTTAAGAACTTCCTAGAGACTTGTTGAAAGGCTTTGACCAAAATGCTGATAGTGATATGGACAATGGTTGAGGTGGTCTCAGATGAAGATAAGGAAATTGGAGAAAAGGTGTTGGGAACTGGAGAAAAGGTGACTCTCGTTGTGCTTTAGCAAAGAGACTGGTGGCTTTTTGCCCCTGCCCTAGAGATCTGTGGAATTTTGACCTTGAGAGAGATGATTTGGGGTATCTGGCAGAAGAAATTTTTAACAGCAAAGCATTTGAAAGGAAACAGAAGATAAAAGTTTGGAAAATTTGCAGCCTGATGATGCAGGTAGAAAAGAAAAAAACATTTTCTGGAAAGAAATTCAAGCTGGCTGCAGAAATTTGTGTAAGTAATAAGGAGCCAAATGTTAATCACCAAGACAATGGGGAAAATGTCTCCAGGGCATGTCAGAGATCTTCACAGTAGACCCTTCCATCACTGACCCATAGTCCTAAGAGAAAAAAGTGGTTTCATGGACCAGGCCCAGGGTCCCCCAATGTGGCAGCCTGTGGACTTGGTGCCCTGACTCCCAGCCACCCCACCTATGGCTAAAAGGGACTGTGGTACAGCTCGGTTCATGGCTTCAGAGCATGCAATCCCCAAGCCTTGGCAGCTTCCACATGGTGTTGAGCCTGTGAGTACAAAGAAGTCAGGAATTAAGATTTGAAAACCTCCTAGATTTCAGAGGATGTATGAAATTACCTAAATGTCCAGACAGAAGTTTGCTACAGGGGTAGAGCCCTCATGGAGAACCTCTGCTAGGGCAATGCAGAAAGGAAATGTGGGTTTGGAGTCCCCACACGGAGTCCCTACTGGTTGGAGTCCCCACACAGAGCTCCACTAGAGCACCTAGCGGAGCTGCGAGAAGACGGCTACTGTCAGCCAGACCCCAGAATGGTAGATACAGCTGGCATCATGTGCCTGGAAAGGCCACAGACACTCAATGCCAGCCTGTGAAAACAGTGAGAGGGTGGCTGTACCCTGCAAAGCCACAGGGATGGAGATACCAAAGGCTGTGGAAGCCTACACACATTAGGGTGACCTGAATGTGAGACATGGAGTCAAATGTGATTCTTTTGGAAATTGAAGGTCTAATGACTGCCCTATTAGATTTCCAACTTGCATGCAGACTATAGCCTCTTTATTTTGTCTAATTTCTCCCATTTTAAACTGGTGTATTTACCCAATGCCTGTTACCCCCATTGTATATAGGAAGTAACTAACTTGCTTTTGATTTTACATGCTCATAGGTGGAAGGGACTTGTCTTGCCTCAGATGAAACTTTGGACTTGGATTTTTGGGTTAATGCTGAAATGAGCTAAGACTTTGTGAGACTGTTGGAAAGGCATGATTGTGGTTTGAAATGTAAGAACATGAGATTTGGGAGGGGCCAGGAGGGGAATGATATAGTTTGGCTGTCTCACCACCCAAATCTCATCTTGATTTGTAGTTCCCATAATCCCCACGTGTCGTGGGAGGTACCCAGTGTGGGGTAATTGAATCGTGAGTTGATGGCTTTATAAGGGACGTTTCTCTATTTGATCAACTATCATTCTCTCTCCTGCCACCTTGTAAAGAGGTACTTTGTGCCATAATTGTAAGTTTCCTGAGGTCTCCTCAGCCATGTGAAACCATGAGTCAATTAAACCTATTTCCTTTATAAATTACCCAGTCTTGGGCAATTCTTTTTAGCAGCATGAGAACAAACTAATACAAATACATTTTTTTTTCAAAAATGTACTCAATATAACAAATGCATATTTTTTGTACACATGTAGGAGGGAAAATAAACTAAATTATAGAAGGATATTAGAGGAAGAGAAGAAAAGAGAAACATGGAGAGAGAAAAATAATGCAAAGCCAGGTAGAAAATAAATTTCAATATCAGAGAACTTGGGACATTTCCCAAAACGTAACAATAATATACTGAATATATTGTTAAATATATATTCTCCTGAACAAAGTAAGCAAGTATTTACAATAAAAATTATTTAAAGTGATTTATATTAGCAGACATTAAAAAATGAAATTAGACACATATGAACTGAATAGTCTCAATACTTTCTGAAACAAATTTGCACCAGCAAATATTAAAATATCCTCTGTGTCAAACTCTTTCTACCTAAAAGTCTAATTAAGCCCTTTCTTGTGACTTAAAAAGAGGCTGGACAAGAGAGTACATAGACATTCTTTAATATAAGCTGTTTTTCTCAGAATTATTAAGCCTTGGAGCACATTCAACTTCAGCTGACAGTGTTATATTTTATAAAGCACAATTAGGCATTCTAAGGCTCTTCATGTAACAAAAGACAATAATAATTTAGTTGGTATTATCGGAGCTCTAGTTCTATTCTTGATATAAGAATAAAATAGTTTTAGAAATTTCAATGCTGTCTTACTAGAGACACTGATGATTATTTTTATATTTACCTCATTTGACTCCAATAATCATATCATACAACTTCCATGGTGCTACACAGTATTGAGCCCATCAGCAATTTTGATAACTGGCCAAAAAACTCATCTGTTTTTGTCTGCCTTCTCTTCTCTGTGTCACTTCTTCACAACCCTGGTAATTGTTTGTTTGTTTGTTTTCTGTGGCTCTCAGATAAATGATCTGGACTTAAATACTTGAGTTACAGTCTCCCTCTGGGAAAACCCAAATAATATTTTTACTAGAAATAAGCCAAGGAAACAGATACTCATGAAGAGATTCTGGAATTAAATTATTTGCCAGCAAAATGACAATAAAACCACATTCTGATGGTGAACAGATGTTATAAATGCTAATATGCTGTAGCATTACAGTCACTAAGGTTCCTACATGTGTGAAATTAGGATGGGATTACAGACAAAAGGAGTTGTGCTGACCTAGGCAATCCTTCTTCCACTTGTGAAAATAGTGGAAATAATAGTTGTGGGGATGCTAGTGTTGATTGGTTAGTTTTTGTTAAGCATTGTCAATGCACTCAAGAAGAAAATTAGAGGCTTAAGTCAGGCAACCCCAAAGTCAGTAAATTATGTGAAAACCAGAAGGTCTATGAAAGCTGCAATTCCTTATGAGAAGATTTAAAGATAACCCCATAACTATTGCCTGAAACAAGGCACAGGACTTGATTTTCTGAAAGAAGAATTGCAGAGAAGGTTTGTTCAAAGCTCTGGCAATTTTCACAAACTAAACCCATAGCTTTAATAGACTGATAGATCCTGACACCTGGAATAGAGACATCTAGTGCATGTGCTTGAGAACTTGGATCTCTAAACACTGTTACATTAGTAGAGAAGCCGTTCATCTCTTGATAATATGCAAAAGCTTCAACTGAAATACATTCCTCCGATAATGATACTCCTCAAAATTGGCCCTCATATTCCTTAAGGTGTTTTAGGTTAATTGCTAGGATCTAGTCTCAGCATTGCTTATCTCTGCAATCATTACACTATTTCAGGGGGAAAGTAATTAACCTGCAAAAAAGCTGCAAGTCTAGCCTAATATATTCATATACAAAGAAGAAATATGTAATTAGAAATGGATTTTGAAAAACTGGAGTGAAGGGGTAATGCAAAATATAATTGAAAGAAAGTTACTAATATGAATCATCCTTGTGTAACATAGGATTTAGCATCCTTAAGCTAGTCTTAATATAATGCGTGGGTGGTTCCTTAAATGAATTTGTCTGAATGTAAACAAAATAAAGGCAAAAAAATAAATACACAAACAAAAAACAATGGTTTACAGTAAATGAGGAGCAAATGCAAAATATGCAAACTATTGAGGACTGGGTCAAAGTCTGCTTAGTCCCATGTTAAAAAAAAGACATATTACACAAACCTAGATAAACTATTGTTATCTCGATTCTCTTGGAGGTCCCAGAGGATATTTCTTTCTCTAAATTAATAAGTAGTGTACTAATGAGAGTGTTCCTGGTATCCTTAAAAAGTCATAATTTTTTGTCCTTTTTAGATTATGATTGATGATAGGAGACGTTGTTATGAAACTGGGTTACTAAGCGTTAACAGGGACAGTAAGATTTTAGAAAGCAGAAGCTGGGTGGCAGGATTTGACAGTAACTTCAACTAGTAGGAAAGCTGAATGATTCACAGAAGTTTATGGGGAATGATTAATAGACCATGGAGTTCCTAGGGGTGATGTTGAGGAGCAGCCAGTAAGGGTATTCCTTGAGCTATATAACGAAATGCACTCAAGGGCTAATTAACCCAAGTTTACTTTCAGCTACCTGGATACAAAATTAACAACTCTACTCAGTTTACAAATCTCAATACTAAAGCAAATGAACTGAAGAAATGTCTCAGTCACCTTGAGGGAAATCAACAAAACATCACAGCAACTATATATGGTGGAACTTCCCTCAATTATTCTCTAAAGGTGCCCATAGCCGTTTATCAGAATAACTATTTGCTAAGGAAAAATAATGCCCAGAACAAAGCTGACAAAGACAACAGGAGAACAAAAATATTGTTGTATTACATTAACATGGGGATATATATGGAAGCCAGGTGATAAATCCACCTCTCACTAGTTGGCCTATGACTCCACACTGTACTTATTCACTAGTCTAAGGTCATAATCAGGATGGATATATTTAACCAGTAGCCAAACCCTCTCATTAGCCCCCTGAGATGAGGAAAAGAGCCATTATGGTAAGAAACATCAAATGGAAGCTCCTGAAACTTTCTTGCCCCTGCCTAGGTTGGGAAATCAGAAGCAACATTTCAACTTAGGTGAAATGAGAGAGATAAGTGCCACTCTTACAGCATTCAACAATTAAGGATTGATGTACCCTTCTTCAACTCACCAGTCCCTATAACAATCTTATGGATTACAGTGACTGTCAAAGGAGTACTATGACCTTACACAAGTATACTACCAATTGCTATTGCTTTATCAAAAGTGATATTTTACTAGAACAGATTAATACAGATTTTGCAGCTATCTGTCTGAAAAAATTGCATGTAATAATGTTCACTAGACATTAGAGTAATAACAGCAAATGCTTTGATAACCCTAGTTAGACCCATAATGCCACAGATGTGATACTGTAAAATATAAAGATTTAGGAAACTGAAACATTAGTGTAATTTTTAGGGTTTAGTGCTATTGAACATACCTGCATATTCCCTACAAGTTAAAGGATGTATTGTTGCACCTTGCCATTGTCACCACCAAGAAAGAGATGGAACACTTGGTAGACTCCTTTGAAGTTTGCATATAGCAAATATTGTTTTGACAGTAGTCTCAGGAGACTTGGAAACTGCCAGTTTTGAGTAGGGGCTGGAACAAGGAAGAACTGTAGCAGATCCAGAATTCAATACAAGTGGCTTTGCCATTTGGTCCACATAATCTCATAGGTCATATGGTGATAAAGATAATGGTTGCAAATAAGGATTACAAGGAGTTTCTGGCAAACCCCTATAGAAGAGTCACATTTCAGTCACCTAGGGTTCTAAAAAAAAGATCGTATTGGGTCAGGTGTGGTGGCTCATTCATGTAATCCCAGCAATTTGTGAGGCTGAGATAGGTAGATTGCTTGAGCTCAGGAGTTTGAGGCTAGACTGGGCAACAGAGTGAGGCCCTGTCTCTACAAAAAACAAACAAAAATTAGCTGGGCATGGTAGCATGTGTCTGTGGTCCCAGCTATGTGGGAGGCTGAAGTGAGAGGATCGCATGAGTCGGGGAAGTGGAGGCTGCAGTGAGCCAAGATGGCACCACTGCACTCCACCCTGGGTGACATAGCCAGATTCTGTCTCAAAAAAGAAAAATCATGTAAGCTGCATTAGAAGTCTTTTCATCATTCAAAAATATAAAAAGTCAGATGCTCTTTCAACTAGTAGAGACTGAGTTCCTAACGATGATATGTCTAGTTGACTGTGCAACTGGTGCTACTCATCAAGAGATGGGTATTGTTAATTCCTAGGTTATAATATCAGGTATCCATAGAAGCAATTTATTGTTTAATAGAAATGACATATTAAGTCTAGTCACAAAAGACCTATAGGACCTAGATAATGTGTAGCAGTAGAAACATAGAAAACATGAGTGAAAATGGGTGGTTTGGTATTGGAGCAAATTGAAGAGCACAAACAATATACAGTAATAAGTGGCCCAGACTTATATCCCCTAACTCTAATTTTCTGATGTTCTCTGATCAAGTTACACCAATTTCTGTGGTTTTAATATAGTCATTTGTTGCTGAAAAAAAAATGAAGTTTGAGTCAAGGGTGGGTTGGCTCAATAAATCAATATGAGTGAAATTAAACTGATGCTACTTTATAGAACCCCTTGGGGAATCCCTGAAAGTTTTGGTGAGGGCAAACATTCTGTTGAGAGAATTTAGAAGACAGATAAATAGCATGAAGATAAATCTGTGGGCGTAAACCCCACATTTATGGATTCTTGTTTCTTAGATCAGTGTCCATCTGAGAGCATTCATGACAGAAGGAGCAACAAAGCAACCTAGGAATGACTCCTTTAGTTGAGTTCAGCCAGCCTTTTTCCGTGGTTATCCCAGGGCTGGCCCACAGATTCATGAAATAGTAAACCCTAGTGGTAGAGAGGAGAATCTGTGTGATTTCTAAAATGTGGGCACTCCAAATTCACCACCTTGTTGGCACTGAGATTATGCTTCCTCTGGGCTTTTAGCTAAGAAACTGACCTCCATAGAGATATGAATGGGAGATTCATAGGATGAATGAGTTCCATTAATCTCATTGGAGATGCCTGATTCCTCTTCCAGAGTGAATTAAGAACCCTCCCTGGCCTGGCTACAACAATGTTGTAGTGTGGCACTCTTTCTACTCACCGCTTTGTTCTTCTTCTGATCTTTCATAGGCATCAGGCCAGCATCACGGTCTGAAAGCTCTCCTCATCTCTTTTGTCTCTTGATCCTTTTCCCTCACAGGGGTTTCACTAGTATATCTCTTTTATATCTAGTACCAATTTGTCATCTGCTTTTTTGGGGCATCCAAACTAACCCAGTATTAGAGAATTATTTCGAATGTCAGATAATTACAGTGGTAAGCACTGAGTGTTAAAATTAAAGGTTACTCAAACTATCATGGGGAGAGAAAAGCTGAAGACAAATAAAGCATTTGACATGTGTCCAAGGCTAGAATGGAATTGTAATGCTAATTTGTTTTTTTAGAGGTCACATTTTTAAGTAAATATTTTATTTTAAATTAGATTTAATTTACAGAAAATTTGAGATGATAGCAAAGTTCCATATACCCCATAACCTGTTTCTCCTGTTAATCTTTGCTTACCCATTCCAATCATCTCATCATTCTTTCTCCAAGAGTGTGATCTTTCTGAATTTCAGATATGGTGGTCTTTTCCTTGCTTAAAATCTTTCAGTTGCATCCCTTCTGTTATTGCTGCAATAAAACCTAAAATCTAGCATTGTTTTGAGAGTCTATATGGTCTGGCCCCCCATAGGTTTTCTAATTTCAATCATAATTAAAGTTTTTCTAATTGTCTACTTATGCTAACCATTCTTCCTTTCCTCAGTGAGGAAGGCTTGTCACTTTGATATTCCATGGTTTTGTTTACAATTTATGTTTGTTTTTTGTATCTTTTGCCTAAATGATTTTGTTGCATTGTCCTCAATCAAGCCTCACTTCCTGCTTTATCTAAATTATCATTTACCTAGGTAATTACCACTGTTATGTTAGATGGCAAATAGGCACAATGTCCTCAAAAAATACTCTGAGAGTTGTTTGTGTTACCAATGTTATTTGCATTTCCTATGTCTCCTCAGTTTTTTAATAGCCCTTTAAATGTATGTATCCAACACTTGATTCTAAGATATATGATAGCATGTGTATCTTGCTTCTAGTACATATCCCAGTGTCTAGCAACTGGTGGGGCATTTGTCAAAGCGTAAATAAGGCAGAAAAAGAAAAAAAGAAGGAGGAAGAGATGGAGCAAAGGGAAAAAAGGAAGGAAGGAAAAAAGGGAGGGACAAAGAAAGCTATTTCAGGCTACTTAGCCAATATAAGAAAAATATACCAGTTGTATTAATGTTATTTATATATTAGGAATCAAGTCTGCAAACGATGACAAAATTTTGCAGCCCTGTTTGCACTTGAGGGAAAGTTATTTTGGCATATATCTTTTTTTTTTTCCTTTTAGACAGAGTTTCACTCTTGTTGCCCAGGCTGGAGTGCAATGGCATGATCTTGGCTCACCGCAACCTCCGCCTCTGGGGTCCAAGCAATTCTCCTGCCTCAGCCTCCTGAGTAGCTGGGATTACAGGCATGCACCACCACACTCAGCTAAATTTTTTGTATTTTTAGTAGAGATGGGGTTTCATCATCTTGGCCAGGTTGGTCTTGAACTCCTGACCTCGTGATCCACCCCCTTGGCCTTCCAAAGTGGAGGGATTACAGGCGTGAATCACCATGCCCAGGCAGGCACATATCTTAACCTCAAAAATGTACAGAACAATTAGGTGAAAAACTTGAATATATAATTAATCGTTTTTTCTTTCCAGGTTACTCAATAAGAGTAATCAGATTTCTGAGAAGAAGTCAAAATTTTTTATATAAATGAAGTAATAAATTTCTTTGACTCCAAGGCCTAATAATTTACCACAATTTCACTAGAATCCTGTATAAACATCATCTGTTTAAAAGCTCATTGGAAATATAGAAATTTTTAACAATCATATTAATTTCTTTAATGTTAAGTATTTAGATATTTAATTGTCTAATGATATAGTGAATTTTTCAAAATATCAATGAGTTTATCTTATTTGAAAATGGAACTCTAATATAATTTATATTTTCTAAATCTAAAATTTTTTTATTGATTTTCACTATGTTCTTACTTTGGTTTAATTTGTATTTTAGAAATATATAAAATTTACCTAGCTATATGTCATATTCGCTTTATACTTTGGAAGTAGTTCTAGTATTCGCCTGCATTACATTTGTACCCTGCTCACTTTAAGAACAGTGTTATTTTAGCATGTGTATTTTATAGGACTGAGTAATACGCTATATTTACTAGAAAGCCTATAAATAAGAAAAATTTTCCATGAAATTATCAAACTATGTTCATTGGCAGTAGTTCACAAACGTTTTGTATCAAGATTCATTGCAATTTCCAATAAAGATTACTGAGCAAATTTTTGGATAAGATTTTGATGCATAGTAAAAACACACAAATCTGATTAAAACATAAAAATCATTGATTTACAAACACCTTATTTTTAACTTAGGTGATGAATACTCATTAACAATTTCACTGTAAATGTAAGTATATGTCTCTTTCCTTAAAGCGATTGAATCAGCATCTTTGCATCTGGGTCTCAGCTTGTGTTGTTATTTGATTGTTGTGATTTTGTTGTGTTTAAAGTTTACATAGTTATGGCTGATGAAAATGATCTAGCAACAGTGGCGGGGGGGGTGATGTTTTATATAGAATAGATTTTTCCAGTTGTGTGAAAAATGACATTGGTATTTTGATAGGAATATTATTGAATCTGTAAACTACTTTGGGAAGTATGGCCATTTTAACAATATTGATTCTTCCAATCCATAAGCACAGAATTTTTTCCCATATATTTGTGCTATCTCTAATTTCTTTCAGCAGTGTTCTATAGTTCTCCTCGTGGAAGTCTTTCACCTCAGTGGCTAGATGAATTCCTAGGTATTTTGTTTTCTTTGTGGCTATTGTAAATAGGATTGTATTCTTGATTTGGATTTGAGCTGTAATGTTATTGGAGTATTAAAATGCTTTTGATTTTTATACATAGATTTTGTATCCTGAAAGTTTACTGAATTCATTTATCAGTTTTAGAAGCCTTTTGGCAGTCTTTGGGGTTTTCTTGCTATAGAATCATATCGCTGCCAAAGAGACATAGTTTGACTTCTTTTCCCATTTGAATGCCTTTTATATCTTTTATTGCTTGATTACCGTGTCTACGACCTCAAATACTATGTTGAACAGGAATGGTGAGACCGAACATCCTTGTCTTCCTTTTCCAGTTTTCAAGGGAATGATTCCAGTTTTTGTCTATTCAGTATGACGCTGGCTGTGGGTTTGTCATAGACGGCTCTCATTATTTTGAAGTATGTTCCTTCAGTTCCTAATCTGTTGAAGGTTTTTATTATAAAAGGATGTTGAATTTCATTGAAGACTTTTTCTACATCTATTGAGATACTCATGTGGTTTTTGTCTTTAGTTCTGTTTTCGTGAGTGAAACACATTTATTTATTTAAATATGTTGAACCAAATTTGCATCACAGAAATAAAGCCTTGACCATGGTAAATTCGCTTTTTGATATGCTGCTAAATTTGGTTTGCTGGTACCTTACTGCACATTTTTTGTGTCTATGTTCATTGGGAATATTGGCCAAATATTTTTTTTTGATTCTGTCTTTCCCAGGTTTTGGTATCAGGATGTTGCTGACTTCATGGAATTAGTTTGGGAGCAGGCCCTCTACCTCAATTTTTTGGAATCATTTTAGTTGAATCAGTTTTTCTTTGTGTTTCTGCTAGAATTTGGCTGTGAATCCATCTAGTTCAGGGTTCTTTTTAGTTGGTAGGTTTTTAATTACTGATTCAATTTCTGAATTTATTATCGGTCTGTTTATGTTTACACTTTCTTCTTGATTCAATTTTGGGATATTGTGTATTTCTAGGAACTTATACATTTCCTCTAAATTTTCTAATTTGGGGCATGGAGTTGTTCATAATAATCTCTGAGAATCTTTTGTATTTCTGTGGGCTTGGCTGTAATGTCATCTTTGTCCTTCTCTGGTTGTTCCTACTGGGATATTATCTTTTTTTTTGTTAATCTAGCTAATGATTTACCAATCTTTTTATGCCTTTGAAGAACCAACTCTTAGCTTCATTGATCTTTATATGGACTTCTTGGTTTCCATTTTATTCAGTGAATATCTGATTTTAGTTATTTCTTCTTTTCTATTAGCTTTGGGCTGGTTTCTCATACTATCATGGTTTCTCATACTATCTCATTTCCTTCTTTCCTTCCTTCCTTCCTTCCTTCCTTCCTTCCTTCCTTCCTTCCTTCTTTCCTTTCTCTCTCTCTCTTTCTTTCTTTTTTTCTTTCTTTCCTTTTCTTTCTTTCTTTCCTTTTCTTTCTTTCTTTTTCTAATTCCTCCAGTTATGTCTTTAGTTCATTAACTTTCTAATCTCTTGATGAAGGCATTTAACACTACTTTTTAATCTTAATATTGCTTTATCTGCATCCCCAATGTTTTTGTAAGTGGTGTCTCTACTTTTATTAATGCCAAATATCTTTTTAATCTATCTTAATTTCATTGTTCACCCAATAGTTATTAAGAAGCAACTTGTTGAATTTTCATATTTTGTGTAGTTTTGAGAGAACTTCTTGATCTTGATTTCTATGTTTATTGCACTGTGGTCTGAGAACATGGTTGATACAATTTTTTTTCTGAATTTATTGAGACTTGCTTTATGGCTGAGCAATTGGTCACTCTTAGAATGTTTTGTGTACCAATGAGATAAATGTATCTTCTGTGACTGTTGCTTGGAGTACTCTGTGGATAACTATTATGTCTAATTGGTCAAGTGTTGAGTTTACTCTAGACTTCCGTTATTAGTTTTCTGACTGGATGATTTGTCTAACACCGAGAGTGGGTTTTTAAAAGCCCCCACTATTATTGTATGTCTGTCTAAGTCTTTTCACAAGTCAACAAAAGCTTGTTTTATAAATCAAAGTATGCTTATGTTAGACACATAGTTGAGACAGTTAAATATTCTTGTCAAGTTGAAATCTTTAACATAATGTATTGCACTCCTTTGTTCTTCCTGATGGTTTTTGGTTTAAAATCTGTTTTATTTCATACAAAAATTATGACTCTTGTTCTTTTTTTTTTTTTTTTCATTTTACTGGTGGGGCCATTCTCCATTTGTTTCCATGGAGCCTGTGTGT
This sequence comes from Homo sapiens, assembly GCF_000001405.40. NCBI lineage: Eukaryota > Metazoa > Chordata > Mammalia > Primates > Hominidae > Homo > Homo sapiens. Next base: position 63,885,028 of record NC_000004.12, on the reverse strand, counting down.
GTGATTATATATGAGTTGCACCTCTTGAAGATAGCAGACTGTTGGGTCTTGTCTTTTGCCAAGCTTGCAACATTACGCCTTTTAAGTAGAGCATTAAGACAATTTATATTCAGGGTTAGTATTGATATGCAAGATTTTGTTTTTGCCATTGTGTTGTTGGCTCTGTTTTGTAGAATTAATTGTGTAGTTGCTTTATTGTGTCTGTGGGCCATGCGCTTGGGTGTATTTTTTAGGAAACAGGTTTCAATCTTTTGTTTCCATGTTTAGTACTTGTCCAAGTACCTCTTGTAAGGGTGGTCTGGTTTTAATAAATTTCCTTAGTGTCTACTTGTCTGAGAAGGACCTTATTCCTTCTTTGCTTAAGAAGTTTAGTTTGGTGGGGTATGATATTCCTGGTTGAAAATTGTTTTTCTTATAATATTGAAAAGAGGCTGCCAATTTCTTCGGGCTATTATGCTTCCTGCTGATGATAAGACAGTGTGCTGAGAAAGTAGAGAAAAACATAAGGGTAGAAAATGTATTCAAAAAATAATAACAGAGAACTTCCTAAACCTAGAGAAAGATATCAATATCTAGTAAAAAAAACTTATAGAACACCAAGCAGAATTAACCCAAAGAAGACTACCTCAAGGGATTTAATAATCAAATTCCCAAAGGTCAAGGATAAAGAGAGATCCTAAAAACAACAAGAGAAAAAAAACAAATAACATGCAATGGAGCTCCAACATATCTGGTGCCAGACTTTTCAGTGAAAACCTTATAGGCCAGGGGAGAGTGGCATGAAATATCAAAGTGCTGAAGAAATAAAAAAACTTTTTCAAACATGAAGGAGAAATAAATACTGGCCCAGTCAAACAAAAGCTGAAGGAATTCAGCAATACCAGACTCATCCTAGAAGAAATGCTAAAGGGAATACTTCAATCAGAAAGAAAAGGACATTAAGGAACAATAAATAGTCATTTGAAGGTACAAAACTTACTGGTAATAGTAAGTACACAGAAAAACACAGAATATTGTAACACTGTAAATATGATGTATAAACTACTCTTATCCCAAATAGAAATACCAAACTTTAAACCAATAAAAAGTAATACCTACAACAACTTTCAAATACAGTTAGTACAGTAAGATATAAATACGAACAACACAAAGAAAATGGCAAAAGTAAGTCTTGTCTTATCTTGTCTTATCAATAATAACATTGAATATAAATGAACTAAACTCTCCAATCAAAAAACATAGACTGGATGAATGGTTGAAAAAACAAAACGTACTGGTCTGTTGCCTACAAGAAACAAGCTTCACCTATAAAGATATACATAGACTAAAATAAAGGGATGAAGAAAACAATCCATGACAATGCAAAACAAAAAAGAACAGGAGTCACTGTACTTATATCAGAACAAAAAGATTTCAAGGCAAAAACTATAAGAAGAGACAAAGAAGGTCACTAAATATAGAGAAAGGTGTCAAGAGGGCACAACAATTTTAAACATATATACACCAAACACAGAAGTACTGAGATATATAGAGGAAGTATTATTAGAGCTAAAGAGAGAGAGAGGCTCCAACACAATAGTAACTGGAGACTTCAACACCCCACTTTCTGCATTGGACATATCTTCCAGATAGAAAATCAAAAAAGAAACATCAGACTTAATCAGCACAGTAAACCAAATGAATCTAATATATACGTTTCATCCAAGAGCTGCAGAATCCACCTTCTTCCCCTCAGCAAATGGATCATTCTCAAGACTAGACTATATGTTAGGTCACAAAACAAGTCTTAAAACATTTAAAAAGTTGAAATAATATCAATAATCTTCTCTGGTCACAATGGATGTAACTATAAATTAATAATGAGAGGATTTTGAAAACTATATAAATACATAGAAATTAAACGATATGCTTCTCTCTGCTATGTGAGGAAGGGGATGGGGGGTGGGGAGGCGGGCAGGAAGGAGAGAGAAAGAGAGTGCTAGATATTTGATGCCTCTTCATATAAAGGCACAAATCTGATCATGTGGGCCCCACCTTCATGGCCTCATCTAAACCTAATTGTCTCTCAAATGCCATTACATTGGGGGTTTGGGCTTGAACATATTAATTTTAGAGGGACACAATTTAGTCCATAGTTCAGAGGAAACAAGATTGTATAACTTTTCATTTCTATACACTGCTGAAAGCTAAAGTTAACTGAAATAACACACATTTGAAGTTGCAGATGACTGTAAGTTACCATTTGATCTTTGTGTGAAACAAGCTAAAGGAGGAAGACAGTGTAATCCCAACACCCTACTTGCTCAAACATAGGATAGTATTTACATAGTCATTATAATTTAATGTATTATTTGTAACAGGATACGTTATTACTTTTAACAATATGAATTATCATATATGCATAATATAAATTATTTTTGAAGTTTAGTCACAAACAGGCTATTGTGAGTAGCTCTATAATTACTACTGACCTATTGTGCTAGACACATGTTATACCTGCTCAAGCATTCAATAAAATTGAAATATTAATTGATACTTCTATTTAATTACACTTGAGAAAATATGGTAAACCATTTCACTAAACATTCAGATATTAACTGCTAAGAAATTACATGTGTATTATTCATAAAAACAGAGCTAGTTTTAATTTGTCACTGCTAATAGCAGGAAACCATTGTTTGACAAAAGATGTAATACAGCAATTTCTTATCCTGTTTAAAATTCATGAAGCCACATCCACACAGACAAATGCTTATTAATTTCTAAATTGCTTTATTGACTCTAATGACAAAAATACAGGGTTTGCAGGCTGCAATACAATTATAATTAAAATGAATTTTCTACTGCTTATTTAGTAGGACAGATAGTTTGAGTACTTTTACATGTTGTAGATTTTTAAAAATATTACATTGGATTATTAAAGAATTTGAGCATTTCTCAAATAGTGCATTTTCCAAGAAAAATATGATTTCAGCTTATTGCAATACCACATTATATCATATATATGAGCCCCTGTGTATTTAACTGGGTAACTGGAGTTCTCAATAACTGAGAAAAAGGACATGGTAGAATTGCAAAAATACCCCCACATTCTACACTTCCCTGAGTATGTGCACATTGCTTCGTGACGATGTGGCTCCTTCCATCCCAATAGATAGAGTTTGTTTCCCCACTTCTTAAATCTCAGTTTGACTTGTGACTTACATTGTCAGTTGAATGTTGTGTTAACACAGTTGAATTAACACTGTGCTCTTTCAGAACTTGAAAAGATCCACAAGCCTGGTGTGCTTCAGTTCTTTCACATTTAGTAATCTGGCCCGGTAATAAAAATACACCCAGACTAATCTGGCATTGAATGAGAGATTACATGTAGTACTGCTGAGCCATCCCAGCCAATACCTTCCTAGGCCAGCCAATCCTCTTTCTCACTAAACTACTTAAGTAAGCCAAATAGAGATCATTTAATCTTGACCTGGATAAGAAGAACCATACTGCAAATGCATAAGGTCCTAGGCAAAAAAATAAACATAAAAAATTTATTGTGAAATATCGTGGTGGTTTTGTGTTTGCTTAATATAGAGTGTCATCAATTGTGACCATATATAATCAAAACAACTTTGCATACTAGTGAAAATTCAGATCATAGAAGCATTTAGTGGTAGTTAATACACATATGTGAGAAGATATCAGCTGCACTTCCCTTCCAGTAAATTTATTCTTATTTAAATATGTGCCTAAATAGACACAGCTATATGATGTTGAAAATATAAAATTTTATGAACATATAGATATCTTAAAAAGTACTGATTTCCATATCAAAAATGTAGTGTTTCCTTATTGATTTTTTTGTATTCCTGCATTATTTGTATGTGTGTGAGTTTGTGTGTGTACATTATATAACAACAGACTTTTTGATTTACATTAAACTATTGATTTATTGAAATTGGAAAATGAATGGCTTACTTCTATGATTTTTCTATAAGCTCTTGCAGATGTTATTTAGAATGTTTGATTTTATGTTGAGATTATTTCTATTTGTAAAGGAATGAGTAGGAATATAGAAATATATAAACAGACAATGAGAGGAAGAGCTGTTAATTCTCTAAGCTCAATATATTTTAAGAATACTGAATATTTTTAATCCTAATATTTATTGGAGTTCCTAACTTTTGTAGTGGCTCAAGTGATATTTGTTAAATGACTATGTTAATTAATAAAGAATGAATGCATTTCAGTGATGTTATATCTTATAGCAAAGCTAATATATCTTCAGAATGATTTCCAATCTCCTTGTTATTACTTAGCTGCAATTCGCTTTTTTATATTAATTGTGTCTGATATTAACTAAATACTTAGTGTGTATCAGCACTTTCTAAGTGCTTTATAGGCATATATTTGTTAAGGGTTGCCTGTTTGAGAGAGACAGAAAACTGAATCTAAACCAAGTAAAATAATATAGGACTTTTATTTGTTTGTGAAATTGAAACATTGAAGCCAAAAGAAGAGATACTGAAAAAACTTTTCCCAGGATAATTTGAGTACTCAAATTGAGTTAAATATTCCTAACTGGTGAAAGAGATAGTGTTACCTAAGTGGAAGGCACAACGAAATTAAAGAGTAGAGGAGAGGTACTTCCAACACTAAAATATTCTGCAAAGAAAAAAGTATATATTTATTATAATGAACTTAGTATTGAATCATTTTTGTAACTTTATGCATGAAATACTCCTTTTTATTTTTTGAGTTTTCAGATTAGGAGACTAAATGGGACAAAATTAGAATACTAATCTGTCTAATTTCAGACACAGCCCTCCTAAAAATTACACTCAATGAGTTTTTAAACTGCTACAAATTAGTTTTAATTACTGTTATTCCAGTGGAATAATATGAAGAGATGAGGAGTAAATTTAGTAACAAAATCTGGCCTTAATTTTAACTAGTTTGATACAAATATATCTACATAAATTATTGTTATTTGAGTATTTAAATTTTTTCATATTTATGAAATGCAGAGCCTTAAAAAAAAATTGGTCCCTTTGCTTGTCTTTCAATTACCTTCTCTCCTCTTTCTCACATTGTCCCTTCAAGTAATGTAGAATGTCATAATTATAACTTTAAGAGGAGGATTGTGTTTTTCATTTAAACAAGACCAGAAGCATCACTAACTTAAAGGAAATCAAAATAGATACAGTCAAATATGTAATAAAAATGCATAACAACTAAGAATATGTATTCATCAAGTGATCAAGTGATGTCTACAAAGAGTCATAAGTGAATATATTGCAATATATAAGTTTTGCAAAAACTTTGCAATATACAAGTTTGACAACTCACTTACTCCAGCAGGTCAATCTATAATAAAAACCAAGAAGGAGATGAACAAAACATGCCTTATTTTTTATCTCTCTATAATATATTAATCTGTGAGGATTGAAAGATTGATTAAAGTTGCTGAAGTCATTCTGTAGTTTTTGTTGTTGTTTGTTGTTCTTGTTTAAGACGGAGTCTTGCTGTATTGTTCAGGTCAGAGTGCAGTGGCATGATCTCAGCTCACTGCAACCCCTGCCTCCCGGTTCAAGCAATTATTGTGCCTCAGTTCCCTGAGTGGCTGGGACTACAGGCATGTGCCACCATGCCTGGCTAATTTCTCTAATTTTATGAGACCCGGGGTTTTGCGATGTTGGCCAGGCTGGTCTTGAACTCCTGACCTCAGGACATTCGCCCACCTCAGCCTCTCAAAATGCTGAGATTACAGGCTTGAGCTACCTTGCCCGGCCCATCTTGTAATATTAATCTAAGTTATTTGGCATTGGAATATAGAGTATATAAACATAGTTTTACCTGTTATATTCTATACATGTGGATGTTGTGTCTGTATGTGTGCATGGACATGTGTGAGAACGTACGTGTGTGGGAATGTGTGTGTGTGTATACACACACATTTTTCACTGTTTTTTTTTTTTTTTTTTTTTTTTTTTTGAGATGGAGTCTCACTCTGTGGCCCAGGCTGGAGTGCTGGAGTGCAGTGGCGTGAACTCGGCTCAATGCAACCTCTGCCTCTCGGGGTTCAAGCAATTCTCCTGCCTCAACCTCCCCAGTACCTAGGATTACAGGTGCATGCAACCACGCCCAGATAATTTTTGTATTTTTAGTACAGATGCGGTTTCACCATGTTGGCCAGGCTGGTCTCAAACTCCTGACCTCCAGTGGTCTGCCCACCTAAGCCACCAAAAGTCCTGGGATTACAAGCATGAGCCACTGAGATCAGCCCACTCTATTTTTTAATCCATTGAGCTACCCCATTCTGCAAAAAGATTAACAATCAATCAGATGATATTGGCCTTGTAGTGTGAATTTGAAAATATTACGTCCTCATTAATTTTTAAAAATAATATAAGTAAGATTGGGGATAGCTCTTCTTTAAATGCTTCATAGAATTCAATAGGGAGATAATCCCATGCTGGGCTTTTCTTTGATGGGAGATATTTTATTACTGCTTCTATCTAACTACATGTTACTGGTCTATCCAAGTTTTGGACTTTTTCATGGTTCAATCTTGGTTTGTATGTCTTAGAATTTACCATTCCTTCTAGGTTTTCCAATTTATTGGCATGTAGTTTTTCATAATAGTCTCTAATGATCCTTTGAATTTTTGTGGTATCAGTGATAATGTCTGCTTTTGCATGTCTGATTTTATTTATTTTGGTCTTCTCAAATTGTTTCAGTTAGTCTGGCCAAAGTTTGTCAATTTTGTTTATTTATTAAAAAAATCAACTTGCCATTTTGTTGATCATTTATATATATGTTTAGTCTCAATTTCATTTATTTCAGCTCTGATTTTTATTATTTCTTCTACTAATTTTGACTTTAGTGGGATTTATTTTTTTAGACCTTGGAGAGGCATTGTTGGGTTGTTTATTTGAAGTTGTTCTACATTTTCAGTGTAGGCATCTTCTCTCTTTCTGCTATGTGAGGATGCAGTGAGGAGGTGGCTGACTGCAAGCTGAGAAGAGAACCCTCACTGGAACCTGACCATGTTGCCACCAAGATTTTGGATTTGCCGGCTCCAAAACTGTGTGAAACAAATTTCTGTTATTTAGTCCACCCAGTCTGTGGTATTTTGGTGAGACAGTCTGAGCTGACTAAGACATCTGAGATTTCTTTAAAAAAATGTGTTTTCTTTAACAATATTGTTATTATTAATAAAAACAATCTACTTTTATTTCTTATTGTCCCTCTCTCTCCATTTCTTTTCTGACTACTTATTTTTCCTTTTATAATCTAAAATTTGGAGGCACGGTACCCCGGTACTTCTTTGTGCAACTCTTTTGAATGGAGCCACCATTCATAGGTCACCATGTGTTTTTTTCTGGTATGATTTCAGTATAGTGGAGTTAATTCTTAAATGCCATCCTAAGAAACAGCATAGGGAAAGTTTTATTTTTGAACACTTGTATATATGAAAATGTCATAATTCTGCCTTCATATAGTTTATTAATCATTCTCTGGAAATATGCACAATAAATAACATATTTTTCTTAGAATATTGTAACATTTTTCTTTCTGATATCTTATGTTGTTGAAAAGGTAGTAGGTTCCAAACTTATTTCTTTCTTAGTATCTACATGTTACATTTTGGAAGATTTTAGCTGATTTTTATACTTCTCATTTTCTCTTGCTTTGGTGTCATAAAAGCCCTGCAGATGTTTTCATATATGTGTGTCTTTCTCTCTCTCTCTTTTTTTTTTTTTTTTTTTTTTTTTTTTTGCTTTTAGCACTTGGTGAGTCCTTCCAATCCTTGTAAAGTCATTCTTTGTCTTCTTGTCCTGGGGCTTCTAGGAGGCAAATGTTAAGTCTCCAGTGAATCCTCCATGCTTTATCTACGCTTTACCTTGTGTTCATTTACTTTGGTTTTTTTTTGAACTGCTTCCTTGACTTTATTTTTCAGCTCAAGTTTTGGACATAAATAACAATATAAATAGAAGTATGTTCTTTATCTAAGATCAATTTCTTCAACTTTAAATACATTTCTGGAATAGTCTCTTATTTTATGTATTTAATGGCTTCTAAAAACCATTGTAGATTAATTCATCCAAGTTTGGGATTTGGGGATTAGAATTTTAATGTTCACTTCTTTTTTTCTGAATGATTTGTTTGTGGGCGGGCAGAGGAAGGCATGTGTGTATGTTTGTGTGTGTATGTGTGTGTGTGTGTGTGTGTGTATCTGTGTTTGAGAGAGAAAGAGACTTAGTCACTTTCTTAGATCAATATGAGTATTATGCTATAACACATTTTTTGCCTGGCATTTTAGCTTTCTAGTGCTAGATTGGCTTTCTAACTTTCTAGCGCACAATATTCAGGTTCAGAACGGCAGCAGCCTCCCCTGACACTCTCTTGGAGCTTTTTCTTTCTTTGCTTCCCTTGCCTTTTCTAGAATCACTGTTCTTCATCTACTTACTGTTTTATGAAATTTGTTGCAACCTCATTTCCTCATTTTCACGAATGAATGTCCTCTAGTTATCATTCTAAGAGAGGTATGTATGTGCTTTTATACCTCTAAATAACCTTGAAGGGGCCTGAATGAATGAAGATGTATCAAAAATTCATTTTAAAGTCATATACTTAAATTTATTCTTCATATACTGATAATTCAACTTGAAGTTACGTATGGTTTCTGTAGTTTAATGAGAGAAAGTTTGTATGAAAGTATGTAATGTGCTTAACTATTTCGAGGGGCAACAAAACCTGAAATAACTATTTTTGTCATTATGCTGTATGTTTTTTTAAATTTACAAACCTTGATATAGCACTTATTAATTGATCTAAAGACTTAGCCTAACATATGTTTAAAAATGAGTTACTTAGAATTAAGGAAAGCTGGACCTCTGCAGGTCATATTAAATATCATCTGAGCCAATTTCCTGAATGTAGATTTTTTAAAAGTGAAAAAGTGATAGGTTGCTTCACTTGTCCAAAGACACCTGGGTATTTCCCTGCAGAGCTTGTTCTCAACTAGAATTTCCAAAAGTTACAGTACTTAGTTGTGTTACAGAAAAGGAGTCCTGATCCAGATCCCAAGAGAGGGTTCTTAGATCTTGCACAAGAAAGAATTCAGGGCGAGTCCACAAAGTAAACTGAAAGCAAGTTTATTAAGAAAGAAGAGGAATGAAAAAAATGTCTCTTTCTATGGTGTAGCCCTCGGGGCTGCTGGTTGCCCATTTTTATGGTTATTTATAGATTATTTGCTTAAAAAGAGGTGTATCATTCATGCCTCCCCTTTTTTGACCATATAGGGCAGCTTCCTGACATTGCCATGGCATTTGTAAATTGTCATGGTGCTGGTGGGAGTGTGGCGGTGAGGACGACCAGAAGTCACTCTTGTGGCCATCTTGGTTTTGGTGGGTTTTGGTCGGCTTCTTTCCTGCAACCCATTTTATCATTAAGATGTTTATAATGTGTATTTTGTGCTGACCTCCTATCTTGTTCTGTGACTTAGAATGCCTTAAACTTCTAGGAAGACAGCCCAGCAGGTCTTACCCTTATTTTATCCAGCCCCTATTTAAGTGGAGTTGCTCTGGTTTACATGCCTCTTAAATTTCAGTATCACAATTTTTAAGTTTTCTTTGGCTATTGAATTTAGGTTTTTATGTATTTAATTCATAATTTTTGTTTAATTAAAATGGTTTTGATTTTCTAATTTTCCTAAATGATGTCAACAATATTTGTTTAATAGAGTATGTTTTCCAAGTTAAATAATACTGCAGTCCATTTTGGAGGAAACTTATAGATTAGGAAAAGAAAAAGAAAAAAAGCTAAAATAATTGTTTTCACAAAGAATAAGAAAAATTGAGAAGTAAATTGCTCTTGTTCACCACCCTCAAAATTTTGAGCTGGAGTCACTCTGGACTAGTATATTCACCCAGCTTGATTTCCCTGAATATTTTAATGTTTGAGTCTCAATTTCTGTTGAATCCCCCATGGAAGTATTAGCAAACTTAAATATTTGAGAAAAACATATTAGTGGTTATCTTTCAAAGACAAGTATGATATATGATATATTTTAGATAGACAGATAGATAGATAGATAGATTTATAATACTTCTTTTTGGCAAATCAGTAAGGAAATAACACAAGGAAATATGTTTTTGTTATGTATGTGTAAAAAGTAAAATCATTCAATTATCAGGTGCTAAACATTTGCAAACCAAAAATTAAAGAAAAAAATGTGACCCAGATCCGCATTTAAAATACCTAAGTGTCTGGAAATTATTTTGGAGAGATCCAGAGACATATTCCAATTTTACAGAGAGGCAAACTGGGTCCTATCAATTTAAAGTGGCTATGAAAACTAATTTTATGTCACATAACTATACTTTACGATAACTTGGTACCTTCATCAGAATATTATCACCCTGAATCTAAGCTGATTTTCAGTTGGTCTTCATTGGATAGGAGGCAGGGTGAAGCCCAGGAAGCTATGGAAATAGCTGGAGGTCAGGCTAGGGGCAATGGGCTGGACTTAAGCTTTTGAGAGGTGGAGCAGGAGTTTCATTGTGTGAATCTGCAGGTAACTAGGAGAGAGGATTAATCAACTATCATATTCCTAGAGTTACATATATTTGTCAATACTCAACCTTCAAATAGAAGCCAGAGAGAGAAGCTGGATCTAGATCTACGTTCTGAACATAAATTGTAAAGGGAATATAATGTGGATGTGAGATGGGATTGTATCCCTTTTAAGTAACAGAAAATCTGGTTGTGGTCATGGCTTCCCATATTAGTTCTGCAAAACTGTGACAGAAGCCACAAAATAAAGCAAGAACAATGAGAAGGCATTAGAAGACTAGACATCATAAATGAAAAACAAATGCAGAAATGAGAAATGATCTATTTAGAAGTACAAAATATGTCAAATTTGGGAATTAGTAGATATGTAATGTAAAATAAATACATATATTGAAATACCATATTAGAAGATACCAAATTTTTTATAATTAATTTTGAAGTTATAGAAATTAAACTTAACTGTCGAAATAAAAACTTACCTATCGATAAAGTGGAAAGTATACATTATTTCCTAGGTCAGAAATGATTTATTGTTGGGACAGAAAATGCATGAATCATAAAGTTAAAAATGTAAGATAAGAAGTGAACTTCATCAAAACTTTGTTATCAAAAGGCACTGGTAAGAAAATGAAAAGGCAAGCCACAGACTTAGAAAAAAATAATTATTTTAAATTCATATTTGATAATGGAGTTGTATTTAGAATATATAAAAGATCCTCACTATTCAATAATAACACAAACAATAAAAGTGAGGTAAGGACTTGAACAGACACAATGCCAACAAAATTGCATGAAAAATAAGTATGTGAAAGCTGCTAAGTACCATATGGTTTTTGAGACATGAGACATATAAAAGAACATCATAATGAAATACCACTACCTATTATTTAAATGGCTTGGCTTAAACATTAGCAAAAACCAGAAGTTTAACACTTAGGAATTTAGGTAACCATATGTCCACACCAATTCTGTATTTGGATGTGTATTACGGCTTGATCCATAATTACTAAAACTTGGAAGTAACTGCAATGCCCAGCAAGGAGTAAACAGGTAATGAAATTTCAGTATATCCATATCACTAAATATTATGCAATGCAAAAAAATGAAATACTCATGCATTCAACAGCATGATTGGCTTTCAAAAGCATTATGCTAACTGAAGAAAAAGACACAATTCACATAGTTGCTAACTGCATAATTTAATTTATATGACATTATGGAAAAAAATTAGTGGGATAGAAATTATATTAGTGTTTGTAAAGAATTTAAATTAGAAATAGAAGACACATAGAAAGCAGAATGAGACACTTTGGGATGGGTAATACAAATTTTCAATATTTTATTTGTAGTGGTGATTATACAATCATTTACATGTATCATAAATCATCAAACTGTACACCTAATATAAATAATATTTCAATAAATGTGAATTTTGAAACACGATTTATACCTACATTTCTTTTGTAATTGTTCGGATATACATATCAAATTCTTGGTGCTTATCAGTCCTATATGAAAAGTGAATAAACAAAAATGCAATTCTCTTTGCCACCAATGTCTGTATTATGGTATTGGGAACCAAAAAACCTACTATATTGACCACTAATTTTGACCTTCTCAATACTACAACTGGATCACTCCTCTAATCCTAACACTTTGGAAGTCCAAGGTAGGAGGAACATGTGAGCCCAAGAGCTCAAGACCAGCCTGAGCAACATGGTGAGACCACCTCTTTACAGAAAATTGTAAAAGTTAGCTGGGCTTGATGGCACATGCCTGTAGTTCCCATTATTTGAGAAGCTGGGGCAGCAGGGATCCTCAGGAGGTTCCATTGAGCCAGAAGGGTGGAGGTTGTAGTGAGCCATGTTCGTGCCACTACACTTCAGCCTGGGTGAGAGAATGAGACCCTGTCTCAAAAAAAATAAATAAATAAAAATAAAAAATAAATAAAAAATAAATTCATTAGAAGCTTTAAAATTACATAAGTTTAACGGCACACAAAGATTATTTAATTATAAGTAACTTTTCACTATAATCTAAGCAACTCAAATGTAATTCAATTAGAATTCATAATTAAAAATTATTATATCTTATTATTCCAATTGTCAAAAACAGAGACATTGTATATGGCTGTGTAGTGAAAACGATAAACAAACAAACAACTACACACACTCTTAACTATGTGTTTCTAATGTTTTGACGACTGGGTCTTGCAGAAAGGACTGCCCCTTCCAGGAATGGCTAATTCTGAGACACAGCAAATAATGACTCTGCTTTGAGTATACCTTTCATATGCAAAATAACCCAGCAGAACCCATACTTCCCCAACTGCCTCCTTTATAGAGGTTTTACACATCATACCTCTAGCTATTCCTCTGTACTAATCATGCCAGCATCCAGTACCAGACCACTAGGGAAAACCCATATACATTAGAGCCCACTGAAATTATTCAAACTAGCCCATCCTAAAGCTGCTTGCCGTGTCTCGTCTTTCTTCCCATTGAAACCGTAATAAAAGTCCTTGCCTATGTTTTCCTCTTGTTCCTTATGCTTCCTGATTCACCTTGGTGCTTCCTTACATGGCTGGGCATGATGTAGTAGTGTGAGTCTTCAATTTCTGGAAACTGTGAGTAACAAACTATTTTTTCAACGGCAATCAACCCCCAATCTGTTGACCTCATATTTTACCTGATTAGTAATAAAGGCTACATTTTAAAACATAAGTAAACACTTCCTTCAAGAAAGAATTTTCATGTGTGTACTTGGCTACAAAATAAGTCTTTTATTCTAGCTTTACTTTTAAATTAATGACTACCAATTAATGACAAAATTTAGAAAAATTATGTTGAAAGAATGAGTACATGTAGCTCTTCTTTATGAGCTTTAGTTTTGCTGCAGTTGTAATAAGATATTTACAATTTTGGATATTTAAGAAACTGAATGATTGTAAGAAGATTCCTCAGTTAACATGAATAAAATAATCTATGAAGGATTTTGAGCTTTATTAGACTGCATGTTATGTACCTCTAGAAATATCAGACAGTCATAAAGTATGTGTTGGTACTCAAAAATATTAACTAAAAAGATAATAAAAGTGATATTTTTATTTTGTTTATTTAAACGGTTCAAATTTACTGTAGCAGTATGTAGTAAAATTTAAAAATTTTGTAAGACTATTGTGTTAAGCAATAGCATAAATTTTATGACATATATACATATATTTTAATAGGTGAAGAATAATGTGGTTAGTAGTGCATTAGGCAGGGATTTTTTAAAGCATAACAACTTGACATTTTGATATGAAATAGAAATTTTCCATTTCTCATACACAGATATGACTAAATAATTTCCTGGGTATACAAAATATAACTAAAAAAAAGGTAAATTCTCGTTTACCTTAGATATTTATAGATTTTATTGTGTGTCTCTATCTTTATAGATTTCACTATAGGTATTTAAAAGATAATGTAGTTTTGTCTTATTTCTTTTATATCTTTTTTCCAAAATCAATAAACACTGTTCTGATGTCTTCTTGCAAGGACTATAGTTTTGATTGTTTCTAATTTGGAAGTGTTTACCAAGCTACTAATTTAACCTGAAACTGTTATTTATTCCAAGTTTATTTATTTGGAATTTTTTGCTACATAATTTATTTTATATTCAACACTTACTTCCAGAATTAATAGCATTGATATTATTAAATTACAAGTCTACTTTGTGTTTGTGTGAAGAATAAACTGCATCCTAAGAAAAACTCACAACATAATTTTATTTTCCTCTCTTCAAAATACTTAATATTTCTTAACCCTATTTGTTTATTTTGTAGAGACAAGGTCTGTGTAATGATATTAATTTTAAGAGGAAAAGTAACTGTAAGGAAAAGTTTAATGTATAGCTATTGTTAAATGACCGAAGTGTGTAAATAATATTCATTAATCATATATGTTTCTATCCTCTACATTAATCTCCAAAGAAATTATGCTATGCATTATAAACAAATAAAGCAAGATTAAACCTAGCACTGTTCTATGTACAGATATATTTTACAAATTAAATTCAGCTAAAATACTAAGGACCTTTATCTTATGACATACAGGAACATTAAAACGTGATTCTAGGAATTTTTTCAAGTGATTTAACAGCATCCTCAAAAATATGTGTAATTTTTATATTTGCGTTTTCAGTGTGGCTATACTGTTTCCTTTTATGATTTTAAGACTATTGTGGAAGTTCCAGACATGAAGTCTTTATATAACTATGTTTTTAGTAAGAAAGGAAAATATCTACTCAATCTGCTTTACTCAGTCTACTGATTCTAAAGTTAATCTCATCCAGAAACATTCACATAGACCAGAAATAAAGGACAGTCAAATATCTGGTCATGCCATATCCCAGTAAAGGTGACTCACTAAATTAACCATTACAAATTACATCCTTCTGAAATTCATATGTTAAAGACTTAACCCACAAAACCTTAGAACGTGAACTTATTTGGAAATGAAGGTGATGTAGATGTAATTAGTTAAGATGAAGTTATATCATACTGCATGTAATACAACACTACTGACATACTACAGAAGACTACTACAGAAGAAGTGGATATTTGGATACAGAAACACACATACAGGGAGAACACTATGTAAACTTGGAGGCAGAGATTAGGTTTACACATCAATAAGCCAGGGAACACCAAAGATTTCCAGAAAACCAGAAGCTAGAAGATAGACATACAACATATTCTCTTTCACAGCCCTCAAAAGAAATGAAACATGTTGACATTTTGACCTTGGATTTCTTGTGTGCAAAACTGTGAAAAAAGGGGTTCATTTGTTTAAGTCACAAGGTACCATTTTGTGATACTTACGCAACACTCCAAGGTATAAAAATATGCTGCCTCAACAATGGTGATATTCCCTATATAAAGTCTGAAACACTGTCCATGGTGCTATTTCCTAATTATCCAAAATTGCAAATTATAAATATGACAATTAAATATTAGTTAACTTAAGTATTAAATGTCTCAACCACAATTTGTTGTCCACGGAAACTAAAAACTCCATTTCTCTAACAGTGACATGATATTAAGCCATCTGGACCACAAAACAGCATTTTCTGCTATTCACCCATCCATGTCTCATAGAATTCCTCCTTAATATAGTTTGCACTCCTGTTCATTTCATTTGTTATAAAAACCATAAGCTGGTAATATTTGTTTGGGCTATGGAAAAGAAAGCCTCTAATTCATATCCTTCCTTTCTCAAAAATATCTTTATTTTTTTTTTGCTCAAGTTAGCAAAAGTAGAGTCTCTTAGAACATAAGTATTAATATTTAAGTGACTGAAGTGCAGTAAGTTAAACTTGATTTCAAACAAAATAACATTTATAAATTTAATCAAACTATAAATGAAAATTTCAAACTAGAAAGTAACTAATTTTAAGGGATCTGAAAGTTATCCAGATTATTTAGTCAGTTAGGGAGTTACAGAAATTAAATGGTAAAAATGAGGCAGTTTTTTACTACAATTCAAATTTAGGTCAGATTCACAAACATATATATATATATATATATATAATACACACACACACACACACACACACACACACACACACATCTGTGAGAAATATTCAAAATAAAGCAATAAAATGCTAAAGTTAGCTGCCAAAGAAAGGGAATTTGGGAAGAAAATAAAAGAAAAAGAAATACAAAACACCAAGGTAAAATATTGTCAAATTATTATTATTTTCCAAGTTACATGATTGGCATATCAAACTATCACTCTGGGATAAAAAATCAAAATCACATTCTCTGCATTTATTTTTCTTAATAGCATCGAATTAAATGATTTAATTTTGACATTTTTTAGAGTCTGATCCATTTCTGAGATAGTCCAATAACAAAAGATAATTAAGGCAACACAGGCAAAAATTACCTGTGTAGAATTCTACAGATATCAGAAAAGATAGGCTCATCCTCCAAAAACAGGTAAAACTGATATAGGAGACTTGTATCACAGTGATTGTGAGGTCCATGGTATGCATTTAGAAAATGGCATTGAGAACATGGAGTCAAGTCATCGAATATTAAAAATCTAGTATTTAGCATGGATAAATATAAGAAATTTGAATTTTTTTATACACTTTATAGATGAATCCAGTATGATTTGCTGATGTATTAAATGCAAGGCAGAATGATAATTATAAATAAAAATAAAATGTAGCTTTGAGTATTTTTGTCTTTGTTATATAAGGGGAAATGTGTTTACTAAGATGAACGATATGAGATTTGCAGAATGTAGTGGCGTGTGGAAATGGAGTTTATTTTTAGACACATTTACTTTGTAATGCCTATTATGCAAAAATATTTGATGATTAGATAACAACAAATATATAAATTTTGAACCCATCAACATAAACATGGTAAATAAAAGCACACAATTGATGAGATCATTTCTAAATTGAGCAAAGACAATTGAGTGAAGACAATGAAGATAAGAGTTTGAAGGCTTACCCTTGAGCCTTCTCATCATTTTGAGAAATAACCAGCAAAACGGTTGAAAGTGATGTCCTATGAAGGACATGAACAAGAAATCTTCATGGATTCTAAAGAAAGATTTCTAAAATAACGTAATTATAAAGAGTGTCAAATGCTGATGAAATATTGTGAGAATAAATTACCCATAAAATTTTCTTATGTGGAAGTCAAATTAAGACATATATACATAATGTCACTGGATTGAAGGAAGCAAATTTTTTATTGCAGGGGGGACAATGGGAAGAAGCAACTGCAGTCAGGCATTATAGCAACCCTTTAAAGGAGTAATGCAAAAAAAAAGAGAAGAGAATGGAGTGGAAGTCATTGCTTGAAATAAGTGAGGGGACAAACAAGATTTTTTTAATGGCAACGTGAATGATCCAATAGAGAGGAAAAATTAATGATGTTCACAAGAACATGTATAAATACACAAATAATTCACTTGGAATGTCTATATGTTCGCTTTTTAAAAATCCTTATACTTTTCTGCAATAATTATAACTGCCCACTTAAATGCAAGAATTGAAATACGTCTGTTGCACAATATTTTTGTAACAGGTTTGTACAGGTGAAAAAAATCTAAACAGTTTATTTAAAATAACAAGCCTTAATAACACTTGGCAATGGAACTGGCACAGAGTGTGCATTTTTAAACAAGTAGCAAGATGAAAATTCATTAGAGAAATAAGTAACCCAGTATGGTAGAGTTTCTCAAGATGTAGCTCATTGCATGAGGCCTTAATAAATACTTTAGATAATTCTACATAAACAGGTTTGGAATAAACCATTATTCGTCTTTGAGTTTGAAATTCATATTTGAGTGCCTCAGCCTAAAATTTTGTTGGCTAAGCTTCAAAGCAAACTCTTTCTATACTGAGAAATATACTAGATACATGATTATGAGTATAAATTTATTTATTGATTTAGAAATTCATAAGCAAATAGAACTAGCTATAACCCTACACAGAACATTTTAGTAATTATTTTGTATTAGAGATTTCTGTTTTCTCAACCTAATAAAATATCCTTTAACTAAAAGATAACCTTAAATAAAATGTTTATATAAACCTATGCAAACCTTATGTAAACCTCATCTAAGTTTTTTTTTGTTTTATTCTATTTTTGTTTTGTTTTAAAATATTACCTAAAGAATATAAGGTTTTGGTTAGAGCAGGCCAGTTGTTGATGAAATTTTGGTGTAGGCTTCCTCAATTGTCTTTAATACGTTGCTCATTAGCACTTAATGTGTAGCTCATCAGCACCTGCTCCTGAATGTATGAAATTATCTCTGTCACCCTGAACCGTTAAGGTCACATTATGGTTACAAGCATCGCTTGTCCTTTCATGTCACTTCCTTCCCCCTGTGTTTTTTGTTATCTGCTTTCTAATATTAAGAAAACACTTTTTTTTCAAGACAGAAAACTAAAATTTATCTTTAAAACTTCTGAATATCCGTTGAAATTCCTTCTGCCTTCCTTTTAATTTTCTCATGTATGCAAGCATTCATTCATTTAATGGGCATTTAGGGATGCTTAGATGAAGACATGCTGGTATTTTAGAGTCCGCCAGACTTAGAAATTCCTCCACTCTCTGACCAGGACAATATTTATCTCTCTATCCTGTGATTCAAATTTTAAAATATTGAATGAGAGTGGCAATCAATTTCACATTATCTGTATTTTCTTAAACTCAGAACACATATAATATCTAAATCATTCACATTCTTTTAATTCTCTGACTTAAGTTGGAAATTGTCAATAGTTTGAATGGTTCTGAACCACAAAATTAATGTTACTTGCCTGGTTATACCAGGGATAAATGGCTCTGATTTGGATCAAGGACTTACATACCCAGGCCTCATTTTCCTGTATGGTAGATAGGTAGCTAGCTATCTTATAGAAAGTTGTACATTAATACTGACCTATTTTGTGAAAAACCTATTGTTTTCATAATAAAGAAAACTAACTTTACTGGGCTAGAGACTTTAGATTTTAAAAGGGAGATTTTTCTGACTCGCAGCCAAGAAATTCAGGTACAAATTAGCCTTAGGGAATAATGATTAAAATATAGTTCTTCGTATAAATCTTTATAATTTAATAGGTTGAGAAGATGTAAATAGGTAATTAATAACAGGCCTTTCTGAATACTAAAACAGGTATATGAACATATCTAAAATTAGAGATGTTGTACTTCACAAGTTTCATGATAATTAAGTTAGACTTGAAGTTAAGAAACAGGACAAAGGATGCTATTAAATACAAGGGAAAGAGTTCGCTTGTTCAAATACCCAAGAGATAGTCTGGGGAGTTCCTGATGAATGTGAGTAAGAGTAGTGGAATGGCTGCTGATAACTGTAGGCGAGAAATTTGGGTTTGGGCTATATTATGAGAGACAAAAGGAAGTGAAAAGCTATTTAACTAGAAGGATTTTAAGATTTTAAGGCAGTCAAAAGGAAGATTCTTTTTTTGCATCAGATTATAAACATTTTTATTTATTTTGAAATATAACACACATACATAAATGTATATAACATTAAAATGTATAATACACCAAACAAATAAAAAAACATGCACATGTCCACCACTGAGGTCAGGAAATAAAACATTGTTAGAAGCCATCACCAGCTCTTTGGAAAACATGACCTCTCCCATGAAGAGATAATCAATATCTTGAATTTGATGACAATCATATACTTTTCTTTCTGTTTAATTTTATCATCTATGTATGTATTCTTAAATAGAATGGTTTAATTTACACTTTTTCAAATTTTATGTACATTAAATTATGTTATACATATTTTTGTCTTGCTATTTCAATATTTTTTTTTCTGTTAGCATCGTCCACATGGTGTAACCAGCTCTTACTCCTTTTTTTTTTTTCCTGCTGTGCAACATTTAATCATTTGAGTACATCACAGTTTAATTAGCCATTCCACTGCTGATGGACAGTTGGTTTTCCCTACAGGATACATGAAGCTGCTTTGAGTATTCTTTTACGTGTACCCATGTACATATGTGAGCAAATTATTTGGGTCTATGGATACAGAAATGCAATTTTGGGGTCATGCATTATAAGTTTATTTGATTTTAATATAAGGGAATATTTTTCCTAGTTTACATTACTATTTAAAATTGAATTAGTGTTACCTTTTTATAATAGTATTGTGAGACATTTCTTTTTTTTCTCATTGTGGTTTTTAATTGGCATTTCTCTGATGTTTAGAAATGTTGGGCATTTTTTCATGTATATCATCTGTTGGCCATTAGTATTTCTTAAGAAATGTCTACTTAGATCCTTTGCTCATTTTTATTTTTATTTTTTATTATACTTTAAGTTCTGGGGTATGTGTGCAGAATGTGCAATTTTGTTACATAGGTATACATGTGCCTTGGTGGTTTGCTGCACCCATCAACCTGTCACCTACATTAGGTATTTCTCCTAATGCTGTCCCTCCCCTAGCCCCCACCCACCAACAGGCCCCAGTGTGTGATGTTCCCCACTCTGTGTCCATGTGTTCTCATTGTTCAACTCCCACGTATGAGTAAGAACATGCAGTGTTTGATTTTCTGTTTTGTGATAGTTTGCTGAGAATGATGGTTTCCAGCTTCATCCATGTCCCTGCAAAGGACACAAACTGATTCTTTTTTATGGCTGCATAGTATTCCATGGTGTATATGTGCCACATTTTCTTTATCCAGTCTATCATTGATGGACATTTGGGTTGGTTGCAAGTCTTTGATATTGTGAATAGTGCCACAATAAACATACGTGTGCATGTGTCTTTATAGTAGAATGATTTATAATCCTTTGGATATACACCCAGTAATCGGATTGCTGGGTCAAACAGTATTTCTCTTTCTAGATCCTTGAGAAACCACCATACTGTCTTCCACGATGGTTGAACTAATTTACAGTCCCACCAAGAGTGTAAAAGTGTTCCTATTTCTCCACATTCCCTCCAGCATCAGTTGTTTCCTGACTTTTTGAGGATTGCCATACTAACTGGCATGAGATGGAGGAATATTTACCAGGCAAATGGAAAGCAAAAAAAAAAAGCAGGAGTTGCAATCCTAATCTCTGATAAAAACAGACTTTAAACCAACAAAGATCAAAAGAGACAAAGAAGGCCATTACATAATGGTAAAGGGAACAATGCAGCAAGAAGAGCTAACTAACCTAAATATACATGAACCCAATACAGGAGCACCCAGATTCATAAAGCAAGTTCTTAGAGACCTACAAAGAGACATAGACTCCCACATAATAATAGTGGGGGACTTTAACACAACTGTCAATGTTAGACAGATCAACGAGACAGAAAATTAACAAGGATATTCAGGAGCTGAACTCAGCTCTGGACCAAGTGGACCTAATAGACACCTACAGAACTCTTCATCCCAAATCAACAGAATATACATTCTTCTCAGCACCTCATCGCACTTATTCTAAAATTGACCACATAATTGGAAGTAAAACACTCCTCAGCAAATGCAAAGAACGGAAATCATAACAGTCTCTCAGACCACAGTGCACTCAAATTAGAACTCACAATTAAGAAATTCACTCAAAACCACACAACTACGTGGAAACTGAACAACCTGTTCCCAAATGACTACTGGGTAACTAGTGAAATGAGGGCAGAAATAAAGATGTTCTTTGAAACCAATGAGAACGATGACACAACGTACCAGAATCTCTGGAACACATTTAAAGCAGTGTTTGGGGGGAAATTTATAGCACTAAATGCCCACAAGAAAAAGCTAAATGCCCACAAGAAAGATCTAAAATTGACACCCTAACATCACAGTTAAAAGAACTAGAGATGCGACAGCGAACAAATTCAAAAGCTAGCAGAAGACAACAGATAACTAAGATCCGAGCAGAACCGAAGGAGATAGAAACACAAAAAACCCTTCAAAAAATCAATGAATCCAGGAGCTGGTTTTTTGAAAAGAGCAACAAAATAGACCACTAGCCAGACTAATAAAGAAGAAAAGAGAGAAGAATCAAATAGATGCAATAAAAAAATGATATAGGGGATATCACCACTGATCCCACAGAAATACAAACTACCATCAGAGAATACTATAAACATCTATATGCAAATAAACTAGAAAATTTAGAATAAATGGATACATTCCTGGACACTACACCCTCCCAAGTCTAAACTAGGAGAAGTCAAAACCCTGAATAGACCAATAACAAATTCTGAAATTCAGGCAGTAATTAATAGCCTACCAACCAAAAAAAGTCAAGGATCAGACAGATTCACAGCCAAATTATACCAGAGTTACAAAGAGGAGCTGGTGCCACTCCTTCTGAAACTATTGTCAGATATTTCAATTGTTTCTCTGTAACTGTCTAATCATTCCTCAAATTGCTATATGTATTTGCCTTTCCTGATTACTTATGGAATTGAAACCATTTTTGTTTATATCAATGATTTGTTGACGATTTAAATTTTATGAGATGAATATAAAAGTTCTTTGTCCATTTCTATTTTGGGTTTTATATGTTTTTAGTAATTACTTGAATAATGTTTTATAAATTCTGAATATTAATCTTTTATTGGTTATGTGTATTGTACTAGCTTTTTTTGCTTTATGTATTGTATTTTTCTACTTCTATGACAGCTTTCACAAACAGATGTTCTTTATTTTAATATAGGCAAATTATTTGAAAATTTCTGTTATAAAGTTTTATTTAGTATTTTAAAATAAAATAATCTGTATCGTAGCTATTTTAGAAAATGTCTAAAGCATAGGAAGGGTAATGAAATACCTCAGGATCACATATCTAGAGAGCAAACTTGAGTCTGCTTTGTTCACTATGTCCTAGATACATGTGTGTTTCTATATGTTACCTCTTTTATGGTTTAAAAAAATGTCAAAGTAATCATCATTAAATCTATTTTATTATATCACAAAAACGATGTTCAGATCTAATATCTTTTGTAAGCTCACGTGGTATTAGATATTGTCTTAGTCCATTCAGGCTGCGTTAAGATACATTAAACTGGGTGGCTTACAAACAAATTTTTTCCTTACAGTTTTAGAGGCCAGAAAGTTCAAGATGAGGGTGCCATCAGGTTCTCTTTCTGATGAATGTTCACTCACTTTTTCACAGATGGTGCCTTCTTGCTCTGTTCTCTCATGGTGGAAAGGGGAATAAGCTTCCTGGGACCTCTTTTATATGGGAACTAATCTCATTCACGAGGGCTCCATCCCATGACCTAATCACCTTCTAAAGGCCTGGCTTCTCAATATTATCGCATTGAGGATTACATTTTGACCTAAGAATTTTGGGGGGACCCACATATTTAGACCATAGCCGTTACATTATAATATTAGATATATAGTAGTAGTATAATCATAACTTTTGTAAGTGCCATATTAAGGGTTTTGTGAAGTGCCATATTAGTAGTATCATCATGATGACCATAAGTTAAACTCAACTTTGTTGAGCACCAAACAGTTAAAAAGTATTCCATTAAGAGTCATCTCTGGGGCACGCTACCACTTTCAAATATTTTACTGGGCATCCAAATAAAATCATGAAGGGAGACATTTTATTATGTGTCTTTCCAGAACAGTAGCTTCTACATATATTTTATCCAAATTTTTAACCCAGCAGGTACTCAGTAAGCATTTAGTGAATAAATGAACGAACAACTCTGCTTTGTATAAAGGATCAGGACTGGATTGGAATAATAGGAGACAAGATAGCAATTCACATTTCTTTAAATGACATGCTGAATTACTCTTGGGTGAGTTTGCTATTGCACATTATTCAGGTGTAAAACTACGATATACTGTGATCTCTTAAAGAAAATAGCTTGAGAAAACTCTTAGAAATATAGCGTTCTCTCATGATTACAGTGTGTGCTGTTTCTGCTTTATTTTCATGTTTTAAATACATTTGAAAAATGCATAGCCTTTCACAGCATAGCAGTAAAATAAATATTGAGGAGGATAAACTCTTAATTGAACTTTGTATTTTAGTGAAAATATACAATTTACACTATTAAACACTGAATATTTAAAAATAATATAAATTGGTTGGTATTGTCTATTCCTAAGAACATCTCAAAATAAAAGTTACTTTTAAGGATTTGAGAAACAAATTTATTAAATTGATTATTAAATTTATCTCTACATATCCTATTAACAAACTAAGGAAATCTTGTACAGAAAGACATAAGCATACTTTACAGATTAATCATAATTGAATGTTTAGCTTTGCAAGTTTCAGTATTTGATGAATGCAAGCATTTAAAAATATTAAGCAAAATTTGAACATTACTTTTATGCTAGAAATATATATTCCCAATGAGTGTCTGAAGAACACTCTATCTTTGATCTTGCCAAAAGCAAGTAATTAAAACTACAATGTCTTTTCTATTTAGATAGTCTGTATCCATGGAAACACAACACTATATGAGTTTGTGTTATTCTGATATTGTCCTATAAGAAATAAAGTACAAAAAAATGCATATGTGGGATTATAAGCCAATGTATAACTAATTTCAATCTCATTTTAATATAGTTTTACATCTATATTAAAAATGTGCCTATTCTTTCACTGGACATTCATTATTAACAGATATTTAGCATAAGTAGGCACTTGCCTATGTACTCATGATAAAATAGTGAACATTAGTGACAACATGCACTGCTCTCATAGTTGACATTATAGTATTATATTTATATATTATATATAATGTATATATAATATATATACATTATATATTATATATAAATATATATAGAATTTTATTATATTTATAGTATATGTATAATACATATATAGTATATGTATAATACATATATAGTATATGTATTATATTTATAGTATATGTATATATCTTAAGACTATATTATGAGGCTGAGATGGGAAGACATCAATAAACAAATACTAAAGTATTTATTGTGCAATATATTAGTTCCTTAGAGGAGAAATCTCCACACAACGAGTGTGTGCCAATAAGTAAAATATTTTATGCTCCTCACTCTTTCTTCCTACTAATCTTTATGCAGTGCAACCCTAACCTGCTCTAGGAAGCTGAAATTTGAAGGGAGAAGAAGAAGCTTAAGGAGAATGAATGATGTAGTAGAGAAATTGACTATTTCTTGCACTCATACTCCCATTACAGACTTTTCAACCTGAAACATTCCAGGTCAGGGAAGGGCAAAATTGTAAATCATGTTTAGAGATTTAACTGTTGAACAGTTCTGAATATTTTAATTGCTAAAGTGAGACAATTATTGAAACTAAATTGGGTAGAACTTCGTAATCAGAAAAATCATAGGGCCCTCTTTAAATGTCAACAAAGGAGTGAATAATTACTGCATCTCATGGCAAGAGACAAATAAAATTGTTTTCTGTTTACTTGCTACATGGCCCACCTATTCAATGTAATGCTAATGGGTAAAAATTAATATAGAGGATTTGATCGTACAAACTATGTCCAAGTAAAAATAATAAGAATCATAGAAAATCATCTGAATAAAAGTCATAAAATCCAGAAAAATAAAAAGAATATATGAAACTTGTAAAAAGTGTAAAACCACAAAAAGAGTAAAAACCATATGTGATGGTGGAGTACAGTGTTTGGTAAAGTAAGATATTCATTCTGAATTGTTGCCAGCGTCCACATTTTAGTCCAGTGAGCCTAGGTGTGCAGTGTGGTCATTGGGTTATCGTTATATCGACCAAGTGATTTCAGACAGGGGTTCCAAGAGTTAGACCTACTATAATATCTGATCATCCAATATGGCAGATAAATCAGAGTGGGGCTAGGTTTGTCTGTATACATTCAAAAAAATAAAGGTATTGTTGGGGGTTTCTCTACTTGCATTTATAATGCACATAATGGTTATATTCTGCATTAAGCAGGATAGGCAAGGTAGGTACAGAATAAAAGACATGGCTTTACTATTAAGCAGAAGGGATACCATATATACCCAAAATAAAGGAAATAGTATATGACAATCAAATCAGAGCAAAAGAGAGAGGAAAAACATATGGGTAAAAGAAACATTGAGACACTGCAGTTGAGTAAACATTGTCTCACACTAAAACATACATGTCCTATAACAGGAGTCAGTATTGTGGAAACAAACAACAAAAAAATAGAAAAAAATTTATGGCAAAAATGAGAAAGACACTGCACATATATATGTGTATATTTGCATACATACATGGAAATCTGTGAATTCTGTGGAAAAATAACATAATTATAATAAATTTTAAATCACAAAATAAATGCAGATATTCTGATGTCCATCAAAATTACTTAAAATGAAGTTACCTTCAATTCTATATTTTTATGTGTCTCCAGTCATTTACATCCTGGAAAATCATTGACAATATAAGAGAAAAACATCACTGATGAAGAACATATCAAATTTATATTAAATGTTAATTACATATATTAATGTTTCTGGATACTTATGGTATTTTTGAAACACCATTCAGTTTTTAAAAAGATGGAAATCGTGCCTTTTGCAACAACAGAGATGAGTCTGGAGAACAACTTACTAAATAAAACAAGCCAGTCACAGAAGGGCAAATCTGCAATTATTCCAATTATATGAGGTGTCTGTAATTGTCAAACTCATAGAAGCAGAGAGTACAACAGTGGTTTCCAGAGTCTGGAATCTAGGAAAAATGAGGCATTGTTGCTCGAAGGCTGTAAAGTTTCAGTTATGCTGGATGAGTAAGTTATAGAGATCTGGCTGACAGCACAATGTCTACAGTTTATAACACAGCATGGTCACTTCGACAGTTGTTAAGAGAGTCAATCTAATGTTGTGTTCTTAGTACACACACACATACAAAATGAGACAAAAGTATACTTTGGAAGGTATTGGGTATATCTACTACCTTGATTGTGGTGACTATATGGTATCCTGGATGTTCGCGTATGTCCAAATTCATCAGATTGTATACATTAATATAAATGTAGTTTTTGTATATAAAATATGAAAGCTGCTAAAAATAAATTAAGGTGTTAAAATATGGTGGATTAATAAAAATGACTAAATGAAACAAAATAAATATAGTACTTATGGAAGGAGCAGGATTAAAAAAAGAAAAAAGATACAAATGAGAGATATAGTCTTAGAATAGAAAAATAAATCTTTAGGAATAGGATTTATATGACTACCTGTTGGAATTTCTTGTCAAAGTGCCTTCTAAAAATAATTACTATATGCAGAATAAAGCAGTTTTTTGAGATGAGTCATTTCTTCTAATTAGAGAATATCTTTCTTTTGAACAGCTCAGTGGGATATGCAATTTGTAATTTCATATATATTTAGAATTAGGAGAAGTATTAATATGAAAAATGACTGTAGTAATGCTAAATAAACTCTTTAAACAATGAAAAGTTATTTACTGTTATTTTCTAAAGTAGTACATTATTCTTATAAAGGCTGCATGCAATGATAGAACAAATTTACTGGCTGTTATGAGACTCAGGTACCAGATATGTTTAAGCCACCATAAACTGAATTTTCTGCACTACAGTTTCCCCCTCTATAAAATTATAAGTATGAACTGTGTAATACTTAGTTTCTTCATGATTCTGACATTCAAGTACCAGTCAGTTGAAAATAACTCTGATTATTTCTTTTATATAGACCATTATTCAATAATCTTTAAAACATATACCACTTTTCCAATAATATTTAAATACATATTTTTGGTGCTAAAAAGTTAACCAAATGCCAGTTAATTACTTAAATCAGTTAAAAAAAGCTGAATTTTATTAAATCCAGGTGGTATTTTTACTGAATTATTTTGATTTAAGAACTAATTCTCATATTTTATTAGATTTCTTAAATATTATGATTTTCATAGTTGACTACTAGGTAGTAGTTGCAAATATAATAAAATTCTGTTTAATTTCATTAAGTCCATGATCTTAATACAGTTATTGATCTCAAATATCCCTACATTCTTTATTCACAATTTTTGCCAATTAAGCAATGTCAAATGTTTTATATTTTTGGTAAGATATTCTAGATTTAAATTAGTTTTCCTTTAATTTAACTTTATGTTCATAACCTGAATAATTTTGTTTTGCTAAAACATGTAACCATGGGTGGGAATATCTGCAATAGCTAAGGTTTTACATCTTCCAATTGATTTCTTCAAAAAATAATATTTGGGTGGGGCATGGTGGCTCATGCCTATAACTCCAGCACTTTGAGAGGCCAAGCAGGGAGAATCACTTGAAGTCAAAATTTCAAGGCCAGCCTGGGCAACATAGCAAGACCCTGTCTCTAAAAAAAAAAAAAAAAATGCCACGTGTGGTGGTGTGCACCTGTGGTCTTGGCTACCTGGGAGTCTGTGGCAAAAGGATCACTTGATCCCGGGAGTTTACTGTAGTGAGCTGTAATCTTGCCACTGCATGTTAGCCTGAGGAACTGAATAAGACTCTGTCTCTAAAATATAATAATAATAATAATAATTATTTTTTAACTTTTATTTTAAGTTTGGGGTACCTGTGCAGGATGTGCAGGTTTGTTACATAGGTAAATATGTGTCATGGGGGTTTGTTGTAAAGATCATGTCATCGCCCAGGGATTATGCTTAGTATCCATCAGTTATTTTTCCTGATCCTCTCTCTCCTCTCACCCATCACTCTTCAAAAGGCCCCAGTGTGTGTCTGTCCCCTCTATGTGGCCATGTGCTCTCTTCATTTAGCTCCCATTTGTAAGTGAGAATAGGCAGCACCTAGTTTTCTGTTCCTGTGTTAGTTTGCTAAAGATAATGGCCTCCAGCTCCCTTCATGTCCTTGCAAAGGACATGATCTTGTCCATTTTTATGGCTGCATAGCATTCCATAGTGTATATGTACTACATCTTCTTTATCCAGTCTCTCATTGATGAGTATTTAGGTTGATGTCAGGTCTTTGCTGTTGTGAATAATGCTGAAATGAACATATGTGTGTGCATGTATCTTTATAATAGAATGATTTGTATTCCTTTGGGTATATACCCAATAATGAGATTGCTGGGTCAAATGGAATTTTTGCCTCTAGGTCTTTGAGGAATCACCACACTGTCTTTCACAACATTTTACACTCTCACTAACAGTGTAAAATGTTCCTTTTTTCTCTGCAACCTCAGCAGCATCTGTTATTTTTTGGCTTTATAATAACAGCCATTCTGACTGGTGTGAGTTGGTATTTCATTGTGGTTTTGATTTACATTTTTCTAATGATCAGTAATGTTGAGCTTTGACAAACCTGACAAAATAAGCGATGGCAAAAAAAAATCTCAGCCAGGCATGGTGGCTCACGCCTGTAATCCCAGCACTTTGGGAGGCCGTGGCAGGTGGATCACGAGGTCAGGAGATTGAGACTATCCTGACTAACATGGTGAAACCCTGTCTCTACTAAAAATACAAAAAATCAAAAAATTAGCCTGGCGTGGTGGCAGGCGCTTATAGTCCCAGCTACTCGGGAGGCTGAGGCAGGAGAATGGCATGAACCCAGGAGGTGGAGCTTGCAGTGAGCCAAGATTGTGCCACTGCACTCCAGCCTGGGCAACAGAAGGAGACTCCGTCTCAAAAAAAAAGAAAAAAAAATCTCTATTCAGTAAATGGTGCTGGGAAAACTGGCTAGCCCTATGCAGAAAATTGAAAGTGGACCCCTTCCTTACACCATACACAAAAATTAACTCAAGATGGATTAAAGATTTTAGTGTAAAACTATAAAAATCCTGGAAGACAACCTAGGCAGTACCATTTAAAATGTAGGCACAGGCAAAGATTTCAAGACAAAGATGCCAAAAGCAATTGCAACAAAAACAAAAAGTGACAAGTGAAATATAATTAAATCAAATAACTTTCGCACAGCAAAAGAAACTATCAACAGAGTAACCAGACAACCTACAGAAAGAGAGAAAAAGTTTTACAAACTATACATCTTACGAAGGTCTAATATCCAGAATCTATAAAGAACTTAAAAAACTTACAAGAATAAAACAACTCCATTAAAAAGTGGGCATATGATATGAACAGAGAATTCTCAAAAGAGGACATACGTGTGGCCAACAAGTATATTAAAAAATAATTATTAATAATAACATTTGACAGAGTGATGTCAGAAGGATTGCAGTGGCAGAGTAGGAATCCATATATACTCCTTTCCTCCCATAAACACAGTAATTTAACAAAAAAAAAAATCATGTAAAAATTTGTTTTGTGAGAAATCCGGAAATTAGTTAAGAGGCTCCTGCACCCTGGGTGAATGCAAAAGTACCCACATTGAAAGCAGTAGGAAAATGTAAGACTATTTTCGCTACAATATTTACCCGCAAATATAGCGCCATCTTATCGGGTGGAAATCTTCAGCTCTAGCTTTTCCCTGGGGAGAGAACAAGGTGTACCACTTATCCAGTGACCCAACACTCACAGGGCCTACCTAGAATACTAGCTTCTGTATAGTCTGTCCTGGAATGCTGACAGGACTCAGCATAATGTATTCGCCTGGACAGGTGAGAACAGGGATTGCAGTTTGGGTTGGCAGTAGTCAGAACTCCTCTCCCAGGTCATTAAAGAGAAAATGGATAAAAATCCCTAGCTTCCATCTTCTCTCAATGCAAGGAGAGATGTATTCTGTGTCCAAAATTCTGACTTTCCCAGGGGCTACCCTTATGACTGGATTCTGTCTAGCTTGTCTTGGAGTGCTGATAGGACCTGGAATAATCTAGCCAACTGAGTTCCAGTGAGAACAGAGGCAGTGGTTGATATAACATGCAACTAGTCACTGGAAATATCTCCATCTTGCTCAGCACAGGCTGATAGGCCAAAAACAATGAGATCTGTTCTTCTCCATGTGGAGGAAAAGAGCCTTACAGAATAACCAATAATACCAATTTTCTCAAGACTGGTTGGGGAACTGGCTTCAATCTCGCTTGTGAGTGTTTGCTGATTTGACTTGGCATGTACTAGACCCAGGGTCTCTAAAGATAGAGAAAGTGAGTTGAAGCACTAAGTTTGAAGAGGCCCCCATAATTTTTGGTTGTGCTGATTAGTAAGGGTCTTTTCATAAATAAGACAAGCTCATAAAGAATGGAAGAGATAAATGTTCTGTCAGTTGAGCAAATATCAACACAGAGATTCAAGAAAAATGAAGAACTTGGACAATATATTCTAAAAAAAAAAGGAATGAGAAAAAGCTTTAGGAAATTACCCTAATTAAACAGAATTTTATGACATATATGACAGAGAATTCAAAATAAACATCACATAGTCCTTGTTTGCTGAGATAAGAAGAACAATGCATACATAAACAGAAAATATAAATAAAGAGAGAAAA
Organism: Homo sapiens; assembly: GCF_000001405.40. Lineage (NCBI taxonomy): Eukaryota > Metazoa > Chordata > Mammalia > Primates > Hominidae > Homo > Homo sapiens. The sequence goes on along the minus strand of NC_000004.12, from coordinate 63,853,598 downwards.
TATTTTAAGATACCAAACATAAATCATGGAGTTGAAGAATAATATAATAACTGAGAAAAAAATCACTAAAGTGTCCAACAGAAGCCTAGATCTGCAAAGCAGGAGAGAATGACAAGCTTGAAAAATAGGTAGCTGGTAGGGAGTGATGGCTCACGCCTGTAATCCCAGCACTTTGGGAGGCCGAGGCGGGCGGATCACGAGGTCAGGAGATTGAGACCATCCTGGCTAACACGGTGAAACCCCGTCTCTACTAAAAATACAAAAAAAAATTAGCCAGGTGTGGTGGCGGGCATCTGTAGTCCCAGCTATTCCGGAGGCTGAGGCAGGAGAATGGCCTGAAACCGGGAGGAGGAGCTTGCAGTGAGCCGAGATGGCGCCACTGCACTCCAGCCTCGGCGACAGAGCGACACTCCATCTCAAAAACAATAAAAATAAATAAATAAAGAAATAATAGGTAACTGAAAATTATTCAAAGAAGCATAAATAAAAAAGAGTAAAAAACAGTGTGTAAGAGACTTATGTTTCACCATCAAGTGAACTGATAAAGACATTAAGGGGTTATAGAAGAGGCAGAGGAAGAGAAAAAGAAAAAAACAAAAACAGAAAATATTTTTAAGAAATAATGGTTGAAAACTTCCCAGATCTGGGGTAGAAAATGAACATTCAGACTGAGGATGCCCAAAAGCCCCCAACTCAAATAAGCCCAAATAAATTCACACTAAGATACATTATAATAAAATTATCAAATTTAGACACACAATTTTTAAAGCAGAAGGAGAAAAGTAACTCATTATATACAAGATAGCTTCAGAAAGGTAGCAGCAATTTTTTTTTTTCTATTTGTACAGGCCAGAAGGAAGCGGGACAATACTAAGTATTGAAATAAATAAAATGAAAGCCTGCTAACCAAGAATATTACACCTGCCACAACTATTCTTATACCATGAAGGAGACAAAAATTTTCCCCAATCAAAAGTTACACTATCACTATTAGACATGAATCAAGAGAAATGCTAAGGAGAGTTCATCGGTTTGAAACAAAAGACTCTAAACAGCAATACAGTAGCATAAGAAAATATAAAACTCATTGTTAAAGGTAAATATGTAGACAAATGCAGAATATCATATACTGTTATGGTGTTGGGTAAATCACTTGATTCAAGTATAAAAGTCAAAACACAAATATATTTATAATAACTGTATTTAAAACATGTTAATAGATGCACAATATAAATAAATATTGGAAGAAGAGGGAAATAGTGAGTTGCTAATAAATTGGCATGAAATCTCAATTATGCAAGATGAATAAGTTCTAGAAATCTGCTGTACAATATTTTCTCTATAATTAACTATACTGTATTGCAAACCAAATTTTTTTATGAAGATAGACTTAGTGATAAGTGTTCTAACTACAATAAAATAAAATAATATTTGACATTTATCTTTACTGTGGATTGCATAGATTTGGGGTAATGCGCCTTGCCCCACTTTGTGACTTTTTTCTTGGTAAAAATTGTAATTTCTGAGGCAGTACATATAATAATTATTATTTAATAAATTCATGAGACATGTAACAAATTAAAATTTTTAAATTTAATAGCTTTAATTGGCATGATTATAAAATAACTCGACATGTTAAATTGTATAACATGATACATACTAACATTAAAATTTTTAAATTTAATAGCTTTAATTGGCATGATTATAAAATAACTCGACATGTTAAATTGTATAACATGATACATACTAACATGCATGTAACTGTGAAACCATCAAAATTAAAATAAAAAATTTAACCATCATCCCCGTAAGTTTCCTCATGCCCTTATACAATTCTCTCCTCTTTCCTCCCCCTTGACTAAAACAATGACATACCTTTTCTTACTGTTGATTTGTTTGCATTTCCAAAAATTTTATATAAATGAATCATACAGTATATATTATTTTATTTGGATTCTTTCACCCAGTATGATTTATCCATGGTTATTTCTTCAGTGTTGGTAGGTATTTTGTTTTTTTCCAAGTGTGGTTATTAAAAATAGCTACAGTAAACATTTGTGTAAAAATACTTTTGTGGGGTATATGCTTTCAATTTGGCTAGGCAACTCCTAGCATTGGAACGGCAGACTTATACACAGGTATAAGTTTAAATATTTCATAAACCTCCAGCTCTTTTTCAAAATGATAGAACAATTTTACATAAAATTACAATGATGATAGCTATTTTTATAATTATATGACACTCACATTTATTCCACATCCTTGCTGTTAGTTGTTACGGTCAATCTTTTACAGTTTAGGCATTACACTAAGTGTGTATTATTATCCAACTTACTGTCTAATTTACCTTTTCTAATAATTAATAGTTTAGAACACCTTTTTATGTTACTACTTGTCATCCCTGTACTGTTTTTGGGGGGGCAAATTAAGTGTCTGTTTAAATTTTTACCTAATTTTATTGTGTTATTTGTTTTTTTACTGGTGAGTTTTGATATCCTATATATATATTCTGGAAGCCCAGTGTGGCAATCTCCGCAATAGCATTTTCTTCAGTATCTCCATGCCACACATATATTACTTTCCTGCATTTGGTCTTTATTATGTCTATGTTTCAATTTATACCATTAGTATTTTGTTTGGCTATTAGAATAGTCTATATTAAGGTGTTACATGTTTTATTTTAATTTCATGATGATATAAGTTAAATTTCACAGAAAAATTTACAGAACTCAAAAAATAAACACCTCTCCCCCTTTCTCAAATACACACATGCACGCACACACACCAAGTACTATTTTTGCCAATTTTCTTTTTCCTTTGATTTCTTTCTTCTACTTTATGTGTATGTGAGTGTGTTGTGTATGTTCTTCTATTCTTTTCAACATTAATCACCTGGAAAATGTAAGGTTGAAGCCAACATACCACAATAAAGATATTAAAGAAGAGTTTCTTTGGGTTGGCAAATTAATAACTAATTTCTCAGTATTATTTTGAGATTATATAATTAATCTGTGAAAATTTCTCCCTTTATTTTGCCATTATTTGATGATTTTCTAATTCTATTAATCTGCTACTTTGGTCAAGAAACAACTTATTGTAGAAAAGAATTGTATCTTCTCTATTTGCATGTTTATTGAGTTGTGTATTATTGTGGGAATTTATAAATCTTTACTTAACAGATCACATATTTTTCATTTTTTAAATGTTTCAATTTTCTCTGACTTGGGAAGTACATGTCAGATGGCTATCTATGCTTTTGATGTTCTTTTATTCTTTCTTTGAGTAATTTCCTATTTTACTCTCCTTTTCTCTCTGTCTCTCTCACAGGCATACACACAGAAACACACATATGTTTATCAAAATAAGATATCTGTATCTAAATATAAATATATATATGTTTTTTTGTTTTATGTTTATATATGTTATATATTTTATGTTTTTATATATGATATATGTTTAAAAAGTGTTCCATATTAGTCATTAAGGGAATGCAGATTTAAATAATATATACATAAAAATATACACATATATGTATAAACATATATATGTATATATTATGTGTAATATATTATAAACATAACATTATATAATATATTTATATAATATTATATATAATATATAATATATAATATTATATATTATATATTATATATAATATATTATATATAATATAATATATTATATATTATATATAATATATTATATATAATATAATATTATATATTATATATTATATATTATATAAAATATAATATATAATATTATGTATTATATATAATATATTGTATAATAATATATAATATAATAATATCTAATATATTATATAATATGTAATATATATCATATAATATATTATATAATATATAATGCATATTATATTATATAATATATATAATATATAACATTATATATACTATATAATATATTGTATAATAATAATATATAATATAATATCTAATAGATATAATATAATATATACTATATATTATATTTTATAATATGTAATATATATTATATTATATAATATGTAACATATATTATATTATATAATATGTAATATATATTATATTATATTATATTATGTAATATATATTATATTATATAATAGATTATATAATATGTAATATATATTACATTATATAACATGTAATATGTATTATATTATATAATAGATTATATAATATATATTATATATTATATTATATATTATATTATATAATAGATTATATAATATATAATATATATTATAATATATAATATGTAATATATATTACATTATATAATAGATTATATAATATATAATACATATTATATTATATAATAGATTACATAATATATAATACATATTATATTATATAATCTATTATTATATATAGTACAATATATTATATAATCTATTATATAATCTATTATATAATAGATTATATAATAGATAATATAATAGATTATATAATATATTATGTAATATATAACATATATATTATATAGTGCATAGTATAAAGATAACATATAATGTATAATGTAATATTTTATATTATATTATATATAATATATTTCTATATAATACAATATAATAATATTATATAATATATAATTATTATATATAATTATATAATAATATTATATAATATATAATTATTATATATAATTATATAATAATTATATATGTAATATATATAATATATATGTAATATATATAATAATATATAATATTTATATAATAATTATATAATTATTATATAATAATATAATCTATAATTATAATTATAATATTGTATATAATTACATTATATATAATATATGATTATAATATAATATATATTATATAATATATGATATATGATTATAATATAATATATATTATATAATATATATTATATATAAACCATATATTATGTTTACAATATATTATGTTTATATATTATGTTTATAATATATAAACATATTAATATATTAATACATAAATATAATATAATATCTTATATAATATAATATAACATAATATAATATATAATATAATATAATATAATATATTATACAATATAATATTATAATACAATATATCATATATTATAATACAATATATTATATTATATAATATTATAATATAATATATTATATATTATAATACAATATATTAATATTATATAATAGTATAATACAATATGTTAATATTAGATATTATAATATAATATGTTAATATTAGATAATATTATAATATGTTAATATTAGATAATATTATAATATAATATGTTAATATTAGATAATATTATAATATAATATGTTAATATTAGATAATATTATAATATTAATATATAATTATATAATATATAAATATATAATAAATAATATACAATATATAATATATATGAATATGTTTGTATTATATATAATATATGTAATATATTAATATACTACATATTGTACAAATATATCTATATATAATATATAAACATATTATGTCATATATGTATAAACATATATATGTGTATATTTTTATGTATGCTTATATTTTATGTATATTTCTTATTGTGTATCTTTGTCTTTGTGGCTTTATCTATATCATCATATCTATACATGTATATATACATACACTCATTTTTATTATCTATTTATATATTTACCTTTCTATATCAATAACCAGGATTCCATAATTGTGTAGTGCAATTCTAATAGCTCAGGGTCTATTCTAGCTTCCAGTACTTCTAATTCTGTACTTCCCTCATAGTCAGATAATGAACTCGTATTTTCCTTAAAATTCTACTCATGTGCATGTTGAACCAGCCTTGCATCCCAGGGATGAAGCCCACTTGATCATGGTGTATAAGCTTTTTGATGTCCTGCTGGATTCGGTTTGCTAGTATTTTATTGAGGATTTTTGCATCAATGTTCATCAATGCTATTGGTCTAAAATTCTCTTTTTTGGTTGTGTCTCTGCCAGGCTTTGGTATCAGGATGATGCTGGCTTCAAAAAATGAGTTAGGGAGGATTCCCTCTTTTTCTATTGATTGGAATAGTTTCAGAAGGAATGGTATCAGCTCCTCCTCGTACCTCTGGTAGAATTTGGCTGTGAATCCATCTGGTCCTGGACTTTTTTTGCTTGGTAAGCTATTGATTATTGCCACAATTTCAGAGCCTGTTATTGGTCTATTCAGAGATTCAACTTCTTCCTGGTTTAGTCTTGGGAGGATGTGTGTGTCACGGAATTTATCCATTTCCTGTAGATTTTCTATGTAATCCAGCATATAAACAGAACCAAAGACAAAGACCACATGATTATCTCAATAAATGCAGAAAAGGCCTTTGACAAAATTCAACAACCCTTCATGCTAAAAATTCTCATTAAATTAGGTATTGACGGGACGTATCTCAAAATAATAAGAGCTATCTATGACAAACCCACAGCCAATGTCATACTGAATGGTCAGAAACTGGAAGCATTCCCTTTGAAAACTGGCACAAGACAGGGATGCCCTCTCTCACCACTCCTATTCAACATAGTGTTGGAAGTTCTGGCCAGGGCAATTAGACAGAAGAAGGAAATAAAGGGTATCCATTTACGAAAACAGGAAGTCAAATTGTCCCTGTTTGCAGATGACATGACTGTATATCTACAAAACCCCATTGTCTCAGCCCAAAATCTCCTTAAGCTAATAAGCCACTTCAGCAAAGTCTCAGGATACAAAATCAGTGTACAAAAATCGCAAGCATTCTTATACACCAGTAACAGACAAACAGAGAGCCAAATCATGAGTGAACTCCCATTCACAATTGCTTCAAAGAGAAAAAAATACCTAGGAATCCAACTTACAAGGGATGTGAAGGACCTCTTCAAGGAGAACTACAAACCACTGCTCAATGAAATAAAAGAGGATACAAACAAATGGAAGAACATTCCATGTTCATGGGTAGGAAGAATCAATATTGTGAAAATGGCCATACTGCCCAAGGTAATTTATAGATTCAATGCCATCCCCATCAAGCTACCAATGACTTTCTTCACAGAATAGGAAAAAACTACTTTAAAGTTCATATGGCACCAAAAAAGAGCCCACATCACCAAGTCAATCCTAAGCCAAAAAACAAAGCTGGAGGCATCACGCTACCTGACTTCAAACTATACTACAAGTCTACAGTAACCAAAACAGCATGGTACTGGTACGAAAACAGAGATATAGATCAAAGGAACAGAACAGAGCCCTCAGAAATAATGCCGCATATCTACAACCATCTGATCTTTGACAAACATGACAAAAACAAGCAATAGGGAAAGGATTCCCTACTTAATAGAAGGTGCTGGGAAAACTGGTCTGCCATATGTAGAAAGCTGAAACTGGATCCCTTCCTTACACCTTATACAAAAATTAATTCAAGATGGTTTAAAGACTTAAATGTTAGACCTCAAACCATAAAAACCCTAGAAGAAAACCTAGGCAATACCATTCAGGACATAGGCATGGGCAAGGACTTCATGTCTAAAACATCAAAAGCAACGGCAATAGAAGCCAAAATTGACAAGTGGGATCAAATTAAACTAAAGAGCTTCTGCACAACAAAAGAAACTGCTGTCAGAGTGAACAGGCAACCTACAAAATGGGAGAAAATTTTTGCAACCTACTGATCTCACAAAGGGCTAATATCCAGAATCTACAATGAACTCAAACAAATTTACAAGAAAAAAACAAACAACCCCATCAAAAAGTGAGCAAAGGATATGAGCAGCCACTTCTCAAAAGAAGACATTTATGCTGCCAAAAGACACATGAAAAAATGTTCATCATCACTGGCCATCAGAGAAATGCAAATCAAAACCATGATGAGATACCATCTCACACCTGTTAGAATGGTGATCATTAAAAAGTCAGGAAACAACAGGTGCTGGAGAGGATGTGGAGAAATAGGAACACTTTTACACTGTTGGTGGGAATGTAAACTAGTTCAACCATTGTGGAAGTCAGAGTGGTGATTCCTCTGGGATCTAGAACTAGAAATACCATTTGACCCAGCCATCCCATTACTGGGTATATACCCAAAGGATTATAAATCATGCTGCTATAAAGACACATGAACACTTATGTTTATTGCAGCACTATTCACAATAGCAAAGATGTGGAACCAACCTAAATGTCCAACAACAATAGACTGGATTAAGAAAATGTGGCACATATACACTATGAAATACTATGCAGCCATAAAAATGATGAGTTCATGTCCTTTGTAGGGACATGGATGAAGCTGGAAACCATCATTCTCAGCAAACTATCACAAGGACAAAAAACCAAACACTGCATGTTCTCACTCATAGTTGGGAATTGAACAATGAGAACACATGGACACAGGAAGGTGAACATCACACTCCGGGGACTGTTGTGGGGTGGGGGAAGGGGGGAGGGATAGCATTAGGAGATATACCTAATGCTAAATGACGAGTTAATGGGTGCAGCACACCAACATGGCACATGTATACATATGTAACAAACCTGCACATTGTGCACATGTACCCTAAACTTAAAGTATAATAATAATAAAATTTAAAAAAAATAAAAAAATAAAATTCTACTCATGTGCTTATGACAAAAGATATTGAAAGCAGTTTCAAAAATGCTAACAGGACTGAGTGCACTAGTGCATGCCTGAAGTCCCAGCTATTTGGGTGTCTGAGGTGAGAGGATCTCTTGAGCCCAGGAGTTAGAAGCTACGGTGAGGTAGGATGACCCCACTGCACTCCAGCCTGGGTGACAGAGAAAGATCCTGTCTTAGAAAGAAAAAAAATGCAAATGCACAACATTGTGCATATGTGATGTTGGTTTATAGGTCTTTGTTAAGAAAGCAATATATACATACAGTGAAATTCAATAATCTTAAGTGTACAATTTGAATTATATTTTGTTTGTCTCCTTTTCCAGTGAATTCCCGGCCTCATGAACTCCTCTACAATATTTTACCAATTTTTATATCACTGATTATTTTTAACCATTGTAGATTTTATGTACATGATATCAAACTATATGCACTCTTTTGTGTTCATTTTCCTTAAAACTTCAGTATAATATGTGTGATAAATATGTTGTAATATCTATCAGTTGATCATTTTTATTCATGACCAATTATCTTCATTGTGTGACTACGTCACGTTTATTTATTCTTCTGTTGATGAACATTCTAGTTTTTCTCTCTTATGAATTAAGATGACATAAATACTCCTATAGGCTTTGGTAAATATCTAAGTTCAATTGCTGCTTTCTAGAATGAATGTATATTTAGTATTGCAAGAAATCGTCAAATTATAATTTGTTCTCCTACTAAAAATGTATGACAGTTCCAAGAGATTCATTTCCTCATCAGTATTTTATTTTGATGGTTTCATAAAAAACCTTTAGCTATTTTAGCAACGATATACTGATATATCATTGTTTAAATATGCATTCCCTTAATGACTAATGTGGAACACTTTTTAAATGTCCTTACTGGCCATTTACACGGTTTTTTTGTTTTATTTTGTTTTGTTTTGAAAAGTGTTCAATTGGCCTAACTTTCAAGGACACTTTGTGTTTTTATTGAGCGTAGAAGTTTCTTATCTTTTAAAATAGATCTTAGATCTTTTATGAGAAATATTCATATATATGTATATATGTTTCACATATATACACACGGACACATATACGTACATTATATGCATACATACAATACCTACAAATACATGACAAAATATTCTCTTAATCTGTGAATTGCTTACTTTCTTACATCTAAAAAGCCTTTAATGATAATGAATTCTAATACATTATTTGTTTTTTTGTGACATTCTATCCAAGAAACAAGAGCTTACTATTAGGTTTCAAAACAATTCTTCTAGATTTTTGTATAAATCTAAGAACATTTATACATTTATTTTCTCCTTTTTTTGGAGACGGAGTGCTGTGGCATGATATCGGCTCCCTGCAACCACAGCCTCCAGAGTTCAAGTGATTCTCCTGCCCAAGCCTCCAAAATAGCTGGGACTACAGGCATGCACCACCACGCTCGGCTTATTTTTGTATTTTTTAATAGAGACGGGGTTTCTCCATGTTGGCCAGGCTGTTCTTGAACTCCTGACCTCAAGTGATACTCTCACCTTGGTCTCCCAAACTGTTGGTTTTATAAATGTGAGCCACCACATCCGACCCTTTCTCCATTTCTGTATTTAAAGCCTTGAACAAATTTATGAGTAGAGTATGAGATCAAATTTAATGTTCATTATTTCTACATTTCTTTCCAGTTGGTTAGTGACTCTTACTTTAATAGTCTTTCCTTTTCACAACGAATTATGTAGTATTTTTTTTGAAAATTGAATTATCAATTTATAGTTTCAGTATGGTTATACCCCTAAAACATCTGTTATGTCTTACTGATCTATTTTCTAACCATTTTGAATATTGTAAGGTATTTATATCTTTAGTTTTTATTTTTATAGTAAGAATTGAAGTCAAGTAATGTAAGTCCTTGAACTTTGTACCTTTCCAAGATTGTTTTGATTATTCACATCAAGGAATATTCATATGTCCTGGAGAGAAATCTGAAAGATTTGGGGCTTTAAATAAGATAGGAACTATCATTTAGCTTAGTGTTTTATTTTTGCATTGCATAGTATAGTTATCTTAATTACAACAGAGCTGTTTACTTATTTGCTACTGTAAAAGGAGAATATTACATTAAGATATGCTTCCAAAAATTCATTTCTGGATTTTCTCCAAGGAATCACCTGTCAAGAGACTTTTACTCAATCTGACATTTTTATTCTTCCAATATTTTAACATACCTCAAATTATTCTACACAGTCATTTAGTGTATAGCTTGAGGTAGATGATTTAGGAATGAGATTTACTGTCATCTCCTCTTCACTTTCCGTTTACAGTAAGAACTAATAATTTATTTTTTCTTTAGAACATCTTAAGAGCATTGCCCAAATGCATTTCTTTGGGCTTCTGCATTTTATTATAAAGGGTGTTCTTATTTTGATCAATAATATTTCATTTTTCTGAGACATATTTTGTAGCATGCTTTACATTTTAAATGAGTACTATTCCAGATCGAGAAACTTCTCTGAGACATCATAGATATCCACTGCTGTTGGCTTACTTAGAATATATCTATACAACCATAAATTATATTTCTCTAGGAGCTGAATCATTTCCTACCCATTATCTATCACAAGAGAAGTGGGAAAAGAAGCAAACTTACTCTAGAGAAAATAATAACAAAAATTTTTAGTTTTTTAAATATAAAATTTTAGTATGAAAAGTAATAATCTCCCTCAGATTTAGTTTATGTTATAAACTATTTGAGTATTTATACTATAATGTTAATCATTATGCAAATTATAGCTTGCATGATCATTATATAACATATATAAAATTCACCTGCTAATGAATTTACAAGCGTTACATTATTTTGAACCTGTTATGTGATAGAAATTTATACTCAGTGCTAATGAAAAATATTATTTTTCCTCAATAGAAGTCATAAAGCGAGAAACTGTATTCTAACCAACTTTGAAGACACCAAATTTTCTCAGACTTTGTGTAGAATTACCAAGGCGATTTAGTCATAATAAATGTCAATGTTAAAATCATGTGGTATTTGAAATCTGGAAAACCCAAGTTTGAATTTTACTTCTGCGTACTCTTTCTGAGCTCTAATGATCACATTAAGAAACAAGTGGAGGATGGTATCCTTCTCTTCAGAATGTGAAAACTACCTGACATGAACATGTTGAGCAGAAAATTTTTCTCTTTCTCTTCCCTGTTTCAATTTGTTTGCAACACCCACTCCTGTGTTCAGTTATATTCAAAATATAGAGCTCTCCCTGTTGTTCATAATCATTTGAAACCACATGTATTAGTCAAGATTTTTTTTATTATAAGTAATAAATCACTGCAACGAACTTAAGTATCTATACATCAAAGACTACACAGAAACTGAAATTACTTCACACTAAGTTAGAGTCAGGTAGTTTTTTTTTTCATTATGGATCATTGTTTATTTCAGTATTGATTCCTCAACATGTTTAAACTAGCAACCTCAACTTCAAATGTCACATGTAAAATTCACAAATAAGTGGAACAACTCGAAGAATTTTATTGTTCTGTGTCATGAGACAATCTTCCACTGCGTGTGCATGTCTAAGAAATTTCAGTAAGTTCTCTAAAAAGCTCTGGCCACCTGTCCGGTCTTGTATCCAGTGAACTTGGTACATTTCACTCACATGAGCTGGGAAGGAGAATGGGTGGTTTCCACAGTAGAAGTGCAGATTCAATTAACAGAAGAAGGAACAATGCATGCTTACAACAAAAAGAAAAAAAATCTTCGAAACCAAATTTATAATCATCTTAGCTGTTGAGAATGAGATTTGGTAATATATTTTCTCTGAAAATTTAATGGGTGTTTTCTTGAACCCACATTTTATCTTGAAACATTTTGATCATAGCCCAGACGTGGAGATTGAATACTTTCAGCTCCAAATATCAGAAAATATGTATTACGCTTTATTTGTATTTTTTAGAAAACATATACTACCATCTAAATTTTGTTTTTTAAAAAATTTTCAGTTAACTCTCACTCCACTCTAGCTTATCTTTGCATTTTTCAGATACCTGTTATTTTTTCCTAAAGCAATTCTTTTAATTTTAGAATACAGAGGTTTGTCTTTATCATCATCATTTTTTTTTCTGGAGCCCTCTTTTTATTTTGCTTCATTTCTTCACTTGATGTAAGCTTGTATCTGCTAAAGGTGGTAGTAAGATGACTTGTGATACAGAAGGTTTAAGATCAAAGTTATTTAATTTTATTTATGACTACATTAAGAATTGGAAAATTTATTCATTCTCTAAGGTATATTCTCAGAAACTTTACTATTGGCGTTTAAGGATGACAGGTTCTTACTTTTGTAGTTAAAGTCCAGGAGGTAAAGCGAAAAATTCTACTTGTATATAAAGAAGGGATTTAACATAAAAAATAAATACTTACAAAATTATCAAAAAGTCTAGAAGAATGGAAACAAGGGTTGGAAGAAGAAAAAATAGATTTCTACATCAAAATAACCTCACAGGCCTTCCAATCTAGAAGTAAGAAATATGGAACAATAAAAAAAAGCCCTAAGTAGCCAAAGCAATCCTAAGCAAAAAGAGTGAAGCCAGAAGCATCATACTACTTGACTTCAAAATATACTACACGGCTATAATAAGCAAAACATCATAGTACTGGTATAAACACAGACATACAAAACAAAGGAATAGGATAAAGAATCCAGAAATAAAACCACATACCTACAGCCAACTGATCTTTGACAAAGTTGACAAAAACATACACTGAAAAAGGACATACTATTCAATAAAGGGTGCTTAGAAAATTGGATTTCTACATGCAGAAGAATGAAACTGGTTCCTTATCTCTTACCACATATAAAAATTAACACAAGATGTATTAAAGACTTAAGTGTAAAAGCTGAGAGTATAAAAATTCTTGAAAAAAAAACTAAGGAAATCATTTCTGGACATTGGTCTAGGCAAATAATTAATGACTAAGGTCACAGAAGCAAGCACAACAAAAACAAAAATAGAGAAATGGGACTTTTATAAGCAAAAAGGCTGCAGTGCAGCAAAATAAATATTAAAGCAAACAGACAACGTGCAGAATGGGAGAAAATATTTGCAAGCTGTGTGCCTGACAAAGGACTAATATCCAGAATCTACAAGAAAATCAAACAACTTAGTAACAACAACAACAACAACAAAATAACACCATAAAAAAGTAGGCAAAAGGAGATACAAGAATGGTCAACAATCATATGAAAAAATTCTCAACATCACTAATCACCAGAGAAATGCAAAATAAAACTACAATGAGATACTACGTTAGACTAATTAGAACTGCTATTATTAAAAATTCAAAAAATAATGTATTGGTGAGGATGTGGAGGAAATACAACCACTACATGCTTTTGGTGGGAATGTAAATTAGTGCAACCTTTGTGAAAAACAACATGAAGATTTTTTGAAGAACTTAAAATAGGTCTACATATACAATGGAATACTACTCAGCCATGAAAAAGAATGAAATCATATCTTTTGAAGCAAAATGATGGAACTGGAGGGCATTATCTTAAATGTAATAGCTTAGAAAGAGAAAGTCAAATACCGCATGTTCTCACTTATAAATGGGAGCTAAATAATGTGTACAAGCAGACATGGACTGGGGAATAATAGACATTGGAAACTTGTAAGCCCAGTGAGGAGGGATGATAAATTACTTAACAGGTACAATGTGCATTATTTGGGCAATGGCTATACTAGAAGCCCAGACTTCACCATTACACAATATATCCATGGAACAAAATGACACTTGTACCTCTTAAATCCATGAAAATAAAAATTAAAAAATAAACAGCTGCCACATCCCATTACCTTACTGTTTCTGCCATAGCAACTCTTTGCTCTTGAACCTTGTAAGTGAATAGTGCAATGTAAGGCTGGCTTGCTTCAAACATTCATGTACATCAACATTTTAGCGTGGTATCATTTTTATTTTATTTTTTGCTATTTCTACCTTACAAAATAATGTAAGTATTTTTCATTACAGGAACCTACAGAAAAGCTGTTTCCTTGATCCAAAGATGTCTGGAAAATGACACGTTTTATTTTTAGGCCCATGAGATATGGGAGAGGACAGTTGGAGCATAGAAGGAAGTAAGGAAGGAAGCGGAGTACTAGCAGAAGAATCTAGCACAGAAAGGTTTGAAAGTCATTGTGCAAGGCAACCAGAAGCACAGGTTAAGATGAATTCCAAAACCTTGAGCATACTGAATAGTAAACACAGCCTGTGGAATTATATTATAGAGTGTGTTCTGAGGTATTTACAAACTACATCATTGCCTCCATGGAAGATACATATTAAATTGACATCCAAGGATAAACAGATGAGATTCAACAGTAGAACCAATTATCTCAAATGGTGTGTGAAATTTTCTGTTAATATTTACAGGCACTTTTTTCTTCAAGTAATAAATTTAATAAATAACATAAAGTATACTAAGATCACACAAAAGTTTAAGAACAATTGAAAGAGAAAAAATTAAAATTTCAGCCAAAATTCAAGTGCAATGTTACAGGCAAAATAAATAATGCTTGCAATAATTAATTGGTGACTCTCTGTTAATGCACATATATGTTGCAATCATTTTCTGTTGGGATATATGCTACCTTTCTAGAGTATGTTTCAAAGAAATTATAAAGAGACTATGAAAAATAATGTTATTGGTTGCCTATTGAACAGCTAGACTCGTGTCTTTCTCACTCATAGTGCCTGTCTCCTCTTAATACAGAAAGTGGAGCAACCCTTTCTGCTTATGAATAAGTATTTACCTAAGAATAATTTCAGTAAGTTGATTTAAAAAAACACAAAATATACAATTATAATACCCCCTCCTATCTTTGGATGAAATTGTCTAGGAATGTGAAATCTATGAAAGCACCTATCTGTGGCCAGGATTAGTAAATTCTGGGTTTAATTCTATATACCAAAGAAGGCATATTGAGTTTGGCTGCTGCTTTCCATATGTTGGAAATCATTTCTGGAATCACCCAATCTCTAGATCCCTTCTCATGTGAAATAACAAATACATTCTTAATTTAAGCCCTTTTAAATTGTGTCTTTTACTAATTTTAGTAAAAATCTTTGTAACTGATAAACTGAAGTTTCTAGGAATGACTTATGTAGTCACAAGAAACCTGTAATATAACTACAATTCCTAGGATTTTATTGCAAAAAGCTGAAATATTTGAGGTTAAATGTCTTCTCTTTTCTCAGAGCTAGCAATTATTATTTCATTAAATACAAGGTGTAGAATGTGAACAGTTAATTGTGCATTAATTGTATAAAAATAATATTTTGTTTTTGCTGGATCATGACACAGAGCATTAAAATAATAAATACTAGGGAGATGGGCATATGATATATATTTTGTTCCTAATCATATATATAAGAATATGAATGGAAATAAACTAACAAATGTGATCAAGAGAGTGTGCTAATGGAATTTCAGATAATAAAGGGAAATACTTAGAAATAGCTTTAATGACAGAGAGGTAAAAATGGCAGATAGGTGGCAGGACTAACTTGCAGCTCTTACTCGGATGGACAGAGCAGCAGGTGGAGACTCACATTATGAACTTTTGCTTTAAGAACTACCACATGTACATACCAGGAAATCTGAGAAGACCCACAGACCCTTTGAAGGAGGATTGCCACTATAGGCTCTGTGGGAAAGCCAAGGAGCTATGCATCAGCTTGCTTTCTCAGCTGGGAGGCTTGTAGCCTGGGGAAAGTTCTCAGCTCTGCTTACCTGCTACCTGGAAATAAACTCAGTGCTATTGAGTGAGGGGCACGCTGGGAGTGAGACCAGCCTTTTGGGCTGTGTGGAAAGGTCGATGGCTTCCAGCTTTCCCCTTCTTCCCTGAAGACCTGTGTGATACAGCAGATGAAGCTTTAATGCCCCTGGGAACATAATTCCATTGGCTTGGGGCCCATATCTCCATCCCCTGCAGCAGTCGCAGCAAGCCTTATCCAAGGAGAGTCTGAGCTCAGGCACGCTTAACCCTGCCTCCACCTGATGATTCTTCTCTACCTGCCCTGGTAGCCAAAGATAAAGGACATAACCTCTTGGGAGCTCTATCGCCCCATCCACCACCTGACCATAGGGCAAGCTTGTATCCCCCCATACTACTGTAGCTTATATGTTCTTTAAAGTGCCACCTCCTGGCTGGAGGCAAACCAACACAAAACCAGTGTACTTATCAAAAATATAACCAAGGTCCCTCAGAGAGTCCAAATCACTCCCCTGCTACCTCCACCAGGGCAGGTGTTGGTATCCACTGCTGAGAGACCTGAAGATGGATCACATTACAGGACTCTTTGCAGACACTCCTCAGTGCTGGCCTGAAGCCCAGTAACTCTGCTGGGTGTCTCGATCCAGAAGAGAAGTAAAAATCACTGCAGTTCGGATCTCAGAAAGCCCCATCTCTAGGGGAAGAGGAGAGTACCAAATCAAGGGAACACAATGTTGGACAAGAGTCTGAACAGCAGTCCTTGAGCCCCAGATCTTCCTGCTGACACAGTCTACCCAAATGAGAGGAACCAGAAAAACAAGTCTGGTAATATGACAAAATAAGGTTCTTTAATGCTCTCAAAAGATCACACTATTTCACCAGCAATAGATCAAAACCAAGGTAAAACTGTCTGAATTGCCAGAAAAAGAATTCAGAAGGTTGATTATTAACCTAATAAAGGAGGTGCCAGAGAAAGGTGAAGTCCAGCTTAAAGAAATTTAAAAAAAAATGACACGATATGAATGGAAAAATCTCCAGTGAAATAGATAGCATAAATAAAAATCACAATTTCTGGAAATGAAGGACACACTTAGAGAAATGCAAAATGTGCTGGAAAGCATCAGCAATTGAACTGAACAAGTAGAAGGAAGAACTTCAGAGTTCAAATATAAGGCTTTGAATTAACCCAATCTAACAAAGACAAAAAAGAATTGAAAAAAAAATGAACAAAGCCTCCAAGAAGTTTGGGATTATGTTAAATGACCAAATCTAAGAATAATTGGTGTTTCTGTGGAAGAAGAGATATCTAAAAGCTTGGAGAACATATCTGAGGGACTAATCAAATAAACTTCCCCAGTCTTGCTAGAGATCTAGACATCTGAGTACAAGAAATCTCAAAGAACATATGGGAAATGCATCACAAAAAGATCATCATCTTGCCACAGAGTCATCAGGTTCTCTAAAATCAAGATGAAGAGGAGAATCTTAAAAGCTGTGAGGCAAAAGCATCAGATAACCTATAAAGGAAAACCTACCAGATTTACAGTGGATTTCTTAGCAGATTTTCTTTGTCTTTTTCAGACAATGCTGAGAGAATTTGCCACTACCAAGCTAGCACTGCAGGAACTGCTAAAAGAAGCTCTAAATCTTGAAACAAATCCTCAAAATATAGCAAAATAGAATCTCCTTAAAGGATAAATCTCACAAGACCTGTAAAACAATAACACAATAATAAAAGGTATTTAGGCAAGAAATAGCATGGTGAATAGAATAGTACCTCACATTCTCAATACTAACATTTAACATAAATGGCCTAAATGCTCTATTTAAAAGATGCAGAATGGCAGAATGGATAAAAATTTACCAACCAAGTATCTGCTGTCTTCAAGAGACTTACTGACACATAAGCGCTCACATAAACTTAAGGTAAAGGGGTAGAAAAAGATATTTCATGCAAACGGACACCAGAACCAAGCAGGAATAGCTGTTCTTATGTCAGACAAAACAAACTTTAAAGCAACAGCCATTAAAAAGACAAAAGGGGACGTTATAGGGTGATAAAAAGACTTGTCCAACAGGAAAATATGACAATTCTAAGTATATATGCACCTAGTACTGGAGCTCCCAAATTCATAAAACTTGAGAATTTTGCTGCTATAAACACACGTGTGAAAGTATCTTTTTCATATAATGACTTATTTTCCTCTGGGAAATTCCAGGAGTGAGATTGCTGGATCAAATGGTAGATCTACTTTTACTTCTTTAAGGAATCTTCACACTGTTTTCCACAGTTGTTTTGCTAGTTTACATTCCCACCAACAGTGTAAAAGTGTTTTCTTTTCACCACATCCACACCGACATCTATTTATTTTTTATTATGGTCATTCTTGCAGGAGTAAGGAGGTATTGCATTGTGGTTTTGATTTGCATTTCCCTGATCAGTAGTGATGTTGAGAATTTTTCATATATTTGTTGGCCATTTGTATATCTTCTTTTTGAATTTTCTATTCATGTCATTAGCCCACTTTTGGACTTTCTGTCTTGATGACCTGTCTAGTACTTTCAGTAAAGTATTGAAGTCCCCCAGTATTATAGTGTTGCTATCTCATTTCTCAAGTGCAAAGATAAGGAACCAGTCCAAATGCCCATCAATCAACAAGTACATATAGAAAATGTGAGAGATATATATATATAGATATATATCTAATGGAATATTACTCAGCCATAAAAAGGAACAAAATAATGGCATTTGCAGCAGCCAGGATGAAATTGGAGACCATTATTCTAAGTGAAGTAACTTAGGATTAGAAATCAAGCATCGTATGTTCTCACTCATAAGTGGTAGCTAAACTGTGAAGATACAAAGGCATAAGAACGATACAAAGAACTTTGGGAACTCAGGGGAAAAGGGGTGGGGTGAGGAATAAAACACTACACATGGGGTACTGTGTACACTGCTCAGATGATGGGTGTACCAAATTTTAAAAATCTCCACTAAAGAACTTATTCATGTACAGGAAAAAATATATAAATGAAATAAATAAATAAAAGAAACTGCTAAACTATCTTCCAAAGTGTTTGTACCATGTTGCATTCCCGCTACCAATAAATGAGAGTCCTTCTTGCTCCAAAAACAAAGATAAAGATGTATTTTTATACAAACACTTAATTTTTCTCAATGAAGACTAAAGTAAGCCTAGAATAAGTGATTTGTTTTTCCCATTTTCAATTTTTTATTAATTAAAACTTCATTTTACTGGTATAACAATAATGAAGTCATAATTATGATTTTACTATAAAAAACTTATGTATTATTATTATATCAAAAAGGAGAAATTCACAGATTTATTTTTAATTGCTGAAATATGCTTATATTGCTTAACTGGCTTTATGTTAATATGTGCATTAAAGTAATTTTCTAGATTAGTGAAAAAAAGAAATATCTTTGATGACAAATTATATGCTAAATGCATAAATGCAAAAATCCATATAAAAACACTTCCAAATTTGAAGAAAAAGATAAAAATATAGAAACATGAGAGCAATAGGTATTCTACTTCTATGCATGAAGTTGTATGATAAAAGTTGTACATAAAAACCTCTTGAAATCTTAATATAAAAATGCCAATGTGATCCTAGTTGTCATCTGGTTCTTTGGTGATTAAAATTGAAAGTCACAAAAAATGATGTAAAGAAGATGTGGGAATTCAAGAAGTCACATATTCCAAATGATATGGTCACTCTTGTAACTTCTGACCAAAAAAGGCCAATTGTTTGGGACATGCCTGTGGTAAGAACTTTTGAGAAAGTGAGCAAGTGAGTACTTTGCTCAAGAAAGAGAATGATGAGGGCAGAGATGTTTGTAATTGAGAGTTTGAAAAGCAAATTTCAAGACTTTTAGATAAAGAGACAATCTAAAGGAACAGATCTGTTAAACAAAATGCCAGAGGGTCAGTTTGGACCCCTTGCTCACCACACAGAAGGCCAATCATTTAGACAACCAATATTGCCATGGAAGAAGTCTTTATTCAGGTGCTGAAGCTGAAGAGAAAGGGAGATAAGTCACAAAATGCTCTGTTGTCCCAGCTAAAAATGAGGGTTTATATAGCTGGGAAGAAATATAACTAAATGAAGGAAAATAGGAATTGGGGAGAGGTAAGGAAGGAATCATAAGGAATGAGAGTTCTGGGATTTCATTGTCTGGATGTGGTGATCTAGTAATTTTCAGTCTCTTGCCTGAGGCTTGGCTTTCTGTGAAAGAATTCAGATAAGACAAACGTTAAGTTTCAAATTTTAAGACTAGGAGGGCTAATTTCTATGTGTATAAAAAACCAGTAAATACTAGTTCTGTGAAGAAATTAGGCTGGTTTCAGATTTGCTAAAGAAGTATATATCAATAAAATGGTAGAGTCTTAAAAATAAAATGCTAATAACATAAGACAATGATCTGTGTGAGTTCAAATTTTGTCTGTATTTAGAGAATTTAATGATGTCACTTTGACTATACACAGAAAATGGTAGGAAGTCAATAATTTGATTTGCATTTTATAAATTTGTGATTTGAACCAGAAGAATGGTACTAGAAAAACATTTCAGGTCGGGCGCAGTGGCTAACGCCTGTAATCCCAGAACTTTGGGAGGCCAAGGCGGGCAGATCACGAGGTCAGGAGATCGAGCCCATCCTGGCTAACATGGTGAAACCCCGTCTCTACTAAAAATACAGAAAAATTAGCCGGGCGTGGTGGCGGGCGCTGTAGTCCCAGCTGTTGGGGAGGCTGAGGCAGGAGAATGGCGTGAACCCGAGAGGCGGAGTTTGCAGTGAGCCGAGATCGTGCCACTGCACTCCAGCGTGGGTGACAGAGCAAGACTCCGTCTCCAAAAAAAAAAAAAAATTTCAAGAATATATTTATTCAGAGGATATAATAAACATAGAAAATTATTCTTTTTAGTGCTATATTAACAGAAATGGAGGGAAATATAGTTTACTATTTGGTAAAAATTACATGTCAAAAGATGGAAGACAAAAAACATCAGTATCACTTGATTATATTTATTGAATAGAGTGGTAAAATGATGAAATTGGATAGTTTATAAAAGTACTATTTAGAAGAAATTAAAGCTCTTGTCAGGGAAAAACAACTTCAAAAGAATTTTATTCAAATGAAAATAAATTCCTTCCTGGGTTTATAGTTATTTCAGAACTGTTATAGTGATAAGATGCATGAAGGATGGACCAGTGATCCTTTGTTTATGTTTATCCTTTCCCACTTACTAATTCTGTGTCTTGGAAAAGTTACTTATGCTTTTTAAACATTAATTTCTTTGTGAGAAAATGAATGAAAATCACTTAGCCTAGTGTGTGACAAATGGCAAGTGATTGTTTATTGCTATCAGTAAATGTTATTTATTTAGAAGTCAAATAAAATTGAGCCGTGCTGGGAGACTGTATAAAAGACATAGGCTCTGCCCTCTGAGTTTATGGTGCAAAGAGATTGACAAACAATAAATTTCACAGCATGTCAAGTGTTATAAAACATGAAATAGAGAGCAATGCCAGCTGGCCTGGTAGGAGTCTGTCAGGGAAAGCTTTCTTCAGAAACCGGTGTCTATGTTGAGGACATGAAGTGAACAGGAGTTGTCTAGAAGAAGCCGTGGTCAGAAAGGGTGTAGGTAGTTCAAGAAGAAGGTATTGGTTATATGTAATCCTGAAGACACAAAAAATAAGATTTAAAAAAATCAAACATAGAATGTCAGATGGGAAATGGCAAATGTGAACTGTACAGACAGACAAATAAATTCGTTCATTATAAGTTACATAAAAGAGTTTTCACTTTATCCTAGAGTCGATGAAAGCCCATAAAGGATTTCAAGAAAGTCAATGACCAATTAGATGCAACAAGGAGCAAAGAAAAAAAATCTGGAGGCAAGAACTCCCACCAAGATGTGCCAACAGTAATCTGGGTGGGAGAGGATAATACTGTCTTTGATAATTAGGAGAAATGGATAGATGGATTTCATATATGCTTAGGAAACAAACACAACATTCTTATTTGAAAGAGAAGGATGAAAAACGACAGAAGAATTGAGTAAGACATTTCTGTTTTGAAATGCAAGTAGAGACATTGCCCTATATATTGTTGTCTCAGCAACCAGGTATGCATAATCAGAAAAATTACTCAACTTATCTGACCATCAGTGAACTTATCAATGGGACAAAATAGAAAACATGATCTTCCATTTTTATAAATTTCTATGATTTTTCAGTGCAGCAATTGTGTATATTTGTTGCTTATTATATCCAGACACTGTGATAAGTACTACTGTGAAGCAGATGAACATAACAAAAGCCTTATCTTTCAAAAGTTGGCATATAAATAACTAAATGTAAGACTTACAATGAATTTCTGCACCAAACAAAACAAATTAACATGGGAACACAAGAGAATAAATTTACTCTAGTGTGAAATTTTTAGAAGCAAGAAGCAGTAGCATTAAAGATATATTATGAGTGAAAACATGGGTTGAAAGGAGGCTTTTCCTCCTTAGATGTATGTCCTTGAAAATTGGAATCTTGAAATTGTATTAGTACATATATCAAAGAATTTTTCACTTTAATACAGTGTTTGAAACTATGGACGATTTTGCACGGACCTCCCTCACCCAATGCCTTCAGGGAACATTTGACGATGTACAAGAGATACCTTTTTTGGCACATAAATAATTATCTGGTCTAGATGTTAAGTGTGCTGAGGTTAAAAAACACTGCTGTAAAGTTACTGTAATAATGCTAAAAGTAAAATTTCAAGTTCAGTAAAACACTTGGTCTCAGTTCTTTCTACACTTCCACTTTATCAAGTTTTTCCTATATAGTGCTGCAAATAATTTTCCTCTAGCACTTTCATAATTGTTTTACTTTCTTTACTTTAGTAGGCTAGCATATTAGTTCTAATATTTTAGCCTAACAGTTAAGGCCTTTCAAACATAATATAGTAACATTCATTTTTCTCTTCCAATGTTCATAATTGTTCATATGGATTGATAGAGAGCAAATAAGTAAACAAAGAGATAGATAAATTTGGTAAGTGGTTTTTGTCTGGTTGGTTAATCATTCTCTATGCTACTTCATATGCAGTAAAACATCATTTTTAATATAGCAGTTTTACACTCCATCTATATTTAGTTTATTGAATCCAACAATTTACATTGTGCAATTATATAATGATACTGAATATTTCTGGTTTCAATAATCAAAGTGCTACTAGTGAGAAGTAAATTACATGTATGTTAAGAATTTAAAACTCCAGTTTAATTGACTTCATAACAAAATTATTTATTTATATATTTTACTCTCTTCATACTTATTGAATCCACAGTTATTTTCTCCTTAATTTGTTGTGTTTTTATTAACAATTTACCAGCTGTGTTTATTGGCAGTATTTTTTATTAATTGTCCTTCAGGGAACTCATTTACTTCTGAAAGAACAGATGTTGCTCCATTAATAAAAACCACTCTGTCCCTCAGAGAAAATGAATGATGTTATGAGCCTTAAGAAATGAATTAGGTGAATGTATTTATGTTACTAGATCATTATTTGCCAAAAAAATCTAAATTTATTTTATTTTGAGAAATAACCCTAGCAAACACAAATTTTGATAGCCTATGTTTAAATCACAAGCTTAAAATAAAAGTGGACTATTTAAGCACAAAATCATATGTTTATATTGTCTTCCAATATTTAGTTTTATCATTTTCAAACATTTTTATACTCTCACCTTTGTATGACTAACATAGATATTTTGCACTATCAGGAATGAGGGTACATATTTATTTCTTCATTTTATTCATTAATTCATGCAACTACCAAGTTTGATTGGACCCCTTTAGTAAAGATCCGTTTATTTTTACTGTTCAAACAGAAGCAATTTAATGTAACTTCTCCCAAATCTATAGATAAATATCGATTACTTCATGAAATATACATTCTTAGGCTTAGACAGCAAATAAACAAAATAAATGAGCATCTATCATGATATATTAGTGTATCAGTCAAAATAGGATAGGCTATATTGATACTGCTAGCCAAATTCCAAATGCCAGTGGCTTAATGCAACACCAGTTTATTTCTGGTCGTAGCTAGACATTCAGCTTGGCTCTTCTGAAGAGCGCTGCTCATTCTAGCCACTTAGGTAATCATTAGGAAATCATTTATTATTTGCTTCCGCAATCACCTCATCAAGGGGAAGACAGTGTTGAGAATTCTGTTTAGCTATTTAATATTAAAGTTTCTATGTAGGAGTGACATATATTAATTTAGTTCATATTTCATTGATTTATGCTAGTATGTCCAAGTTTAAATTTGATCAAAATGTAAAATTTTACTTTTTCTGGGAAAAGAATAGAATCACATTTTTAATAGTTACAATGACTATTGGAAACTACCACTCTAGTCACCAAATATTTAATTTATTATTATTTTCTGATGCAAAATACACATATAATATTTTCAGAGAGACAACTCAAAGTCCTGTCCATTTTGGACATTGAGCCTTGAATCTGTGGTTCAGGATCTGTACATGAATCACATTTGTTTGCTTTTCTAATTGTCTTTAACTAGTGATAATACACAATACATGATTTCAAATTGTGGTTCTCTTGGTCATAGATCTATGGACTTAAAATATGAGTTGTCATAATGAAATACTATTAATAAAGAAGCATGGGCAAAAAATAACAGCAATAAAAACCCTATTTCAGAAGAGCAAAGAATAGAAGACAAAAAACAAACATGGATTTCTAGTAATGGTAAAATTCTGTTTAATATACATTTTGAGGTCTCCTATCCTGGGAGTGGGGAATATTCTTTGGCACTGACACTGCTTCTTGCTTATTGCACAGCATCAGTCCGAGTTCTTCCTTTAGAGTGGCTATCATTTTCCATTTGGTAACATCTGAATTAGGGATTTGGGGATATTTCCAACTTGGGATACATGTGTGTTGCTTATCATAGTTTCTACATTAAAATCCAGCGAGCCCAAAGTTATCTGTCTCAGGGTCATGAACGATTTTAATTCAGGCAGGTGGTTGCAGTGGCAGTGGAACTTCCTTAAAGTCTTAATGAATTTTCGTTTACTTGTTGCCATTTGCTTTCATAAGCTGCATTTTTTTTTCTTTGTCAGTATCTTGTATTTTATCCTTAACTATTTCTTGGCACCTTGATATTATCAATTAGGGAGGTAATAAAGAAGGAGAATATGATTTGCTGAATTGGGAAGTGGATACATTATTATTTTAACAGTGATTGTTCAGAAAAGGTCTCACTATTTGAAGCAACATGTGAAGGGATAATTCTGTGAATATGAATAGCCAATTCAAGGGCATTGACTCAGGTAAGTGTTCAACAATGAGAAAGAAGCCAGTTCAATTAAGAGGTGTGAGCAAGAAGAAACTAGTCAGAGGTGAGTCAAATGAAAACAGGGGCCAGATTATGCAGGGCTTTGTCAGTGATTATAAGACCTTCGAATTTTATTTGGAGTAAAATTAGAAATTAATATGGGTTTTGAACAGAGGGTATCTGGACCTAATTTTTATTCTTTTTTAATTTTCCTCCACCTTTATTGAGGTATATTTAACCAAAAAAAGACAAATATAAATATATATATTTAAGGTGTACAACATCATGTTTTTATACATGTATGTATTTTGAACTGGTTACCACAATCAAACTAATTGACATGTCTGCCACCTCACACAGTTACCTTTTTCTGTGTGTGTGGTGAGAACATTTAAGGTCTACTCTTAGTAAATTCCAAGTATATAATTTACTGTTATTAACTATAGCCACCATGCTCTACATTAGATTTTCAGGATTTATTCATCATGCTTAAGTAAAGCTTTGCATTAAAACATCTCTTTGTTGAAATTGAGACCTTTATTGGGGAAAAGATGAGAAGTCACATAGAGATTTTTGAAAGCAATTCCAACAATCTCTGTGACAGATGGTGATGGTGGTTATAAGAGTTCATAGATTGAAGATATTTTAAGATAAAATTAACAAGGTTGGGTTGGATATAGAAAAATCAAAATTAGGTAGTTTGAAGAATTCAACTTTTTTCTTTCTGTTGTTCTTGCTGTTTCCTTTTTTTTATTTGTTTGCTTTGTGTTTGTTGCCCTGAGAAAATAAAAAATAAAAAAAAAGAAATCATGAACTTTCAATTTACTGAAAATCAAAAGGGAACAGCCAGAGAAAGTTTGGGAGGAAATATGAGAAGTTAATCTATGGATATATTATGTTATTTGCTTATTAAAATATCAGGTGGAGTTGTTGTTTAAACAATTGAATACATAATAATGGAGACTGGGTGATATCTGAGCAGGAGATATGAACCTGAGAGGCAAGAACTAAAGGTGTATTTAAACTTGTGAAACTGAATGAGACCTCCTAGGCAGTAATTATAAACAGATTACTCCACACAGATTCTAACACACCTGGGAAAGAAGGAACATTTAGCTAAAGCGATTAAGGAGGATAATATAGTTATTGAAAAAGAAAGAAAAATATATTAAAATCCTAAAATCCAAACAAATAATATTTATCAAAGAAGGAATCATCACATATGCTAACAAAAAGCCATTGATTGCGGTTTGATTACCATTTTGGTTAAAGATTGAGGAGTGATTATTAAATTTAGCATGCTAAAGGTTATTATTAAATATTCTTATTCCAAATTTTCCACTTGTGTACCTGATACCTCTGTAATAGTTAACAAATTATTTTTGATCATCTGAACAGATGCAGAAAGAAGCATTTGATAAAAATTCATCATTCTCTCATGATACAACCCTCAAGCAAATTAGGTATAGAAATTTCACTTTGACGCAATAAAGATCATCTATATAACGAGCTCAAAGTTGACTTCATACTCAGTAGTGAAAAGTTGAAAGCTTTTCCCCTAAGATAAATAACAAGACAATTGTGCCCAATCTTGCCACTTCCATTAAATGTAGTACCAGATGTTCCAAACAAAGAAATGAGGCAAGAAAAAGAAAACAAAAAGTATCCAAAAAGGAAAGGAAGAAGTGAAATTGTTTGATGATATGATCTTATACAAAGAAAACCCTAAGAAATTCCATCAAAAATAAATTATTAGAACTGACAAATGAATTTGGTAAAGTTGCAGGATACAAAATCAATATATTAAAATCAGGAGAGATACATTAACAATAAACAATTTGAAAAAATATTTACAATAGCATATAAGAATAAAATAAAGTAGTTAGGAGTAAATTCAACCAAGGAGGTGAAAGATTTACATACTGAAACTATAAAACAATGATGAAAGAAATTAAATAAGTCACAAATAAACACAAATATATCCTGTGTTCATGGATTGGAAGAATTAATATTGTTAAAATGTCTATATTGTTCAAAGCAGTCTACTGATGCAATGCAATTTCTATAAAAATTCCAATATTATTTTCCACAGTAATAGAATGAATCAATTCAAAACATGTATAAAATCACAAAAACTTCTGAATAGTCAAAGCCATCTTGACCAGAAAGAACAAAATTGAAGGCATCATTCTCCCTAATGTAAAAATATATTATTACAAAGCTGTTGTAGTCAAAATAAAATGGCACTGGCATAAAAGCAGACATCACAACCAAGGAAACAGACTAGAAAGCCATGAATTAACCCATGCATTTACAATAAATTGATTTTCTACAAAAGTACCAAGAACATGCAATGAGGAACATGCAGTGAGTAAAAATTACAAAACTGTAATTTATTGTAATGGATCCAAAATTTGGATCCATTACAAAAAATTGAAAGGATCCAAATTTACACCATGTATCAAACTTACACCATTTAGATCCTAACTTACACCATGTACAAAAATCAATTCAAAATCGATCAGAGATAAACTTAAGACCTCAAACTGTAAAACTGCAAGAAGAAAGCATAGGAAAACTCCACAACATTGGTCTGAGCAGTGATTTCTTGGATAGGACCCCAAAAGCACAGGTAAGAAAACAAAAATAAACAAACTGGATTGCATCAAACTAACTTCTGCCATGTAAGGAAACGTTTAACAGTGTGAGAAAAACACTCATAGATCGGGAGAAAATATTTCTATACCATATATCTGATAAGAGGCTAGTGTCCAAAATATAGAAGGAACACAAACAACTCAACGGCAAGGAAACCAATAACCTGGTTAAAAAATGGGCAAATAATCTAAACAGACATTTCTCAAAAGAAGGAATACAAATGGAGAACAGACATATGAAAAATATCAACATCTTTAATCATTACGGAAATGCCTATTAAAACCCCGATGACATATCATGTCATATCTGTTAGAATGGCAATTATCAAATAAGACAGACAATTATAAATTAGGATGTGGAGAAAAAGGAACACTGGAACTCTGTTGGTGGAAATATAAATTAATACAGACATTTTGGAAAATGGTATGGAGGCTTGTCAAAAAACTAAAAATAGAACTACCATATAATCAAGCATATATATCCACTTCTGGATATATATCCAAAAGATATCAGCATTTGCATTATTTCAGCATTATTTATAATAACTAAGATGTGGAAGCAAGCTAAGTGTCCATCAACGAATGAATGGATAAATAAAATATTAGATATGTATATGTATGTGTGTGTATATGCACATGTATGTATATGTGTGTGTGTGTGTGTGTGTGTGTATAATCTATATGGCAAGGAAACCAATAACCTGGTTAAAAAATGGGCAAAAATCTAAACAGACGTTTCTCAAAAGAAGGAATACAAATGGAGAAGAACAGATATATGAAAAAAATCAACATCTTTAATCATTAGGGAAATGCCTATTAAAACCCCAACGATATATCATGTCATATCTGTTAGAATGACAATTATCAAATAAGACAGACAAGTATAAATGAGGATGTGGAGAAAAAGGAACACTGGAACTCTATTGGTGGATATATATATACACATATGTAATATATATATCTGGTGTATATATATATAAAAAATATATATCTGATATATATATATACATATATATGTATATATATATATATAACAGCCTTTAAAAGGATGAAAATTCAGTCATTTGTGACAACATGGATGAACCTGGAAGGCATTTTGCTAAGTGAAATAAGCTAGGCACAAAAAGACAAATATTACACTATCTCATTTATATGAGGAATCTAAAAAAGTTTAACTCACAGGAGAGAGTAAAATGGTGGTTACTAGAGGCTGTGGGGCTAGGCGTGTAGAATGAGGAGTTGTTGGCCAAAGGCTACAAAGTTTTAGTTAGACAGAAAGAATAAGTTTTAGTGATCTATTGCACAGCATGGTTACCAGATTTAATAATAATGCATTGTATATTACAAAATTGCTAAAGGAGGCCGTTTTAAATGGCTAGGTGCCAAATATATTAATTATCTTGATTTAATCTTTCTACAGTGTATACATATATAAAACATCACATTGTACCCCATAAATGTATAAAATTATTATTTGTTAATTAAAAATAATAACAAATAGATAAATAAAATAACTCCTACAATTCCCTAACTCTTTGAGTCATCATTTTTCTCTTTCATGTACCTTCCCTACATTTATGCACTGTAAAATTTCTAACAAGTTAATAAGGCTAATGATTGTCTCCACATCACTTTGCCATCACTGTCTCGGTTTTGAATAATTTTAAGCGAAACACAACTAAAGCACATTTTCTTTTCACTCATGCCATTTTCACTCTTCCTATTGTGTCTGAAACCCTCTCCAAAATATTGGCTTCCAAATACACTGAAACTGTTATCAACATCAATTATTGAGTTCTTAAAAAGCAGCTCAAAACTAAGTGCTGAATCTCACGATGGGCAGAAGTATTAAAGAAAAATATTCAAATGGCATTCATGACACCTAATAGAAATTTAATTTTTTCTATTTGTTCATTTTTGTCTGTAACAATGTTTCATTTAAATAAAATTATGTATAGATCATACAACATATGGACCAGTAAAATCATATATAGAAATACATCATAGAAATGCTTTAAATATGCATTTATATATACATATGTGTGTGTATACACATGTGTATATAGTCTGCATAACATTTAGATTTCTCAATAATAAAAAATGATTTTTAGATAGAAAACACATTGATAATTTAAATATTATATATTGATATATTGCATGTATGTTTGCTTGTTTGTTTAATGAATGATTCTTCCTGTTCTAGAATATAAGTGTTATGAGAGCAGGATATATCCCCTAGCTTATAACAGTATCTGGCCTATACTACCAATTAATAAAATATCTTTGGAATAAATAATAAATTTCAAATGTATTGAGTTATGCTTTGCAATACTGTTGCTTTATACAATAATTATTTCTTTTTATTTCTTTGCAGGTTAGGTTTGATAACTACATGGTTAAGATTTTCTGTCTATCTGCTCATCAATCAATTTTATTTTCTTTTTAAACACATTAAATATATGAAAAAGTCAATGTAAATTGGAAACAATAAAATACAAAGTAACTGTGTAAATTATCTTGAGTACACACATCTCATAAGACATTATGTAAGAAAAAATGGTTCATAAAATTAGATGCAAAGTATATATATACAAATACACATATATGTTTATAAATATATACACACATGCACGCAGACATACATACACACATATGTTCCGTTCCTAAATAATGTCATAAAACAGTACGTGAAAAGAGAAAAGTAAATATAGGTTAATATATTTAATTCATAGTATAAAGAGGATATTTAAAAGATTAACTATAACAAATCTTTAAAAATGTGTATGTTTTCAAAAGTGATAATAGAGTATAATTCTAATAAATATCCTGATGAAAAGCTTCATTTTCCTCTAAAATCCAAACTTCAGTTTATTTAATAATATTTGTGCTTTTCTTTTTTCTTCCAATTATTCTTTCTTAATGGCTAACATT
The DNA here is from genome assembly GCF_000001405.40 of Homo sapiens. NCBI lineage: Eukaryota > Metazoa > Chordata > Mammalia > Primates > Hominidae > Homo > Homo sapiens. The sequence continues at coordinate 63,822,260 of NC_000004.12, read as the reverse complement.
CAAAACATTCTATCTGCATTTGTGATAACACACAATTGGCATCATGGCAAATATTACAAAGCAATGTTTTGCAATAAGATGAGTTAATTATTTTATAAGTTGATCTTCAAATACTGTTGTATTTAAACAGAACCTCTTTAGCACTCCTTCTTTTGTACTAAGATTTTATGCAGAACTCTGTGTGGTCTTGGATGCTGCCATAGTACTCCTATACTCATCTCTACCTGTGACTAATCCTAAAGATTTTATAGTAACTGATGGACAATGTTTTACAAGAAGACATCATGAAAAACCATATTATATAGTTAATTTGTTTACATGTAAACAAAATGTTTATACCCTTCTTCATCACCCATATCATTTTCCTTTAATGTCTATACATCTAATTTGATATCATTGCTTATTCTTGCCATAGAGTTTAGAATCTGTCATCCACATAGTTCCCTATTCTATCTACCTTTTTTTGAATGCTTCTATTGCTTTCATGAAATCACTTGAACCTAATTTTCTAATAATGATATGTCCTATAGAGCTCAATTAAATGTTAGTTTCGTTATTTCTGTGATTATTACATGCTTTCTCTAGTTCCAAAATAAAATAGGCATTTTAATATTTAATATTTAACTAGTTGGCACTTGTAGAACATTGTTCTTCATCCCCTGTAAATATATGGCTCCTTTGAAATACAAACCATCACTTTATATAACCAACTATATCCTACTTTAATTATGTACTAAACACTCATCATGTCTCCTGATTCATTAAATATTTTAGTATCTAGATCACTGATTTTTTTTCCTCTAAATCCATGTCATGAATATTATAGTGTCCATGTCCACATAGTTAATTCACACAACATTGAGATTGTTTCACTTTCAATAATATTTTGGTATATTCACTCTTTAAAGCTATATTGGTAGCAAAGAACAATCAGACTGGATATTACTTGATAAGCCTCATTACTGGTACTGGCTAGATATCAGTTCTTCTCAAGGTCCTATCCTAGTTCTTGACATAGCTAATAATTACATGATTTTCAAAACTGTGATGGCAAGCACCCCAAGGTGAGGACCACATCCTGATTTTAAGGTTTACCTATTTTAATCTCTTAGTCCTAAATATTTACAACTGTAGCAAAACAAACTGCTCATTGATTCTGCTGCTTACTGCTTATGTTTAACATTCTAACTTGAATTATTTCAAGGGTTCAAGTTTCCGGCATTGTAGTCATTTCCCTGAAATAACCTCAATTCCTGTTAACACTTATCCTTTAATCATACTTGTTTGTGAAGACTCAAATTCTGCTGAAATATAACTGACTACATTCAACTTAAATTAGATGAGTTAAAAGGAAAAAATAAAGTAAGATAAAACCAATAAATGGAAGGCATTATGACTGCTTGAGGGGCTACAAGATTTCACTTGAATAAGGAGAGACATTTGAAAATTACAAAGTGGTTAATTAACTTAGGAATCATAAATTCTTAAATATCCTGATAAAGAAGTTCAAGTTACATGAAAGAAAATCTGAAAAAAAAAATTAAGTAAATTTCATAGTATCGTTGGAGATTTCAACACTTCCCTCAGTTACTGAGAGAACAAGTAAAAAAACAATGAGGACACAGAAGTCTTACACAATATTAGCAACAAGGTTGAAATAATTAATATTTAGAAATACTATATCCAAAACCAGTGTTTATATTTGAAATGCGTATGGAATTTTGATCAAAATATGTCATATGCTAGGCCATAAATAAATCTAAATTAATTTTAAATGACATAAATCATTCTAACTTATCTGACAAAGATGTAATTAAATTAGAAAGGGATGACAGAAATATATATGTAAAGTCCCCAGAACTGAATCTTAACAAACCACTATCAATAATATATAAGTGCAAAGAAAAAAATTCACAATAAAAAAAAACATTCTAAATGGCATGAAAATGAGAACCCAGCATAACAAAACATGGAAGATATAACCCCAGCAGTGCTTAGAGAAAAATGTGTAGTTTAAATGCATACGAATGAAAAGTTGAAATCAAAGTTGAAAGCAACTATTCTATCTTAAACAGCTAGGGTAAACAAAAACAAAGAGCTTATTAAATCCAAATAAAAGAAGAAAGACGATGATAAAGGCAAGAGCAGAAATCAATGAAAATCATACCAGATACATAACAGGAAAAACCAAATAAACTACCCACTATTTTATAAAATAGATCAAGAAATTAATAAATATCCAGATTTAACATACAATCATTTTAAGACTACAACATTTTGGCCGGGTACTGTGGCTCACAACTGCAATCCCAGAACTTTGGGAGGCCGAGGTAGGCAGATCATGTTAGGCCAGGAGTTTGAGACCAACCTGACCAACATGGTGAAACCCCCACCTCTACCAAAAATATAAACATTACCTGGGCTTGCTGGCAGGTGCCTGTAATCCCAGCTACTCAGGAGGCTGAGGCAGGAGAATCACTTGAACCTAGAAGGTGGTGGTTGAAGTGAGCAGTGATCACACCACTGCACTCCAGCCTGGGTGACAGAGCAAGACTCCGTCTCAAAAAAAAAAAAATGAGAGTGCAACATCTTATGATAGCAATTACGTGAAATTATGCAGCCGTGTAGACAAAAATGAAAAAAAGATTTAAATTAAGAAAAAAAACCCAGAAATTATTTAAACATTAACACTTTAGGGATTGGGGAAATTATAAGATAGATGCAATTGATAGAAAAGCAGATACAGACATCAAGTTTGCAAGGTAATGGGGGTCTTTGTTCTGAGCAGCAGTGGTTTAATGTTGGAAGGAAAATGATGCTTTTTTTAATTTAAATTTTTATTCAACCAGGAAAAGAATGAGGCAGTTAAAGCCTTCTTTAGCTATTATTTAATGAGATAGGCTGTGACAAAGAAAGATGTTATTATTTATACCTATAGAAAATATAGTTACCAGGAAATATGCAGAAACTACCAGTCAAGGAGAATTAGCAGAGTTAAAATTAATATATCTTAGAAATGTGTTGTTATTTCAAATCTCAGAAATACAAAGTTGAAGAAACATCAATAAAATTGAAAGAAACTAAATATAAAAGACACACATTCTCAATTAAGAAATGAAAAGTATGACAATATAGTTTCTACATAGACCAAAGAAAAATTAAATATGTACAAAAATTTCACACCAATAAATTTGATAGTTAGACAAAATGGAAAAATTCTTTTCAAAGTAAAGACTAACAAAACTGTCTAATAAAGGAGTGAAACATTTGATAACCCTGTATCTTTTAAAAACAGAAAATATGTGATAAGACAAACAAAATTATTCACACAAAGAAAACTTCTTTGCATTATATAAAAGTTAGATAACTTTACTGGTGAATTCTAAGAAACATTGATAAAAAATAGCATTTCTATGAATAAGTCTCTTAGCATTTTATAAGATCACCCTTAACCAAGAAAATGCATTAAAATTTTTAAAAGGCTAAAACCAATATTTTATGCATGAGCATAGACATAAAACATATTTATAAAAACATCTGAATGTATTGAGTCAAGAAGCATATAAGACAAACATGCATTCTGATCAAAGGGGGGTTATCTCAAGAGTTTAAAGTTGTTTAAAGTTTAAAAATAAATCAAAACAATTCTAGACATAGACTTTAAACACTTCACAAAAATTAACTCAAAAGTCACCATAAACCTAAATGTTAAATTGAAAACAGTAAAACTCATAGCACACAACATAGGAGTAAATGTAGGTGACTTTGGTTATGACAGTGACTTTTTAGTTACAACATCAACGGCACAATTCATTAAAGCAAAAATTGATATGCTGAACTTCATCAAAATTAAAATCTTTTTTTTTTTTTTTTGAGAAGGAGTTTCACTCTTGTTGCCTAGGCTGAAGTGCAATGGCACAATCTTGGCTCATTGCAACCTCCACCTCCTGGGTTCAAGTGATTCTCCTGCCTCAGCCTCTCAAGTAGCTGGGATTACATGCATGTGCCACCACGCCTGGCTAATTTTGTTTTGTTTTGTTTTGTTTTTGTACTTAGTTGAGACAGGCTTTCACCATGTTAGTCAGGCTGGTCTTGCACTCCTGACCTCATGTGATTCACCCGCCTCGGCCTCTCAAATGGCTGGGATTGCAGGCGTGAACCACTGCGCCTGGTCTAAAATTAAAAACTTTTGCTCTGCAAAAGATACTGTCAAGGGAATAAAAATTAAAGCCACAGAAGGGGAAAAATGTGTTTACCAAAGGCATCTAATAAAGGACTGTTACCCAAAATATACAAAGAGTACTTAAAACTCATCAGTAAGAAAATGAACAGCTTGATTAATCAAAGGGAAAAAAGTTCTTCACAGACACCTTACCAAAGAAGATATACAGATAGAAAATAGGCACATAAAAATATGTCTTTAGGGGAGTGCAAATTAAAATAACAATGAGGTACCACTATGCACCTATTGGAAAGGCCAGAATCCAAAGTACAGAAAACACCAAATGCTGCTGAGAAGGTAGAGCAACAGGAACTCTCATTCATGGCTGAAAATAATGCAAAATGTTAAGCTATTTTGAAAGGCAGTTTGCCAATTTCTTGCAAAGTTAAACATCCTCTTACTATATAATCCAGCAATCATGTTTCTTAGTATTTCAACAAATGAGTTGAAAACTTATTTTCACATAAAAACCTGCATGTGAATATGTATAGCAGCTTTAATCATAAATACCCAAACATAACCAAGATATTCTTCAGAAAATGAACGTATAAATAAAATGTGATACATCCAGACAATGAAATATTATTCCACAGTTAAAGGAAATGAGCTATTAAACCATGAAAAGATGTGGAGGGGGCCGGGTGCAGTGACTCACGCCTGTAATCCCAGCACTTTCGGAGGCTGAGGCTGGCGGATCACGAGGTCAGGAGGCTGAGACCATCCTGGCTAACACGGTGAAACTCCGTCTCTACTAAAAACACAAAAAATCAGCCGGGCATGGTGGTGGGTGCCTGTAGTCCCAGATACTCTGGAGGCTGAGGCAGGAGAATGGCGAGAACCCGGGAGGCAGAGCTTGCAGTGAGCTGAGATCGCGCCACTGCACTCCAGCCTGGGCGACAGAGCGACACTCCGTCTCAAAAAAAAAAAAAAAAAGATGTGGAGGAAACTTAAATGTGTATTACCGAGTGAAAGAAGTTAATCTGAAAAGGCTACATACTATTAGATTTCAACTGTATGACATTCTGGAAAAAGGAAAACCATGGAGATAGAAAAAAAATTCAGGGGTTAGTGGAGAGAGAGAAATAAATAGAGCACAGATAATTATAGAGCAGTGAAACTATTCTGTATGATACTGTAATGTATCATACAGAATGGTGAACACATGTCATTATACACTTGTCAAACCCCATAAAATGTACGCCTTCAAGAATGAACTCTACTGGGAATTATGGACTTCACATAACAATGATATATTAATGTAGGTTTATCAATTGTAATAAATGTCCAATGTGGGATGTTGATAGTGGGCAGGACTGCACGTGTCTAGGGAGAGAAGGGTATGTCAAAAATCACTGCACCTTCTGCTCAATTTTTTTTGTTTACTGTAATACTGTCTAATAAATAAAGTCGGCTGGGCACAACGATTCACTCCTGTAATCTCCGCATTTTGGGAAGACAAAGGAAGAGGATTACATGAGCCCAGGAGTTTAAGACCTGCCTAGGCAACATAGTCAGACCCCCATCTCTACAAAAAACTAGAAAAATTAGCTAGGTACGATGGTGCATGCCTGTGGTCCCAGCTACTCAGAAGGTTGAGGCAGGAGGATTGCTTAAACATAGGAATTTGAGTTTACAGTGAACTATGATAGTACCACTACACTCCAGCCAGGGCGACAGAGGAAGAATCTATCTCTAAAATAAATAAATAAATAAATAAATGAATAAAGTTCATTTAAATATAAATAAATCAACATAATTCATTATATTAACTATCAACAAGAAAATCATGTCATTATCTTAATGGATGCAGAAAGCATTTAAATAAATCAAAGCCCTTAAATGATAAAATTTTTTTACACACCATTAATTGTAGGTAATACTTTTAATCTCTTTAAGCCGTTTTCCACAAAAAAAAAAAGCCTACAGTTAATAGAGTACTTAGTATTTAGATATTGAATTGTATAATGTTCAGCATAGAAAATCACAAAGATGACCACTTTTATCATCTCTATTTAACTCATAGTGGAAACAGCAGTTGCTGGGTTGGGGACATGGGTAAATGGGAATAAGAAAGTAAAAACTTGTTCATTAGAACAGGAAATCAAAACTCTTCATATTAATAGAGGACATGTTTACATACATAGAAAATCCTAAGGGATCCAGAATAGCTACTACAACTAATAATTGAATTTAGCAGCTTTGTAGGGTTTGATATCCATTAACAAATTTTTCAGCTTTGCAGGGGTCATAGCCAGTAGTCTATATTATTTCTATATACAAGCAACAAAAACTGGAAAATATTTTTTTAAAAAAATAACATGTAAGAGAACAAATAAACAAACAGGAAATACTCAGGATCATGGTAATGGAATACTTAACAATGGTAAACTTATAAAGCACTGTGGAGAGAAATAAGAAAGAATGAAGGGAATAAAATGGGAAGATACATCATGTCGTTCAATGGAAAGACTCAACATTGTTAAGATTTCAATTCTCCCCAACTCAACTTAGAAATTCAAAATAATCCCACTAGTATTTTTGTAGTCACTAAACAGCTAATTCTAAAATTTTTATGGCTCTATAATATACAAGAGAATATCTAAAAATACAAAGTTGGGCCACATATACTTAATATTTCAACACTCTCTATAAAGACTGTAATTGGAAGGAGAGGACAAGATGGCCATCGAGATGCAGACCAGTGGAACAGCTCCCATGGAGGGACTGAGATGACAGGCGTGCTTTCATAAGATCTTCAGAGGGAAGGCACCGAGAGTGGGTGGAAGGCAGATACAGAAACTGGGCTGAAGGAGGAGAAAGCTGGAAACCTCGCATGGGCTACTGTGCATGAAGATTCATTTTTGAACTCCAACAGTTCTGGGGGGATGGGTGAGTTGAAGTGGCAAGGAGCAACCTGCTTTCACTACAGGCCTCTGGAACCCCAGCAGGAGGGGACCTCTTGACCACCATGGACACTTGAAGTGGCAGAGAGAGCTGCTCAGAGAAGTGGTGGGGCAGCAAGCCAACTGATGTGGATCCCAGAGTGTTCGGTACAGGAGTTTATATAATGGAGCATGGCCAGGGAAATCATCCCCCCTAGGCTTGACTTGCTCCCACAAGAGACTTTAGCTCTAGGGGAAATGCCTGACCTAATCTCTGCAGGGCGACCTTGCACATCAGATGGGGCTAGTCTGATCTGAGCATCCCTTGCTCTGCTGGTCTTTCCCAGGGCCTCAGCCTGGCCACTCCTGCTTACAGGGCAGTCTTGGGTGCCCTGGGGGCCCACATCATAGATTCTGGGCTGGTGGGCCATGCCTGACTGGTGGAGAGCTCCAGTGAGGTAGTTACTACCTTCATGCACCAGCCCACATTCTCACTCCCCATACTGCAGTTTGCACCTAGCCCACGGCAACTCCCCACATCACTTTGTTAGTGTGTGTCTGCATGGGCAGGTTTTGCTTTACTTGCCGTGTCAACATGCGAGAGTGCAGCCTGTCCCCTTCTTCCCACTGACTGTCATTGCAGATGGAGTCTTGGTGGGAACAGAGCCAGCAAGCCCTGCCCCTGCCAGCACCCCACCCTTGTACTAACACTGCATAGAGAAAGGCAGATCTTCCTCCACCCTGAGTAAGCAGTCCTTCTTGCAGGGCACAGAGAAGGCAGCAAGACCTGTGCAGGCCAGCACCCCACCCCAAGTCAACACCACTTCCAGTACAACTGCACACACAGTGTCCAGCAGGGGCCACCCTGATTACCTCAGTTCTGTTGCCTCCACTACTGTGGTTAAGGCCTACAGGGAGGCAGGCACTCTTGCATCCACTAGATGCAACAACTGCTACAACTGCCACAGCTTGGCCCCCCAGCACAGTGGACTCCAAACCTCGAAGTTTCAGAGAACAAAGTCAGAGTCCATACAAGTCCTCTAGAGTTAAAGCACACAGTTCAGGACTTGGAAACTGAGAATTTGCCCAGTAAAATATAGAAACAAAGCTAGCTGGCTGAATTCACCATATACTGCAGTCAAACCCTCAAGGCAATCAAATAGGATAAAAGAAAAAAAAAACATTCAAAGGTCAACAACCTCAAACACTAAGGTTGGATAAACCCACAAAGATGAGAATCAATGCAAGAATGTTGAAAACTCAAAAAGCCAGAGTACCTCCTTTCCTCCAGATGATCGCATCACCTCTGCAGCAAGGGTTCAGAACCAGGCTGAAGCTGAGATGACTGAAATGTCATAAATATAATTCAAAATATGTATAGAAATGAAGATAATTGAGCTACAGGAGTACATGGAAATCCAATACAAGGAAGCTAAAAATCATGGTGAAACAATGTGGGAGCTGACAGACAAAATAGCCAGTATAAAGAAAAACCTAACCAATCTGATACAGCTGAAAAACACAGTACAATAATTGTATAATCCAATCACCAGTATTAACAGCAGAATAGATCAAATGGAGTAAAGAATCTCAGAGCTTGAAAACTGGGTTTCTGAAATAAAATAGGTGGACAAGTTTATAGAAAAAAAGATGAAAAGAAATAAACAAAACCTCCAAGAACTATGAGATTATGTAAAGAGACTGAATCTATGACAGATTAGTGTCCCTGAAAGAGATGAGGAGAATGGAAATAACTTTGAATACATATTGCAGGATATTATCCATGAGAGCTTCCCCAACCTAGCTAGAGAGGCCAACATTCAAATTCAGGAAATGCAGAGAACCCTAGTAAGACACTTCACAAGAAGATCATCCCCAAGTCATATAATCATCATATTCTCCAAGGTTGACATGAAAGCAAAAATGTTAAAGACAGCTTGAGAGAAAGGTCAGGTCATCTACAAAGGGAAGCTCATAAAACTAACAGTGGACCTCTCAGCTAAAACCTTATAAGCCAGAAGAGATTGGGGGCCAATATTCAACCTTCTTAAAGAGAAGAAAATCCAACCCAGAATTTCATATCTGGCCAAACTAAGCTTCATAAATAAAGAAATAGGATCTTTTCCAGGCAAGAAATGCTGAGGGAATTTGCTACCACCAGACTTGTCTTGCAAGAGCTCCTGAAGGAAGCACTAACTATGGAAAGGAAAAACCACTGTCAGTCAGTACAAAAGCACACTGAAGCACACAGACCAGTGACACTCTAAAGCAACTATATAAACAAGTCTGCAAAATAACCAGCTAACATAATGATGACAGGATCAAATCCACACATATCAATACTAACCTTAAATGTAAATGGACTAATTGCAGCAATTAAAAGACACAGGGTGGGAAGTCGGATAAAGAACCAAAATGCATTGATATGCTGTCCTCAAAGACCCATCTCACATGGGATGACACAAATGAGTTCAAAATAAAGGGATGGAGAAAAATCTGCCAAGAAATAGAAAACAGAAAATAATCAGGCGTTGCAATCCTAGTACCTGACAAAACACTTTAAATCAACAAATATCAAAAAAAAGAAAAAGGAAAGTATTACATAATGGTAAAGAGTTCAATTCAACCAGAAAATCTAACTATGCTGAATATATATGCACTCAACACAGGGCCACCCAGATTCGTAAAGCAAGTTCTTAGAAACCTTCAGGGAGACTTAGACTTCCACACAAAAACAGTGGAAGACTTTACCACTCCACTGACAATATTAGACAGACCATTGGCACAGAAATTAATAAAGATAATCAAGACCCACACACAGCACTGGATCAAATGGACCTGGTAGATATCTACAGAATTCTCCATCCCAAATCAACAGAGTATACATTCTTCTCATTAACACATTGTATTTACTCTAAAATTATAATTGGACATAAAACACTACACAGAAAGTGCAAAAAAAAAACCACCCTGAAATCATAACAATTTATTGTACCAAGTACAATCAAATTAGAAATCAAGACTAAGAAATCACTCAAAACCATACAATCACAAAAAATTGATAAACTTGGTCTTGAGTGACTTTTGGGTAAATAATGAAATTAAGGTAGAAATAAAGAAGTTATTTGTAATGAGAACAAAGATACAACATACCAGATTCTCTCAGACACAGCTAGGCTAATGCAGTGTTACTAAGGCAGTATTAAGAGGGAAATCTATTGCACGAAATGCTCCCATGAAAAAGAAAGATCTCAAGTTTACAATGTATCGTCACAACTAAAAAAGCTAGAGAAGCAAGAGCAAACAAATGCGAAATCTAGCAAAAACAAGAAATAACCAAAATCACAGCTGAACTGAGGGAGATGAAGACATGAAAGACAAGTGAAAAGATCTAAGAATTTGAGCCTGTTTTTTGAAAGAAAAGTAATAAAATAGATCACTAGCTAGACCAACACAGAAGAAAAGATTCAAATAAACACAATCAGATATGAAAAGGAAGATGTTACTACTGACCCCACAAAAATACAAACAACCATCAGAGAATAGCATAAACACCTCTATATACATAATCCAGAAAATCTAGAATAAATGGAAAAATTCACGGACATATACTCCCTCCTAAGATTAAATCAGGAAGAAATTTAATTGCTAAACAAACTAATAACAAGCTCTGAAATTCAGGCAGTAATACATGGCCTACAAACCCCAAAAAGTCCAGGACCAGATAGATTAGCAGCTTAATTCTACCAGATGTATAAGGAAGAGCTGGTAGCATTCCTACTGAAACTAATCAAAAAAATTGAGGAGGAGGAATGCCCCACTAACTCATTTTGTGAGGTCAGCATCATCCTGATAGCAGAACCTTGCAGTGATACAGTAAAAAAATGTTGGCAAATGAAATCCAGCAACACATCAAAAAGCTTATCCCCCATGATCAAGTAGGCTTCATCTCTGGGATGCAAGGTTTGTTCAACATATGCAAATCAATACATGTGATTAATCACATAAACAGAACTGAAGCCAAAAAAAAACACATGATAATCTCAATAAATGCACAAAAGGCTTTTGAAAAAACTCAACATTCCTTTATGTTAAAAAATCTCAATGAGTTTGGAAATTAAGAAAAATACTCAGAATAATAAGCTCTATGTATGACAAACCCACAGCCAACATCATAATGAATGAGCAAAAGCTAGATTTCCCCTTCAAAATTGGCACAATACAATGATGCCCTCTCTCACTGCTCCTATTCAACATAGTATTGTAAGTCCTGACCAAGGCAATCAGGAACAAGAAAGAAATAAAGGGCCTCCAACTAGGAAGAGAGGAAGTCAAACTATTCCTGTTTTCAGAAAATGTGACTTTACATCTAGAAAAACCCATAATCTCAGCCCAAAAGTTTTTTTTAGCTGATAAACAACTTCGGCAGTCTCAGGATATGAAATCAGTGTGCAAAAATCACTATCATTTTTATACACTAACAACAGTCAAGCCAAGAGCAAAATCAGGAACGTACTCCGCTTCACAACTGCCACAAAAAGAATAAAATATGTAGGAATGCAGCTAACCAGGGAGGTGGAAGATCTCTACAAGGAGAACTACAAAACCCTGTTCAAAAATATCAGAGATGACACACAAAAAAATGGAAAACCTTTCCATGCTCATTGATAGGAAGAATCAATATTGTTAAAATGGCTGTACTGCCCAAAGCAATTTATAGATTCAATGCTATTCTTGTTAAACTACCATTGACAACCTTAATAAAACTAGAAAAAAATATTTTAAAATTCACTTGGAACCAAAATAGAGCCTGAATAGTCCAAGGTAATCCTAAGCAAAACGAACAAAGATGGAGGCATTATGCTACCCAGGTTCAATCTATACTACAGGGCTACAGCAACCAACACAGCATGGTACTGGTATAAAAACAGATGTGTAGACCAAAGGAACAGAATATAAAATCAACAAATAAGGCTGAACACCTACAACTATCTGTTCTTTCACAAATCTGACAAAACCAAGCAATGGGGAAAGAATCCTCTATTTAATACATGTTGCTCAAATAACTGGCTAGCCATATGCAGAAGATTAAAACTGGACTCCTTCCTTATGCTATATACAAAAATTAACTCAACATGGATCAAATACTTAAATTGAAAACTAAAAACTATAAAAACCCTGGAAGACAGTTTAGGCAATACCATTCAAGACATAGGCACAGGCATGGATTTTATCATACAGATGCCAAAAACAATTGCAACAAAACCAAAAATTGACAATGGGATCTAATTAAACTTAAGAATTTCTGCACAGAAAAAGAAACTATCAACAGAGCAAAGAAAATTTCCAGAGAATGTGAAAGAATTTATGCACACTATACATCTGACAAAGGTCTAATATTCAGCATCTATAAGGTACTTACACAAATTTACAAGAAAAACAAATAGCCCCTTTAAAAAGTGTGCAAAGGACATGAACAGACACTTTTCAAGACATACATGCAGCAAATAATCATGTGAAAAAAGCTCAATATCACCAATCATTAGAGAAATGCAAATCAAAACCACAATGACACACTATATCAAACCAGTCAGAATGGCTATTAATAAAAAGTCAAAAAATAGCAATGCTGGCAAGGTTGTGCAGAAAAAGGAATACTTCTACACTGTTGGTTAGAGTGTAAATTAGCTCAACCATTGTGGAAGACAGTGTGGCAATTCCTCAAAGACCTAAAGACAGAAGTACCATTCGACCCAGCAATCCTATCATTGGGTATACACCCCCCAAAATATAAATCATTCTACTATAAAGACACATCCATGGATATGTTCATTGCAGCACTATTCACAATAACAAATCCATGGAATCAACCTAAATGCCCATCAATGATAGACTAGGTAAAGAAAATGTGGTACATAACCATGGAGTTCTATGCAGCCTTAAAAAAGAATGATATCATGTCCTTTGCAGGGGCATGAATAGAGCTGGAGATCATTATCCTTAGCAAACTAATGCAGGATCAGAAAACCAAATACCACATATTCTCACTTATAAGTAGGAGCTAAATATTGAGAACACATGGACACATAGAGGGGAACAACACACACTGGAGCCTATCAGAGTGTGGAAAGTGGGAGAAGGAAGAGAATCAGCAAAAATAACTAAGGTACACTAGGTCTAATACCTGAGTGATGAAATAATCTGTACAACAACCCCCCATGAAACACATTTACCTATGTAACAAACCTGTACCCCTGAACTCAAAGTAAAAGTTAAAGAAAAGTGTAATCATGCCAGGATATGTTATTTGTCTAAGGAACAAAGTAAGGAATGTATACATATACCCTTTACATTTATGGAAAATATTTTGATAGATACCCTAGTGCAATTTATTATGCAGTTTATTTTTTAAAATACATAGTATCGAAAAGCCTGTGTATCCATTTAGGAAAAAATAAACTTAATCCTTATCTCACACCATATGCGAAAATTAATTCAAAATGGATCTCATAGTACAAAAAGTTAAAACTATAAATCTTTTGAAATTATAGGAAAATATCTTTATGATGTTGGGTAGACAAATATATCCTTAATTGAACAAACTAAGCATGGATAATAAAAGAAAATAATGATAAATTGGACTTCATCAAAATTAAGGAACTCCTGCTCTTTGAAAACCCTATTCAAAAAATGAAAAGACAACCCACAGTTTAAACAAATATGTTCAGAATGCATATATGTGAAAAATGATTTTAGATTATGTAATAATTGTAGTCTTCTAATAAAAAATGTATTAGCAAAAAAGGAACATTTACAAAAATACACAAATATACAATAAACACATTATTTTTATATAATTCACCTTAGTAAAATTGAAAATAAAACTGCAATTAGTGGTATTGCACATACACTAGAATGGCTGAAACGAGTAAGACTGAAAGCTTTCACTGTTAACTGGATACAGCTCATCTGGAGCACTCATACATTGTAAATGGAACTGTAAAACATTACCACCATTTTGGAAAAGATTTTGGCAGTTCCTTATGAAGTTAAGCATATATATCTATCGTGTATTTTAGAAACTGCACTTTTTAGAATTTGTGTAAGATAAATGTAAATGTAAGTCCATATAAACATTGTATATAAATGCATGTAACAGGTATATTAATAAACCTTATATCTTGAAGCAACATGTATAACCATTAAGATATGAATAGGATAACAAATTGGGGTATAGTTGTATGATCAAATACTACTTTTTATTAAATAAAACCATCTACTTGAACATATAACAAATTGGATAAATATCAAAAACATCATGCTTCGCAAAGGAAACCAGACACAAATGATACACACATACAGCACTGGTGTAAACATATAAAAAAATACCTATTCTTTAGTTACAAAAGGCAAATTGATGGTTCCCTGGATTCCATCATGGAGGGTAGGATTGACATGAAGAAACTTTTTAGGATGATAAAAATGATCTATATCTTAAATGTATAGGTATTTATACAGGTGAATTTCTATCCTTACATTTACCTGGAAATAAAATTAAAATATTTCATGTGATTTATTTATTTTAAATTATAGCTCAATATTTCAACATAGTATATTTTAAATAGAAAAAAATGTTTCAAAGAATGAACATTACAAAAGCTGCATTCCCACTATTTCACAGTAGCCACCTCAGCTAATAACATTTATATTCCTGATGGAAATGTCAATAGCAAAATTTGATTTTACTAATTGAAAAAGAAGATAGGCAAATTGAAAACCAGAAACATTCCAATCAGTTACCTAGCAGTTACAGTTTTTCATGCGATATGTCTAGAGGATATATAATAAAACTTTACTATTTCATAGTTTTAATAAGATTTTGTCCTCAAACAAAAATGTTATCTTTAATTATGTGAGTTGTGATAAATTAGAAATAAACATAGACATTTCATTTTGCTCTTTTAGTCTAGCATGCACATTAAGAAAGGGCTGAAATGTGTCCTTGGACTGTTTTTGCTGTATTTCTTTTCCCGAAATCTTACTCCCTACTTGTTAGCAAAAAACAAATTTCTGTAAAAGTGTTTCCAAAGTCATAGGAGGAAACAGGAAAATAATATCTATCTAAAAACGTATTTGGTCATTTTTATTTTGAAATATTTTATTTTTGAAATTTCCCTAAAGACATTGTTTTACTCTAAGTCTCCAGGTTTAGCAGCAAAGAATGAACGACAACAAATGAACAACAAATAGCCATTTGTATTATTCACAATATTACTGTTACTGTTTTTATTTTGGTGATCTAATATTAGAGGAGCCCTGATCTCTATTTTTTGTTCATATTCTTGGAAAGCATTTTAGTGGTATGGAAGATTGAGAGAAAAGTCTAGGGAAGAAAAATCCATAGGGCACTAGTTACACAATATTGAAACAATGGCACTTCATGGCCCTAGAGTCACTTGGAAGATTTACAAAATATATTATTAGAACCAAATGAATTGCAAAGACACGGACAGGGACAATTTATGGAAATATTACTAACCTCATGCGTAGAGACCTGACAGACAGGTATATGATCAGAACATGTTGATGTGTACAAATACAGACATAATCAGAAACCCACCAAATCCTGATCTTGGCACCACATTCCATGCCTTGATGAGAAAAAGAGGCTGAGAATATTGAACTTAGTTAAAATCTGAACTTGCTAAATTGAAAACAAACAAAAAACACTCAGAAATATTTGGATGCATATTTTTTACTAACAGCTGACTTAGCATTTGTTTTCACCAGTGGAAGAATTGTAGACTTGTGTTTAAAATAATTTGTTGTAGAAAATTTCTTATATACCAATGTTTTAGATTCCCAAAATCTTACCCTCTACATTATTACTTATTAATGTTATCTGTTAAACAATATTATAATTGTTTCATTATTATAGTTATATTATTAATGACATACACTTCAGTTAGCTAAGTAGTCCTAAAGGATAACTTGATCATGATATTCTCCTGATTGCCAAACTGGAATCAATGACTTTCATGTCTAATAGAAAAACACAAGTGGCCACTCAACACACTCTAATTTTGCACCCTAAGACCTTCTTGCATGCACATTGACCACTAACCAAACTCAGTGGGTTTTGTTTTGTTTTGTTTTGTTTTGTTTTGCTAAACCTAGAGTGGTCTTTACCACATATCTACTTATTCAAATTATCTCTGTTATTGAAAAGCCATGTTAACATTAATTTGTATCACCATGTCTTTATCACCCTGACCACATGTGATTTTTAAAATAATAACCCAGTTATGATTAATAATGGTTCTAAATGTTTACCTCTCCTATGAACATTTTCAAATTCTATTCCATGCTTGTTTTAATACAGAGCCCAGTTCCATAAGGATTGTATTCATTTTAAGAAGTAAAGAGAGACGCGTATATATAGTTGCATACTTTTATGTGTATACATATAGATAAACACATACATACACATATTATGTACATATATATGTATATATGTATACATTAATATGTTAGTGTTTTGAACATAATATATGCCTAATAAACATTTATGAAACTAAATTTATATTACTTCTATTTTCTTTTCTTTAGAGTAAACTCTGGACCATACCATATTGGCTTGAAGATAAGGTAAAGGAAAAACTTCATTTCTTGTTACCATGGTATTTCTACTCATGAAAATGCATAGTTAGTTGTAATATTTATCACAACTTATAAATGGTTGAATATATTTTTATATAGCATGGGGTAGGTTATATGCAAATATTTACTAAATTAAAAATAAGCAAATGAAGAAAAAAAGAAATATGTGCTGTAAAGTCTCTACACTCATTTGTTTCATGACAAATTAAGTAACCAATTTTTCTGCAAACTAATAATTTAAAAACTTGTATAAACAACCACTAACATTCTCAAAGTCAAGTTCTTAAACATTCAGTGTACATCATTTAGTAAATTAAATCTCTGCTGCATATAACTTTGTATTATAAAGAATACACCAATGAAAATACATACTAAGACAAAGTAACATGCTGCATATCAGAATTTCAAATCAAGTAAAATTTAAATGCCTAATTCAATTAAGTAGCACTGCATAGAAAAAGGTGTAACAAATTTTAAAGAGGCTAAGTAATTTGTACTTCTTATATGCATGTTTTATAACATTATTCTACAGGAAATAAAATTAAATAAAACATGGATTCATGACATAATTAGCTTGCTGTTAACTAAACCTATATATTTATAACTTAGAAATCCCTCAAGGTACCTCAAGGGCCAACTAAAAGCTTACATATCACTATGAACTGTTTTTTTTATTTGCGGTAAATTTCCCCAAGGGTATAAATGCTGCTTTGAAGTTTGGGATTTTTAATCCTACATTCACCTATATATATCTTCTGAGTGTTGTGTGTGCATACCTATTCAGGAATTTGGATTTGCCAGGGGAAATTAATATTATAGGAAGTTGTTACTTCTTCCTTTTTTTTTTCTGTGACAGTATATTGTCGAGATTTTGTTCAATCTTTTATCTTTAGTTTTTTTCAACCTATAGCTAAAGACAATTCCAAGTATGTAAAATTCAGCTTAACATTTTAGTAATAAATACATTTGGAGGAATTAAGGTTATAGCCTTAGCCAACTACTTCTATGCCCAAAATAGAAAATGACTGATATGTTATTCTACTTGAAAAGCAGTGGTTAAATTATCATTATTATCTGCTATCAAAATTTATTTTATCAAAATTTACTTTTATCAAAATTTATGTACTATAAAAACAAGAGTAGAACAACAGAACAAAAGTTAAATGCCAATTTGCTTATTTGTTGGGAACAGGCCTCCCAAAATCTGGCCATAAACTGGCCCCCAAACTGGTCATAAACAAAATCTCTGCAGCTCTGTGACATGTTCGTGATGGCCATGATGCCCACGCTGGAAGGTTGTGGGTTTACCGGAATGAGGGCAAGGAACACCTGGCCCACCCACGGCAGAAAACTGCTTAAAGGCGTTCTTAAACCACACACAACAGCATGAGCGATCTGTGCCTTAAGGACACGCTCCCGCTTGCTGCAGATAACTAGCCAGAGCCCATCCCTTTATTTCGGCCCACCCTTTATTTCCCATAAGGAATACTTTTAGTTAATCTATAATCTATAGAAACAATGCTTATCACTGGCTTGCTGTCAATAAACACATGGGTAAATCTCTGTTCGAGGCTCTCAGCTCTGAAGGCTGTGAGACCCCTGATTTCCCACTCCACACCTCTACATTTCTGTGTGTGTGTCTTTAATTCCTCTAGTGCAGCTGAGTTAGGGTCTCCCTGACCCAGCTGGTCTCGGCACTCAGTGTTTACTATTCTTTAAAAGTTTAACTGAGCAGCATTTAGAGAAATATAATTTACTATTCTGACTATATATATGAAGCAAATAAATGATTACAACCCTTTAGGAATTATAAGAGATGCTTTTAGCAATTTAGGAGAGTCTCCAGGGTGGACAAGTAAATCCAGCAAAAAATAAGAAAGTGTAAGATAAGTTCTGCAAATCCTATAAAACCTCTGAGCAGAGTCACTGCAGGCTAAACAATCATCTAAAATAATTCATCCAACTGCCTGCTCAAATAGAGATGTGCTTCAGCTAGAGTGTCAAAATTCCATACATATTATGAAAAAAAGCAGGTTTTAGGCATCATATTTTTTAAAGTTCAATTCAGTTTAGAAATAAAAATTTGTGTTATATAAATGAATTAGAATATGTTTTCCCACGCAACTTGCAGGTAATATGCTAGATACATAGCTCTATATATTTATATATACTTATAATCATATGTATATGTCCAGCAGTTGTAAATTAATACAAGTTGCAATACAGAACAGTGTGAAAAGGAGAGTCTTTTCAATATATTATAGTAAAATAACTTAATATAAATATGAAAAAAATTAAATTTACTTTACCTGTATGCATTGTAAATCAAAAACCTACTTCATTTGGGTTGGAAACCTAAATTAAAAAGGCAAAACTGTATGATTTCTAGTAAAAATTATAGGAGATTTTTAAGATGATGTGAGGTGGGATGAAAAATCTTCAATAGAACACAAATATAAAAAGCATAACAGAATCCATTTTACAACATAAAAATTAGGAATCATGTTTATCTCAAGACATCCTTATGAAAGTAAGCACACAAGCCACAAAATTGCAGGAGGTTTTTTAATCATTGTAACTGACAAAGGGATTGGATATATCTATCTCTATAATATACATACCTATATATATAGATAGATAGTTATATAGACACACACACATAATATATATTAAATATAATGAGAAATATACTAAGACAAATAAACTATCATGCTGCATATCAGAATTTCAAGTCAAATAAAAATTAAATGTCTAATTCAATTAAGTAGCACTGCATAAAAAAAGGTATAACACATTTTAAAGAGGGTAAGTAATTGTACTTCTTATATGCATGTTCTATAACATTATTCTACAGGAAATAAAATTAATTAGAACATATATATATATATTTCCTATATCTAAATATATAAATAAAAGAAAAGAGTTAACTATGAAGTCTGGCATAAGTTATTTGTGAAATAAGAAGGCGGTGATTAGAGAGGGGCTGTGTGGGTGCCATCTTAGTTGCTATGGTCCTTTTCTTATTTGGATGGGGCTTGCATGAAGGAACTTTTTGTGGAAATTAATTGGGCTTTGCACTTTTGTTTTGCAAAGTTTTCTGTGTGTGTGCCATATTTCACAACAAAAATCATTTAAAAATTTAAATTAACAATAACCAGCCATTCTTAAAAAATGCATTTGCCCACATAAGGGTTCTCATTTAATTTAATTTACTTGCAATTTTAAATGGATATATATATATATTTTAAATGTTAATACTATTGCAACATAATTACCATATAAATAAAGCAGAAGTATCTTGTGGGAACACCTCTGTCCCCATGCCATCCCCCACGACCCCCAAAATCACAAGAGATAACTCTTGTTCTTCTCCAAACAGCAATTACTGCTAATACATTGGTAAATGTTCTGTGTTTATAAGGCTATTTTTGTCTTGTGCATGTGTTTGTATAAATAGTATAACACTATACACATTGTTTTGAATATTGCTTTTTACAAACGAAGTGAATTAAATGCGGTGGTACTGGAAATATGCTGCTAGAAAATCCTTTATGTCTACATGCTGTGGGGAGTATAGTTGACAGACAGCCTCTAGCTTCTGTCCCTTTAGTATCCCCTGCATTAGTCAGGGGGAAGCCATCTTCTATCTGGAATACTCTCAATCAATGACAGTCATAGCAGGGGTACAAGAGCTGGACCATATCTGCCCAACATGGGTTAGATCTTAGAGGCCATGTTTGGTCTAGGTCTGCCCTCAGCCTAGTTGAGATTTTTTCAAAGCTGCACTATTGCTTGAGGTTCTTACTACCCAAACCTTCCCTTATTCCTTCCACAATTGTCAGATCTGAATCAAAATTTGCAGACTCCTTCTGCCTAGTCCTGTTCCCTCCCATTTACCCTTTGTGGGCTCTTATTCAATAAAACTTTTGCATGTCTAATGCTCTCTTGGTATCTGCTTATTGAAAAACACAAACAATTATTTTTAAACCGAATTATAGTAATACATAATATAAATATAATGCAGTTATTTATTGCTATTGCCCTATTAATTTTTATTTTAATTTTTAAAGAGTCATTTTTATGAACAATGCTGCAAGGAAAAATTTTGCTCATGCCTAGTCTGTAGACAAGTACATGCCTTTTTCTAAATAAACATAGAGAATTAAAATTTCTAGGTCAAGAGTGCACACATTTTTAACTTTAATATATTGTTCTCCAAAGAAAAATCAATCATGATACCACAAATTAGGAGTACCTATTTCTTTATATACTATATACTCTCAATATTGAATATCTATCTATCTCTGTACCTATCTCTAATACAGCTGTGGTTAAGACCTTGGGAATTAATATAACCTCCAAAGGGGAAGTGTACAAAAAAGCCTACAAAGAATTCTGAAAACACCTGTATTCAAAAAGATGAAGAAGTTCAAAAGAAGAAGAAAGAAAATCTACACAATTCATTAAATGCCAAAAGTAAAGAACTGAACAAAAGTAAATGTTAAATATTCTCAAATCTATTAAAATCTCATAATAAATGAAATAGAAGCACTGTTAGAAGAAGTAAATTATTGTTGACTTTCGTGACCATTTCTAGTAGAGCAGCATCAGAATATAGACACTTTAGAACTCATGTTGTACAATCTTCCAGTCGCAGCATCCATCTCTGCCACCACAACTGTGTGCCTTTTTGGGAGGACTGGTATAGTCAACAACACAGATGACTGGGATCATCTGGCTACATCATCATGTCTATTTTATTAAATGTCTCCCATGGTGTCTTCTCTATGGTGCGGGACCAGGTGTCATAAAAAAAAAATCTTCACACTTTTTGTTGCCAATAGTAGGATGAGTCATTTATCTTTTGTCCTGGCCTCATTATCCTCAATCTTTCAACCTTTACTTTTTCAGATCTCTAGCCAGCCAGATTAACCATTTGCTACTGTCATGGATAGCTTTAATTCAGATAATTCCCTTTTCCACAAAACCCTAATGTCCGTTTGCATGTCCATGACTCTGATAACAGGAAGAATTTCTTTTCTGGAATATTTTATCTTCTGTAAGCAATTCAAAAGAAACCCTCCATGAGACCAGAAGTGTGAGTTGACTTTAAAGCATGAGTGAGACAATGGTAGGTGACACTGGGTTCTGTGCCATATGCTCATGTAAGACAAGGATTAAGGTATACATGATTTATTGAGAGAGTATCCTTAAGGGAAATTTATTAAGGGATCAAACAATGATGTAGAAAAGGTGAGAGGAAAAAAAAAAAAACAGGCAAGAATGTTTTTCCAAACATCTAGCCATAGGGAGACAAAGACGATGTCATGGACATGAAAATGTTGTAGATCATCTTTGAGATGCTGCACAAATTCCCTGATTACCAGACTGAATCCTATTGAGGCCAATTTTATGAAAGGACACAGCTGTGAGCTCTTAGCCACTAGTAATCGTAACAATTAGGAATAGATGTGGAAGCCTGGTTAAGGAAATCTGAGCAATCTGCCATTTCTGGTAGAGCAGCATCAGAATGTAAAATGTCTAGAACCTCATTTTTATAATCTTTGAGTTGTAGTATTTGTCTTTGCCACCATGACTGTGTGCCTTTTTGAGAGCATCGATGTATTCATCAACATAGATGACTAGTTATCATCTGGCTGAATCATCGTGTCTGTTTTATTAAGTGTATTGGCCATAATGACCCCTGCACACTTACAGTTTTAATATTTATAACAGGTTAATGACCAGATCATGCCACTTCTCTGAATTCACAATTTATGTATCCAAGTGCCTACCTCATATCTCTTTACAGATACATCAATGACACCTCAAACCCACCACGTTCAATATTGTGCTCTCAACTTCTCTTGATAGATGGTTTTCTATGGTTCTTTTTTGTTTGTTTGTGAGCAAAAGGCACCTACATCTATCCAGCCATTCAAATTACAAATCTTGAAGCCAGGTTTGATATCTCCCTCCCCGACAACATCTATATCCAGGCCACAGTTGTATTAGATATTGTTGCATTCCTGTCCATTTAACCATGGTTCTTACCATTCTTGTTCCTGCTCTCAACTACCCACTGAAAGTGTTTGTGACTTTTCTTTGAGGTATTTCCCTAGCACACTCAGCTGACATGTGAGGCATGTTGGAACTAATAGGAAATGAATAATTTAAAGCAACGTCAGTCAATAGTGGATGGAATATGGAAGATTTATTCCCAAGCATCCTTAACTCTTGCATGGGACATTCATGAAAAATTCTCTTCATGGTCTTCTGAAGACCTCCAACAAAAATGAGATCCTGATGCCCACACTGGAAAACTTTTCATTAATACACTTAAGAACTGGTTCCCATTTCTTTCATATCTCACTTTCTACCTCACTTACCAGTGCTTCCTTTGATTACATCCAGAAAAGTACTTGAACTTACATCTGTGACTAAGAGTCTGCTTCAGAGGAAACTAAACTAATAAATTTAAAAGTCTTAAAAATTGTATTCCCTCAATGCATAAATTTTTTGTAGTTAATTGTATCTGCATGGCCATACCATAAGCCCAGTTTACCCCTATTTCTCAGCTTGATCAACACTGCAGTAGCTTCCAAACTATTTTTTCATCCTTCATTCTGCATCTCTTTAAGCATCTTTCTTACTGTAAAGCCTGAGATTTCCAAAATGCAAGTCTGATTATATATTAAAATTATTTAATAAATTACATGGCCAACATATTTTACAAAGCATTCCTGTACATTGTCATTTAGCAGCTATTCTCATCCACATTCATGCACCTCTCTGAATTGCAATGAATCAATCTAAACACTACATTTTCAAGATTCATTAGCAATCGGGCATAATATATAAACTATATTCTGCCAGTGAGATGTGTTTTCATAAATCTCAAAGGAGATTTTAAGGTAAAATATCTTAATACAGCCTAATGTATAATGTTGACACACAAGTATGAAAGACAGTGTTTGTGGTGGCTGGACTTAGCATTTTATATTTACATAGGTGTTTTATTTGAGGTGATGATACCAGCATTGGAGGCAACAGCAAACTTCTGATCTTTGGAAAGCTGTTGTCAAGGTGATCTGTACAGTCATGTAGCAGTATATCTAACTCATACTCCTGTTGTGATTCCAATAACACTGAAAGCTCCTAATTTACTGTGCTGACTCTCTTCCTGTTTGAGATACCTAGGATGGTTTAGTCTTAAACACTAAAATGTGGTGATAAAAATAAGTCGTCATTTAGTTGGTTTGTATATAGTTTCTCAACTCCGATATCAACAAATCTCTTTATTTTTCTGGATTCTAATCATCCTGAACTTATTATTGTTTGTCTTATCTGTCACGCCTCCTACAGATATAGTGTTACTTCTTTCTTGGACATCCACTTTGTCCTGAAACCATTTCAAAAATGCCTATTCTCCTTTGTCATCAGAGAAAATCAGTTCTTCAGGGAAGCCTCTCTGCAGTCCTACTTCATTAAATCATTTATTAAATTATCTCATAAAACAAAGAATTTTTATAGAAATATATTGTGATAATGTTCATTTTCAGTTTGATTATTTGAATAGTATTACTCATCAAACCAAGTAATATGTTTCGTAGCTAAGAGTAACTCTAACGACTCTCACAGTCCTAGTCCCTAGCCCACTGCCTAGTCAAGTATAGAAATTCAATAGTTTCTGACGAAGTCTCACTGTTGATGAGAGATTTAGAAAAGAGAGAAATCACGATAAATGAAATGAGATTTATGAAGAAGAGGCTAGAAATGGGATCCAAACCTTGAGTTGGCATTTTATGTTAAAGCACCTATCCCATTAAAATAGAATATGAAAAGGAAAGGTAAATACAAACTTTGTAAATTGATTAACAGTATGTGAGAAATTAAAACACTCATATTTTCTCCATGAAGTAGAAGGCTAAGGAGTCTGTTGGCCTGATTGGAGTTGTAATTGGGAAGTGATTCAAATGGATGGAAACATATTGGAAACAGCTACATTCTTAATGGGAAAGAAAGTTGACCAGGGAAATGAAAGACCTAGAGGAATTTTAAAGATCCATTTCAGAATAGAAACAAAATATCTGTAGAAACACCATTCCACACATTTGAATGAACAAACAGTCGCCTAGTTGCAGTGAATGGGAACAATTTAATTGATCCAAGATCTAGATGTTAAAGTATGTCTGTGGTAGAATAATAATAGGTCTAGAGATACATGAACAAAAAATCAGAGTATAAAAAATTTGAAGTTAAAATTTCAAAGTTTCTTAGAGTAAAAGAGATTTCACCTTTTTAAATAGTTAATAATTTTCCTTAAGCCTCAGTTACTTTGGCATGAATTGGGTCACTTGCTTTACACTGATCCATCTATTGTGACTGATTATTCATTCTGGACTCAGGGCCACTCCTGCTTAATTGAGGATGTGTTATGACCCCATCACATAAAAGGAAGATATTTTCTCACAGAAATACCAGAGGTTATAGTATCAGATGAGAGGAAATTGAAAGCTGGTTGGTCTTTAGATATAATAAACCATGTTTTAAATTGATTTTACCTACACAGTACCAGGAACATAGCATAGACTCTGTCCTTGAGTATAGCATTGAACAAAAAGGTAATGTGAAGTCAGAAGTTGAAAATCAGCAGGAGGTGATTACTTTTTGGAATACATAAAAATAAGATTAGTATTTGAGGTCGGGAGTGGTGACTCACGCCTATAATCCCAGCACTGTGGGAGGCCGAGGCAGGTGGATCACTTGAGGCCAGGAGTTCAAACCCAGCCTGGCCAACATGGCGAAACACTGTCTCTACTAAAAATACAAAAATCAGCCGAGTATGGTGGTGCATGCTTGTAATCCCAGATACTCGGAAGGCTGAGGCAGGCAAATCACTTGAACCTGGGAGGTAGAAGTTGCAGTGAGCTGAGATTGCACCACTGCACTCCAGCCTGGATGACAGAGCAAGATGCTGTCTCAAAAAAAAAAAAAAAAAGTTTAGGATTTGATTTATTCAATAATTTTTTTACTGCTCACTTATTATGCTCCAGAAACTCTATGTGGAATGAATTAATGAATATGACAGATAAATATTTTCTGGTCACATGGAAATTAAATTTTAGTATGAGGTTAAAAAAATGACAAAGAATATAATAAATAAGTAGATTTTACAGTAGTTTATAAGGGTATGGTTGCTATAGAAAAAAAATGATAGTTTACAAGGTGTGGAGACTGAATGTCCAGTGCCAAGTGGCATAGTACATTTTTAAGTAAGGTGCTCAGAATATGCTTTATTGAAAAGAGACTCCTACTAATGGAAGAAGGTAGGGAAGGTCACTATGTGAATGTCTGGGAAAAATCTCACTCTACTTACAGAAGACAGCCAGTGAAAAAGCCCTGAGTTTGACTCTGTGCAGTGTTTTCATTAAATAGTAAATGATCTGGTGGTTATGACTGGAGCAGAGTGTTCAAGAAAGAATTGTGGACTTAAAAAAATCAGTGAGTAATGATGCCAGGTCACTAGGAGTTTATAAAGCAAGAATGGACTTTGCTTTTACTCTGAGTGAAATAAAGAGCATTTCAAGGTTTTGAAATTAGGAGTAATTTGATCTGATTGTGTTTTAAAATGTTTCTTTAGCTGATGTATTGAGCATAGATTATTAACAGGCTTACAGGTGACTTGGAATATGGTGGCATTCATTTGTTTTAGGTTCAAGAAAATAGTGCATACCACCTGTACCTGTTTCAGTGAGTTGAGTTTCAGAAAAGTTTCTGAGAGCAGCTCCTGCTGTCATCAAAAAGCAGTGCCTAAGCCCATTGGCTTTCTTCAGAAAAGCCCATCTTTTTACAGGTAATAACTTGCTTACAAATGACACTAGGGATACATATGCCCCAAGAAATAAATGATTTATTGCTAAAGTGTCTCGTTACTATAAAAAGATTCAGTGCTTTCTTCTGATAAGATGTGTCTGGTTCCAGCTACACAGTGGGAGTCAAAAGCAGCTATCCATCAAAAGTCCCAATTGATGGAGAGATCTTATCTACCAAGCTCTTATCTACCAAGGCAAATAAGCCTGCTTCATAGAAAGAAGGTCCTAGATGATGTAGGGCATTTAATCCTGTACCTCCTGCTGCAAGTATAACAAGTCAGCGTTCTCTCATACAGAATGTCATAATAAGATGGAAATGGGTTTAGAGAGACAAATGTTTTGTGGCTTATCTCTTTTTTGTATTTTAGCTTCAGTTTCTAATAATAAAAACAATGTAAGAAAAAAGAAAATTGTTCTCTGATAAAATAGATTATTGAAACAAAGAAAGTGGAAAAAGATACCAAAATATTTAAATATAAAACTTCACTTATTACCACATCATCTTAATAAGCAAGCTATGGTAGCATATTGCTTTATTTTGCATTAGGCCATTCTTGCATTGCTGTAGAGGAATAACTGAGGCTGGGCAATCTATAAAGAAAGAGGTTTAATTGGATCACAGTTCTGCAGGCTGTACAAGCATGGTACTGGCATCTGCATGGCTTCTCGGAAGGCCTCAGGTAGCTTTTACTCATAGCAGAAGTTGAAATGGGATTAGACACATCACAAGCTGAAAGCAGGAACAAGGGAGAGAGTGGGGATGGAGGTGGCACACTTTACAACAATCTGATCTTGAGGAAACTCACTCACTATGGCAAGGACAGCACCAAAATATGAAGGATCTACTACCATGACCCAATCACCTCCCACTAGGCCCCAGCCCAACACTGGGGATTACATTTCAATATGAGATTTGGGCAGCAACAAATATACAAACTACATCAATTCTCTGGCAATATTTAGCATATGTGTCTTTATATATTTAAAATGTGTTATCATAATTCTGAGTCCTGATTTTTTCCATAGTTAATTGATATGTACTTTATAGGTTGCTACATTATCTTTTACAGTAGATTTTTAATAGCTATATGATATTCAATTAAGTAGGTATAACATAGTTGGGCTTTTATTATTACTGGAAATAAAAAGCTCTATAAAGTCACAAGTCAATAGCATTTTACACACTAGTAGGTTATTAATCTTTTATTATGAACACATTAAACCCAAACCCCTTCTCTTTCCATTCCTCGTTTGTATATCTGGTTTTTAGCACAAAAATAGTAAAATCAATGTGGTAAAGGGTTGGCAATGATTCTTTTAATTAATTCAAATTATTTCAAATCAATTTCTATCTTTCCCTAATAATACTCATTGTTTTTCTCTAAGTAGTGGATATAATTGGCTTCCTGAAATATACATGAATATATCTTGGATCAGTTCAACTATGGACAGCACATGTATCAAACATCAAGCCATTATGTCAGCTCCAAGGCATTTCATTCTTTGTTTTTATAAATCAGTTTGCATCATGTGCAATTAGGAAGGCACAGCACAATGTAGATTTGGACACAAGAAAATTGGAAAAAATAAAAATATGCTAAGACAGATGAATATTCATTAGCTTTGTGAAACAACTACGTCAGTCAACTAGTTCATAATAGTTTACATGTTAACTCCAAATATGCATTGATATATATGTATATCAATGTATACACAGGGTTTGGTTTTAAAAATGGAAGAGTTAAGAGAAGTTTTGAAAAATGCTTGTAAAAAATTAATTTTAGCAATATTAAGAGAGGGACTTAATATAATTTGATCAAAAGACCAGATGTGGAGTAGGAAGCAAAGGGATTCTAATGTAATAATTGTAATTATTTTCATATTATATTGAGTGCATATGTAATATACCCATGAATAATAATTTACATTTCAAATTCTATAGGAAAAGGAATTTCCTTAAATTTAAACATTCCAGTGTTTTTTAAACTAATATTTACATAATTAGAATGTATAACGTTTATTTCTTCCATTGCTTTTCATCAGCATTATTACTTTATCTAGTGATAGGTAATAGTTAATAACTTACTAGTTACAGAGATTTTCAAATGATCTGATCTTAGAAATTTCTAAATAAGTACACATTTAGTCATCTAATGTTATTTATTGGGCAACATTCACGTATAAGATGTTTTATTATATAATTCAACCAAATGCCTATATTCAAATAGCTACCCGGGAAAATCTTCACATACACCCATACACGCACACAGATGACACATAACTCTTGACAGTTAGTTTAGAAGACAGGAAAAATGAAAGCCACAAGTAAGTATGATAAAATATATGTTATATAGAAATGTAAAGCATAGGATAGAAATAAAGCTAAGTAAATTATTAACTCAAACTTTCATGGTTTTAAG
The DNA here is from genome assembly GCF_000001405.40 of Homo sapiens. Taxonomy (NCBI): domain Eukaryota; kingdom Metazoa; phylum Chordata; class Mammalia; order Primates; family Hominidae; genus Homo; species Homo sapiens. Next base: position 63,793,201 of record NC_000004.12, on the reverse strand, counting down.
GTTGTTACAGCAAAAAATGCATAATAAATGTTTCTTGACTAATGAGCAGAAACATTTTGGATGAAAAAACAGGAAATAATGTTCAGAAATATGACAGTATAATAGTTTGGTATAATATTTCACAATGTATGTGCATGTACTTTATGCTCTTATGTGGCAGGGTTTTTATCTGTTGCAGTGCTTAGCTGAAAATAATGGAAGCAGATATTGATTAATTCAGATGGGAAGATATCTGATATCTCACAGAACCAATGAGAAGTGAAGAGAATCGGTTTCATAAAGCAAGCCAGAAATAAGGAAGTATGAATACTAAAAAAATTTAGCTAGTCATGGTATTACATGGGACACCACCGTAACTTGGTATTTAATCCTCCATTGTATCTAGACTTCTGTTATTATTGCCACCATTTGTTAACTTTCCTGTTACTTTGCTTAATTTCTTTAAGATTCAGACAGTTGATAGCAACACTTGATTAAAAAACTGTTGAACATAAATATTCCTGGAAACAAGAAGGAAATTTTTGACCCCTTTGGGATGTCTAATGTGAAATAGGTAACCAACACAAATAAAATGTCCTCTATTAGGTGAAAGAGAATGAGGATGAGTTTCAAATAATAAACTGACATAATAGTGAGTAGAGCGTTTTATGCTATTACACAAAAATTAGACCTTTGTTTTAGGCAATAAGAAGTCATGACTGCATCTTAGGCAGAATAATTAATCTTATCAGAATTGCATTTTAGAAATAACTTGAGTAACAATTTGGATGAAAATACTGTAAACATGAGGGTCTATTGAAATAGAATTCAGGAGATTCGTGATATCCCTGAAGACAGATAAGCATCTTAATTAGCACAATGGTACTGGTGCTGGGGAGAATAAAAATAAAGAACGGATGTAAAAGTTATTTTGGAAGTAAAATTTGGAGAGCTTAGTAACTTACTGAATATGAGAGATAATGGAGAGAAATGAATCAGAGATAACGTATAGGTTCCTAAATTGGCTAACTGGATAGTTGTGATGTTATTGAATGGGAATTAATTTAGTTTTAGAGTCACCATATTTGATATAAATTGAACATTCAATAATTTGAAAACATTAGTCTACAGTTTGGAACCATGGTATTGACAATCTTTAACACAGGGAGCACTAAAACTCCAAATACACATACAGAAAGATAAAACAGTAAAAAACGAAGAAAAAAAGGTAAGTGTTTTAATGGAAGTCAAGGAAATAGACTTTCAACATTTAACAGGAAGGCAGCTGGATTATGGGATTTTGAAATCAAAGAGAAAAGGAAGTGAAAATATGCTAGAAGTTTAGATACTAGATAGTTACTGATATCCTTGACAGAGAAGTTTCTTTCAAGTGGTACAGAGAATTTCAAGGGTTAAATAATGAATTTGTGGTTAAAAAAAAAAGCTAGAAAGTTTTGTTTAACAATATATTTTTAGAGTAAAATAAACAAATAAATAAATCCTGGGCAATATAGTGAGACCCCCATCTCTACATAACAAGCTCAAAAGAAATATCTGGGCTTGTTGGCTCATGCTTGTAATCCCAGCTACTGGGGGTAGGGAGGAGATTGAGGTGGGAGGATCCCTTGAGACTGGGAGGTTGATGGCAACTTAAAAAATAGGTTGGTAAAAGGAAAGGGTTATTTAAAACATAACTTACAAAGCAGTATTCTTATAATGTAGAAAATTGATTCACTATTTTAGTCCTAGTATAGTCTAATATGATTTACTTCTTTTATTAAGTAGACTAATTTAATGTGATTTGAATTATGCACTGTTTAGGAATTCATACATTTATTGTGTACTTATTTAGTGTATGTTAGTGTTACTGATTATAGCAATTTTAAATATTTATTTTTAACCACTTAATATATAACAGTAACTTAGAAAATTATATTTATGGGATAGGTCCTGAATTTTATAAATGTTTGCTTAAAAAAGCACAGTATAAATACATCAATTCATTTGAAAGCTAAAAGTTTGAAATAGATTAAGATTGAAACTGTCACAGGTGCCAAGAACATACAATTTCTTTTAGAATCATTGTCAGTATTAAACATTGTTTAATATGTTGAAAAATGCATTTAAATAAAAAGAAGGAGAGATAAAAAGGATAAAACTAAGAGAAGATATTATATTCAACCTCTGTAAAGGACACTAGGAGACAAATATCTCACTTTATCATTTTTTAGTTGATTCTGGAATCCTAATCACCAAACACGCAAAAAAGAAAGTTAGTAATAGAAACTCTGCAATACAAAATGTATTTGCAATGCTCTGAAGAATAATTGAAATATTGGTAAAACAGTATGTCTTCAAATAATTTTGAGGTCCTCCCCAAGGTGTGGCAAATTGGTGTACAAGTTCTGAGTTACCGGTGTCCCCAGGTACTGCCTGCCTCAGCATTTGAGACACTGGCCCACTAGGCTGACTGCCTTTAGACTTCAGAAGTCTAGTTTAACCTAATGTTTCCACAAAACATTATACTTTGTGTGTATCACGATGTAAAAAGTTTGTGAATCATTGCTCTCATCAATAAAGATTTTGATAAGTACTATCAATTCGATATATTTTTCCCCTGAAAAAAAAGGAATGAAAATGAAATGTCAGCTATTTTACTATATTTTTTCTTAATATGAAAACATGCATGATCATGATAGCAAATGTATACAAATAATCGTAGAACACAAAGAAAATCACCCATTACTCCTCAGTTTAAACATATGTATTGTAAACATTTGGAGGCATTTTGTTCAAGAGGTGTGCGTGTATGTGTGTGTGTGCGTGTTTAAAAAATAAGCCTGTATATATTTGTTGAATGAAGTCATGATTATTGTGAAAAGTTAAAATAAAGACATAGAAAATTTGGAATTTAAATTTGGATTCTAAAGTTTGTATTATAATAGTACCAATACTGAAGAGGGTGAAAACAGTGTACTATTGATGGAAAAGGGTTTTATGAAATGCCAATTAAATGGCGATTATGTTGAAGCTTCATACTTTCCAGGAGCAACACAAACTGTCTGGGGAGAAGAAAATCACTTAATTTAGGCTGCCATTTAAATAATAAAATTAATATAAAAAAACTATTATACCAGGTATTCTTTTTTAGCATATTTCCTTTTAATTATATCAGAAATATAGGTTACATCATTATAGAAACAAAGCCTGAAAAAATGTACTATTAGCTATTATATTCAGGAGTAGTTTTTAAAAATTAATTTTCATCAGTGAATGTGTTTATGTTCAATAAAAAGAATAGGTTTATATCCATATGACTGTTGTTAGTCTAATGTCTTCATTACAAATACACACTTCAGGAGTTATTTGTGTGAGTAAGCATGTCTTCTAGTCTCTTGGGAAAATAATCCATGTAAGTTATTAGTTCCCCGGCCCTATGTGTGCATATACTTTTCATTTTTCTGTCATCTAATGAATCCTCTGAAGGTGGCATTTGCTTTGATATTAACGTATTTCATGGCTTCTTAATTTTACTAAATCTGGTTGGCATTTGGATATTTTTATAATGCAAATAGCATTTTTGTGTTTTTATAAAGGAAAATTAGGCATGTGTTTCATAAGACGATAGCAGGTTGATTATTCTTTCTTAAGAATTTTGAATTTTACAATAGTTCAGGTTACAATATTACTCCAAATATATTGTTTCTTCTTTGTTAATTCTTTAAGTATGCAGAATTAAGTTGATTGAATTCTTCAATTAATGATAAACTATGCTCATGGGTTAATGTAACACTCTTGTTTGGTTTCATGTTTTATTGGTATTATTTTATTTCTCATCAATGATATTACCAATATGAAGATAAGTCCGCTGTTATATATATGTTGTGGCCTACGCATATCTAATTAAGTGAATCAATAAACTCATACCACTCCAGAAGAAAGTGCTTAAATAACATCATATGATTTACTTTAAGAGAAATAAATTAAGCACATATGACAAACCACTAAGGTACAGAAAAACTTTAATCAGTCATGTGCTACACAAAATTATAAAATAGATTATAAATAGATTTGAAAAAATGTTACTGAGAATTAAATACCTATATTATATGAAGCATCTTTATTTTTCATTTTACTACTTTTTCCTTCTTAAATCTAGAATTCAAAACTGAATACATTTAGGAATAAAGAAATTTTCTCCACATTACTTCCCCTTAAACTGATATTCCAACAGAATCATACACACCCATACACACATATTCATAGTTAAAAACTAGATTAAAGGCTATACCAAAACTTTTAAACTTTTGTAAGTCTATTTGTGCACAAAAGGAAAGAGGCACATACATGTGTGTGTATCAAAAATCCTTGCTGTATGTATGCTGGGAGTGAGAGAGACATTTTTATTAATACAAGCCAAACAGTGGGTGATGAGGAAAACAGATATATCAATGAAGAATCCTAGATATCCAGCTTCATTAACTGAATCAATAATTCTTCCATGAAGACAGACAAATTACATGTTGTACTGGAAAGTGGATTCTATTTTGGAATTAAGTTTCACCTGCATATGAAACATTAATGGCACCAAGAAGACAACTGGCTAAATTAATTAAAAGTTGAGGGAGAGATTTGGATTAGAGATAAATATTTGGAAATTATTTGGAAATATTTGGAAATACATGTAAATGTATTTAAAACCATGCACATAAATGACTCATTTAGGGAGACTCATTATCTAAAGAAATAGCGGTACAATGAGTCAGTAATTTCAGAGAGTAGGAGTATAGATGCATAAATGTGTCTAATTTTCTCCCTGGAAATCTCAAAAAAACCTACAGTTGATTAGATACAAAAGGGAGAAAATTGATATTTGAATTGAAACATTATTATTATTTTGTTAGATAAGTAAGATGAGATCACAGAGAAAAGGACATTTTAAAGCTGATTGTAAAGAAGTGTTTAAAACTGTAATCATGTGATCTCAGATGAGCAACAACAGAAGTGAAAACACTGTGTAGGTCTACAGGTTAGAGTCTTAATGAGGTTGAAGAATTTGTTCAGGGATATATTTGAATAAATGAGCCAGAGAAAGAGAAGTGGAGTTTAAATAGTGAGATGCTTGTTAACAGGACTGAATGTAGCATAGTTGCTAGTATAGGATGTATCCATGGAATTGGGTTACAAAGGTTCAATACATGTAAATGAGGGTTATGTGTCTGAGGAGAAAGAAAGATGCAAATGGCCTACACTTCTGCTATCAAAATAATTAAGAGGCAGAAATGAAAATTAATTTTAAAAAATTAAATTATATTCCATTCAGTTAACTTGACCTGTATCCATTTAGTAGCTGAAGCCAAAAACTCAAAATAATTGCTTAGTCCTTTCTTCCTTTGGAATATATTCCATCTTCATCAAATTCTTTAGGCACTACCTACATAAAATTTGGATTCTAATCATTTATTGCCACTTCTACTGCTACTGCTTCCACCATTGCGCTTCAGTAAATAATTCTTTCAGAAGCAATCACACTTCTATTTTCAAAATCCAACCTATAGCTTTTTCTTCTTAAAACTGTCCAATGATCTGTATCCCACTCTGCATAGGAATCAAAGTAATTACAAAGGCCATTACCCCTTTCTGCATCTCCAGTTGCTCTCTCCCTAACCACTGCCACAGAAGACTGGCTCCTGGGCATTCCCAAACATCACCAGGCACATTCTTGCCTCATGACATGTGAATTTGCTAATTTCTCATTCTGGTACTCTGAACTGCCTAAATCTGCTGGGTTCACGCTCTCATGTCATTTCAGTATTCACTCAGATATCACCTTCTCAGTTAAATTTTGTCTACTCAATTTAAAATTGGAACATACAGTGTCTACTGCTATTCTTATTCTCTGCTTTATTTTTCTTCAGAGCAATTAAACAGAATTAATAAATTAATAATATTTTATTATAGGTTAGTTCACTTATATATAATAAAGTTAAATATATAAAATATTAATAGAATTAATAAATTAAATATTTTATTTTATACAAGCAAACTAGTATATAATAAAGTATTATTTAATAAATTAATTATATTTACAATCTACCTGCAAGAAGGGCAATGTTTTTTAATTAAAATTTTAATATTTCCTTTACTACTTTTCACCAGAATTTAGAATGTCAGCACAAAATTGGATTTCAATATGGATTTATTATATGAATGGATGGACAGTTTTATTGAGGAATACTAGATGTATGTAAGTTTAGTATACTTTCTAATAAGTATTGTATTTATATTTATTAATGACATTTGTTTTCATATCTTGAGCACTGAAAATAAAAATTGCCCACTACCCTAATTAATTAACACGGGAGAAATTTTTGTAAAAAAGTAATTATTTTTTCCCATTGGTTTTCATAAAACAGTAGATAGATGGTGACAACTTGAACTACGCTGGTTCTCAATTCTGACCTTAACATTTAGAAAAAATATTTTTTAAAGCTTAGTTGTCTGAAAATATTCTGCTAAAATATTTGTATAGTTATGCAAATATTAACATGTCAAGCTCTAGAAGTCTTAAGTAAATCTAACAAGTGAGGCATACTTTTATCAGTTGTGATTTGGGTGTTTTAATACATCACGAAATTACTCAAAGCAAATCTGAAGCCAATTTTATTCTGACAAATGAACTTTTTTCAATTAATATTTTGAGTAAACGGTGTATGTCTCAGAAAATTCCCAAAATGCCATGAATGAATGCACAGGCTCATGGCTTACATTCAGTTGGCATTTCTCTTGGAAGCCACATCTTAATTTCATAATCAAGGCCTCCCACAGAAGATTCCTCTCACATTGGATACATGCCTGATTTATCTAGATGCAAGCCAACTAATTGCTGGGACAACAGATGGGTCTATTCAATCGATGTGCATATCTGCCAAATAAGGCTAAAAACGTCTCAAACTAAAATAAACTATCCCCCAAAATCAGTGCTTGATCAAATTGAACACACAAATATATAGCATTTGTATTCTTATTTTCATCTTTCTCAATGATAGGAAATTAGAAAAAGAAAATTATCTGAGTTGGGATAAAATTCTGCAAAATCCTACTATGATGAAGAATGTTAAAGATCTACCTATTGAAAATAAATTAATCTAAGTTGTCAATGCCAATAGTAATTAAATAACTGTCAGGCTAGCTAACAGTTGTTTTCTGGTTTTGTTTGTAATTTAAACTGTTATGGAGGTATGACAGCCAATGAATAGATCATAGTGGTCCTAATAGTATCTGACTCTTAATAATGTTGTTGTTGCTGCTTTTTATTTCTGGAGACTCTTAACATCTTATAAAAAAGCTGGATAATATTTATCAAAATGCTACCGCTCTCCAATTTGCGTATTTGTTTATGAACTCTTAAGTGAGTCAAGAGGTCTGCGATATTCATTCAATTGTCCTTGAATTAATCTCAATCAGGAACCATTAATTATCCACTAGAGCCCCAAATTCACAAAGATGAATTCTGTAGTATCTTTTTGAGGTTCAATCTTCATTTCTTGATGATCACCACAGTTAGTTTCAGTGGGGCAGTTCTCTAAATTTGTCCAGGCTTCTTCACATTAGCAGACTGGATTCGTAATCAGGAAAGATCTAAAAAAACTAAAAACAAACAACAAACACACAACCTAAAAATCCCTAAAAGCTCATCCATGTTTATTGGTGAATCATCAGGAGTCAGGTATTAATAGCTGTTATAATTTATGTCAATTATACATGGATATCCACGAACCCTTTGCTCTCTACCCCCTTTGCAAAAAAAAAAAAAAAAAAGCTAACTTGTGTTAATTCCTGTGGAATCAGAATCAACACCTCATAGCCCTACATGGAATATGGATTCATTATAATCCATAAACATATAAAGAGTTATCTGCTTACTACTGGGTAACTATTTCTAACATATGCTGTTATGGCTTGTATGGAATGTCTAAAACAAGTACAAATAACTACTTAAAATTGTTATTATAAGTCATGCCAGTATTTGAAGATGAATAATACCTGCAAATATTTGTACTTTTTACTAAATATAATATTTCACATTTTTCCGTTTGTCACTGTCTATTGTTTTTATTTGTTATTGGCCACCCTTAAAAAGGTAAATTGTTGAATAACTATGACACAATAGTTTATTCCCTATTCATATTTCTGCTTACTCATGAATTTTACTAGAGGAAAACCTTATTGCTTCATAAAAACAGAAAATAAATGAGATACTAAGAAAATAATGCTGTATACAATAAATTGTAAATTAAAAAATGTTTTATATAAAGTAAGTATGATTGAACCATATGAATTCTTCAGTTACTGACAGAGATACAGTTACATTCTTACCCATGTTTCTTAATTTAAGGGAACAGTGATTTACTTTAATTGGAATCTATTTCTTCAATGTTTCTTTGTTGGTGTACCAAGAATCACAGAGCATATGACTATAGATCCATAATGGGAAAAACTGCTTCTAATAGACTCCAGCCTTAATGCTGAATTAAATAATTGCAAATACCTTTTAACATAAACTATATGTGTATTTTTTTTAATTTCCCTACCCTCTCACTACTGTCATCAGGTATATATAATATTTTATCAAGACTGGTCTGCATTTTGTTGTATTGTAAAAAAACACTTTCAATAATTTTATGGATATTAAAAATAGTTTGGAATCTTTATTTTTTTCAGATAAAAGGCAACATTTAGAAGACTTGCTCTTTGGATCCTAGGTGCTCTCGTTCAGAGCTACGGTGACAACAACAATAATAATAGCTAAAATTTGTTCAGCACTTCATATGTGTCAGGAACTGTGCTAAATAATAGTGATATATGAGAAGTTAATATTTACAGGTACCAAGTGAGGTTTTTGCCAAACAGCTACCTTATTTTAATCAGCCAGAATTCTAGGGGAAGAAAAATGCACTAAAAATCAGATAAGGTATTTTTGCATTTCCAAATAATACCTTTGTTTTTTGTTATTTTAGGTTTTTTTGTTTGTTTTTAATCTAACATAGGACACAGGACATTAAGTTTGTGCCTTTAGCAACAGGTTATGAAGAGTGGATGGAAAGAAAGCATCTCATTTTTCCCTCAAATTAGATATATTAAAGGGATTAGGGGAAGAAGAATTAACAAACACGTTGAGGGAGTCTAAGAATAAAAGTATCAGAACTGGAAGAATGATAGGATAGCAATGGAGTCAGTAATCAGAGGCGTGCTCCACTCGGGTCCTAGGCTCTGTTTTCCTTAGACCAGAGTGGACACATGAGGACCATCTAGAGTCAAACAAGATATGCAGCATATATAACCAGGTTGAAAATCTACAGTGTAGTTCTTTCCATATGGCCGCACATGAGAATTTCCCATTAAAGTCAACTTTCATACATTTCATGATGAATCTAGAACAAAAATCAAATTCAAACTGAGGTTCTTGCATCACGACCACAACTACAAAAAATAGAAGAAATTGTGGATAAATAAAAAAAGTAAAGCTCTAGATATTGTGTTATGGAGGCACGTAAGTCTTAGCTGAAGACTGTAACTTGAAAGGAAGAAAGAAAACTTAAATTGCAAAATATTTTACTTTAGTTTTAAGTAGAGTTCTTTTTAACACCTGTAAAATACATGCTGTAAATATACTTAATCACCATTTAAATAGAATTCATATGCCTGAGTAATGGAGGCTGTCCATGGGTGCATTTCTTCTACCTTAAATTTAATACTTTGAAACCTAATACACAATAATGATAGTATTTAATAATGATCAGAGTAACTAACCATGAAGCTTAATCATGATTAAGAAGTAGCTACATATGTTGCTGCAGCAGTAAGGAGTCAGAAAATACAAACATTCAATTATCTTGTCAAATTCCTTTACATGTCCAACGATGACAGTGGTATAATTAAATTAATGTCATTTATGTAATTTTAATAAAATAATTAAATTATTCTGAAGTTTCCTTATGAAGATGCATTAAAATGAAAAAGAAATTCACTTTTAATAATTCTGACATTTAGTAATCTAATATTTCTAATATTGGCATCTGTTCTGCAAACTTCGCTATGGTTAAAAAGAAAAGAGATATGCAGTTAAATAAGAATGCCAATAAAAAAAGCTCATCATTCTTATTAAGTTTAAACAACATATTTTATGAAATTTTATTAATAAAATATTGTATTATCAGTGCTTTATTAAGAATCATGTTATAAAAATAGGTAAATTAATAGTGAAATCTTATGGGAGAATCTTGCTTAGTTTTGGGGATTTTTTTGCTTATTTTTGGAATTTTTTTCTTTTCTATTTTTTTTTTTTTTTTTTTTGCTATTTTAGAGCTTAATATTGAGGACAGACTTAAAAGTCCAATAATAGCATGATTTATTGCCTTGTGGAAGTTCATAATATAGCCATAAAAATCTTTATTAGTTTTAAATATTACCTATATATTTATTTCTATGAAATAAACCCACAAATATTTTAAATACTTTAATTAAGCTTATAGGCTAGAAAGAATGAAAGGTGGAGATGAGGAAAAAAAAAACGATACCATTAACAACTAGTGAACTCTTTCAGTTCATCTGTAAAAATCACATTGAACTACAGGACTGTGTCATGAAACAATTTTGTTAGATACATTCATGAGTTATTTATACTTATGTGGATATGGCTCATGAAATAGATATCATGAAAGAATATTAAATAAATGATTTAAAAGTATTAATATTAAATTATATCAGTAAGTATAAACACGAACATGTTTGAGATACTTTCTAGCATATATTACAATATGCTAGAATGATTAAGAACATAGGCTTTGGAATAAAGCAATTCTGAATTAAAATGTGCATCTCAAACTCTGTTACTTCTAGCCTTTGTAAACCATATTTACTTCTTAAAGAAGCCTAAGTTTCTTTTTGAAGGCTATTATATAATTTTTTAAAATGAGCAAAAGCTAGTTTAAACTTAGAGTTTCAATACATGGTTGTTATGATACCATTTAATAGGAGGTAAGACAAATTATGCATAAAAATATTAAAATTAAAATTAGAACTACCATAGGATCCAACAGTCCCACTTCCGTGTATAGTATCTTAAAAAAAATAAAATCAAGATCTCAAAGAAATATCTGCAATAGCCAAGATATGGAAACAACCTAAGTGTCTGCCCACAGATAAATTGATAATGAAAATGTGTATACCTACATAATAAGATAGTATTCATCCATAAAAATAAAAAACTGTCATTTGTGGTAACATGCATGATCCTGGAGGACATCATGCTAAGTGAAATAAGCCAGACGTAAAAAGACAAATACAGTGTGATCTCACTTATGTGTAGGATGTAAAAACCGTTAAACTCATAGAAACAGAGTAGAACAATGATTGTCCGAAGCTGGGGCATGAGGAAAATGGGGAGACGATAGTCAAAGGTGCAAACTTTCAGTTATAAGATGTCTACATTTTGGAGAGCTAATGGACAAATTGTCACAATCATAATACTGTATTGTTTACTTTAAATTTACTAAGAAGGTAGATCTTGTCTTCTTACCACACACACATGCAAAGGGTAACTGTAATGTTGGATATGTTGGTTATTTCAATTGTAGTAATAGTTATACAAAGCATAAGTATATAAAATCATCATGTTGTACATCTTGAGTATATACAATTTTTATTTGTAAATTACACCTTAATATAACCAGACCTAAACAAAAGAATGTCAAAGAGTCACAGGCTTTTAGAATAAACTAGCTTTTAAAAATAAAAATAAATAGAATTTGTCTAAGTTTATTAGAATATCTGCAATTGTGAAATTTAAGAGAGAGGGGGGCCGGGGGTGGTGGCTCACGCCTGTAATCCCAGCACTTTGGGAGGCCAAGGCGGGCGGATCACGGGGTAGGGAGATAGAGACCATCCTGGCTAACACGGTGAAACCCGGTCTCTACTAAAAAATACAAAAAATATTAGCCGGGCATGGTGGCGGCTGCCTCTAGTCCCAGCTACTCGGGAGGCTGAGGCAGGAGAATGGCGTGAACCCAGGAGGCGGAGCTTGCAGTGAGCAGAGATCGCGCCACTGCACTCCAGCCTGGGCGACAGAGCCCCAGACTCTGTCTCAAAAAAAAAAAAGAGAAAAAAAAAAGAAAAGAAATTTAAGAGAGAAGGTAACAAGAAACAAACCTGCATAAACAAAAATAATTCAATGCATTTGAAGGACATAAAAGTCCTGAATAAGTTAAGAGTGATCTATAGGTATAGGATAGTGCCTGCTACGTGGTACACTTTTTCTAAGTCTTGAAATGCAGCAATAAACAGAAATTATATTCTAATGAAGACAGCCAGGAATAAAAAGTGAACAAATAAACCCATTTGAAGTCATAGAAACTACAAGGAAAAAGTATAGTGGTGCAATTAGAAAAAGAGTTATGGGGAATAATATTATTTTACATTGATAAGGCAGGAAATATATTGTAATAAGTTGGTATTTAAGGAAACACTGGAAAAAGTGAGGGGACTGTCCATATGTTTGTGAGGAAAAAATATTTCCACTAAAATAAATTGATTGGTCATTTTGAGGAAATACAAGAAAACCAAACCAACTGGAGCAGTATTAACAAATGGAAGTGTGATGAAAGACAAAAAAAATCATTGTTAGCATACGAATGGGGTATTAATTATGGCCAATTAGGCCATGGAAAGTCTCTGAATGAGATGAAAAGCTATAATATGTCTTGAGTGGAAAAACTGTATACTTTTATTTAGATTTCCAATATATCTTAATGGCTGCTTGTTGAGATGGGCTTATGTAGAGCACATGGAAGCAGACAGAGCCATTCTAAGCCTCTTGTGGTCTATGGATATGGTGGCTTAAATTAGAGTTTGATAAGAGAGAGATAAAAACAATCATAAGATTATGATGGTATTTTAAAAGTAGAACATTGAAAATTTTCTGAATATTTTGAGATGTGAAAGCAAGAGAAAAAGATGATTGCATTTATTTGGTCTAAGCAACTGAAATTATAAAATTATCATTATTTGAGATGAAAAAGATGGATAATAGAGGAAATTTGATAATACTAGTGAGAGAAAATAGTATTTGGTTTGTAATAAGTTAAATGTATAGACATTCAAGTGAATACGCAAAGTTAGGAGTGGTATTTGAAGATATGAGTCTCAGGAAAGAAGATGAGGCTAGAAATAAAAAAAATAAAATCTTTACAGTGTATATGACATATAAAGCTATTAGAACAATGCATTTTCAAACATTTTGGTTACCAGTTACAAAACTTGAAGTTAGTATAGAAGCATGATCATGTTAAAATGTAATAGAAAACATAAGTTAGGGAAGGATAGGTTAGAATAAAAATATATAAATAGAATAAAAGTATATCCATATTTTGTGAACCTACTTTCAGGCTGGAATAATATATGTTATACATTTTATACTATGGATCATTTAAAAAAGTATTGAAAGCCAGTGTCTGGTCTCAGAAAACTGTAGGAGAGTTCTCTCAGAATGCTGTGTAATAATGAAACCGAGAATGGGAACTTAGCCCACTGCAGCTAAGAGATAGACAGGATTCCAAGCTGCTAAACTCAGAGGTAAACATGGATCAGAATAGAGAGAAAAATCTGGGACCTCTGGAGGCAAGAACCATACATGCTGGGGCAGGAGTGGGAGTGAGGAGTAGGAGACTATCCTGGACCACAGCAAAGAAACAAGTAGAGATGTCCTGAAACACAATGTGTGGACTATTGATCCCTGTAATGATAAAGGAGGAAGAAGTTATTCTAAGCCTTCTCCATGAGAAGGAGAAAAATGGGGAAAAATGTAAGAAAGAAATTATTTAAAGAGATAATTGTGGATTTTTCTAGATTCATACAGCACGAATCCACTAATTTCGGAAGTACAGAGTATTATAAACAAAATCAGTGTAAAGAAATCAGATACGTTGAATGGAACTAAGGAACACTGATAACAAAGACAAAATCTTAAAGGTAACCAATGGAAAAGGAGAGGTTGCATATAAAGGAAAGAAAAAAAGAAAGAATAACAGACCTTTCAACAAAAATAATGGAAAACAGAAAAACAGTAGAGAATAACTACAAATTTTGAGAGAAATAGTTGTCAACACATATGAACAAAACTATCATTTAGGAGCAAAGTTAAATCTCAACATTTATAGATAAAAATTGAGAAAATTTATACCAAAGTCTTCTTCCCTAAAGTGAAGCCTAAAAGAGGGACTTCAGGAAGTAAAAAATATTTACAAAGTATTGCTGGGATATAATGAAAAATATTTTTTTTAATCAAATAGAAATATCCAAACATTTTATAAAAATAAAATAGTAATAAAATAAAAATTATTACATGATTAAAAATAGGCAATCTTGAAAGATTTGACATCAATCATATAAGTTGTCTTCTAGACTTGCTCCCTGAGGTGACACTTGGACTTGAAAAAGGAGGAAGTTCATCCTCCTGGTTTGGAATTAAAGAGAATTGATGGTGGTCAAATTTAGGAATAATAACAGCTATTGTTTACTGAAACCCTGGAGTGCCAGTGATTGTTGAAGCTGTTAAGAATTTAATTGTAATTCTTGTGATAAAAAATGGTAAGTTTAAATCTACTAATCAGAAATTTAAAGCATAGTGAGCATGAGAAGACTTCAGAGTACTTAAAGGGATCTATATATGCAAATAGAGGGCAGAATTATCTGACTACCAGAATAGGACTTAATTGTAAAAGTTCAGAAATTCTGAAAGGGCTGTTTTTTTTCAGCCTAATCACATCTCTCAAGCAATATCAATAATGGATACTGGTTTAGATGATTGGTCAAGGGTCTAGAAGTACGATTAGAAGATGAGAGATTGGGAAGTCTCAGAGAGAGGCATGTGGAGGGACTCAGAGATGTACATATAAAGTGTGAGTACCTTCATATTCCACCAAGAACACCGAATCCTTCAGTGGCAACATCAAACTATGTTGACAGAATAACTCAGTGAGAAGTTAGTCTAGCTGTATCTTTAGTCAACACTGCGCTTTTGTAAGAGGATTATTATTATAGAAAACAAGTTTATTAAAAATGATGATTGCCCTTGAGTCCAAAAGTATGAGTTCTCTTTCACCAAGCTATATCTGGCTATTGTCGCTGCTGAATGTCCAACTGGTAGCCAACAGAGACCAAAGAGGCCGACCAGCCACTTGATGACAAGTTGATTACATAAGACCCTTACTAACGTTGAAAGAAAAATATTTTATCCTGCTCAGAATTGACACCATGTTGGAATATGTTTGCCTTTGGGACTGTAATATCACAGGCAGTAACTCTATTCAACAGTTCAGAGAATGTCTGATCTGCTGACATTAATCCTACATGACTTTGCTTCAGATTAAGTGTGCTGCATTACAGAAATGGTGATTCAGCAGTGTACTCATGATCACAGATCTACTGTTCTTACCAAAGAGGCTTAAACAAATAGCCTTTTAAAGTACAGCTGAGTTATCATCTTTAGATGGCAATTCAAGGTCATCGATACAAACAATGGGGAAGAGGAGGAATGTGCTTGAGACCTAAGTAACCAAATGGAATGACTCTTTTTACTCTTATGTGTAGTTGCAACTAAAAATGGACAAGTGCAGCAATCACAGCCTGATAAGGGCATGGGATCCAGGTCTCAGAACCCTCAATAGTGCAGGTCTGGTTCACTCTACAAGGTCAACAACTAGACAAGAAGTGCTGCTATGCCAGATGGAGAAGAGTCTAAAATTTGGGATGGAGGAAAAGTGTCAGTTGTCCTAATTAACTGCAGCAGTGGCCTGCAACCAACAACAGCAGTGAAATATTTAATTAAATCTGCTATCCTGTCTCTTCTAAGCATTCCCAGCAATCTGACCAACAACAATTCTGGAAAATATGCAACTAGATGGATTATGAATATGAAGAATAAGTTCAATTAAACAAATCTTAGTGGATGCACTCAGCTATTTATCTTGATTTTCTTTACTGCCAGTTGTACCTACCTACCAGGTGCTAATAGTGATACCTTCTAATGATTCTTTTGCTGTACTCCTCTCAGCATTGTTCTGGGTTAAAAGGGCCAGCTCTCCTGAGAGATTATGCTACAACACCTCCAAAGTGGCAACAGGCAGACTTTGACAAACTGATATGAAGTTACAAAATGTTAGTTTCCTTGGATTAAAAAGTGGGATCAGGCCATGCACGGTGGCTCACACCTGTAATCCCAGCACTTTGGAAGGTCGAAGAGGGTGGATTACCTGAGGTCAGGAGTTCAAGACTAGCCTGGCCAACATGGTGAAACCCCGTCTCCCCCATCTCCCCCATCTCCCCCACAAAAAATACAAAAATTAGCTGGGCATAGTGGCAGGTGCCTGTAGTCCCACCTATTCAGGAGGGTGAGGCAGGAGAATTGCTTGAACCCGGAAGATGGAGGTCAAAGTGAGTCAAGATTGCATCACTACACTTCAGCCTGGGCAACAGAGTGAAACTCCGTCTCAAAGAAAAAAGAAAGGAAAGAAAAGTGAGATCAACTCAGGGATATAAATTCCAGAGTGCTCCAAGGTATCAGACACTTGCTAGAATGCCACCCTTGCTTAGTCTTTTTCTAATGTTCTATCCTGCTTCTGTCATTTATTTTTATGGCAAGGATTCATTCAAATAAAAAACAAAAGCAGAACTCCTCTTATAACTGTTTCTAGAAAACTCAAATTAAGATATACTTTGCTCTAAAAATTGCTATAGAATGCACATTTCAAAAACAGAGACATAAACAGATACAGAAATCAGAGAAATGATCCAAAGGGAGAGATGAAAACATTATAGTTTTTCTGTGCTCGAAATCTGTGTAGAATCAATGGAGATTTTGGAAAAAGAGTGGCAAAGGTAATAAAGGTGAGACTGAAACAGATTAAAAGTCTCTGTCATAGTAGTTTGACTTACTGTTACAAAATATCATAGATTGAAGAGTTTACAAAAAAAAGAAATTTATTTCTCATAGAAATGGAATCTGAAAGTCTAAGATTAGAGGGCCAACGTGGTCAAATTCTGGTGAGGGCTTTCTTCTGTGTTGCAAACTGTTCTCTTCTCATTTTATCCTCACTAGGTGGAAAGGGAACAAGCTAGCCCTCTGGGGTCCCTTTTATGAGAGCACTAATCCCATTCATGAGGGTTCTATCTTGATTTCAACATATGAATTTCAAGGCAATACCAACTTTCAGTCCATTGCAGACTTCAAATTGGACCTTTATAGTTTAACTTTTCATATTTAAAATTTCATCTTTAAGGGCTGAAACTGAAAATTATTGATGACATTTGAATGTACCAATAAAAAATAGCAGTAAGTCACAAATTGAAAGTGTAGTAAATATGCATAAAGGTAATCACATTTTTGAAAAAATGTGGTTAATGATTAACTTCAGGAAAAATCAAAAGTCATGTAGGTGTGAAAAATTATATATATATATAATATAACAGCATAGTAAAATGTAGCTCTCAAACCTTTGTGTTATAAACTCTTTACCTTTAAGTTCATTTAGTGAAAAACTCAATTTTTAATCTGGAAATGTAATCATTTTATATTTTTAAAATATTATTTCACACATTTTAATGGAATTTTAGGTAGACCATTATATTTCCCAAAAATAATCTTCACTGGTTCTGGGTTCTAGTATTACTGATAAAAGTAATCTTTGTCAGTTTTTAAGTAAAATAGTATCTAGGTTTATATTTTTTTCATTATCTTAGAATTTGTTGTGCTTTATATATCTAACAGTATGTTTCTTAACTCTTCTTTATTAAAAAAAATTGTGATAATATTATTCTCTCCTGGAAGTTTTTCTATGTTAAGGTCGGTCCTTCTCCAAATATCTTCCAAATATCTGTACTCTTTCTTCATAATTTTGATCTCTGTTTCTCTGCATTGCATTTTGTTTAATTTCTTCAGGTCTATTTTCTTCTGCACTACTTTTCTTCTTCAACTGTGCCAAATTGGCTGCTTAAACCCATAATTTTAATTTTAAATATTATCATTATTCACAAGTTATCATCTGAATTTGAGAGTTTCGGGACTTTGTTATCATTTTCAAATATGTCTGGTATTTATAACGGTATTATGATAATTAAATAAATTTTCATTTCTTTTAAATACCAACTATAGTGATATAATAGCCTATAATGTAAGATTTTTGTTTTTGAAGTCTTAAATTCTGATATTATTTTACACAATTTTTTGTCTACTGTTAAGAAAATTTGTATGATGTTTTGTGATTATTTATTTATTTTTATTTATTTATTTATTTTATTATGCTTTAAGTTCTAAGGCACATGTGCACAAAGTGCAGGTTTGTTACATATGTATACATGTGCCATGTTGGTGTGCTGCACCCATGAACTCGTCATTTAGCATTAGGTATATCTCTTAATGCTGTCCCTCCCCGCTCCCCCCACCCCACAACAGGCCCCGGTGTGTGATGTTCCCCTTCGTGCGTCCATGTGTTCTCATTGTTCAGTTCTCACCTATGAGTGAGAACATGCGGTGTTTGGATTTTTGTCCTTGCGATAGTTTGCTGAGAACGATGGTTTCCAGCTTCATCCATGTTTTGTGATTCTTGACAAATTTTTCATTAGAAATTGTCATTATTTAAGTTCCCAATTTAGAATATTTTCATCTTGCAGAGATTGGCTTCTGTCCCTGCCATATGTCTAAAGCAGTTAAAAAAGAGTAGACACTTCAAAAGAAGACATACATACAGACAACAAGCATGTGAAAAAAATGCTTAACACCAATAATCATTAGAGAAATGCAAATAAAAACCACAATGAGATACTATCGCACAAGGGTCAGAATAGGTACTATTAAAAAGTCAAAAAAATAGCAAATGCTGGTGAGGTTGCAGAGAAAAGGCAACACATACACTTCCAGTCGGGGTGTGAATTAGGTCAGCCACACTGGACGGCAGTTTGGAGAATTCTAGAAAACCTTAAAACAAATTACCATTCAACCTAGCAACCCCACTAGTGGGTATATACCTGAAAGAAAATGAATCGTTATACTATAAAGACACATGCATGTGTATGTTCATCACGGCACTATTCAGAACAGCAAAGACATAGAATCAACCTAAATGCTCATTGACAGCAGACTGGATAAAAAAAAAAAAATGAGGTACGTACACATCATGGAATACTAGGCAGTCATAAAAAGAAAGATCATGTCCATCACAGCAACGTGGATAAACCTGGAGGACATTATCCTAAGCAAACTGACACAGTAGCAGAAAACCAAATACCGTATGTTCTCACTTATAAGTGAGAGCTAAATATTGAGTACACACTGACACAAAGAAAGGAACAACAGATGCCAGGGCCTACTCAATGGGGGAGGCACGTGGAAAGATGAGGATCTAAAAACTACCTATCAGATATTATGATAATTACCTGGATGATGAAATGTTCTGTACACCAAACCCTAAAACATACAATTTACCTGTTTAACAAACCTGCACATGTACCACTAAGCTTAAAATAAAAACTAACAAAATAAAAATAAAATAGAGTAATATAATTTACGTGTGTGTGTGTGTGCTGTGTGTGTGTGTGTTGTATGTGTGTGTGTTTGCAGAGAATGTGAAGAGTATGAACTCAGGTCCCAAATCCAAGTGAAACCCAGTCGATGGCTACAAAGTCAAAGGGACATGTTTTTCTCCATTTTATTCAGATCAAATTTGATCCAAACAAATATTGTTATTTTCTACTCTGTTGGACAGTATTTTTATTATAGTTTTGTTATGCAGTTTATTCAATTTCTCTTAGGATGATGCCCAATCTGTGGGTGTCATGTGGAATATGGTCATCTCAACCAATTCACCATTTGGCAAAAGCTTTGCTTATAGATTCCGGTGTGTTATTTGGATAAAGTTTTAATATAGACTAGAACCACCATTCTCCGTATATATTGGCACTTGCTTCTTTCTTGCTCTCTGATGATTTCTTTGAATTCTTGCAAAATTAGCTGGAATTTATTCATTATCGAAATATATATTCAACGAGAATTTTAATTGGTTTTGTAAAAGAAGAATTTCAGCTTATTTATTCCATTAAAATATCAGAAAATTTAGCTATCAATGTACATTTTGTTAAAGTTTTATAAGAGATGGAGACAATTTATATTATTAATTCTTTATCTTTTAACATTGTCCTTCCCTTCTGTCATATAGTTCCCTTTTAACTGATGTGCCTCACTTTGAACTCCATCTTGCCAGTTTCTATTTATATTCAGACTGACCTTTCAACAGACTTTTCAAACACAGCATTTTCTTACGCAGGAAAATCTCTTTCTCAACTTCTTTCTCACGTTTGTATGACTTCTTCAGATTCATGCTCTGTTTCTCACTTTCAAAGATAATGAGGAATCAGATATGGGAAAAATTAAAGAAAGCAAATATATCCAGCCAACAAAGAAACAAACAAAAATGTTGAAAATAAATTTAAAAGTTTTAAATATTGAACTATATAAATTCATAGCTATAAATCTCTAACATTTTCACTATTGATACTTCATCATAATCTCCAGAATCAACTTATGGTATTTTAAAAGCCACTTTAAATATTACTAAGAGTTACACTACATAAAAAAGTACTTAAAATATTGTTTTGGCAATATTTAGATTTATCTTTTATTTACTTTTTTTGTCAGTGAGTAATAATTGTAATTTTCTATGTAGCATTGAACATATTTCATGATTTTTAGGTTTTTTTCTTAATTGTTTCTTTCACTGTCTGCTACATGCCAAAGACCTCATCCTTCTTTTATTTCTTTTTATTTTTGGACAGAGTCTTGCTCTGTCGCCCAGGTTGGAGTGCAGTGGCACAATCTCGGCTCACTGCAACTTCTGCCTCCTGGGTTCAAGCGATTCTTCTGCTTCACCCTCCTGAGCAGCTGGGACCACAGGTGCACACCGCCACGCCCGGCTATTTTTTTGTATTTTTAGTAGAGACGGAGTTCACCATGTTAGTGAGGCTGGTCTCGAACTCCTGACCTCGTGATCCGCCCGCCTTGGCCTCCCAAAGTGCTGGGATAACAGGTGTGAGCCACTGTGCCCAGCCCCTTCTTTTATTTCTAAAGTTTCAATCTCAATCCTCCCTTGGATTTTTTTTCCATTAACTGCTTTCCATTTAAATGGCTTACTATCAACTGGTATATGCCTGATATCTATCAATAAACTGTTTCAGTCTACTATGGTTTCATTTGTTATGAATTGTCTGACCGCCCATTACAAGTTATGTTTTCATGATTGCCACTCTCTTTCATGTCTCTCTATTCTGTTCATACAACTTACCAGAATGGAATAGTGCTGTCACATAGTAGATGCTAAGTAAATATGTTTAATAAAATAAAGATACAGAGCAGTATCTTCCAAACTTTTACAACACTTTTGAAACAGAGCTATTGATTTTTGTAAAATCTCTTCCCCCAAAATCCTTTAAAACTATCACCTGAGTAGTTTGGTGGGTAGCGTATGACACTGACTGATAGATTTTTAAAACCAGGGAGAATAGCATTCTCCAGTGACTACCTAACTTTGGATAATAAATCCTTACATAGAATCCATTTTTATTGTCAAAGCTTGGAAGATTAACTGCAGTTAAGAAGTAGAGAGAATAAAAGTAATCAAATGAGGAAGAACTACTACATGTTTTATAGCCTTTTGGACTTTACAGAGGATATAAAAAATTGAGTAAGGCACAATCTAAGAACAGAGTTAAAAGTCAGAAGTGTCATTGATTGATTTCTGAAGACTATGCACATCAGTTCAAAGAACCAGACTAAGTCAAAGTTGTCGTTCTACAGCTCATAAAGTTACTTGAATATTGTTAATCAGAATTCATTAACACAGTTGCATGAATATTTTTGGAAGAGCATTCTTTGTTTTTTTTCAGCCTTCATCATTTCTTAGTCACTAATACTGTAAATATGAGCAATCTGTTATTTTATGTTATCTATACATGTAAAGAAACAACAAAATGGCTGCATTTTCTCATTTCTTACATAATGTGTAACAAGTAAATATAACCACTGATTTCAATATTTATTTCTGAACTATAATTAAATAGAAATGTGTCTGAGTCTCATTCATTAGGATTAAATTTCCTTCCACAAGATATTTGAAAATCTGTCACTTTTGTGGGATTATTTTACGTATATATTTACAAAATCAGAATTTGAAGGTAAAAATCAAATTGCTTTTGTTTAATTCATATGAATCCCAACTCATGAGTCATGCAATTTGCTCTTTTTCAATAACTAAAAAGGTGAAATGTGAAAGGTTTAATTTGATACTTTAATATAGTAAATGTAGGCCATTTGTATAAATTACTTGTTTTTCAAACGCAATTTTCTGTTTTTGTATTACTTATGCAAAAAACAAAACCCAAGCCAGTACAGAGATACATCTAGAACAGTTATATAGTTAATAAGGTCACCACAAATGGTAGACCTCCCACTATAAGTCTGGCATTTTTATTTTCCTCTCTTTTACCTTCTGTCTTCCTTTATTTCACCATTTCTTCTTAATTGGAAAAGATACTGTGGTAAGAACTGCCACAGGTAAAAAGAAATGTTTACTAATTGGTTCCTGTGTTTTAGAGGCATGTATTCAAATCATGGTGAAGAGAAGAAAAACGTCATAAAAGAAAAAAATTATTTTTTAAATCATGCAGATAAAGAAAACAAAAGTGCCTAGATTATTGTTAGAAAACCCTTTAGTGAAAAGAATATGAACAGTATTCTTACTTCTGGAAGGCTATCTGCAAGAACTCCTGGGAAAAGGTTAAATGTTAAAAAAGAGTGGCTTTGGCTGGGTGCAGTGGCTCACGCCTGTAATCCCAGCACTTTGGGAGGCCAAGGCGGATGGATTACCGGAGGTCAGGAGTTCAAGCCCAGCCTGCCCAACATGATGAACTCTCCTTCTCTACTAAAGATACAAAAATTAGCCGGGCGTGGTGGCATGAGCCTGAGAGAAGGATGAGGCAGGAGAATCCCTTGAACCCAGGAGGCAGAAGTGTCAGTGAGCCGAGATTGTGCCATTGCACTCCAGCCTGAGCAAAAAGAATGAAATTCTGTCTCAAAAAAAAAAAAAAAAAAAAAAAAAAAAGAGTGGCTTTTCACAGAAGAAATCTTGTCCCCCAGGAGATATTTGGCAATGTGTAGAGGCATGTTTGGTTGTCACAACTGAGGTAGGTGTTCTTAGAATTTAGTATGTAGAAGCCAAGAGTTAAGTATCGTGCAATGCATAGGATAGCCTCCTGCAACAAAGAATTTTCCAGCTCCAATGGTAAATAGTATCAAGATTGAGAAAACCTATTCTGGAAAAGTTAAATAAAACTATATTCCACAAATATTAACGTTTCTTCATGAATTTCACCACTATGGGAGCATTCTCATTGTTGCAATTTGGGAATTTGAAGAAAAGTAAATAGATGTAATGTTAATGTGTAATTTAAAGCTCAATAAATAAAACTAACTAAAATTACAATATTTTGTTTGCAATATTTAATAGTTATGTTAATCATTCTTTTTAACATTCACAGTGTAATTGTTTTCACTTCTTAAAACATAAATTCAGTTTACACTTAGATCATACAGTATATATATATATATTAAATATGTGGACGGTTCCTTGCTTATCTCATCAGGATGCCTGTGATTCTCTACTGGAAACTCCTTTATATTTTCTTCTCCATGGTTCCTGCCTTTGATCTCTGAGAGAGCCTTGCTTGCTCATTATCCTCAATACCTGAGTCTGAAGTTGTTGTTTGAGTGTAAGCTTCCTTATTGGCCAGTTTCCTCAGACTGCTTTCTGCTGATACATGGTGGACAACAATTGTTGCTTTAGGGACTGGAAAAAAGGCTTTCACAGAATGATTTTTTTTTGTTGTTTTCTTTGAAATAACATTGTCTCAATAAAACAGTAAGTTTCAAGTCTATTTTCTTAATACACTACCAAGTGGAACTAATAAAACCCACAGATCCCTTCTTGAGTATATTTGTCTCCTGACTCTTATTTATTTACTGCTCTCTGTGTCTGACCTGTCCATTTGTCCTTCATTTAAATTGTGGCAACCTTAAGGCTATCAAAATTGTAAGATTGGATGTTACAGCATTAATCTCAAATCAAAATTTTGCTATTGGGCTGCCCCACTGTCTAACCAAGACTATTTAATAGAAAGCTATTTAAGGAGATCCTCAGTAAAAATATTTTCTTGTCTTAATTTGGAAACTAATTTCATTGGCTGCCTTACTCTGTTAATTTACATTACAGACCTAGCAAAAATGTTTGTTGTTGGGAGAACTCTATTTTCCAATTATTTCTTGTGTGCTTGTTTCTCTTCCCTAATCTGGTACTTGCTAAAAATGAAAACATCAGAACACACATATGCGCACCAATAATTTGAATCTTTCTACCATTTGCTTTGGAATTATAGACTTAATAGCTATATGATATGTCTTTCAAGTTGTTATAGAATATTACTAAATGATTTACTATAGAATAACAGGGAAGCACCTGCTTTCCAGCCTGGAATGTTTGTTTTTTGCTTGCTATAGCTTGAATGCAAAATCATGCCATTTTGTTTAGTTTTCTTGATGACGGCACTCTACTTCTAAGTATAAATTAATATATTTTTAAGGTATATGCTACACTTACTTAATAATGAGATTCCCAAATCAAGCGGCTCAAACAAAAGTGTAGCTTATTCATCTATTTCCTAGCAGTCCAGTAATAGTACAAGGTCAAAGGCAGAGAGCTTGCTCTAGTCTACAAAGTCAAAGAGGTTTAGGTGCACTTCTTAGTAGCTTCCATCTTATTACTCTGTCATCTCTAGGTTGTGGCTGTTTTCCACACTGTTACACCTTCCCAAATCACATGTTCTATCACATGACAAGGTGCAAAGTTAGAAAATGGAAGTCAAGCAATTATTTAAACATAAAGCAAAAATTCACAGTTTGTAATATATCCATTCTAATAATCCATATCTAATTGTAAAATCCTAGTCACAAACACATAGTTAACTGTGAGGGAAGTGAAAAAGGGTTCAAAAAAGCCATACCACTAGCTAAATCTTGAAGATGGTATTGTATAGAGAAAGAGGAAACGAATAATTGTGGATAAGCTGCAATCTCTGCTAAAATATATTTCTAAAGAACTTTAAGGGGAGGGAAGGCCACTGAGAGGCTTGATGTATAATCACTGGTGTGTAGCCACGTTGATTATATATGATGAGGTGATAAAAGCAAGTTGCCAACTGATGCTAATATGATTATATTTTAGTAAAATGAGCAAACAAAATAATTTTGTTACATGGAGATGTAAATATAAGACTCAATAATATTGGCAAAGGAGACACACAGTGAGATAAGGAGGTGGAGGATGGAAAGACATGATTAGGTTGGCTTTTATACATTTTTTACTACATTATTTCACGTGATAAAATAATACTTTGTAACAGTTTTAATGTCAAAAATAAGAAACCAAAAAGGTTCCTAGAGCATCTTACTAGAAGCTATTTTGAGTCTGAAAAATTTTGTCATTAGACCTCATTATTCCAATAATTGACCATGCTTTTCTTCTTTCATCAAATAATTTATCAGTACCTATTATATGCAAGGAGGCTATAGAAAAGGATAAGGATGCAACCATAAATAATTTAGAAATTATTCTTGACTTTATGAAACCTACACTTCAGTGGTATATATAGAGAAATAACCAAGAATTTAAATGTAGGGCGATCCATTCTCTGATAAGTCAAATACTGAAGCATAAGCTATGAGAGCTCTTGAAAGAGTTACCTAACTGAAATTTAGGGGACAGAAGATGTACCCCAGCGATGTAGCACTGAGGTGAAAGCCAAAAGATCTATAAGAATTACCCAAGGGGGGGCTGGGCGTGGTGGCTCACAAATGTAATCTCAGCACTTTGGGAGGCTGAGGCGGGCAGATCAGCTGAGGTCAGGATTTCAAGACCAGACAGGCCAACATGGTGAAACCCCGTCTCTACTAAAAATACAAAAATTAGCGTGGCATGGTGGCAAGTGCCTGTAATCCCAGCTACTTAGGAGGCTGAGGCAGGAGAATCACTTGAACCTGGGAGGCAGAGGTTGCAGTGAACCGAGATGGAGCCATTGCACTCCAGCCTGGGCGACAAGAGTGAGACTTCATCTGAAAACAAAAACAAACAAACAAACAAAAAAAAAACAAGAATTATCCAAGGGAAGAAGAAAGGAAGAGTGTCATTGACAGAATAATGGGTTTATTAATATCAAAGTAAGAGATACTTGACTTAGAAAAATAGCAAGATGAGAAATACCACTGAGTCCAGGTTAAAAAAAAAATCTAATAACAGAAGGGTTTTCTTTAAGAAGATATATTTTAATTTGGTCACAAAGGCAGTTTTAAAATTTACAAAACAATTCTAGAGAGATAGCTTTCCAAATGTGCATTGCTGTCTTGTTCTCTTAATTTCCCTTGGAAAAATACATATAGAGTTATGGAGGCTATGTAGCGTAGAGGAAGAAACAGTGAGTATGCATATGACATTTTGAGTTCTTTGGAAATCTCCAGAAGGAAAGAACTATAAATGTGAACACTGATAGACAAGCAACAAAAATAAAGTTCTGCAATTTCTTGAGGACTAGGGCATTTGAAGGTGGATTTCAAGGCCTGAGATGACCAAGACTGTAAATTGAAGCATGTAACCTGAAAGTGTCTCTTCTTATTCCCATTTGTTGTTTGAAATATTTGGAAGACTAAAAAAAAAGTCTCCTATTCCACTATAATAGGGGCTATATGTTTTTCATTGTTTACAAAAGAGAGACAGCTTCTCTTCTACTTATGCTCCAAGAGGTTGGAGACCTGAGAGGCCTCTAGAGCTAACAGCTTTAGCAAATGGGCTTAAATATGTCCTTTTTCCTCCCTTTTTCATTTCTTTATTGGTTAACCAAATGGAAAAGTCCAGTCTATTTCAACTACAGCAGATTGTCTACACAGAGAGACTGATGCTGTCCTACTATATAGATGCTATGGGAAGATACAATACAATTACAGAGAGGCAAAAGAAATTACAAACTGTTTCAGGACACTCAACAGCTATAAAAAAGAAAATAAATATTTTATTGTTAAAACAGGACAGATAGCATCTTGAGACATAATGAAAATAGCGATCTTCTTGAAATATAGTTTTTTAAAAACAAATGATAGTGTGATCTGTAGAGAAGACTCAAGCACAAAAAGCCCTCCCATGTTCATATTTTTAAAACAAGCAATTTAAAATGATAGTAGAAATATGTAAAATATATATATAAACACTGATAACCAAATGATTATATAAGATAATTTAGCGTAGTAAAGACCATCAGAAAACTCTGAAAACATCAAACTAAATGATAATAAGTTGTTTAAATTGAAGAAGAAATAATGTTGAATACCTCAAATATCTTTAATATTACCTTAGAGGCTTTAGCTATTGTGATAACAAATTAAAGTAAAATAATATAAAAATCCATATAATTAAATTTGTTATCCATGAAACTCAATAGATGCTATAAAATATCCATTGTATCATGTTATAAATAATAATTATATACACACATCTGTGTATTGTACCACCTACATTCTTCTGAAACACTGAAAAGAACTTCAAACAAAACTAATGATAAAAGCCAACACTGGCAAACAGAAATGTAGAGGGAAAATTAGCAGATAAATTATTTCAACACATTTGGAATGTACAAAGCTAATTGTAGTTATAACCATTGTCACAAAATAGTCTCAAAAAGATCAAGTAGCATATCAATAGTAAGAGATAGATAATGCCAGTTTTAAGAGGTGATAGCTTAGAAAATATTAGGTGTCTCTGGCAGAGCAGAAGGTCATAATAACAGGCAAGGGAGAAAGTGAAAAAATAGTCTTAAAATTTATACTGCAAAAAATGCATATATGTCATATATGTAGAATATCATTTTTCCAAAAACAGAGCACAATGAAGAAAAAAAAATAGCTGAAAATGTTCAGTAAGAATCAAAGCTTATTCTCTGGAAAAATTAAATTTCAGACTGTTGAGAAAACCAGCTTCCCTCTCTAAAGGGAAACAAAATAAAACATTAATTTACCATTCCCCAGGCAGGAGATATAAATTTTTCTAGAGAAATTGAAGTGCTCCCAAATCTTCTCTTTAGAGAGTTGCCTAATGGCCACCTTGAATAATGTCTTTTCAAAGATGGTGACTGGATTCTAGATGTTTTTTAAAGTACTTTGTGTATTCTTAAAATAAATTTTTATTTGCATTTCAAATGTATGCAGGAAGCCTTGTCTTAAATGTAACGGAACCACCGCTATGGTTTGAATGTTTGTCCCCTCCTAAACACATGTTGAAATTTAACTGTCATTATAACCATTTTAACAGCTGGATCCTTTATAAGGTGACTAAGTCATGAGAGTTGTTCCCCTGTGGCTGAATTAACGTCATTATCATGAGAGTTGGCTAGTTATTCCAGAAGTGGGTTCTGAGAAAAAGATAAGTTTGGCCCCTGTTGTCTCTCTGTCTTGTGTACTCACTTCTGCCTTCTACTCTTCTGCCATGGGATGACTCTCATCAGATGCAGGTGCCACGCTCTTGCTAAATAAATTTCTGTTCATTATAAGCTACCTAGTTTCACTTGTTCTGTCAAGGAAGCACAAAACAAACTAGGATAGAACATGGGTACTGATAATGGGGTTGTTGCTATAACAAACACTTGGAAATGTGGTATTCTCCTGTAGAAGCAGAAAAATGGAGTAAGACAACCACGAAATGTCAAAACAGAATAAAAAGATTAATGCAAAAACAGAAAAATTTTAGAAAATTTAAAGGATGGTTTTCATTTACAATCTGTAATATTACATCTCATCATATATCTAATTTTGCATGACTATTGATTCTAATACTATTGATTCTAATACATGACTATTGATTCATGTATTAGACTCTGAAAATATTTAGCCAAACACAGAGGTGTTTGGCTAAATATTGTGCAAAAAATAATGTATACGCTTTGACTTTCAGAAGCACTACCTTTAGGATTGTATTTTAATTTACCTTCCAAAGTATTGAGAGCTATCCAACTTTAGCTGGCATCACTCTTGTACTTGAACTTTTTTATATGCCCTAAAGCTATTTCCAAAGCAATTGGAGTCAAACCAGCTACAAAATAAAAATATCATAACAACACAGATTATACTAATACTATTTAAAATTCCATGTGATGGAGTAAGATAGTATAAGCATTGTGTTTTACATGTGTCATACAAAAGATAGAACAGTATACGATTTTAACAAAATGCAATTGTTTCAATTCTGAATCACTAAAAAATAAACTTTCAGTGAATTTTCTTTTCTTAAATTACCAGAACAGGCCAATTAAAATTCTGGTTAAGATTTTCAGAGTCTAATACATGAATCAATAGTCATGCAAAATTAGATATACGATGAGATGTAATACTACGGATTGTAAATTAAAACCATCCTTTAAACCAAAACAAAAACAAAATTTAACGAACACTTCGTTAACATGCTATAGTGAACAGATCTGAGTTAGCTTATTTTAGTCATTTATTTTAGATTAAAATGCAGAAAGAGCCAATTTAATTTATACTAGACAATTTAATGCTTAAGAAGTCATTAACATTAAATAATTTTTGAAGTTATTGAATTGATAAGATTGTTGTGTGTAAAGCTTTTATTCAAGAATACCTTGATATTTTCTAGGTTACTTAATTTCAAAATAAATGCATTACAGCCTTAGCTTTTTATGCTGCATTGCAGGAGATTATGCATATTTGAGAATTCTATGCTCAAAATGAAATGATTTAATGTAACAGATTATAGAAATAAAATAAAAGATCACATGATTTAAACAGATAGAATTCAAAGTATGAATTATTAGCAAAAATGTTTAAAACTCTAAAAGTTCATTTGGACTTGTTTATTCCTTTATACTTGGGAAAAAAGTAAAGTAGCATGCTATATTTAATTTCCAAATAGTAATAGGCTTTTCAGCTCATTAATTTTTTAAAACATAATTTTATATTTACTACAAAATGACCACCTATGGAGAATGAAACAAAACTAAATATAGATGCTCTTTAAATTATGATGGGGTCGCATTCTGATAAACCTATCCAAGTTGAATATATCATAAGTCAAGACTGCTTTTAAAACATACTACATTTTAAAATATGATAGTTTTATCTAGACATAACCTCATTGTAAGTAGAGGAGTGTATTGAATGTATATTGCTTTTGCATCATCATAAAATAAAAAAACTGTTAAGTGAAACCATCATAACTCAGAGATTATCCGTATGTGTTAGATTAACTGTATGTGGTATGCTCAAAGGAAGAAGGGAAGGTGTGAAGATATTCTATAAAGATACTCAAATTAGTGTTTCAAAATCAAACCCACTTAAAACATTGTTTGGTAGTATTTTTACATAGTTATACTGTTCTGCAATAATTATTTGAAAAGGGATAAAATGTACTTTTAAAAAACTTTCCATATTTTAAATCCAGAGAAGTGAGACAAAAAATATTAGCCACCTAGCTTCTTCTTTTTGTCTTAGCCAATCAGTTACTCAGCCTGCCATCATCTTTCACTGTTCTTTGATTCTGCACATGTTGATCCTTCAATTAAAATGCCCTTTTTCCTTTATCCACACTGACCTTTTACATATTCTCCAATAGCTATTCAGGTATCACTCACTTCATCTGTGAAATCCTCCATGCTTCACCTGAGATGTAGAGATGCCATCAGACATTTATAACCACAATCTCCTCCTTGATCTTAAGATTCCTGGTGGCAGAAGGTGAGTTTTATTTAATCTTTGTAAAAACTAGAAACCCCCAGTATTTAGCAGAAGAAATGGCACATAAATATTCATTTTTCCTTTTAAATTTAATCATGCCTGCAATTCACATGTGATAAACTAACATATATCACCTTAAATTATTGCTTATTTCTTTATGAGCTATTTAAATCTTTATATACTATGTCAGAGAGTGATAAGTGCTAATGGAGAGAAGAAATACATTTAGGTGAGTGAAGTGGAGAATGATGAGAGGCCATTTTCTAGAGTATGATCAATAGAGACTTGACTGAAAGATGCAACTGTTAAAATATTTGAGCAGGTACTTGAAGGAAGTTAGGAGAAGAGCTATTCTGGCATCTTTGGAAAGAGCATTCCAGGAAGAGGGAACAATAAATATAAAGCCAGAGGAACATACAGATACAAGAACTATCCCATTAAAAGAAGAACCAGGAGGCCATTGTCTGAGGAGCAGAGCCCAGGGATGGGTGAGGACAGGAATCTGATATGTATTCAAAGGAACAACATGACTACTTTGTGAAAAATATAAATATAAGGGCAGATAGTTGGAGATGAGTTAGGAGATAGTTAAATAATTTTGTAAAGAGATGATGGTGGCTTGGACCAGTGTGGGAGAGGAAGAGAGATTAGGAGTGACAAGATACCAAATGTATTTCAATGGTGGTGACAATAGGATGTAGTATCTATATTGACTTTCTAAGGCTGCTGTACCACAGACTGGATGACATAAACAAAACAAATTATTCTCTCACAGTTCCGGAGGCTAGAATTCCAAAATCAAGATGTTGGTAGGCTGGTTCCTTCTGAAGGCTTGAAAATAGGCTCTATTCCAGGCCTTTCTCTTTGGCTTATAGATGACCATCTTCTTGTGTCTGTTCACATTGTCTTCATATGGTATTCATGTGTCTGTTTTTAAATTTTCTCTTTTCATAAGGACTCCAATAATATTGGATTAAGGCCTAATCTAATGATTTCATTTTAAGTGATTACCTCTATAAAAACCTGTCTTTTAATAAAGTCACATTCTGAGGTTCTGGGAATTATGATTTCAACATATGAATTTTGAGGTTATTCAATTTAAACCATAACATGGTACATGAGAAAAAGGGGAGTTTGACCTTTGCAAACAAAGAAACAGAGTTGCTGGTTATCTTGAATACTCTTCAACATATCCATTCATTCAATATTCAACAAATAACACTTTTCTTGATGTTCGAACGCCATTCTTAGGACAGTGAACAAGACACCCGAACACTTGAACCACATATATTCAACATTATAATGGAGCATTCCTTAGGTACGCAATTATTCACTCCGGAAAGATTTTCAATTCCCCTAGTACTTCAGTTAAAATACTTCCTAAATTCTTACAGAGAACTAACAGGTAAGATCAGCATTTCCCTTCTTGGATGGTAACAACAGATTTTACTTGTAAATTTTGGCAGGTAACTTGCTTCTTTGAAATGTTGTTTCCTCTCTATAAAATGGGGAAGACATATTGACCTCATAAGATTATAGAATTAAATAAAATATCATATGCCGAAGATAGTCCAGGGCATATAGTAATCATGCAAAAATTGTAAAAATATAGAAATCTTGAAGCTGGACATCATCACAGACATCTGGCCTTAATACTATGGGCCAGGTAAATGATGAGCATAATTCCAATTGATCTGAGATTGAGTTATGTCTGTATTCATGAAGAAAAGATTTAATAGGGAAAATCAGAAAGTCACCTGTCATCTTGGAGGTACTCATAGCTGATAAAAAGTGTGAAAGAAAAAATATTTTTTGTATCCCTAAAGCCTGACACAAAGACAGAATACACTTTCATTATTATACACCAAATTACTTGTAGGAGAGGCATTGGTGTCTCATTCATGTCCATATCCCTTCCCTGTGCCTAGCTGAGGACTAATGCAAAGCAAGTGCTCCAAATTATTTGCAAATTAAGCATTCAGGTCATTGGCAGTACAATAAAATATGAAAAACAGGATCCAATTGGATAGCACATTTGTTTTTCACTGGCAAATAATCTTATGGAAATAAAGAGACAGGAGAAAAGGCTGTGCTAGAATCAGGATGGGAGGCTTGTGAGATGCATGGGGTGCTGAGACATTCCCTTATTCATGTAGCAAACACTGAGCCATGCATGACACTGCACCCAACTTGGGATGTAAACGTAAGTAATATCAGATTCTTAATTGTCTCACATATTTTGGTTGCAGAGACAGTATACACTAATAATAAACAGCACTTATGACCCCTCAATATGTGCCAGGCATTGTTCTAAGTTATTTGCATGGATTAATTATTTTTATCCTCACAATAATTCTATGAGAAATGAAGGCACAAAGAACTTAGGAAATGTACCAATGTCACATAGCTAGTAAATGGTGGAGCTGAGATTTGAACCCCAAGCAGTCAAGCTCTGAAGACTGTACTTTTAACCACCATGCCTTTTTGAAAAGCTAGTTCTCATGTAGTTTAGTGACTAAAGTGATAGATTCATAAATAAATGTATATATTTAATAAAAGGGATAGAAGTGATGATAATGCCTTATACCAGGTAGGATAGCAATTATAAAAAAAGTTAACAAATAATTGAGAGAATGTGGAGAAAAGAAAACATTTGTACACTATTTGCAAAAATGAAAATTGGTACAGCCATTATGGAAAACCGTATGGAGATTCCTCAAAAAAATAAAAATTGAATTACCATATGATTGAGCAATCTCACCTCTGCATATATAACCAAATGTAATGTCACAAAATATGTCATTGAATAGTGATATGTAGCAATCAAAGAAGCTGAATCAGTAAATATTTCAGTAAAATATATCTCTGAATATGAACATTTTAATGAATTCATTGGCCAGTTTATTTTCCTATTAACATATGCACAAGATAAATAGATAATTGTATATATACATATATATATACACACACAGAGAGAGAGCCTATTTTCCAACAGTATAACATAGAATGTTTAAGTGATGGCAAACTTATACATTATAGTTTAACTGTAAGCTCTTTTTGTCACTCTTAGTAATATATGAACTAATGGTATGTCTTATATTTAATGATGTCTTAAATTTAATAAATCTAGGTAAGTAATATGTCGGATAATAATAATATTATAAGTGCTATGAGCAAAAATTAAATTAGGCAAAGCAGTTTTAGAAAAGCAGAGGATGGGGATTACTATTTTATACAAGTCATGTAAAAACACCTTTACTAGTATGTTCTTTGAGCTGTGGATTGAAGGTATAAGAAAGAATTATTTTAGGTAGATAAATCAACAACATTTGAGGCAGGAATGTGACTGGCCAGGTGATGCAAGAAATAAAACTTTACAGAGAGTAATTACAGGGGAATGTTGTAACAGACAAAGTCTAAGAATTAGTGGGTATACAAATATATATACATACATATATATACACATACGTATATACATATACACACACACATGTATGTAAGGTCTCTTTTCTAAAGTATCAAATAGAATGTTTAAGTGATGACATAGTATGTATAAAAATTAGAACTGAAAGATTTTGCTGACAAATGAATGTAGAATATATAAGAAATAGAGGAAATGAGTATGACCTTAAGGTTTTGGCAAGAAATCAGACTAAGATTTTACCCTAAAGATTAGACGAAGATAAGTTGCAGAAATTAAGAAGACTTAATAAAGGACATATTTGGAGGTGGGATATCAAGAGTAGTTTTTCCTATATTTAATTATGAGCATTTTCTTGAGGAGAAATTGATTTCTCAAAATGTATGTTTATATATATATATAATATATATAATTTGTGGACTAGACACTCAGTATTCAAATTGTTAATTGTAATAAACACAAAGACATAGAAAAACACACACATACGTGACACAGAACCTGAAGTCAAATATTAGATGTAATGATCTACATTTAGATGAACATACAATTGTCAAGTTATTAACTTAGGTGAGAGTGTCTCATTCAAGCACTTTAAAATCACTGCTTCTCAGAATCTCACAGTTTTCTGGAATGCTAACTGCACCAGATGGTCTTACAACTTGGCTGCACAGTGAGATGATATGTTCAAAAGACAGGTTGGCATAATGTGTGAGAACAGAATGCAAGACAAAGAGAAACGCTGGCCTCTTACACACAATCAAGTTCTCTGGGGGAAAGAAATGCACAAAATGATAAGCTTTCATCTCTGCTTATGGCATATTTTTCTTTCCAGTTACTCAGTCTGAGTAAAATCAGTCAATTTTCTAAACGTAAATGAGTCACTTAATCTCTCTTTTTACCAGACAGAAAGCTATTTACCAAGATACCTTGCACTGGGATTCCATTTTAAAGACGAACTGATTGATACGTGACTCTACTGATAGAGCTTAGAACTAACCTTATATGTGACAATTTCCCCTCAGTATGCTAAAAAAGATTCAATAAAAATGAAATAAAAAATTACTAGGACATTTCATTAGTGTATATATATACATATATATATCTCAGCAAATAATTTTTATATAAATTTTAGAAAGGAATTTTAACAGCTGTAAGTATGCATGTAATTATATTTGAAAATATAGGTGTGGCATTACCACTAATGATAAGTTAATTAGATGGCTTTTTTTTTCTTCCTAGAATTTTTTGGTTTTGCCTCTAGAGACTATTATCAGAACACCCATTAGGTTAATAAAGCCAGTGCCTGGCACAGTGCCTGTGGCAAATAAGGCTTAAATTTCTGAAGCTGAGCTTATTGAGTAGAATTCAATATAGCACTCATATTACTGAATGTCCATTAGCTTTTTGTCCTAAAAATTAATAATAAATTTAGATAACATCTTATTTAATATTATATACACATATGTGTTAAATCTTGGCATAATATTTTAATACAAAATTTTAATTGGATATTTTTAAACAATTCAATGGCTTTTATCATATATATTTGAGGTATACAACATGTTTTGATACACATATAATAGTTAAGTGATTACAATCCACAAAAATTTATCCATCACTTCACATACTTACCTTTTAAAAAAAAATGGTAAGATCACCTAAAATCTCTACTTCAGCAAATTTTCAGAATATAATATAATATTATTAACTATAGTCCTTATTCTATACATCTTTAGACTTATCCTAATATGACTGTAATTTTGTATGCTATGACTTACATCTCCCCATTTCTCCCCATCCTTCCACTGATGATCACCTTTCTACTTCCTTTTTTTGTATTGAGCTTTGTTCAGATTTTACATATAAATGCAAATTTGCAGTATTTCTCTTTCTGTGTGTGGCTTATTTCACTTAATATAATGTCTTCTAGATTCACCTGTGACATCAAAGATTTTGTGTGTGTGTGTGTGTGTGTGTATGTACATACACTAAAGTCTAAAGTTTATTCATCCATTTACCCATCAATGGACACCTAGGTTGATTCTACATCTTTTTTTTTTATTCATCAATTATGATATCTTTTTTTAAATTTATTATTATTATTATTATTATTATACTTTAAGTTTTAGGGTACATGTGCACAATGTGCAGGTTAGTTACAGATGTATACATGTGCCATGCTGCTGTGCTGCACTCATTAACTCGTCATTTAGCATTAGGTATATCTCATAAAGCTATCCCTCCCCCCTCCTCCCACCCCACAACAGTCCCCAGAGTGTGATGTTCCCCTTCCTGTGTCCATGTGTTCTCATTGTTCAATTCCCAACTATGAGTGAGAATATGCGGTGTTTGGTTTTTTGTTCTTGTGGTAGTTTACTGAGAATGATGATTTCCAATTTCATCCATGTCCCTACAAAGGACATGAACTCATCATTTTTTATGGCTGCATAGTATTCCATGGTGTATATGTGCCACATTTTCTCAATCCAGTCTATCGTTGTTGGACATTTGGGTTGGTTCCAAGTCTTTGCTATTGTGAATAGTGCCGCAATAAACATACATGTGCATGTGTCTTTATAGCAGCATGATTTATAGTCCTTTGGGTATATACCCAGTAATGGGATTGCTGGGTCAAATGGTATTTCCAGTTCTAGATCCCAGAGGAATCACCACTCTGACTTCCACAATGGTTGAACTAGTTTACAGTCCCACCAACAGTGTAAAAGTGTTCCTATTTCTCCACATCCTCTCCAGCACCTGTTGTTTCCTGACTTTTTAATTATTACCCATCTTGTCTATTTTTCTTTTTACTTTGAGATGGAGCCTCTCTCTGTCGCCCAGACTGGAATGCAGTGGTGTGATCTCAGATCACTGAAACCTCAGCCTCCCAGGTTCAAGCGATTCTCCTGCCTCAGCCTCCCAAGTAGCTGGGAACACAGGCATGTGCCACCACCTCCAGCTGATTTATGTAGTTTTAGTAGAGACAAGGTTTTGTCATGTTGGCCAGGCTGGTCTTGAACTCCTGACCTCAGGTGATCCACCCTCTTTGGCCTCCCAAAGTGTTGGGATTACAGGCATGAGCCACTGCACTGTCTATTGTAAATAATGCTATCATGAACATGGGACCATGGATATCTCTGAGGTGCTGATTCATTTCCTATTGGTATATGCCCAGAAAAGAGACTGCTGAATCATATGTACTGTTATTTCTATTTTCTCAGAAATCTCTATATTGTTTTCCATAATGGCTATAACAATTTAGATTTCCACAAACAGTGTACAAGTGTTCCCTTTTCTCCACAACCTGGACAACACTTGTTATCTTTTGTCTTTTTGTTAATAGCCATCCTAACAGGTGAGAGATGACATCTCATTGTGGCTTTGATTTTCTTTTTTCTGATGACCAGTGATGTTGAGAAACTTTCTATAAACCTGTTGGCCTTTTTTGAAGAAATGTTTACTCAGACCTTTTGCCTGTTTTTTAATTAAGCTGTTTGATTTTTTGTTTTGTTTTTATTTGCTTTTTAGTTGTATGAGTTCCTCATATATATGGAAATTAACTCCTTATCAGACATATAGTTTGAAAATATTTTTTCCATTCCATTATCGTTTCATTTTTGTTGATTATTTTTTTCTTGAAGTAAAATTTTTATCCATTTGCAAATGACATGATCCTACACGTAGAAAAATCTAAGGACTTAATGAATAAGCTGTTAGAACTAATGAATGAATTCAGTAAAGTTATACAATGAAAGATTAACATAAAATATTAGTTATATTTCTTAACACCAAAACAATTTATGTGAAAAAGAAATTAAAAAAGCCTTTTTTTGATAGCATAAAAAAGGATAAAATACCTGGGAATAAATTTAATCAAGGAGATAAAAGATTTACTGAATACTGCAAGACATCAATACAAGAAATTGGAAAAGTCACAAATAAATAAGAAAATATCCCATGTTCATGAATTAAATGAATTAGTATTGTTAAAATGTTCATATCACCCAAAATGATACATAAATTCAACAAAATCCTTGTCAAAATTCCAATTGCAGTTTTCACAAAAATATTTTAAAAATCTCAAAATTTGCATGAAACTACAAAAGATCCCAATAGCTAAAAGAATCTTAAAAAAAAAAAGAATAGAGCTGGAGCCATCATACTTTCTGATTTCAAATTATCTTACATAGTTATAGTAATCAAAACATTATGATGCTCACATAAAAACAGATACATAGATCAATGGAATATAATAGAATACCCAGAAATAAGCCTATGCATATACAGTCAACTAATTCTTGAACAAGGCACCAAGAAAACACAATGAAAAAAAGATAGTCTTTTCAATAAATCATATTTCAAAAAAACTGGGTATTCATTTGCAAAAGACTAAAGTTAGATTCCTATCTTTTACTATAGGCAAAAATGCATCCAAAATGGAAACAAAACGTAAGCATAAGATCTGAATCTGTAAAAATTCTAACAGAAAACATAGGCAAAAATCTCCTTGAAATTGGCCTTAGCAATGATATTTTGGATATCACATTCAAAGTTCAGAAACAAAAGCAAAAATAAATAAGCGAAATATCATTAAACTAAAAATCACCTAATATTTACCTGCAGTTTTGCCTTAGATTTATTTTTTCTCAACAAATAAATTTCATTTTGAGTTGAGTGTATAATTGTTATTTTAAAAATTTTATAAGTAAACTAATGATCAAACATAAGTTTTTTACACCTTCATGTAAGAGTCCTGTTTCTCTACGAGGATGACATACCCTCTTTAAAATTTTTTAAATGAATGCATGTTTCTCCAAAAGAAATGGAAATGATTTATCTTTCTGAAAGATGAAGTAGACATTCCTTTTCCTACTACAGTCACTAAGTACAACCCAAAACCTTGGATCTTACACAGAAAACAGACATAATATTTTGAAAGGTGAAAGACAGAGGGAAGTGAACTATGGACCCCAGATCTCAAGATTTGAAGAGCACCATGATTGTGAATTTCCTGGAATTTCGTTTTGACTCATATATCAGAGACTGCTTGCTAAAGAAGCCAATAACATAGATGGAGTGATAGACATATTGATCCAGGGAACAGAACAGAGAACTCATAAATAGATCCACACAAAAATCCCTAACCTATATTTGACAAATGTTCAACAGCAACTCAGTGGAGGAAAAAAGTCACCCACCTTTTCATAAAAGAAATTAGATACTCATAAGTTAAAAATTTCACTTCAATCTAAATCTTGTTCCTTATACAAAAAATTCACTCAAAAGTTATAATGACAGATTTTAATTTAGAAGGTAGAACTATAAAATTTT
Organism: Homo sapiens; assembly: GCF_000001405.40. NCBI lineage: Eukaryota > Metazoa > Chordata > Mammalia > Primates > Hominidae > Homo > Homo sapiens. Next base: position 63,753,524 of record NC_000004.12, on the reverse strand, counting down.
CAGGAAAAAAAGAAAAAAATCTTTCGGATATAGGGCAAGGAAAATAGTACTTACATTTAATACCAAAACACAACTCATAAAAGGGAAAACTGGTAAGTAAATTTTACTAAAATATAACACTTTTGTTCTGTAATAGACCCTTATGAAGTAGAAAGTAAAAGCTACAGGGTGGGAGGAAATACTAACAAATCACATATTTGACAACGTTTTAGAATCTAGAACATAAAACAAGCTCTCAAAACTCAGCAGTAAAGACAAATATACAAACAAATCTAGTTAGAAAATGAGTAAAAGAAATAAAGTGACACTTCTTTGAAGAGGACATATAGATGGTAAATGAATAACGTATGAAAAGATCTTCAATATCATTAAACATTAGAGAAGTATGAATTAAAACCATGATGATACATCCCAGCACACTCATTCAAATATAAAATTTAAAATGACACCAAATGCTGGCAAGAATTGGAAGAATCTGTATTACTTTTAAATTGCTGGTGGAATTAAAATGGTACAACCACTCTAGAAAACAATTTTGAAGCATCTTACAAACTAAGCATGCAAATATCATATAATCCAGAAATCACACTCTAATGGCACATCAATGTATACTAGAATTTGTCTCTGAGAAACAAAAATGTATGCTCACAAAAACACCTGTGCATGAATGTTTACATAGCACCTGTATTCATCATAGCCTAAAACTAGAATTCTAGGTATCTATCAAAAAGTAAAGGATGATTAAAACTGTTGCACACAATACTGCAGCAATACAAACACATTGACATGCAATAATCTAGAGGAATCTTCAAGACATTATGTTAAGTGAGAAAAATCCCACCTGAAAAGTTTGAATACTATATAATTCCATTTATATACAGTGGTCGAAATGACTTACTTTGAAAAATGTTGGCTCTGAGTTCAATTTTTCATGAAAATCTTAAATATTGATTAATGCAGAAGAAATTTTTAGAGTTTAAAGTTTCTGGTGTCAATTATAGAGTCACCATTATAACTGAATCAAAATATGACTTAGGCAAGTATTGTTTAGACATCAATTCAGATATCAATACATTAATAGATATCAGCTTAAGTTTTTATGCAATTAAGACGACCACAGGTTAGGGAAGATTTTATTACGCATCATATGTATGGCTATACCATTAAAAAAAATTCAATGTATTCTGTAAATGGACAATTTGAAACTCTTATTGGTACCATTTTTAAACTTATATTTGAAAACCAAAATTGGGTTTTCTTTTCATGGACCTTTAAGTTCAAAGCAGATAACGTGCAAAATATATTCATTTCTTAAGCATGTTCACAAAAATAAATTTTACTTGGTTGAATTTCAATTTTATTTTGGAAACTAAAAAGCAGGAGTAAAATACTCCACATAAATAATATTGTTTTAATTTATAATTTGAAAACTTGGAAAGTATTGGTTCATTTTTACTGTTTCCCAAAATAAACCTCATTAATATTACAAAAAAATACATTCATGCTATATAAGCATGTTCATGTGTCTCTGCCCTATGCCTGTGCATTTGTGTGTGTGACTATTTGTGGGCATTGTAAATGAATGAGTTGTGTGGGTGCGCACGTGTGTGTATGTGTGTAGGAAAGATAAAGACCATGAAGATGCACAAAGCTTTCTCAAGTCTCTTCATTTTGATTGGGAATAAAGAGTAGTATCTATTTCAATTGCACAACTCATCACCACAGTAGGACATCGTGCTTCTAATTTCAGTAATAAAGGAAATATGATGAGAAATTACACATGAAAAGATGGTCTTTTAGACTTTCCTTTTGAAACACATTTTTTTTTTTCACTTAATTGTGGCCAAAGCAGTAAAACAGGAGGGAATATTTTCTCTATTTACTTGAGAGGAGATGTTTTTGTCATTTAGAAAAAGACAAAATCAAAAATGTGGACGCGTTATAGGCCCTCTTCTAGCATTGGCGTAAGATGGCTTCCAGTGGTTCATCTCAGCTCTGCAGAAGAGAAAACTAGAAAAGGTTATAGGGCTATACTGGATCACTGATGGTCAGGATAGACTTTATTCCACACACTATCCTGAAAATCAGAAAGAACCCTCGGAATTTACTTATCTGGAGTCTTTTATTAGTGAGCAACTAGGTTAGACTAGCTACTAATAAGCAGTACCTGAAAAATTAATAAAAAGCAGAAAAGAAGAAGAACACATTACGGTGGCAGGCAGACCTGTGGGTATAGGGTACACATGCATTTTATAATGAATTGGGAGAGGTCCTGTGTCTCACCCGTTTTTTTTCTTTTGACACGGAGTATCGCTGTGTCGCCCAGGCTGTAGTGCCGTGGCACGATCTTGGCTCACTGCAAGCTCCTCCTCCCGGGTTCACGCCATTCTCCTGCCTCAGCCTCTCGAGGAGCTAGGACTACAGGCGCCCGCCACCAGGCCCGGCTAATTTTTTGTATTTTGTTTAGTAGAGACGGGGTTTCACGGGGTTAACCAGGATGGTCTCGATCTCCCAACCTCATGATCCGCCCGACTCGGCCTCCCAAAGTGCTGGGATTACAAACATGAGCCACTGCGCCCGGCCTCACCCTTTCTGAAGATGTAAGCAGCTGAGATTTCTACAAACTAACCCCAAAGTTAGTAGAAGAAAATAAATAACTACAATCAGAGCAGTACTGAATGAAATTGAGACACCAAAATCCATACAAAGGATCAACAAACCACAAAGTTTTTTGTTGTTGATTATTAAAATGAGTAAATTCTATTAATCAAAATTCACCAGTAAGAGAAAAAATATCAATTTGCCAAGTGATTGTGATATATTCATAATTATAACAAATCAAGTGTCTAAAATATATCCTATATATCAATAAGAAATTGAAAGTCACGATTTAAAAATATGCAAAGGCTTAAACAGGAAAATTACAAAAAAAGGACATGTAAATATGAAAAAGCATTTAACTTTTCAATTTTAATCTAAATTATAACTAAATAGCATTAACACAACTAGCCTAAAACAGAAGTTACTAAAAAAACCTGATCACCTTCATTATCGCTGAAGGTAAAAATATCCTATGTATAATTCAGTGATTTTACATCTTGGTATATATTCAACAGAAGTATTTGAGTGTATTTATTTTAAAAAGTAAAAGAATGTTAATGCATTATTTACAATAGTCAAAGACCTTTAAAAAGCTAAGCTAAATAACTATTAATAGTAGATGGGTAAATAATTTGTTGTATATTCATGAGATAAAATGCTACCTAACAATGACAATGAACTTGGGACTGTTTTGTGTAACAAAGTGGAAAAATCTTACGTCTATAATATTGAGCGAAGATGCTGAACAAAATAGTACCTGCTACCTGATTCTATTTACATAATGTTTAAAAGTCAGCAAAAATAATCTGTGATATCTGATATCAGAGTAATGCTTATTTTTGCAAAGAAGAAAAGGGTTTTGGGGAGCAGAGTACTATAATATTTTGTAGATCTTGGTAATGATTGTATTAGTTATATATTTATATGTGTACTAGACATTTAATTTAACACCATCAAATATATTAATCTTCATTTATAAATATATCTGTTTTCCTTCTATAATTTGTCTAGAAGTGATGGACATTTTTGCTAAAGCTAAATATTTCATGTCACTATAATAAAATAAATATAGTGAATTTAATAATCCAAAAATATCTCCTTCTGCATAATATTTATGCATTCTCAACAGTCATGATAAATCAGTTTGTCTAATTTCATATTTTATACTGGAAATGCAAAGCTGTCATATCCTCAGTTAAATTTTCTTCAATATTGTGATTGTCAGAGATTCATTCTTAACACTAAAATATGACTAATACTGGTTAATCACCAAGCCAAATATTTCCCACCTCAGTGTTATTCAGAATTAAGTAGTCTCAACTGGCCACACTGACAGCTCACTTAAGTTCATAAATAGTGGTGACAAAAAGGAATGAGTTATCAGCCAACACAAAGAGAACATAGTCTCTAAGATCTCTGGGTAAACTTGCTAAAAACCTTGACTAGGCCTCAGTCTATACGGTAATGTATTTATCAGCAGAAAGATAGCCGTGAACCCTTTTAAAAAAATATTTACTGTTATCCCAGCACTTTGGGAGGCCGAGGGGTGTGGATCATGAGGTCAGGAGATCGAGACCATCCTGGCTAACACGGTGAAACCCCGTCTCTACTAAAAATAGTGGCAGTTGCCTGTAGTCCCAGCTACTGGGGAGGCTGAGGCAGGAGAATGGCGTGAACCCGGGAGGCAGAGCTTGCAGTGAGCCGAGATCCGGCCACTGCACTCCAGCCTGGGCGACAGTGAGACTCCGTATCAAAAAAAAAAAAAAAAAAAAAAAATCTTTAGCATTTACTTACTGACTGGTACATGGTCAATGAATAAACTTTGAATTTAAGGTCATGAGGCACAGCTTATTGGAGAACAGAAATTAGAAATTAGAAATACAGTAATTTTCTATCTGTATGTTTAAAACCAGGAAGCACTTAAAACCTAAACAGCTTCTTCTGAAAACTATGTTCCTTGTACATACTTTTTTTTTTTTAACAAAATACTTCAATATGAGAGAATGGGGCTATTATGAAGCACTATGTAAAGAACTAGGCTTCTTTGGAAAGAAATACTCTTGGTGTCTGTATCTCATTTTATTCCAAAAATAATGAGTAAAATTTGGTGTGTGGGGAGACGAGTGGTTTTTTTTTAGTTGCTTTGACATTTTCCAACTTTATGATAAAAGAGTAACTTAAGTTGAGACATTATATCATTTTCTCAAATGACTATATATCTTTTAATGCCAAAATATTTAGAGTATAGAACTGTTTGACAATTAACATCAAAACAAATATTGTATCCATATCTCTCTTCAAATTATTATACTTTGCTAGATTTAAAATTAGATTTTTAGGCTAAACTAAAAGCCACAAAAAATTAGTTATTTAATTTTAATATGTACATTATCAAATTTTTAAGAAGCCTCCTCATAGTCTTTTTCAAATGTTATATATTCTAGAATTAGTTTCAAAAATTATTGTCTCTATTTAAGTAACAAACCATATTATATCATATTACATAGATATATCGAATCATATATATATATTTATATATAACTTTTTGTAAATGCTACTTTAACAAAATGCCTCTCACATCTAGACATGTAAGTAATTATTGATTTCATTGGAGAATGGTAAAAAACAATAATTCATTGACCTCTAACAAGCCCTTCATTTTTAAATCTGAGCGTATTGGGATGTGGAACTTTTCGGCCGGGTGTGGTGGCTCATGCCTGTAATCCCAGCACTTTACGAGGCCGAGGCGGATGGATCACCTGAGGTCAGGAGTTTGAGACCATCCTGGCCAACCTGGTGAAACCCGGTCTCTACTAAAAATATGAAAATTATCTGGGCATGGTGGTGGGCACCTGTAATCCCAGCTACTCGGGAGGATGAGGCAGGGAGAATCACTTGAACCCGGAAGGCAGAGGTCGCAGTGAGCCCAGATCGCGCCACTGCACTCCAGCCTGGGCGACAGAGAGAGCGAGACTCTGTCTCAAAACAGAAAACAAAACAAAACACAAAAACAACAACAACAAATAACTTTTCAATGGCTTTTCAAAACATTTTATAGCAGCTGCTGTCTGAGACTATCTTTTAAAATATATTTTATATAGCAAATAGCCATGGAAAATAAAGATTAAGATAGTACAGAGGCAAATTAGTTTTCTAACCAGGATGATAAAGTTAATGTCTCCCTGAGGGACAAGGTTTTGGCAGGTATGTTAGCAGATTCTTTATATGATCAGGGTTGCCTAAGCTTGGAGTTCCTCAGCTGTGACCCAAACTGTGTGTACAAATCCCCATGGACAAATCTGCATTTCCAACATGGAACTTAACGGGAGAAGGGGAACAACACAATCCTTTAACTCATGCTACTGCTGTATAATATGTAATAGAATCCTTAGTCTTTGACAGAAGTGTCCTGTGTATTCTTCCAGCACCTATAAAACTGTAGTAGGCTACCTTGCAAGTAGAATAAAGTTGCATATTCTTCAAATTTCTTGATACAGTATTGTTGTATTTTATGTAGAAATAATATTCACTATCTAATTTATGAGGCTGTTTTGTGATTTGATATTATGGTGGAATTAGAACAACTTTGTAAAGTACTCTATAAAACAGATTTATCATTTATAAAATGTTATAAAATGTAAATGATTAAATTTATTGAAATAATAAATTATGTTTATAATTTACATAAAAGATGATAATGGTATAATTTATTTATTATTTCTAGTTATTAAAGAGAGTATTCCCTAACTTTGGTATCAGATTAAAGTCATTTTTCTAATGTCTTCTCTTTTACAAAATTATTAGAACAGACTTTTGAAGGACACACATGTAACTTAGATCAAGGCAATAGTCTTATGTAACAATATAAATTTTGTTGCTACTGCTGCTCAAAGTTATCTAGCTTTACATTGTCACTTAGTCACAAAATTCAAACTGAAAGGATAGATATTACAATTTTTAGCCACAAACGAAAATGTTGAATATTTTAAAACATCCTTTAAAACAGAAAACAATATGTTCTAAAATTTATAATGTTTCTCTGTTGCACAAGATCTGCTATTTTGGAATAAAAATGTTTTCTACTTCCTCTATAGAAACATAGTATTTATCATATCCACAATTCTAGGAAAGATATTTAAATTGGTAATTGTATCTATCTCTTTTTTTCCTGCTCCCTAATCATATTATACAAACTGGAGCATAATTTCATTGTTTACAATATTTTTTATAAGAGGGCATTAAATATCATTTCCATAATATAAACAAGAGATATCACCAAAACTCTCATCTCTGAATGACATTATTTAAAATGTCATTTATGACAAACCATTTTACATATGAATAAAATACTTGTATATGAGTGTTGGTTATAATGCATGAAGACTACCATTATTTGAAATTCATACAATTATGAACTATCTGAGGTTTACAATTTATCTAACAATGTAAACAATTAAATGTGAATTAGTAACTTGCTGCTTGATAAATATAAGTCAATTTGACCTGCTAAAGGCTATAAACCTGGAGAGTAGTAGCGAAACAAGAACATTGGAGCTATTTGATTTAAATGCAATAAAGTCTTCTTTCTTTTAAACCTGCATTTATTCATAATAAGTTTTTATATGAAGAGAATAAAGAACATCAATGAAGTATTATTCTATTATTAAATGATTTTTTTGTTCCTTTGTCTTAACATCATGGAGACAGAGTGAAATAATGAGATGGTCTACATACAAAATTGTCTAGAAAAAGCCTATTATGTTTAGGTTTTTTTTTTTTTTTTTTTAGTCCTTTTTTATCTTTTTTTGTTTTTTAGAGATGGAGCCTGGCTCTGTTGCCCAGGCTGGAGTGCAGTGACGCAATCTCGGCTTACTGCAACCTTCACCTCCTGGGTTCAAGTGATTCTCATGCCTCAGCTTCCCGAGTAGCTGGGATTACAGGTGCATGCCACCACGCACAGCTAATTTTTGTATTTTTAGTAGAGACAGAGTTTCACCGTGTTGGCCAGGCTGGTCTCAAACTCCTGACCACAAATGATCAGCCTGCCATGGCCTCCCAAAGTGCTGGGATTACAGGCATGAGCCACCGCACCCAACCTTTTTTGTTCTTAATAGAATATGGCAGAATGCTGACATTGTCACATCAGTCTCAGGACCTTAGTCACAGAAAGATGGTCTTTGTTTTGAGTATTCTTTTGTAATTGTGTATTTTGCTGCTGATTTTATATATTTGTTTGAGATATGAGCTAGCCAAAGGACCATAATTTCTCTCATTTGGATCTTAAATAATTTTTACAGTATATATTTAAATTATACAATTAAATGACATTTTGTTTGTCTATCATTTGCTGTGGTGTTTGAGATTGTATATTTCCCACATTTTTCTCACTACCTTATTTTGGCACTTTAAATTGACTCTGTGAAAGTAAATCAAGTGGATTCTTACATTTTATAATATCTGTGAAGGGCAAAATATTGCTGTGTGATATTTAGATGTCAAATAATAATGATAATTGGCACTGTGTGTTTTTTGGAAATTATGAACTGTTTTAGTGAAAAGCAAAATTACTTCAGTATTACATCTCTTAAGTATTTAAGAAAATTTAGAATTTCTTTGTATCTCAACTTTCTTATTTAATTTGGGGGGATATAAGTTAGTTAAAATTGAGTAAATAAAAAAGTTTAAAAATTAAAACAACACTTTAATCTTTTATGATTTATAAATATACCAAGAAAACTTGACATGTAAGTAAATAAAATTAATCTAACACAGCAGACATTTGACCTAATGAAAACCTACATTCATCATACTCTATAGACAGAAACATATAGATACATAAATATAGATATTTAAATATATAATGTGTTTGCATGTGTGTGTGTGTATTACACACTATGTTCAACTGGGTGTGTTATAATGTGCAGGAAATTTGGTGCAGGTGCTAGTGCTTCAAATTGTTATTCCTTCAGTTTTTTTTAAATTAAATTAAATTTAATTTAATTTTACTTTAAGTTCTGGGATACATGTGCAGAATATGCACGTTTGTTACACAGGTGTACATGTACTATGGTGGTTTGTGCACCCATCAACTTGTCATCTAGGTTGTATGCCCACATGCATTAGGTATTTGTCCTAATGCTCTTCCTCCCCTTGCCTCCCACCCGCCCCTCCGCCAGCAGGCCCCAGTGTGTGTTGTTCCCTTCCCTGTGTCCATGTGTTCTTTTTGTTCAACTCCCACTTACGAGTGAGAACATGCAGGGTTTGGTTTTCTGTTCCTGTGTTAGTTTGCTGAGAATGCTGGGTCAAGAGGTATTCGTGGTTCTAGATCCTTGAGGAATGGCTGCACTGTCTTCCACAATGGTTGAACTAATTTACACCCCCCACCAACAGTGTAAACGCTTTCCTATTTCTCTACATCTTCGCCAGCATCTGTTGTTTCCTGACATTTTAATGATTGCCATTCTAACTGGCATGAGAGGGTATCTCATTTTGGTTTTGATTTGCATTCTCTATTGACCAATGAAGATGAGGTTTTTTTCATATGCTTGTTGGATGCATAAATGTCTTCTTTTGATAAGTGCCTTTTCATATCCTTTGCCCACTTTTTGATGGGGTTGTTTGTTTTTTTCTTGTAAATTTGATTAAGTTCTTTAGATTCTGGATATTAGACCTTTGTCAGATGGACAGATTGCAAAAATTTTCTCCCATTCCATAGGTTGCCTGTTCAGTCTGATGATAGTTTCTAATCCAGTGCAGAAGCCCTTTAGTTTAGTTAGATCTCATTGGTCAATTTTGGCTCTTATTGCAAATGCTTTTGGTGTTTTAGCCATGAAGTTTTGCCCGTGCCCATGTCCTGAATGGCATTGCCTAAGTTTTCTTGCAGTGTTTTTATGGTTTTAGGTTTTATGTTTAAGTCTTTAATACATCTTGAGTTAATTTTTATATAACATATAAGAAAGGGGTCCATTTTCAGTTTTCTGCTTATGGCTAGCCAGTTTTCTATAATATACTGTATAAATGTGTGTGGGGTGTTATAAATATGAAACAACAGGTAGGCAAATGAATGCAATATAGTGATGGAAATTATCTTATTATTCTAGATCGACAGGATGAAATATAAGGAATTATCTAAAGAAATGCTGTTCATTCCATGTTATTACATGAACTGGAAATGTAGATAAGAAAGCAGTCATGTTGGCCTTTAGATGCCTGCTAGAAAGTCAGGAAATTGTCTTCTAGGAGATAGGAATTTAGTGATTCATTTTATGTGTGAGCATAAAATGCTAGATTTTATATTTTAAAAAGATTAATATATTTGAAACAACATTTGAAGCAGAGAAACCAGTTTGAAGGCAACTGACAAGGTTTGAGTGAGAGATGGTATAGGCTAAGATAATAATGAGTATGGAGGTATCCTAAGGTATATGTAATTGAAACTGACAGACAAAAATAATGCAATTTCTCCAGCAACTAACTAGACAATGTTTTAGCTACAGAAAAGTTTCATATTTGTAACATTGCAAATGCATAACACTTTACGATACATTTGTAAGATTTTAAGTTCACAACACTTCAAAACCCAGATTTTAAGATTAGTATGCAATTACAATACAAAAATAAAGTATATATTTTTATATAACAGATAGGTTACAAACCTTATGCTTCAGATGTGCAAAATATATTTTTAAATGCATAACTTACAGAATTAATACTAGCATGTAATATCTGAGAGGAAATACAGGAATGATATGAAGCTCACTTATTTTTACCCAGAACAAGCATAAACTGCACTTGCCCTTTTATTGATGCAGACACTGATAAAGGCAAATCATATTAGCAGGACTAGTGATTTGGAGTGTCTGAAACTAACAGATGCAGAATGTACTGAGCAATTCTCCATGTGATGATTAAAAATTCAATAAAGTAATGTGTCTGTCACATTTAATGGAAGGCAGCATTTAAGATAAACAGATTTATATGCCTATCTGTAATATTTTTCTTCTCTTAAAGAAGGACTGGAGCCACAGAATCTTCACATTAAAGTAAATATGATTCAATGAAAGTTCACACTATGACCGTAAACCAAACTTTTGACCTACATGCCAATTTGCATAGCTTTTGGAAAGTCTATGATGCTTAAATTGGCAAAATATAGTTAGAATGCTGAAAAATATCCAATTTAATTAGTCAAAAATTTTGGAACTGCTAACTTCAATTTGGTTTTTCAATATATTTTTATCTGATATGAAAAGTTCTGGGAATCACACTTTAACCGGAATATAAAACAAAGTTTAAGTTTATCTAAACTGATGAAAATGCAGAATGTGGTCATATAATAAAGCTGAGAAAAACTTCACTATATTTTTTGCAAAGAAGAGATTTTGTAGTTGTTTTCAAATATACAAATATTTGCCACTTGGCTAAGATATTCAATTTGCTCTCTATCAACTTAAAGTACTGGTATTAACAAATGGAAACTTTCAGGATGACTTTTGTTAAAAATAGGCAAAAAGTTTCAAAATTTCAGTGAAATCCAAGTATGGAGATATTATCAGCAAGAGACTGAATTTCAACCACGTAATGATTATGACTATTAAAAGAATCAGTCTACTCTTTTTTAATCACTTCATTCAAATAAGTGGAAGCCCATGTGCCTGAAAACATAAGCTTGAATTTTTAATTACCCCTGGATAATACAGTTGTGAAAAATATGGGATATTTTTATCAGGTAAAAGGCTGAGTCTAGAAATTTCCTTGCTTTCAGGAATAATTATTTTGCTTTGGGTGTCTAGAAATCAATTTGTATTTGGGAATAGAACTACTAATCACTTCCCAGATTTCATGCAATATATTTCAAATAAAGGGCATAGAGGTACTTCTGGTTACCAAAGTTTTGACAATGAATGTAATGTTTATAAAAAGTATTAGAGAGATTATTCTCAAATAGAGGTAATCTAATTAGGAATCTAAAAATAAAATATGTTTTCCCTCTCTTAAGCACTTTTCATTGTTTAGAGGACTGAAGCTTATTTGTGAATGAGTTGAGGGCAGGGCTGGGCTAAAACTCCTCAATTATACTTTTCTTTATTTCATTTATACTGGCCAGAGGTTCTTAACATTAACTCTAATCGTGAACTTTTTTATGTCTTTGCATTTTAAGTAATATTATATTTCTTTTCTAGATAGAAAAACAAAACAAATATGTATACAAAGGCACACAGACATATATATATATATATTTTGCTGTAATTTGATACACTGAAATTTGTAAAATAAACTTTTTTGTTAACTGCATTCAATATTCCTGTTACAGGATGTGTGCCTAACAGACAATTATGGAATATATAAGTATTGTATAGTGCTCATTGTCTCATGGTAGTTTTTGTGAAAATTGTTGAATTTAATTTAAAAGTGTTAAAAAACTTACTGGAACCAATTCAATGTAGTCAAAAAATTATTAAACTCATAAAACATTTAAAAGCTTTAAAGATTAATAAAAATGAAATTCTATGATGTTAGATATTACTAAAAATGACTGTTTGAAAGATCATCAAATCTTTTCAAATTGTATTATTTTAATGTAATTATTATAAATGATAATATAAAATAAATCATAATATACAACCAAACTATGGTTTGGTTTCAGCTTTATAAATGTAGAAATTGGATTTTGTTTTTATAAAAGTCGACTCATTTGAACAGTTCACATAAATAAACATGTATTTATGCATGTGTATGTATATATAGTATTTGAACTGACCAAATGTGGGTACAACTAACACATTTATCAGCAACATATTTTAACAAACGAAATTTTGGGTCAAAGATTCACTGACATCACTTTGTGAAGGAAAATATTTCACTAATGAAAGATATTACTTACTGTAATCCTATTTAAGGGTCTTTTGAATCTCTTCACTATTAGGCAAAGAATAGTGAGAAAATACACACACATGAAATGCTTAAAGCAAAGCATGTCATGAGGTAGCCATCTACAAAATAAAGTCAATGTTTTTAAACATTTGCCTTTGTGTAATTTTAATAACATCATTTTTTCCTTGATTAAAAATATATTTTTAAATAGATTTTAATTTTTAGAGCAGTTTTAAGTTCATGTAAAAATTGAGTAGCTGACATCAAAGCCTGGCAGAGACACAACAAAAAAAGAGAATTTTAGACCAATATCCCTGATGAACATCGATGCAAAAATCTTCAATAAAATACTGGCAAACCAAATCCAGCAGCACATCAAAAAGAATATTCACCATGATCAAGTGGGCTTCATCCCTGGGATGCAAGGCTGGTTCAACGTATGCAAATCAATAAATGTAATCCAGCATATAAACAGAACCAAAGACAAAAACCACATGATTATCTCAATAGATGCAGAAAAGGCCTTCGACAAAATTCAACAGCCCTTCATGCTAAAAACTCTCTATAAATTAGGTATTGATGGGACGTATCTCAAAATAATAAGAGCTACTTATGACAAACCCACAGCCAATATCATACTGAATGCGTAAAAACTGGAAGCATTCCCTTTGAAAACTGGCACAAGATAGGGATGCCTTTATCACCACTCCTATTCAACATAGTGTTGGAAGTTCTGGCCAGGGCAATCAGGCAGGAGAAAGAAATAAAGGGTATTCAATTAAGAAAAGAGGAAGTCAAATTGTCCCTGTTTGCAGATGACATGATTGTATATTTAGGAAACACCATCATCTCAGCCCAAAATCTCCTTAAGCTAATAAGCAACTTCAGCAAAGTCTCAGGATACAAAATCAATGGGCAAAAATCACAAGCATTCTTATACATCAGTAACAGACAAACAGAGAGCCAAATCATTAGTGTACTCCCATTCACAATTGCTTCAAAGATAATAAAATACCTAGGAATCCAACATACAAGGAATGTGAAGGACCTCTTCAAAGAGAACTACAAACCACTGCTCAAGGAAATAAAAGAGGACACAAACAAATGGGAGAACATTTCATGCTCATGGATAGGAAGAATCAATATCGTGAAAATGGCCGTACTGCCCAAGGTAATTTATAGATTCAATGCCATCCCCATTAAGCTACCAATGACTTTCTTCACAGAATTGCAAGAAACTACTTTAAAGTTCATATGGAATGGAAAAAGAGCCCACATTGCCAAGACAATCCTAAGCCAAAAGAACAAAGCTGGAGGCATCATGCTACCTGACTTCAAACTATACTACAAGGCTACAGTAACCAAAACAGCATGGTGCTGGTACCAAAACAGAGATATAGACCAATGGAACAGAACAGAACCCTCAGAAATAATATCACACATCTACAACCATCTGCTCTTTGACAAACCTGACAAAAACAAGCAATGGGGAAAGGATTCCCTATTTAATAAATGGTGCTAGGAAAACTGGCTAGCCATATGTAGAAAGCTGAAACTGGATCCCTTCCTTACACCTTATACAAAAATTAATTCAAGATGGATTAAAGACTTAAATGTTAGAGCTAAAACCATAAAAACCCTAGAAGAAAACCTAGGCAATACCATTCAGGACATAGGCATGGGCAAGGACTTCTTGTCTAAAACACCAAAAGCAATGGTAACAAAAGCCAAAATTGACAAATGGGATCTAATTAAACTAAAGTTCTTCTGCACAGCAAAAGAAACTACCGTGAGAGTGAGCAGGCAACCTACAGAATGGGAGAAAATTTTTGCAATCTACTCATCTGTCAAAGGGCTAATATCCAGACTCTACAAAGAACTCAAACAAACTTTCAAGAAAAAAACAAACAACCCCATCAAAAAGTGGGCGAACAATATGAAAAGACCCTTCTCAAAAGAAGACATTTATGCAGCCAAAAGACACATGAAAAAATGCTCATCATCACTGGCCATCAGAGAAATGCAAATCTAAACCACAATGAGATACCATCTCACACCAGTTAGAATGGCAATCATTAAAAAGTCAGGAAACAACAGGTGCTGGAGAGGATGTGGAGAAATAGAAAAACTTTTACACTGTTGGTGGGATGGCAAACTAGTTCAACCATTGTGGAAGACAGTGTGGCGATTCCTCAAGGATACAGAACTAGAAATACCATTTGACCCAGCCATCCCATTACTGGGTATATACCCAAAGGATTATAAATCATGCTGCTATAAAGACACATGCACATGTATGTTTATTGCGGCACTATTCACAATAGCAAAGACATGGAACCAACCCAAATGTCCAACAACGATAGACTGGATTAAGAAAATGTGGCACATATACACCATGGAATACTATGCAGCCATAAAAAAGGATGAGTTCAAGTCCTTTGCGGGGACATGGATGAAGCTGGAAACCATCATTCTCAGCAAACTATCTGAAGGACAAAAAACCAAACACCGCATGTTCTTACTCATAGGTGGGAATTGAACAATGAGAACACTTGGACATGGGAAGGGGAACATCACACACTGGGGCCTGTCGTGGGGTGGGGGAAGTGGGGAGGGATAGTAGTAGGAGATATCCCTAATGTAAATGAGGAGTTAATGGGTGCAGCACACCAACATGGCACATGTATACATATGTAACAAACCTGCACGTTGTGCACATGTACCCTAGAACTTAAACTATAATTAAAAAAAATTGAGTAGAAGAAAGTATGGAATTCTCACATACCGCCTTCCTGCACATATGCACAGCTTTCTAATATCTTTCACCAAAATGATATTTGTTACAGTCAATGAGCCTACACTGACATGCCATTATCACTCAAATTACACTGTACACTAGGGTTCACTCATGGTGGAAAATATGCTGTGAGTTTTAAGAAAAATAGAAGGGAATATATCCACCATTATACTTTCATATGTAATAGATTAACTGCCCTAAAAATCCATTGTAATCTGCGTATTCATCTCTTCCTCCCTTCAATCCCTGGAAATCACTGATCTTTTTTATTGTCTCCATGATTTTACCTTATGCAAAGTATCATATAGTTGGAATCGTAGGTTACGTAGAGTTTCAAGATTGGCTTTTTTTCACTTAGTAATATGCACTTAAATTTCTTCTATGTATTTTCATTAATCTATAGCTAATATATTGTTATTGCTGAATAATATTCTGTTTTATGGTTATATATCAATTTGAACATTCACCTATTGAAAGACATTTTATTACTTTAAAGTTTTGGCAATTATGAATAAAGTTGCTATAAACATCTTTGTGTAGGTTTGTTGTGGCCATCAGTTTTAAATACCTTTGAGTAACTTCCAAGGTTCACAATTGGGGGATCATATGCTAAGAGTATGTTTAGATTGATAAGAAACTGCCAGTCTTTCTTTCAAACTGGCTGTATAGTTTTGCACTCTCACCAGCAGTGAATGAGAGTTCTTGTTACTCCATCTCTTTGCCAACATTTTTCCTTGTTATTATTACAGATTTTGGCCATTCTAATGTGTGTAGCGGTACCTCGTCATTGTTTTAATTTTCATTTCCCTGAGACTCTGATGTGGGACATCTTTTCATATGCTTATTTGGAATCTAAATGTTTTCTATGGTGAGATATCAATTAAGTTCATAGGCCCATTTTTTGAAAAAAAATCTGGCTCTTAAATTTTCCTATTATTTGGTTGTAAGAAATCTTTGCATATTTTAAATAATAGACTTTTATCAGATATGTGTTTTGCAAATATTTTCTTTCAGTCTGGCTTGTCTTCTCATACTTTTTATAGACTTAAGTTCTAAATCTTCTCTTTCTTAACTTGGAGAATTAATATGATTCAGTAATAATGTGTTACCCAGTGCACTGATTAATGTTTTTTTTTTTTTTCTTAGAAAGAGTTGAGGAAGACTAAATAAAAACAGGTAACAAACTAAGGGTCAAGATGTCTGTGTACTATACAGTTCAAAGGATAATATTTACATAACCTCTTATTTTAGAGGCCTGTGGTATACAACACAGGTCCCTGAACCTACCACATCAGTTTCACATAAATCAATCTTCCACCTGTTTCGTGAATTCTACTATAAAATATCTTGCCTAAATAATGTGACAGATTAAGTTTTCAATATAATAGCTACTGTAGTATATATGTGAACATATTTGATCTTAAATTTTAAAAGGAATTATGGAGGAAGTTAAAATTTAAACATTGTGGTAAATTCCATAATTAAATAAAAAAGCAGACAAATAGAGGAAAAAAATGTCTAGAATACCAAAAAAGTAAATAAAAATCCCGGGAGAAGCATACAAAGATGACATAAATAATGTACATATCACAAAGTACAGTACTGACGTGCAAAACATATTGATATATGAAGCCTGGAAAATGATTGTGAGCTTAAAACTTTGAAGACAATTATTTAGAATTTATAGCCCAGGCTTTAACAGTGATAGTGTCAAAATAAAACTTTGAAGTATCTTTTACGCTTGGTGAATATGATTAAAAAATGCCAATTTTGAAATAAATTTATGACTGCAGCATTTCTGATATATCTTCTCATTTAATGTTTCTTTGGATGCAATGTTATTTTGAAAACTCTCAACTAAAGGCCTATAAATTGATAAAAATGTCAAATAATGTTTCTCTGAACAAACATTTCTAAGAAGAAAATTTATATTTTAGATACAGTCATTTACTTTTCAAAGTTATATTTTTTTTACATAGTGTAAATCTCAATCCTATTGAGTATCTGTTGCCTTCCATGCTTATTTTGCTTTTAGTTATGCCTATTTCTAAAGTATATTATTATAAAATCAAGTTTATTGCTTGATTTTATAATAATCTAAATATTAAAATCTTTAGATTGACTTAATACAATGTATTTTTATTAGTACTTAACAAAGTGAAAATATTTTAAAATGAATTAAGCTGTTATTTAATAACTGTAAACCAAAAAAGAAAGTGGATTACTTAAATATATATTTTGTTCTTTTCCCAAAATCAGATCTACTTGTTGGAGTATTGTGATATGAGGACAATTTAGTTATCAAGGCAATATTGAAATTTGTTTCCTTTTTAATAATGTAAATTTTATGCAATTCTAAGTGAAACATTTCATCAAAACCTGGCTGATGATTTTTGGTAGAAGGTCTAAGAACAGGAATTAAGTTTCCTAAAGCAATGTGCATTTTAAAAGTTCTATGACCTTAAGCTATTATTCACAATATATTAAGAAACGCAAATTCTATGATATCATGTAATCTATTGAAATTATTTTTTATGTTTGACCAAGCTATCAAATTTTGAGTAGAATATAGGTACTAAGTGATCTATATATATATATATATTTTTTTTTTTATTTTTTTTTTTGAGGCGGAGTTTCGCTCTTGTTGCCTAGGCTGAATGGAGTGCAGTGGCACAATCTCGGCTCATTGCAACCTCCGCCCCCCGGGTTCAAATGATTCTCCTACCTCAGCCTCCTGAGTTGCTGAGATTACAGGCACCTGCCACCATGCATGGTTAATTTTTTGATTAGTAGAGATGGGGTTTCATCAGGTTGACCAGGCTGGTCTTGGACTCCTGACCTCAGGTTATCCCCCACCTCGGCCTCCCAAAGTGCTGGGATTACAGGCTTGAGCCGCCACACCTGGTCAGTGGTGAATTTTTAATTTGCTCTGTTATGTACTTCTTTCTAAGTAAAGTTTATGCCGGTATACTTAGAACGTGGGCAGTCAACTGGCATACACAGATATTAAAAAGTTAAACCTTACTGATAAAACAGTTTTGCTTCATTAAATATGAATGATAAAACTATTTTATTAATCATTTTATGGTTATAAGGTCTTAATGTCAGTGATAAGGTAGAGGTTTTTTACAAGGCTTCCTACTATTTCTCCAATATATTTATTTAATTTTCGCCTGCTAGGTGAAAAGAAAAAAAATTTGACTACAATGGATGTGTAGTAGAGGAAGATTCAAGGAAAGGGGGATTTCTTGTATAATGATATGGCTGTTCTTTCTTCATTTATTTGATTCTGAAGTAATAAGCTTTCCTTTATTGGTAATTCTTACATCTGTCTAAATACTGTGCCATTGTACTTTCCCCCTGCCCTTTGCTTGGTGGAACATTGTTAGATAATGGGCAAAATAACTTAGTGGTTTAGACTGAAATATGGACTCTAGATCCAGTGTCCTGAGTACACATACCAGCTCTGTGACTTGTGACTGTTCACTTTTGGGCAATGAACCACTTTGTGCCTCAGTTTCATCAGAATGATACATTTTTCATAAGACTCTTGTAAGGATTAAATGTGCCCATCCCAGCCAGAGTAGGTGTGATATTTTGTTTGCAATCATCATCACACCATCATCATGTCATCATCATCACCTTTATCATCATCACATTAATTTCATGTACCCTAAGATATTAAAAAAATGAAAAAAAATACTTGACAACAATCATACATACTGGGACGTAATTTGAGCAATGGTACTATGCCATGATTAGAATACATATGCTTAATAAAAGTTATGCAATCTTTCAAAACTTTTGTGAGGTAAATTTTATATGCCATAATGTCACACATCTTGAGTGATCAGTTTGATAAAGTTTGATGATGCATAAAGTTTTAAAACTACCATCACAATCGAGTTGCAGAACATCCCATTACGTTGAAGTGTTCCTTCATTTCCTTTGTGTCATTCTTCAACCAGCACAAGCAACAATTTTCGAGAAATAATTTCATATAAATTTGATTATAGTGTGTGTAATATTGTGTCATTCTTATTTTTCCTAGTATAATAATTTACAGATTCATATTTTTTGTTCAACAGCATATTCATTACGAGTACTAAAAAGTTTCCAATCATATGCATAAACCACTTTTTATTTACCATTCTTGAGTTGATCAACATTAGGCTTTCCAGTTTGGAGCTATTCTTTTCCTAGTATCTGTAAGGACATGTATTTATTTAATTGGGTGGATATATAGAAGTAAAATGTCCAGACTATATGGTAGGCTGTGTTTAACCTTGTAAATTTTTGACGAACTGTTTTCCACTGTGTCTCCAAAATTGTGCATTTATCCAGCAATGAATAATAGTGTTCAGTTGATTAAATCCTCACCAATCCTTTGAAATAGCAGTTCCATTTGAATTCTGATATATGTGTTTCAATGTATCATTGTGGATATACATAAATTCCATTTTCTATTGACCAGTAAGATCCAAATTTCAAGTACTTCTTTTCCTCTAGATATTCTCTTTAGTGAGGTTTTTGTTTAAATATTTTACTTGTTTTGTTTGCAGTTTGTGCTCTCTATCATTTTATACTTTCAATAATAATAATATTCTCAGTATGATAGCTTACAAAAGGTCTTAAGAACAGTAATGTCCTCCAATTTGTTCTTCAACATTTTCTTGTGTATTCTTTTCTCCTTATATTTCCATACAAATGTTAAAAATAGCTTGTTTATAACAAAAAACGCTGAGATTTTATTGCAGTGCATTGAATCTATTATCTTTTAAGAAAAAATTATCTGCTGTATAATACTGAGTGTTTCATAACATAAGCATATCAATACTTCCATTTGTTTTGTTCTATGTTGATTTAAATTAATAATGTATCTTTAGTTGTATAATAAAGCACACCAAAATGTACTGTCTTAAAAATGCCACAATTTATTTAGCCTATGTGTCAGAGATGTGTAGTCTTGACTGGATTTACTCAGGCATTTGGGGTCAGCTAGTAAAAGATTTATGGACCTGTTGGCCTAGAATGGCCTCACCCAGGATGTCATGTCTTTGATATACCTTTTCTTATATTCCAGCAGACTAACTCAAGCTTCTTCACGTGGCATTTTCAGTCCAAGAGATACAGCAGAGGTGTGCAAATTTATTGATCACTATCTTTAGAAGAAACACTGTCCTGGATGGTGCATTGAATTACCAAAATAAGGTCATTCCTGGTTGAAGAAGGAAGGAAGTAGATGCTACCTCTTGATGAAAGAAGATGTAAATTACATTGCAAAGGACATGGATTTAGAGAAGGAAATAGTTATGACTACTTTTCCAACTATATACTACACTTCATAATGTTAGAATTTTTAGCACTTTAAGTCCATCTTTCCTCTTTTCATCTTTCAGGTAATTGTCATCTATTTTATTTCTACATTTGCTTAACCCTAAAAGACTTTACAATAATTGTTTAGAATCATCAACATTCATGCAGTTCATAAAAGTTTTATTTTAGTTGCTCTGTATTTATTTCTATACTCTCTTTTGTTTTGTTTGCTTTCCATTATGTTTACAAATTTATTTTAGAATATTTTAGTGCAAATTTAAAATGAAAACCTCTCTCACTTACGTTAAGCCTAAGAAATATTTTATTTGTCTTCATTTTTAATGTTAGTTTAACAGGATAAAAGTTGCAATTATTTTCCCTTATAATTTAAAATTCTCAATATGTTTTTAAAAATTAATTTACTTCTGTCAACAAGTCAAATGCAATTATTTTTTTAAAAAATAATTTTTAAATAAAAACACAGTAATGTGTTGCTTAACAATGGGGACTTGTACTGAGAAACGTGTCCTTCAGTGATTGTGTGTTGTGGGAACATCATAGAGTGCACAAACCTAGATGGTAGAGCCTACTATACACCTAGGTTACATGGGATAGCCTCTTGTTCCTAGGCTACAAATCTGTACTACATGTTACTGCACTCAATACTGTAGGCAAATGTAACACAGCAGTAAATACTTAAATATCTAAACATAGAAAAGGCACCGTAAACATACAGTATTCTAATCTTATGGGACCACAGTTGTATATGTTGTCTGTTGCTAACTGAACATCCAGTGGTTCATGACTGTATTAAAAATTTGGATTAAATGGGATGTGGATAATTACAGTATTAAGAAATCAATCATTTATAAAGTCACTTATTCTGAGTTACCGTCAACGGAGAAATTTGTGTATTGACTATTTAATAATAAAAAATTATAACTATAAAAAATTCAAGTCAATTTTATTGAGGTATAATTTACATATTAGGGTGCACCATTTTACATGTACATTTGAAAACTTTTGACTTATTTACATCTTTATGCAATAGAATTGTGAGATTATCAATATAGGGAATATTTACATCATTCTAAAATGTTTCCTGTGTCCTTACTCTGAATTAATTTTCCATTCATCCCTGGTCCTAGACATCCATTGATGTGCTTTCTGTCACAATATATTTGTCTTTTACATATTTTAATATAAATGAAGTAATATATTGTGTACTCTTTTATGTCTAGTTTATTTCACACAACATAAGAATGCTGAGCTACATTTATGTGCTACCTGTTTCATAGGTTATTTATTATTGCTGAGTAGTATTCAATTTTATGGGTATACTACGATTTGTTTATTCATTCCCCTGCTAATGGTCATTTGAATTATTTTCAGATTTTGGTTAGTGTAAACAAAGCTACAGCACTAGGACCTTTTGCATACAAGTTTTTGTGTAGAAATATATTTTTATTTCTCTTACGTAATATTTAAGAGGGGCAGTGATGAGTCTTGCAGTACAGGTGTGTTTAACTTTATAAGACATTTGTGTTAAGTTGTGTCTTGTGTCAAATTATTTGTCTGCCTTTATGGAGAAAAACCATATGGGTTCTCTTCATAAGTCTGTTAATATAGTGAAATACAATAATTGAATATCAAATGATAAATATTCAACCACTTGGCCCATGGATGTATTGTCCTTTTAATACATTGCTGGGAAGGAGAGAAACTCTCTCCAATTGGTTAGAGGGTGGGGCAAAGAGGGAAATAAGTGTGAGTTTTTCCTGGGAACACAGGGAATTCTCCCTGATCACCCTCAAGTACATCAGGTCTGAGTATCTAAGAGTATTCAAAAGGGTCAGAGCATAATTGGATGTTAGGTGCCCTTAAGTGCTAAACTGGCTGTAATGATCACAGACAGGGAATGCAACAGTCAATTCCCTTTGAATTTTTTGAAAGCCCTTTGGAAAGGCTGGGTACAAACAAAGAGAGGCTGTGAAGATCAGAAAAAATAACTAATTCTTTATTTAGCAGACTTGTCAACAAACATCCATAATCATCAAGAACATTCAGGAAAATATGACCTCACCAAATAAGGACTAAATAAGGCACTAGTGAGTGACACTGGAGTGATGTAGATGTGTGACCTCTCCAGAAATCGAAAAAAAGAAATCTTGAAGGTAAAACATATAATTTATGAACTGAAAAATGCATCACAGTGTCTCAACTGCGTAATCAATCAAGAGAAAGAAAGAGTCAGTGAGCTTTAAGACAGGTTATTTTAAAATACACACTCAGAGGTGAGGGAAAAAAAAGAAAAGAATAGAAAATGAACAATGTTTGGGAGATTTAGAAAATAGAAGCAGATGGGCAAATATAAGTCATTGTTCTTAAAATGGGGGCAGAGAGATAGGAATAGAAAGTTTATTCAAAGAAACAATAACACTGACCTTTTTAATACTAGAGAAATCATTAATATCCAGGTACAGATAGTTCAAAAATCACCAAGCAAATTCAACTCAAATAAGACTACTCAAAGGCATATAATATATTAAACTTGCAAAGGCTGATGACAAAAAGAGTATTCTAAAAGCAGCATAGAAAAGAAGAAAAGAACATTTAAAGGAGCTCTGATACATCTGACAACAGACTTTGCAACAGAAACTTTACAGGCCAGAAGGGAATGGGATAACACATGCAAAGTGCTGATGAAAAAAAAAAAAAAAAAGAACAAGAAAAATAAAAACTTCCAAAAGCTTTACTGTATCAAGAAAAGCTATCTTTCAACATAAATAAAGACTTTCCCAAACAAACAAAAGCTGAGCAAATTTATCACCACCAGACTTCTCTTATAAGAAATGCTAAAGGGAGTTCTTCAGTCTGAAAAGATAAAAGATTCTTACATAAAGCAAGATATTATCATCATCATCATCTGTAAAACTCACTGGTAAGAGTAAGTACGCAAATTTAGAATACTCTGATACCGTAATGATAAACTACCATTACTTCAGTATGGTACTTTAGTATCTTTAGTATGAAGACTAAACGACAACACTATAAAAATTATAACTATAGCAATTTCTTAAGAGATAGATATAAAAAGATATAAATTGATACGCAAAAATTCAAAATACAAAGGAGATGGAATTAAAGTATAAAGTTTTATATTTTAATTCGTTCTTTCTTTGTTTCTCTTATTTGTGATCAAAATTAACTTGTCAGCAGTTTCCAATAACTTGTTATAACTACAAGATTTTAAACCTGATGGTAACCACAAAGCAAAAACTTAGACAACTCTTCTAATAAAATAATGAAAAGTATGCGATGTCAGCAGGGTGGCTGACTAAAGGGGTCTAGCACTTATCCCCCTCTTAAAAAGACCAAGGCAATGAGCAAACAACTAAAATTCAACTGAAATATGTGAGGCACAGCACTAGAGTGAAGCAGCAAAGTGACAAGTTTCTTGCAGAGCATGAAGACCCAGGATAACAATATAGAGATGAGAGCTAGGCATCCGGTCTCTGCTGCCTTGTCTCTCCCAATCTAATTATCTCAGAACCAAGATAATCTTCCTATTATAGGTAGAATATAAGCAGAAGACCCCATCAGTCACCACTGCAAATGCAGACATCTACAGTCCTTACTACAGGAAAGTACCACAGTATTCACAAAGTCCTGGCCTAGTTTAGGAAACTGTCTGGACTTCATGTGGCTGCATTGCCACATGATTAGGAGCAAAAGTTGTGCACTATCCACCCCCTTCATGATCCAAAATGCTGAAACATGATACCATCTTAAAACCAGAGCCACTGCTGGAATGTGCTCTGCTCGGGGGAAAAGTAGCTACTTTGCATCTTACCTTTGGGGCTCTTTCATTATTCCACTAAGCCAACACAAAGCCCTGCTGCTCAAAGCCTCAGCCCTGGGCCCTGGGTTATAACTTCAGCCTCATACATCAGGGAAGCAAATTACGGGCCAGCTAAACCAATGTGTACTCCTGACAAGAGAAGCCCTGAGCAAACCTGCCCCTTGAGCCAGGCAAGCAGCTGCATACTACTGCCACTGGTGAGAAACAACCCAGCACACCAGCCTCTGGTGGTCATTTCTTAGGGCCAGTCAAGCAGCTGTACTCCTGTGCCCCCACCAACACAGTCTGATGGATTTGCTCTGAAGAAAATTGCCTGTGATCCAGCCAAGCAGCAGAGGGTCCATATCTGGCCTGAGAATCAGCTCAGTGAATCTGCCTTCAGTAAACACCCCCAGAGATGTCTCAAGCAGCTGCTAGCCCAGCTTCCAGTCCGAGAAACAACCCAGCAGACACAGGAAACAAGAAAAAGAAAGGAAACATGATACCTCCAAAGGAACAAAGTAATTATCTGATAACAGGCCACCAAAAAAGAAAATATACAAAATGGCAGAAAATAAGTTTAGAATGATTTAGGAAAATACAGACAGGCAATTCAACTAAATCAGTAAAACAATTCATTATATGAATGACAAATTTAACAAAGAGATAGATATCCAAAAAAGAACCACATAGAAATCTTGGAGTTTAATAACTTAATGAATGAAGTTAAAAAAAATATCATTAAGAGTTTCAGCAACTACCTAGAGAAAGCAGAATAAATAATTTTTGAATTTGAAGACAGGTCTTTTGAAATAGTGCAGTCAGATAAAGAAAGCAAAACCAAAACAAAAGAATAAAAAAGAATGAAGGGCCGGGCGCGGTGGCTCACGCTTGTAATCCCAGCACTTTGGGAGGCCGAGGTGGGGGGATCACGAGGTCAGGAGATCGAGACCATCCTGGCTAACACGGTGAAACCCCGTCTCTACTAAAAATACAAAAAAAATTAGCCGGGCGTGATGGTGGGCGCCTGTAGTCCCAGCTACTCGGGAGGCTGAGGCAGGAGAATGGCGTGAACCCTGGAGGCGGAGCTTGCAGTGAGCCGAGATTGCGCCACTGCACTCCCGCCTGGGCCACAGAGCGAGACTCCGTCTCAAAAAAAAAAAAAAAAAAAAAAAGAATGAAGAAAGACTACAGAACTATGGAACACCACTAAGTAAAAAATGTTTGTATTTTGAGAGTTTCAGAAGGAAAACAGAACAAAACAAAAGAGTCAAATCACATGTGAGGAAATCCTTATTAGACTGATAGCAGATTTCTCAGCAGAAACCTTACAATTCAGGCGAGAATGGGACAATATATTCCAGTACTGAAAATAGAAAAAACAAAAAAGACAAACCAAAAAAAAAAAAAAAAAATTCTGCCCACAAAGAAGAGTATGCACAGAAAAGCTATTCAGAAATAAATGAATAAAACAAATTCTTTCCCAAAAAAACAAAGACTAAAATAATTCACCTGTAGACGGGCCTTAGAAGAAATGCCTAAGGGAGTCATACATCTGGAAGCAATAGATGATAACCACCACCATGAAAATATGATAAATTATAAAAATTCACTGGCAGAGCAGTTAGAAAGAGAAAGGAATCAAACTTTATCACTACAGAAAACCACAAAACAGCTAAAAGAAACAGTAAAAGAGGAAAAGAACAAAGGATGTAGAAAGCAGCCAAAAAGCAACTAATACAATGACAGGAGTAAGTCCTTACCTATCAATATTACTTTGAATATAAATAAGTAAAATTCCCCAGTTAAAATATATAAATCGACCAAATTGATAAAAATGCAGGACCCAACTTTATTTTGTCAGTGAGAAACTCACTTCACATAGAAAGGCACACATAAACTGAAAGTGAAGGGATGAAAATAAATATTCCATGCAAATGGAAACAAAAATGAGCAGGAATAACTATACTTACGTCAGATAAAACAAACTATATGATCATCTCAATATATTCAGAAACAACACTTGACAAAATTTAACATCACTTCACGATAAACAGTTTCAACAAATTAGATATAGCAGAAACACACCACAACACAATAATGGCCATATTTGACAAACCCACAGTTAACATCATACTGAACAGGAAAAAAAATAGAAAGTTTTACTATATGAACTGAAACAGGATAATAATACTCAGTTTCACCATTCCTACTCAACATAGTACTTGGAGTTCTAGCTAGAACAATTAGACAAGAGGAAGAAAAGAGCATTCAAGTAGAAACTAAGGAGGTCTATTTGTCTCTATTTGCAGACAACATGGTCGGATATGTAGAAAAACCTAAAGATGTCACCAAAAAACACTTAGAACTGATAAACAAATTCAATAAAGTTGCAGAATACAAACTAAAGATTTAAAAAATTGGTAGCATTTTTATACATTTACAATGAACTAGCTAAAACTGCTTCTAAAGATTGAGCACTATTGGTGGTAATATCAATTAATACAATCATTATGGAAAAAAGTATGAAATTTCCTCAAACAACTACAAAAAAATCCTACCATATGATCCAAAAATTCTACTACTGGGCATAAAATCAAAAAACAAAATGGAAATGAGTACAGTGAAAAAACACCTGCACCGCCATGCTTAATGTAGCAATATTGAAAATAGCCAATGTAAGGCTAAGTGTCCATCAACAGCTAAATGTATAAAGAAAATATGCCATATATAAAAACTGGAATATTATTTATCCATAAAAGTGAATGAAATCCTGTTATTCATGGCAACATGGACAAGCCTAGAGGACATTATGTTAAGCAAAATAAGTCAGAAACAAGACAAATAAATACCATATATTCTCACGAATATGGAAGCTGAAAACGTTGATCTCATAGAAGTAGAGAGTAAAATAGTCATTACTAGAGGTTTGGAAGGGTAGTAGTAAGGAGAGTTAGGGAGAAGTTGGTTAAAGAATACAATATTACAGGAGGAATCAATAATAGGAGGAATCACTTTTGGTGTTCTACAGTAATATAGGATGACTATAGTTAACAATAATTTATTACGTATTTTCAAATAGAACAGAAGATTGTAAATGTCCCCAAGACAAAGAAATAATAAATGCTTGAACATGTTAATTACTTAAATTTGACTACTTCACATTATATGTATAGAAATATTACTATGTACCTCACAAATATTTATAATTTTTCTATGCCAATTAAAATAATAATAATATTTTCTAAAAGATCTGCAAGACTATATAAGTCCTCAAGAAAAGGATAGAAACTGAGAAGGGGGCCAAGTACAATGTCTTGGTAGTTGAATGAAGAAAGTATTTCAAGAAGGAGGAAAATATCAACTGATCAAATATTACTGAAAGTTTAAATAGAGAAAAAGTTGACCATGGGATTTGGCAAAATAAAGACTGAGAGCAAACTCAAAGAAAAAGGAAAAATGAGAAATAGAAACACCTTTAACCAGCTACATTATTAAAATCTATTAAAATTGGCCATGGATTATGTACTTGTTTTAATGCATATATGATGCCTATGTTTAAAATTAGTTTTTCATATTGAAGTTTAATATACTCCTAATGATAAAAATAAATTTAATTAAACATAAGCCATAAGTAATTTGAAGGGCATAAGCTTTTCATATTTAAAACAAATCTGGAGTGGGTAATTAAATGTATCTGATAAAATGTTCGATTTGATTAAATCACCCATTCTCAATTTTACACATTTCTTTATAAAAGTTGATAGTTATTAGCGACTCTTGACATGCTGAGAAGATGTAGACTTTATTACAGTGGCAATCTTTCTAAGTTTCATGATCAAAGACTTTCTCCATTTTTTCTTTACTTTTTAAGAAGATAGACATAAGTTTTCATTCAAGTTGAAGTAATATGAATAAATCTTAAGATGCCATGTGGAACATTGTCTTAATCAAAGCAATAAAATGTTGCAAGTTATATTTATTTAAGATGCTTCCAATCTCTCAAAGACTAAAAAATATATATATACAAATCAACTGGAATGTATCAAGTGTTTAAATACTCTTTCCTCTACTAATTTCTCAAAATAATTTTTGGTACACATTCTCATTTCTTAACGTCTTCCCTTTTAAAGGACCATCCTTCAATTTTCTTGGAGAACTCATCCAATTTAAGAGTTTACATTTTCCCTTTCCATATATCAAAACATACGGCTTTTTGCTTCCCCTGGAGAAATTCTTCCTATCTGTACCCCAAAATTGGGAAAAAGTGAATGTATTTTGCAAGTGGGGTTGAAATAAATCTTGGAAGCCCAAGGAAGGAATGTGGTAGACAGAAGAATGCATTGTTAAAATGTTTATATCCTAGTCCTTGGAACCTGTGAAAATGTTAACTTACATGGCAAAGGAGATTTTGCACATGTGATCAAGTTAAACATCATGAAATATAAAATTTTCATGGATTATTTGGATGATACAATGTAATCATATGGGTCCTTATAAGAGGGAGCCTGGAGAATCAGAATCAAAAAAGGAGATATGGTGACAGAAGCAGAGATCAGACAGAAACTGAAATATGAAGATGTTATGTGCTGGTTTTGAAAATGTAAGAGGCCATAAGCCATGGAATACAGATTGCCTTTAGAAACTGAAAAAGGCAAAGAAATGGATTCTCTCTGCAACCTATTATCTTCGATTATCTCCAGAAGACTGTAACCCTGACAAAAAATTGACTTCAGGATTTGACCTCCAGAACTATAATATAATAATACTTTTGTATTGTCATAGCCATTAAGTTTGTGGTAATTTGTTATAGCAACATTATGAGACTATTACAGTGATATAAAATATGTAAGTTTATCATCATGTAATTATAAATTTCTTATTAAATAATTAAGTAAACCACTATTTAATTTGCTACTGCAACATATGCACATACTAACATCTTCCAAAAGCAAGTTAACTCTTTATCCATTAATTTATATAGTCATATATTAGTAAAAATTATTTAACAACAGACAATTTGCTTCAGTCTAATACACAATGGGAGATTAGCTTTTAACTGAATGTTGACTCTAGTAAAGCAGAAAAATCTTGCGTTAAACACATAACTTCCTTGGTTCACATGTAAACAAAAACACATTTTAGGAATCACTTGATGATAATTATATTTTTGTGCATTTAAAATTCTGTAGCACATATTGGTGAAATTTAATTTATTTGTATTAGGATATAAAAGTTATACCACAAATGTGACATTTTAATTGCGTATTTTTAAATAGCAGCTTTAGTATAAAACAAAAATTATATTTTAAACAAAGCAATATAAACATTTAGAAACAAAGAAAACCAAAGGTCAAGATGTATTCAAAAATTTTTTATTAACTTCTAAAATAAAATACCAACATTCACATCAGTTGACAAATTGACCAGAGTGTTTTAATAGCAATATCTAATGTTGAAAATGTTTGAGGAACATAGTTTCATTCCTTTACTCATATTTCTGTTTAAAATAGTTGATAAAGTTTTTCTAGAAAGCAATTTAAATATATTTTTAAGGACCTCTTAGTTTTTATTTTCAGTTTTAGTAAGTTATCTTAGCTGAATTATTTAAAATATCCAAAAATATTGACGTAAAACATGCTAATTATAATTTTATTAAAACAGAAATTGGAAGATAGTCAAAATAGCATTAGTTAAACTTGACGTGAAATATTCATAACGAGATATTTTTTACTTTTAAAAACTAAGTTCTTGAAAAATAAGTAATGATAGGGAAATAATATGTCATATAAATTTATAAAGTTTAAAATATGACTAATATGAAATATACTTTGAACTATTTAACATTTAATATCAATTAACATTAAACTAATATTAATAGCCAACTTTTATTATAATATTAAATTAACATTAATTATAGCTCACATTTAATATGAGGGGATTTCAAAAAGTCCATGGAAAATAAAATTAAAAGATAAAAATAAAAAATATAACCTTTATTTCTCAACATATGCTCCATCAAGTTTAAGACACTTTCATACCATAATGATAGCAGCCATTTAGTCTATCCCTAAATAATTGAGGTCTCAGGAATTTAAATGTGTCAATGCAATATTTTTTTACCTTATTAATTAAAGAAAAAGTGTTGCCTTTTACTGATATTTTTAAGATTATGAAAAAAAGAAGTTAGAAGGAGTCAAATTAGGACTGTAAGGTGTATGCATAATGGTCTCTCACCAAAACTCTCACAAAATTGCTCTCATTTGAAGAGAGGGATAAGCAGATGCACAGCTGTGGTGGAAAAGAACTCTCTAGTGAAGCTTTCCTGGGCAATTTTCTGTTAAAGCTTAGACTAACGCCTCAAAACACTCTCATAATAAGTAGCTGTTATTGTTATTTGGCCCTACAGAAAGTCAGCACGCAAAGAGCCTTAAACAATTCAAAAAACTGTTGTCATGATCTTACCTATTGACTTGTCATCTTTTGCTTTGACCTGATCACATCCACCCTGTTGATAGCCATTGCTTTCATTGGGCTTTGCCTTAACAATCATATTGGCAAAGCTATGTTCCAACTCTTGTTAAAATTATTCAAATGAATACTTCCGGATCTTGACCACATTTGTTTAAAATTTCCATTGAAAGTTCTTTTATCTGTGGCTGATCTGAGAACAGTTTTGGTACCCTTCAGCTGGAAGGTTTGGTCAACTTTAATTCTTCAGTCAGAATTCCGTAAGCTGGACAAATTGAGATGTTTACAGTTTTTGGCTATTGTTTCTGCTATTTATTATCAGTCCTCTCAAATTAGGGCACAAACAAGATACATTTATTTCCTTGCAAATTGATGCAGATGGTCTGCCACTGTGGGCTTCATCTTCAGCATCATCTTGTCCCTTCTTAAAATGAGTTATCCATTTGTAAACTAATAATTTCTTTGGGAGATTTCACTAATAAACTTTTTATAAAACATCAGTGGTTTTACTGTTATTCTACTCAATCTTCGTATAAATTTCATATTTGTTCTTGCTTTAATTTTAGCAGAATTCATGTTGACCTGACAGGAGTTTTTTTTCAAGCTGCTGTCTTATCATTCTTAGTGCTTCAATCTGGATTCAGTTCAGACATGTTTTAATAAATTAGTATGAGTTTGTTACAAGAAAATTTTGAAATCCATCGACAGATTTTTTTTCATAATAAGCATCTTACATGCACTTTTTGAATTTTCTTTGTATTATAAATTATTATTTAATTTACATAGATAAAATTAATGTAATAACTATACTGAACTAGAGCTGTAGTCTTAGACCTTAGGCCAACCTAATAATCACTTTTTAATACTCGCCAAGGGACCTTCTTGGAAACTCTATTTTAGTTTATTTTCAGTCAATGTCAATATACTCTCTCTTTTTTGAGACGAGTTTTAACAAGTTACCAAAAAGGAGCAACCTGTAGGACCATACAAGAAAGATGAACTCAAATGAGATTTATTATTCTTACTTAAGTGTTTAATTGCCATAGATCAAGAAATTTTTTTTTTCCACAGAAAGTTATGATGTAGTTTGGATGTTTGTCCCTACCAAATCTCATGTTAAAATATAATCCTCAATGTTGAAAGTGGTGCCTGGTGGAAGGTGATTAGTTCAGAGGGGCACATCCTTCACTAATGGCTTAGCACCATCCCCTTGGTGATAAGTGAGTTCTAACTCAATTAGTTCACAATAAATCTGGTTGTTTAAATGAGTCTGAGACATCCCCTTTCTCTCTCTTGCTCTCTCACTCACCGTCTGAGGTACTTGTTCACGCTTCACCTTCTGTCATGAGTAAAATTTCCCTGAGGTCTCAGCAGAAGCTGAGCAGATGCTGGCACTATGCTTCCTATATAGCCTGCAGAACCATAAGCCAATTAAACCTCTTTTCTTATAAATTATCCAGCCACAGGTATTTCTTTATCATAATGCAAAAATAGAGTAAGATATGCTTACTCTGTTGCCTTGCACTTTCTGATTGCATCACACAAAGTATATGTGATCACTCAGGAAACCAGATACATTCCTTCTCCATGTGGCATTTTTATCTCTGTGAAAGTGTGCATCCATGACAAAGAAGGCATATTGAAGATTTCTGTTTCTCTCATATTATATATTTAGCAATGATATGTGTATACATGTTTGAATTTATTAGCATCTATCTGCCCTTAAAAAACCTAAAGTTTCTCAATAGTTAGCATAACTCTTCTCACACAACAGTCATTGAATACACAATTTAGACATTCTTCTGAGTTTTGGACAGGAATTTTAAATTTAATATTTTTAGTATTGAATCTTCTTACCCGCAGCCTTGATACTGATCTAGAATTGTTTTTCTATGTTGAAAGCTCCAGTCTCCCAATTGATACAGATTCAAAAACAGAAGTCATTCTAGTAGCCTTTTCTCTTACTTCTATATCCACCTACTCATCGAGTCTTATTGATTTAATATTGTATAATCCATCTCTTTACTCCTACTACCAATACATTAAAATTTCATAACATTATATAAACCCTACTGGAAGTCTTTTAATTGGTATCAATCTCCAGACTTGTCTCCCTCAGGCCAACCTCAATACTGCTAATGTGTATTATTTATAAAAATGTAAGCATTTACTTATTTTAGTAATCTGTTTTATTAGTCCTTTCTCACACTTATATAAAGACACCAAAAAAATCATCCAAGAGTGGGTAATTTATAAAGAAATTAGGTTTAGCTGACACAGTTCCACAGGACTGGGAAGGCCTCAGGAAACTTGCAATCATGGTGAAAGGTGAAGAGGAACCAAAGACCTTTTTCACATGGCAGCAAGAGAGAGACGTGCAAGCAGGGAAAATACCAGACACTTATAAAACCATCAGATTTTGTGAGAATTCACTATCACGAGAACAGCATGGGGAAAACTGCTCCCATGATCTAATCACCTCACTCCCTGGACATGTGGGTGTTACAGGTCCCTCCCTTGACACCTGGGGATTACAATTTGAGATAAGATTTGGGTGGGGACACAGAGCCAAACCAGATTATCTGTGCTATCATCAGCATGTAAACCACTTCTCTTCATGGAATATGTAACGCTTTTTCTTAATTGTTTATCAGGTTCATCCTTTGTCCCTGGTGTTTTATCCTAAATTTATCAGTCCTGCCAAAATACCTGTAATTTCTTAAGTGAGCTATGGTGTCTTGTTCATAGCCTTTGTAAATGTTGTTATTGTACCAGCAATTCATTCTTCCACCAATTATTAAGAACTATTAGGTGTCTTGTATTTTGGTAGGCAATGAGAAGACTAACTCTTATCTATGTCAATAAAACTTTTTTATTCTTTCGAAATGTAGCTTGATTATTAACTCTACCAGAAAAATAATTTCTTCTACTACTATTCTTACCAATTTGTTTGTTTTGTTTCTCTGAACTCCCACATATCCATATCCTGGGAATATCTCTACCACAATAGTTATCATATTGTTTTGTAAATTTTTATTGTTTGTTCTTCTTCAATTTAAATAAATTATTACCATTGAATCTATTTCTCCACCCAGGTCTAATTCTTGAGCTTATTAAATAAAATGAATCTTGAGACGCATTCACACTATTAAGCAATCATAAAATCAAGGCATTAAAAACAAATAATGTAAATGCAGCATTTTGGAAGTGCATATTGATTACTTTTTTATGATCTTTTTACATTTTCAAAAAAATGTATCTCTACTTTTTTTGAATTAAATCACTACATATTACTCATGTACCCAGTCCTTTCATATAGGTACTCCCCCAGATTGAGGATGTAACTTGATAATTTGTTTTAAATTAAGATCTCAACTTCGCTTGCATGTTTGTTTGTTTTTGTGCCCATATATGGTATATTTAATTATTTCTGGCATGTCAATGTCACGGTCATGACTTTGGCCATGGAATTTCTCTATCATTAATTTAAAGCCATAATAAAATATTATAAATGAATTTTAGATAACTAATTTTAAAACCCTAATAATGTCATTTTTTTAAAATGTCATATGTATAATGCATGGTTTAATAGCTCTGTAGTGGACAAGGATATGGGAAAAAAATCTGTCTAGGGCTGTGCTGTTATCTATATTATATTATAAAAAGATCCTTTCCTGACTAATAAATGGAAAATTACATTTTAGTAGCAGTACATGCCAATCTAATGTACTTTCAAAGTATCCCTTCATGGGCACAAAACTGAGGAAAACAGCATATTTTAAAACTTGGCTCATGATGGCAGCTCTTCACTAAAAGCTAATTATTCTGGAATATTCTGGTACTAAAATGAATCACAACTGCTCCTCATCCACTGGAGTCTCATGAAACACTTTCGAGGCAGAAATGCAGTTTAGTTGAAATAACCAAAGGAATAAATGCTCCCCCTGAACCTAGTTTAACAAATATTGTGGTTGCCATAATGCTTATGATGTTGATTTGCTCTGCAAAGTTTCTCTTAAAATTTGCAGAGTGTTTGGAATCAAACATGGCTGGTTTTATTAAACTAGAAATGCAGAATTAAAGATTTCAAATGAATTTATACCAAAGCATTGGTTTTCAATTGTGCTCAAAAAAAAATTATCACGAATTATCAGGTCAACATTTATCATTTTTTATTTTTTATGTTTCATTTTTATCTTTTGTACTGCTTGAGAGTCATACTGAAGTGCCCATGTTGATTATACCATTGTTTAATTGTAATTAGACTTTGTTGCTTCCTAGAAGCTTTACAAATATTGTTTTTTCAGAATTATCAATTGGTAGGTATTACTTTTTATACAATTATATTTTTGATTTTAACATATTAAAAAATATTTAAGAGACAATAATGTCCCAAGTTTTCTTTCTTTTTTTAAAACATCATGTTTTGTGACACATTTTTTAGGGAAATTACGTGTTAGGAATATATACTGATGTATATCGACATCCTGTTTAGGTGCTCTATATGCATTATTCCAATCTACCCTTAAAATCGGTAAAGCAGATATTAGGTTGTAAGTTTGTATGAAAGACATGAGATTTAAAATCTTGACAACATTACACTATGATAGAAGAAAAAACAAGTAAAGATCTAAATCCAACTTTGGGTACTTGATCATCTCAATAAATGCATTTTGGAACATTTAGAATTGTTATTAGTGACTTTATTTTGAAAGTCTCCTTCTTAAGAATAGAAAGCAAAAGTTGTGTTCCCTAGACTGAATTTGACATTCATATTCTTTTTTTTTTTCCAGTAACTTCAAGTAGATGCCTTCATCGAAATAAGATGTCTCATTATGTTTTACATTTCAAGCTTCTCTTGAAAAGGTAATGTGCAGCAATACAAGGCAACAACAAACAGAGTCATTACCTCTGACAATATATATGGTTTGCAATTTCCCCATTCCAGCATGCACTTGTTCACCTTACTTATTTCCCTCCATGTTTCTGATAAGCATCTCCTTGTGTAAACATCCATTGCTTCTTCCAGAAATCATTCACCTTACATCCACCAGATGGCAGGTTATGCTTACTTCGCTGTGTAGAAAAAGGGAGAGAAATTGGATAAAGTTTATGACTTTAAAATTTAAATACAAAAAAACTGACTAACCCAATTTGGCAGCATTTTGGCATTATTCCCATATTCCGTGGTTTGGTATACAGTGTTGGAAGACAATTAATTCTAATTTTGTTTCCACTGTGGTCATAAACTTAAACTATTTGGAAAAAACAGAAATTAAAAAAAAAAGAAGAAAATAAAAGCATAAAAGAAACAGAGACAGAAGAGAAGCAAGAGAGAGAGAGAAAGAGACAGATATAGAGAGAAGATAGTATGCAAAGCCTTTTAAATTTATAGTTCTCTCAAAGGCTACAACACTACTTTTTCTGTTGCTTGATGATTTCGGACAATGAACCGCAAGTTAGGTTTTTTTTTTTATTATTAACAAATAAAAACATTGACAAGTATAGGAAAATATGGGGCTGGCATTCGTAGTGATTAGGGGTTCAAAGTTGAAGACTGTTTAAACTATAATGACCTAACCATTGCATCAGTATCGTGAGTTCAGTTAATCAATTTTATTTTATACACTAATACTATATTCAGTAACTGAAATGAAGTAGAGAATCATTGTCAACTATGAAGTAAAAGTCTGATTACTAAATAATACATTAATGAGCATAATGGTTAATTCTGATTACTATTTGTAAGGAACTTTTCTTGGTATGTTCTATATTTTGATTAATTGACTCTTTATAAAATTATGCATGATTAATTCTATTATTTTCTCCATTTTTCAGTTGAGAAAATTAAATACAAAGATGTTAAATAGAAACCAGGGTTAAGTCCACAGATTTCTAAGGTAGAAAGTAGAAGAGCTGGCTTAATACTGTGTAGCTCAAGAGCTCCTGATTCTAATTACAATTTTGCTACTTATCATGAATCACTTCATCTTCAAAATGAACTATATTTCTTAATGGAGAGAAATAAAGACTGAAATTAGTATCCACCAAAATCCTAATGTTGATACTCTGTGGTGTGTGGGACTATAAATTACTTTATTTGTGCCTGTGGGTGCCTGTTTCTGTGTATGTGTCTGCTTGAGATTTTCAAAATTTGTAGAATAAATTGTTATTTTGGGAATTAAAACATTGAGGCATAAGTTTTCAAAACATGTTTACTGAAAATGTTATTATAGTTATAACAGCTTATTATATCATGATATCTGTTAAATATAGACATGACTAAAAGAAATTATCAAATCTTTAAAATAGTCTTGTAGTATTCTGTATTTGGAAAGGAGGTAAGATTTTTGTTAATATTTACATGTCTCATAAATGTTTATTCAATATGTAAATAAGCAAATAATGATTAAATAATTAAAGGCAATTTAGTGTTTCATTATTATTTGTAAACACAAAGAGAAAAGAAACAGAAAGAAAACTTTGACATCACTAACAATTTAATTAATAATATAATATGTAGCACATACAATATAATTTGTATTTCCTATAATTTTAGATATTTTTTAAAAGCATAACTCTAGTTTTGATGACTGATAACATCAGATGTTGAGATAAACAAAAATAGCCTCTGCTCTTACTTATTTATCTGAAAGCCAGTATGTTTGATATAGATTGCATATTGTCCCTCCCCTAATCTTATGTCAAAATGTAATCTCCAGTGCTGCAGATGGGGCCTGGATGGGAGGTCATTGGATCATGGGGGAAGAGTTCTCATGAATGGTTTAGTATCATCCCCTTGGTACTGTCCTCATGATTGTGAGTTCTCTGAAATCCGGTCATTTTAAAGTGTGTCCCCACTCCCTATCACTCTCTTGCTTCTACTTTGGCCATGTGAAATGCCTGCTTTCCCTTCAGTCTTCTGTCATGATTGTAAGTTTCCCAAAGGCTTCTCCAAAAGCTAAGGAGACACAAGCATGATGCTCCCTTTACAGCCTGCAGAACTAGGAGCCAATTAAACCTCCTTTGTTTTTAATTACCCAGTCTCAGGTATGCCTTTTTAGCAATGCAAGAACAGCCTAACACAGAAAATTGGTACCATGGAGTGGGTCATTGCTATAAAGATACCTGAAAATGCGGAAGCAGCTTTGAAAGTCAGTAACAGGAACAGATTGGAAGAGTGTGAAGGGTGCAGATAAGACAAGAAGATGAGGTAAAGTTTGAAACTTCTTAGAGACTGGTTAAATGATTGCGACCAAAATGGTGATAATGATATGAACAGTAAAATCTAGTCCGATGAGGTCTCAGATGAAAATGAGGAATGTATTGGGAACTGGAACAAATGTCACATGTATAATGCCTTAGCCAAGAGCTTGGATGGACTGTGTCCATGCCGTAGGGCTATGTGGAAATTTGCACTTGAGAGTGATAATTTAGGGTATCTGGTAGAAGAAATTTCTAAGCCGCAAAACGTTCAAGACGTGGCCTGGCAGTTTCTGACAACCTACACATATAAAAGAGAAAATAACTTACTTAAAGCTGGAGTTTATATTTAAAAGGGAAGCAGAACATAAAAGTTTGAAAAATTTGCTGGCTGGTTATGTGGTTAAATAAAAAAAAGAATTCAACAAGGCTGCTGAACAACTTGCTAAAGAAATTCACATAAAAATAAGAAGACAAGTGCTAATAGCTGAGACAATGGGAAAACTGCCTTAAAGGTTGTTTTCAGAGATTTAAGAGGCAGCCCCTCTCTTCACAGGCCTTGAGGCCTATGAGGACACAATGGTCTCCTGGGCTAGGCCCAAGGTCCTGCTGCTCAGTGCAGTCTGGGATCATGGCTCCCTGCATCCCTATCTTCCAGCTTCAGCTGTGGCTCAAAGGGCCCAGGCACAGCTTGAGCCACAGCTCCAGAGGGTGCAAGCCGTAAGCCTTGGCAGCTTCTACAAGGTATGGTGTTAAGTCTGCATGTGCACAGAATGCAAGAGTGAATGAAGCTGGGAAGCCTATGTGTAGATTTGAGAGGATGCATCAAAAAGCCTGGGTGTCCAGGCAGAAACCTGTTTCAGGGGTAGAGTCCTCACAGAAAACCTCTGCTAGTGCAGTGTATAAAGAAAATATGGGGTTAGAGCCCCCATACAGAGTCTTCACTGGTGCACTGCCTAATGGAGCTGTGAGAAGAGGGCCACTGTCCTCCAGATTGGAAGTTTTTCTTTTCTCTTTTTTCTCTTTTTTTTTTTAACAGGCTCATAGGTGGAAGAGACATGTGATTTGGGAGGGGCCAGGGATGCAATGATATACTTAGGATATCATCCCTGCCCAAATCTCATGTCAAAATGTAATTCCCAACGTTAGAGTTAGGGTCTGGTGAGACATAATTAAATTATGAGGGCAGATTTCTCATGAATGGTTTAGTATCATCCTCTTGGTGCTGTCCTCATGATAGTGAATGTGTTCTCTGAGATTTGGTCAGTTTAATGTGTGTAGCACCTGTTACACCACTCTGTTGCTCCTGCTCTGACCATGTAAAGTGCCTGCTTCCCCTTTGCCCTTTGCAATGATTGTAAGTTTTCTGAGGCTTTTTCACTAGCCAAGCCCATGCCAGCATCACACTTCCTGTACAGCCTGCACAACCATGAGCCAATTAGCTTCTTTCCTTTTAAATTATCCAATCTCAGGTATTTCTTTATAGCAATGCAAGAATGGCCTAACATAATGTTGGAAAGAATATTGAACCAATAGTCTAAGGTCTATATTGATATTCAATTGTTCTGAAAATTTACTCTGATACTTCTAAATCTCGGTTTAATTATCTTCATTGTATTGCATTAAATGTGATACTGCTTGAAAGTCAAATCCCTCTCAAAGCTGTAGATTACAATTAAAGTATAAAATTACATTACTACTAGAATAAAACTGTGTTCATAAAAAGTTAAGTTGACTAGTCTTTCTTGCTCTTAAAGAGAGATGGAGATTAGGCATTATTGTGTCTTATACTGTTCTAGGCTAATTACATTTACTATTTTTCAAAGAGCAGATACTGTTCAACTGCTATTTTAGCTAAGTTTAATTTTTGCAATAAAATATATACATGTAAATGAAGGGACTAATTTTCTTCCTCCTACCTTGCTTGTCATTAAATCAGATTTATTACATTCAAATCTATAGTTTGCATAATTGATCCTCTTGTACTCCTACATTTAACAAAGAAAATATATCTTTCAGAGTTTTACAACTGTTAAAATGTTTATGAATACACTGCATTGTCTTAATTATACTTGATTATTTCAATCAGGCACATAATAGATTATGAAAATGTCTACTAAACAATCAAAGTAATTTAAATAAAACACTATTTTTACTCTAAAATATTGTTTAAATAAAATTGTTTTAAAATAGTCTCACAAATTTACTCTGGAATCAAGGCTTATGAGATAGAAACATATTGTTCAGTCAGTTATCTTTCCATTTAAAAATAACTGAGCTCTTTACATTTTATTTTTTCTGTTAATTATACATGTAATACGTAGATCATGCTTAAATGACAATAATAATTTTAATAATACTTAGAAACATAATTCATGCTACTAATCCTAGCTTTCATGCTATTTAAAACATTTAATTTACTTTTCTTCTTGGGAATACTTCTGCCAGGCTGAGTCCATTTATCTAAATTAAATTTTATACACTTGTAATATTCTCACCTTTAAAATTCATATTAGTATAATGTACTCAAATTTCTTCTACTTGGAGAAATTACAGATTTAATCTTGTAAATTTAAACTTGAAATTGATATCAAAGTGCCCAGTCATATTTGAGACAGCCCATTTGAGAAATGTAATAAATAATCTATAACTATTAATGTATCAGAAACATTGTGGTTCACTGAACAAAGTACAAAATTGGTGAAATGAAAAAGATCTATATCTTTATTATTTAAGTACATGATAAGCAACAGAAATGAATTTTCTGAAATATTTCAGTTTCTTTTTGTTCTTCTAGTGACAAGAACATTTTGTGAGATAGAGAGCTGGGTTACATTTACTATTTCAGAGTAAACTTCTCCAACTTTATTATTTAATCCACCATAGGTCATTAAATGGGCTCCAAATTATCAATGATTTCTTGAATTACTATAAAAGGCATATCTATCAAGGCCTCTTATTTAAATATAAATTTTATTTTAAAAAATTACCAAGAACTGTAATGGGATTTATTTGCCTGTTATTTTAAAATTAGAAACCTCACTATAGTGCAACCTTAAAAAGGTTTCATTACTAAATAGTTTTCCCTAATTTATTTATTACATCATAAAATAAATGCCAACATGTTTGTATGTCACTTAATGTAAAAGAGAGACATCTGAAGAAATGAAAGTGCCTTTTTTAAAAATAAAACTAAATTTTATTAACTGATTGTGTATCTTGGGGCTCTTTGAAGTTTTTTTCAAGGTTGTTCACTTCAGTTATAAAGTCATATGAGTCTCATAACTTTATGGAATAGTTACTGTTATTATGTTTATTTTACAGAAGATAAAACTGAGATTAGAAGCATTAGGTAAATTGCACAGCTAGTAATTATCAGGGCAGTAATACACACGAAAGCATTACAATTCCAGAATCTTTGGTTTTAGGTACAATGCTTCCTTGCAAAATCCCTTTAAATTATTGAAAACAAATACTCTGAATAATGTATAGGAATGATGTACTAAATCCCACTCCCAAGTACAAATCTCTGTAATCCTCCAATGCTGATGAAAAAATAAAAGAAAAAACACTTAAAGCA
This sequence comes from Homo sapiens, assembly GCF_000001405.40. NCBI lineage: Eukaryota > Metazoa > Chordata > Mammalia > Primates > Hominidae > Homo > Homo sapiens. The sequence continues at coordinate 63,711,842 of NC_000004.12, read as the reverse complement.
TGGGATTGGGTAATAGAACAGTGGAAAGGAAAAGTTGTTAGGGCAATGGTGGACCTAAAAATTATATTTCAGACTCAGACTCACTCGGGCAAGGGACACATTCACAGTTTTTGACACTGAGATGGAATTCAGAATAAACCAACTGATGCAAACCAAAGTTATGAAAGCCTACTGTATTCGTTTCCTAGGGATATCATAAAAAGTACCACAAAGAGGGTTACTTAAAATGGTAGAAATTTATGATATCACACTTATGGACATTAGAAGTTCAAAATCAAGCTGAGATTAGGTCAATCCTCTTTCTGAAGGCTCTAAAGGTTTGTTTTTGCCTCCTCCTAGCTTGTGGTAGTTGCCAGTAGTCCTTATTGCTCCTTGGCATGTAGAAACATCACTCCAATCTCTGCCTCTATCGACACATGGCGTTCTCTGTGTATGTTGTTTCTCTATATTTCTTTCTAATGAGGACACCAGTCATTGGATTTAGGGGCTTACCCTAATCTAGTATGACCTCATTCTAGGGCCCTATTTTCCAACTAGGTCATAGTCACAAGTACTAGAAGTAAGGATTTATGTATATCTTCTTGGAAGATACAATTCAACACACAACACCTATGACTTTTCTATGATGCACAGTATATATGTGGAGAAAATTGGGTTTTTTATTAATGAGGAGTAAATGAATAAATATCACTGAAAATACTGAATATTTATAAGACCTATAGCTATAGTGAATATAAGACAAATATTATAGTTTAATTTTTTATTTGGAGAGTATAATTTAATTAAACTATAACAATATAGAAAATATTCATTAATAATATGTAAAGTATCTCAATGACAATCATAAATAAACTATTCCAACTTACTGCTCAGTAGGTGGGTTTTTCTAGAGAATAAATCATTCAATTTGGATAGCACTACAAATTCTTCATCAGCAATTGAAAGTAATTGTTAACAATGCTAGGAATATTAGTAAATTCAGCTAGTAAACACTAAAATAACTATTAACAAAGCTTGGGATATTAGCAAATTTATCAGGTAAATTCACTCTTATGTTAAATAAAGAATTATTTAATGTCTCATCCACTCTCTTTAAACATCCCCATCCCCGCCTTATATGAGATAATAATCTTCTTTAATAAATCATCATTATAGACTCTTTCTTCAAATACCTGGCAATCCTTGGTTGCCTAATCATACTTAAGAGTAAAGCACTGAAAAGCTGATTATAAATTCTAGGCTCTGAGAGGCACTTGGTTGTATGTTAGACTTTACTGTTTTTTGACAAGGTCTAGTCATTTCATTGGAGAAATTCTTACTGTTAGTATTTATAGGTCTTTATTTTGAGCTGGTTAGTTACTTCAGAAAAGAAGCTTTCAATCTCCAACCTGAGGAACATGAGGAAGCAGCAGCCATCAACATTCCAGGCAGCATTCTCAGTGTTAAATGTAGTCGGAGGACTCATTGTTAAATGTAGTTGGAGGACTCAAATTAACATTTAGTTAATTCTTCAGTTTTCAATATGGGACCCTAACCATCAGCTAGGCAGATATTGCCTGAATCTAAGAGGTCTCTTATGCACACTTGCAGACAATATATTTACTATCTTCTTCCAGGAGAAGGAAAGGATGTCAACTCCAGTTGTCATAATGGATCTAGATTTAAACTCTTCTTTTGTAAAGACTTTTAACAAATCCATGCCCAAACTCTCGTGTTCAGGAAGACCTAGTATTTTTAATCCTCAGCTCTCTGGCACAGACTGACTTGCTTCTTGGCTTTTAGATCTGCAGATTGTAAGCTTTCAGCTTATTCTTGTCACTATTTTGTGCCTCTATACACCATTCAGAGATCTTTCTTTCTGATATCTTTCCTTTTCTAATCTTTTTGTGTTTGCACATTCATGCTTTTTTTCTTTCTGCAATACCATTTCTTTGTTGTTCAGAATAGTCTGTTTGTGAACACAAATATTCATTCAAGTATTGTAAACAATTTTTGTGGATAATAAAGCAAACCATAAGGTAAAATACAAAATAGTGTTCATTGACAATCCAAATTTAGTTTAAATTAATTATAAAACCACCAATAATATAAATACATAGATTAGGTTTTGGAAGGCAATGGAAGATTTTTTTCTTTATCTCTAATACATAGAGTGTGACTAGGGAAACTTTCAAATTACAAAATGTTTTAATTTTTTAATTTTATGAGACTTAGTTTTTAAATTGTTAACTTTGTATACCAAGAGGCAAGTACCATTTAATTATCCAACAGTTTCAAATGGCACTGTGAAGAGAGATTTGGTCATGAAGTAAATTTGGTATTTAGCACATAAGAAATGTAAAATATAAAGGTAAATTACAATGATTTAGGATACTAAATATGTTTTAAAGTTAAAATAAGATTGGTATAGAAACTCAGGGACAAATAATAATGCATAGGTCTAGAACTGTTTGCAGTTATAGCACACAATTTATAATAGGGATAGTATCACTATTATAATAAATTTATGCATCAAATTTTAAATTTAAATGCATTAAATTAAAAAATAATCTAACATGTTACATAACAGGTGGTAGATTATTTTCACTATTGCTAGAAAACTGCTTAAAGCAATAGCCACATTGATTCATTGGGTGTAAGGTAATTTATTACATTTGAAAGACAAAACTTTATGCCTCAATTCTTTTCAGTATAGGCTTATCATACATAAAGAAATTCATTGAATCTTTAAATGTATAATCTAAATAGAGATATTATATTTTTTAAGTAATTAAAAAATAAAGTTATAGGCATTATATTTTTAGGTGTTCATCATGAATGAGTTTTGGGATAATAATAAATTATTTTTTCAATGAAGGTTTTTAATTTTGATGTCTGCTGTTCAATTCCCTGGAGAATTCCCCGTACACCTTAAATCAATTAAACCTGAGTGTGACTGACCTTTAGACCCAGATACTGCGTTCTGCTCTTATTCATTGTGAGAATTCTCCTTCATCTGTATATATGAAACTGCATATACTCTCTGACCTGGAACATGTGAAACTACACTTAGGCTCTGATCTCTGATAAACCTCAAGTACCCTATGACCTGATATAAGCCCTTCACCCCTGCAGGCAGCAGAGTAGTTCATTCCTGAAGCTACCTCCTTAGCTGAGTATGTTGTAAAGAAAAGTTTGAACACACGTTGCAGTCTCTTACTAAATGCTCCTTTCCAGAATATGGGGCTGTGACTTGGATTGAGCATTAGATTACCATCATGCCTAGATCAGGTTCCTCAGTGAAGTTAGAACATGCTAGAAGTTTCTTGCATTTTCCTTTCTTAAGGATCTAAGGCTAATTTACTACAAAATGCTTCTTAGATTTAATTACTTAGGCCTTAGATTGCTTCAATGAATTTGGCAGAGGTATTAGAATAATTCTTTATCCTGTGGAGTACAAAATAAGGCCATTTTTCTCCATTCCCTGTGCTAACATCTAAGTTTAAATTGACCCTAGAAAATCTCTATTTAAACTCCTTAAATTTGCTCTAAAACAATAAGAGAAAGAACTCAGTGCAGAGAAGTTTGATCTGAACATTTATAGGTCCTGTACTTGTAGTTAAGAAATCTCATGGCAAGGCTGTGATTTTGTTCAGGATACTGGACATGATTATTATACGTAATTTTCTGGTTGTTTCTAGTCTAAAGATTATTTTTGCCTGTATTCTTTCAGATGCTATTTATTGTACAGTGATAGAACCTTTTTCATCTTTATTTACTATAGCTGTACATTTTTTAAGTCCATATTTACTTTCTGTTTGCCTTCAGTTGAGAAAATCAGCAACATACTTGGACAGTCATGTCACAGGGATGGACCTTTATGCTTCTCTCAGTGTCTGTATAGACTATCTTTCATTTGAGGGACATACTATTCTTCTTCAAAATGTGGGTGATTAAGTACTTTGTTCATCTTCTAAGGAAGTTGTAGTAGAATAATCTCCTTATCTTCTTAAGAAACTTACTGAAGAGTCACTATATCTCAAAAGATAAATTGAAAATTTGCTAATTGCCCATATATCATCTGCTGCGTGACATCTGCAAAGCAGGTAGCTCTGAACTGACTGTTGATGGGTCACTGAGAACTTTTTCCAATCCGCCACTGAGAAAGAATTTAGGAAATTTTTTAAATTGTGAGATATAGTCATCAATTGGTAATCATTTTTCTGAACTAGCCTTTTCAAAGCTGAGGCTCTGGAAAGCCAGAACTCTACTCATAATGTACATTTCTTTGGCATCACTAAGTTTTCTCTTATTATTCATCGCTCTAGGGCTTTCTGGTGATCATACATCCTTTCCCTTATACATAAAAGATTTAAAAATGCTTCAGCATTACCCACTCAAAAACAAAACAATATAATAGATGCTAGCATACTACAGAGTAATTTGGGGTGCTATAGTTAGGGGGTATCTACTCTCTAGACATTTCCATACAGTTACTAGAAACTGGCCAATATTATTCTGGAAAATAAATTTGTTACTGCATTATGCTCTTCAAACCTTACTTATATAAGTGATAGTATATATAATTTGTTCTGCCCATTTATTATCCTCATATGATATGGAAGACACTGACCTTTTCATTCAACTCTACCCTGATGCAACAGCTTGATTTCTCCCACACTAATGCAAATTCCTCATGAAATAATATCAGGTAACTGTCAGTTGGCTGTTTGTGAAGTCATTTATCACAAATTGATATTTTATTTATTTATTTATTTATTTATTTTGAGACGGAGTCTCACCCTGTCACGCAGGCTAGAGTGCAATGGCGCGATCATGGCTCACAGCAACCTCTGCCTCCTGGGTTCAGGTGATTCTCTTGCCTCAGCCTCCCAAGTAGCTGGGATTACAGGTGTGCACCACCACACCTGGCAAATTTTTGTATTTTTAGGAGAGATCGGTTTTCACCATGTTGGCCAGGCTGGTCTTGAATCCCTGACTTCAGGTGATCCACTCTTCTCGGCCTTCCAAAGTGCCGGGATTACAGGCATGAGCCACCGCGCCCAGCCACAAATTGGTATTTTCAAAGCAACATTTGCCTTTCCCATTTTGATTCTCTTTATAGATGATTTCTACCTCAAACGGAGCAGGAAAAATATCAAGCTGGATATATTATTACTTAATTCCAATAGATTTAAAAATTAAATGGTCTTGTAGATATTAACACAAATGGTCCTACTAATAGCTCTTACTGGAACATGTCAAATCTTCAAAGAATCATATGGTCAACGTCTATAGTGAGCGTGAGTATGTGTTCATTATGGCACATGATTTTTGAGTTATAGAAGCAGAGAAGGTTTTTAACTACTAATGAAAGCCCGTATCCCCCCAGAAATGGAATTTAATAGAAATTACATCATACCATTACCATTTCTAATGGAAGAGTTGCGATTAAAATAAGTTTACATAGAAAGCAACAAGTCTTTAAAACCATCAGAAACAGTTTTAGCTGTCTAGCTGACTGCTATGCTAAATAAGCTGCAGTGAACCAAATCCTTCAATGCCCCATTAAAAAATTCAAACTCATTTGCCCATTGATTTTGTCCATGTTTTAATTAGCTTCAAGTAACAATCTTCAGAGATGGAATAAGTTCACTGGCAAAATTCAGAATGTTCTGAAAAATATGATCATCTCTTTGATGGTTAATACTGAGTGTCAACTTGATTGGATTGAAGAATGCAAAGTATTAATCCTGGGTGTGTCTGTGAGGATGTTGCCAAAGGAGATTAACATTTGAGTCAGTGGGCCAGGAAAGGCAGACCCACCTTTAATCTGGGTGGGCACCATCTAATCAGCTGCAATTGTGGCTAGAATATAAAGAAGTCAGAAAAAATGTGGAAAGGTTAGACTGGCTTAGCCTCTCAGTCTACATCTATCTCCTGTGCTGGGTGCTTCCTGCCCTTGAATATTGAACTTCAAGGACTTCAGTTTTGGGACTTGGACTGGCTTCCTTCCTACTCAGCTTGCAGATAGCCAATTGTGGAACCTTGTGATCATGTGAGTTTAATACTTAAACTTAATAAACTCCCAAACATATATATATATATATATACACACACACACACATGTGTATATATGTATACATATGTGTATGTGTGTGTATATGTGTGTGTATATATATGTGTGTGTGTGTGTATATATATATCCCATTGGTTCTGTCCCTCTAGAGAACCCTGACTAATACAGTCTCTTAAGACACCAGAACCACCAAAATCTGATTATCTCTGAAGACACTAAGTCATCTGGACAAGAATCTGGCAAAAATATTACATGCCATCAAAGCAAAGATTACTTACACCAAGTAAATATTCGAGGTATGGGAACATCAAGTGAATATTTGAGATTGTTTTTAGTACATTCCCTAAGGATCAAAAACATAATAATCAAAGAATCCTTTAAAGGTGGAGCAGAGACAGGAAACTGAGCTTCAAAAGCCTTTTGAGATTTTGCACGTGCATACCATTCAATTGCCTCCATCCCAGAGATTAAAATAGGTTCTAGTGATGGCAGGCTTATTACCTAAAGAAGAAGCTTATATTTGAATTCAGAGACTAAGTTGGTGCTTTTAACCCTTATGACTACTAATCCATTTGATTTTCTGTTTATGAGCTTGTCACAGAGAGACTCACGAGATTAGGAGCCAGTACTACAATTCTTGAATCTAACTTCTCCAAAAAGATATGGATAGATATTGCAGAGGATAGAGGATTTATGCAGTATACTCAACTTTGTAATCAATAGGTTAAAGTTGAAATTTAAAACAGTAAAAGCCTCTTGAACACCTTCAACATCCATTTACAGACATTTAGCCTAGAAACCTCATTTAATGGAAATATCACCAGAGAAAAACAAAAATCTATCATAGATGGAAGGAATTATACCAGCTACTGAAATTATTCTGTATGATACTACAGTGGTTACATGAAATTTTACATTTGTGAAAACCTATAGAATATACAATACCAAAAGTGAAGCCTAATGTAAATGAATACATTTGCATGATAATGATGTGTCAATGTGGGTTTATTAATGGTAATAAATGTACCACTGTGGTTTGGGATACCAATGTGCATTTATAATTGAGAAAGCTGTGTGTGTGGTGGGGCAGAGTACGTGTGGAAACTCTGTACTTCTTGCTCAACTTGACTGTGAATGCAAAACTACTCTAAAAAATAAACTTTATTAATTAAACAGACAAATAAATGAATCAAATATAAGCCTGTTTTATCTTAAGCCTCATAGACCAACTGCATCTTGTTTATATGTAATCTCAGAATTATCTCTATCTTTCTGCTTCTATATGGATCTAGCTAAACTGCATAGAAAAAGAATAAAACCAGAAAAATCAAGTCACTGTGAAACATCTCTTACCCTTCTATCAATTACTACATCCACTATCACCAAAGCTCCAAAGCTGCCAAAGCTGTCATTCAGCCAAGATAGTGTGTGTTTCAGTTGAGTAGAAAGTGTCTCAATACTTTTTAAACTTTATGATTATTACATGTCAATTAGAATTCAGAATTGTAAAATAATTTGGACAAAAATATCTGGCCCTTTAGTAAAGTGCATTGATGGTGGATATGCAATAACCATTTATTTTAATAATTTTTAGAAAACAGGTAAATTATAATTATTTTCATAAACTTGTTGGTCAATACCCCAAACTATTTTTTTAGTAGGCTATTATTATGCGTTGAATTATGTGCTCCTCAGAAAGATATGCTGGAGTCTTAATACCCATCACCATAGAATATGACCTTATTTGGAAATATGGGTCTTTAAAAAGTGATTGAGCTAAAATGAAGACATTAACGTGAGCTCTAGTCTAATATGTCTGATGTCTTTGAAAAAGGGGAGGGGGAAATTTGAACACTGATACAGAGATGCATAAGGGAAAGACAATGTTAATAAACATGGGGTGAAGACTGCCATCTAAAAGCCAAAGGGCATTCATTCAACAGTTCCTGCCCTAACAGGCCTCAGAAGGAACCAACCATAGGCACACTTTGACTTTCCACTTTTAGCCTCCAAAATTTTGAGACAATAAATTTTTGTTGCCCAAGCCACTCACTCTTTGGCACTTTGTTATGGAAGTGTTATCCAACTAACATAGCCATAGTTTATCTTTGTGCAGATTTTACCTATATTCATCATAGCATAATAATTAAATACTTTTATTAAGGAGTTAGCAAACCAAATGCTACACAGACCCATATATAAAACATCTGACATGTTTAAGTAGGAAGAAACAATTGAATATATATATAAACTTTCTTCCTTTTGTTTCAGAGCTATCACTCACCTATGGTTCTTCCATTACCTCATTGGCTGTTTCTTCTTGTTTTAATATATTTTTTCTCCTCCTCTCTCCAACCACTGAGTATTCTGGAGTTCAGCTGATATCTTTCCTTTCTCTGCTTAATAGTTAGAAAGTCTTATTCTTCAATGGGTATATATATACAACTTATATATTCATTTTCCCTTAGCGAATCTAATGTAATTTTCTTCACATCTCTTTAAGGGGCAGTTCTTATCATTCCAATTACTTATTTAAAAATCTTGCAGTTATCCTTAACATTCTCTCTCTCTCTCTCTCTCTTTTTTCTGACCTCACATCCTTTCTGTCAAAACATCCTTCAGGTTAAACCTTCAAACATATCCCTATTCTTACTTCCACTTACCACCTTCTCTTTTTTTAATGCTGATCCACATAATTGTCATGTTGTGCCAAAAAATTGCAGTGACTTACCATCTGGTTATTCTACTTCTACGATTATTCCTCAGGCATCTTTTCTGTCAAATAACCAGAAGAACTCATAAAATTTAAGACATATTATGTCCCATTTCTGTTTACAACTATATAATGTCTTTTATTATCAATGTATTAAAAAAGTCATAGGTCTTATTAGGACCTATGATGTTCTACACCATCTAAAGCTGCTGTAATTTGCTGATATAATTTTCTACAACCTGCTTTTTCATCTTTCTGGAACATATTTCCCCAGATGTTTATAAGATCTACTTTTTTAGTTCTTTCAGATTTCTAATTGAAGTCACCTAATGAGTGAGACCTTACCTGACCACCCACTATAAAATAGACACCTTCACCCAACAGAAACAAATCAACCTTATTTTCTGACATTTTACTTGTTCTTCAGGGTATACTGCCTATTTACATGTTCCTTGTTTATTTTCATCACTGATATGTAAACTTCATGAAATGGATGTTAGTTTTGTGTTGTTTTTCCTTGATGTAACCCCAGTAATTGGAGTATATTACACTGAAGTCTAATAATAATATAGTTAAAATTATAAAAATGCAATAAGTAAGTAATTACTTTGTTTAGTGTATTCATACCTGTTCAGTGATTTGCTTATGCAGTGGCCTAGTGGGAAGCACACAATTATTATTTCTATTCTTTTTAAATGGGGAAATTGATAATCAGAGAATTCACACAAATATAAAGTGGGAGAGCATGGATGCCCTCAGTAAATTTATATGGCTTCTGGGTTCCAGTTTTTTTCCAGTAGACTTTTGTTTTGAGTCATCATAATTCCCAATGAAAGAGAACTAGTCTAAACTACTAAAGGAGAACCAAAGTTCTCCACATGAAAATCCGCACTACTGCTGGACATGCCTGTGAGAATCTTTCAGAAACTAGATGAAGAGTTAGGATGTCAATTGATTGCGGAAGAATCACCCCCCTCCACCAAACACACAAAAATACACACAATCAGAAAATGAAATACATCAGGGTTGTTTTGTGCATTTAAGATGTGAGATGGTTTGTTCATACCAATAGTTAACTAAAATATTTGCAATGGTAAATGAAGTATAATTAAGACAGAGAAAATCATAATTATTACCAAATCACTAGATATGTCTCCAAGTACCTATCTCAGGTATTTAAATTCTTCATGATATCAATACATATAACATATTTTCACTGATTTCTCTCTTTTTTACCATTATAATAAAATTAATTTTCATAATTCTTATAGTACACCAAGTCTTAGCCACTCATGTGACTCAAAAATACTTCTGATAGGGGAAGGAGGCAGAGAAACTGTAGGCAGACAGGGGTGGGTCCATGGCAAAACCCCACCTTCAAGCTAAAAGCCTCAAACCCGTGGTCCAAAGTGAGTACTTCCATCCCTGTTTATCCATTCTCTCCCTATTGGTTCTTTCTGAATAATGTATTTTTACCAATCAAATGTTGCCTTTTCAAAAACTACCTATGGCTTGCCCTCCACCACCCCTCATTCTGTGCCTATCAAGACCCCAGACTCTTCCAGTAGAAGCGAAGAAGCAGCTGGATGTCAGTGAGAGGCAACTTGACTTTAGAAGAGAAAGGCAGAGAGGCAACTAGCCTTCAGGGGAGAGTGGCCTGCCTTTCCCATTCCCTTTCCCGCTCCACTCTACACTGAGAGCTCCTTTCATTACTCAGTAAAATTCTCCGCAATCACTGTGGGCGGTGGCTCACGTCTGTAATCCCAGCACTTTGGGAGGCCGAGGTGGGTGGACCACGAGGTCAGGATATCGACACCATCTGGCTAACATGGTGAAACCCCGTCTCTACTACAAATACAAAAAATTAGCCGGGCATGGTGACCTGTGCCTGTAATCCCAGCTACTCGTGAGACTGAGGCAGGAGAATCATGAACCCAGGAGGCAGAGATTGCAGTCAGCCGAGATCGTGACACTGCACTGCACTCCAACTTGGGTGACAAGAGCCAGACTCCGTCTCAAAAAAAAAAAAAAAAAAAAAAAAAAATTATCCGCATTCACCATCCCTCAATTCGTCCACGTGATCTCATTATTCTTGGGCACTGGACAAGGGTTCAGGACCTACCAAGTGTCACACTGGTCCTTTGTTCTCGCTGGCAGAAGGCAGCCACCCCACACAATGAGGCCAAGGGCTCACTGAGCTGACAACACACTGCTGTCCACAGCTTAGACACTGGACCTAAGAGAGCATTTAACTTGCCCTCTGGGACCTTGGGGTTGCAGGCATCCCCGACTGGATGCTGCTACAGGGCCTGCATGGAGTTTACTCCTACTGGCACGAAAGCCGCTGGCCAGGTCCGTCACTTGTTTGCTCACATGCTCCCTCCCTTGAGGGGTTAAGTGTAGTGGGCTGAGTATAGAGGCACTCATCGCTAGTTCAACAAAGAGGTCAAGGAAAAAATCCTGCATCATTTCTACATTAAATATCTGTTTAATCATTATATCCTCATCTTCACTATAATTTATTTGCCTTTATTTCAAACTTGATTTTCTGACTTTAGGTCTAAACTCAATTTTCTAAATCATTTTATTTTCAGCTCTACCCAGAAAGGTGAACCTTTATTGTAGTTAGAAGTTATAATTTTCAAGTGCTTTAATAAAAGCTTATAATATAACTTAAATAAGTCTATTCATCAAAGTGGGCTGTGCTAGACTAACAACATATTCTGCCTCAATCCAACCATCCTTGGCATATTAAATCATTGTAGGGTGGCTCTCTACCGTTAAAAAGGCTGATAGAAATGCAATCCTCTTTAATGTTTGGTTTCTATAGTTACCATGGAAATCTCCATCACAACCATGTGCAAGAAAAAAAAGTTTCTTAAAAGGTTTAGATAAGAAATAACACACACCGTTCCTGCCTATTTTTGTTCGTAAGAAGTAACTACTATTGCAAAGATACATCTTATTCTGATATGCTACAAAACCTGATTTGGCTGTGCCCAGAGAGATGTGGGCACCAATTTTTGGTAAACAGCTAAAAAAATCTGCTACCGTGATTTTAAGTAATGTTAAATGTATATTAAGCACAAATAAAACTCCTTGATTTCTACGTTCCAGGTGACAGCAATATAAAAAGTGTTGAAGGATTTTTGGTTATTGTTATTCAGGTAGTTATTTCACAGTATATACCTTCTAATATTTTTCTTAAATTTCCCATTTCACAATAGATATAAACCAATTACCTTTTCAATTTCTGCATTAGAAATTTCTTCAAGTCAATTACTATAATAATTTTCAAAGTTTTTTGTCAAAACCAAAAGGAATCTAAAGAGATGTGATGAGTAAATGTAATGTCACATCCTGAATGGGATCTGTAACAAACACAAAGGCATTAAGTAAAAAATAAAAAATATCGTTAAAAAGTATGAATTTTCATTAATAATAATGTATCAATATTTGTTCATTAATTGTGAGACATTGCCATGCAGAAGTAATACATTAGCAACAGGAGAAATTGGGTATTCATTATAGAAGATAAACTTTATTCGTTATATAAGATAATCTGTACTTTATGTATAATTTTTCAGTAAATCTAAAACTATGCTGAAATTAAAATTTGACCAAAAATGTAAAAAGAAAACCTGTATGGTCTTATGTAAAGAAATACTACATAAAATATATCAATACTCTTAATTATCTTGCAATGTATTCTAAACATAAATTCAATAATTTTATAAATATAAGAGAAAGCTGTTTAATAAGTGCTTTCATTCTATAAACATTATCAATTTAAGGAATTTATTATAATTCCAGGAAAATTACAAAAGACATTTATTTAGTTTGTATTCTTTATTTTCTAGATTTAAATGTGTAACTTGAAATTCTGTATTTTTTTGTTTTCTGTTTTCTCTAGAATATCTAATGGGAACTATTTCTGCATTGTGATTTTTTTACACAATATCTGTTTTTCCCTTTAGAAACTGTATTGTAAAAATTGCAATGGTTAACTGGAAGTATTAGTACAGAATCTTATTTTTTTACTATTGGCTTGTAGCTACTCGGGAGGCTAAGGCAGGAAAATGGCTTAAGTGTGAGAGGTCGAGGCTGCTGTGAGTCATATTTGTATCAATGCACTCTAGACTAGATGACAGAATAAGACCCTGTCTCAAAAAAAATCCATTTATATCTGAATTGTTATGATGTTCGTAATTTTCTACAAGTAATATTGTATTTTTAATTTTGTTTAAAAATTCTGCAATTTATAGAATTTAAATTAATCAATGGTCTCAAATAAATTTTATCCTACATTTAAATATTGATATTTTAATACAGGAAATTGCCTGCCAGGCGAGGTGTCAGAGCCCCAGCAATGGAAAGCAATTTGCTCGTGGGTAGTAAGAAGAATTTACCCACAGCTGTATAGTTATACAAAGGTATGTTTTATTTAGACATAAAGAACAGTGCAGAAGTGTGCAGTGGGGCACTTCAGCAAGAGAGGACTGTGCACAAAAGGATGGATTTTTCCTTAGGGATATTTATGGACCTTAAAATGGGAGCTTAAGGGTAATTTGGACCATATTAGTCAAGTAGATGATGATAAATGATTACATTTGTAGACATTTCGGTGTCTTGATGTCAGCAAAAGTTGCATAAGAATTTCGACATGCATGCATTCCAGAGATGTACAGAAATTCTAGTTACCTATTAGTATCTCTTAATTAATGTTTGGGAAAGAAGCCTGGTACTAGATGCCAGCTTTAGAGAATAGGAAAGTCTAATTGTTATAGGAAAGGGGTCCAGATCCAGACTCCAAGAGAAGGTTTTTGGATCTTGTGCAAGAAAGAATTCAGGGTGAGTCCACAGTGCAAAGTAAAAACAAGTTTATTAAGAAAGTAAAGTAGTGAAAGAACAGCTACTCCATAGACAGAGCAGGGCGTTCCTGAGAGTAAGCGGAGGAACACATCCGTCCGAGGAACACATCCGCCCTAGGTACAATGCTTGTATGTATGGGGAGATGTGCTTTGTTACAAGGGTTTGTGATAAAGGATTAATTTTATTATTTACTATATTTTTCAATAATCAATATTATTATCTTTAAAGCAATATTAGGAATGTCTTTGTTCTCCAGATATCAGGATATCTGGACACTCCCAAATCTGGGTTTGTTTAGTAAACATTATTAATTTTTTCCCTTAACCATAAACATCCAGAGGCTAGGAGTTCCTGACTTTCTGGGAATGCAGCCCAGCAAGTCCCAGCCTCATTTTCCTAGCCATCACTCAAGATGGAGTCAGTCTGGTCCGAACGCCTCTGACAATTTCTCAAATAAGGAGTGTTGCCTCTGGATGGTCTGCTTGATGGCCACCGGGTGCTTTGCTCTTCTCTTTGATTAAAAAAGGAAATATCAGAAATATACAGAGTGGCATGAATTATTTAAATGACCGTTAAAAACATTCTAGTAACAGAGGAAATCTAGAAGGGTTAATAAATTACCTTGCTCAGAACCCATTTATCCAGTAACCAACAAATTATTTTCATCGACTTTCTTAATAAGAAAAAGGCTATCAAAAGATTGAAAACAGTATCTAAATGTCAAGTTCTCTCACACAGTTTTTTCTTAATCTCTTACTGTGACAACCTCCTACATTGTTGAATTGTCTTCAGAAAAGAAAGGAAGAAAACCTTCATCAAAGTGGTTCACAATAATTAGAATTTGTTTTCATTTCAATAGAAGAGAAAGCTTACTATACTATTCCCAGATACTATTTTTCATAATATCTTTGTTTTTTCTTTCGTAGGAACAACTTTGTGTCCTTCTATCACTGCATATTTGCCAATAAGACAAAAAGGTTACTTTTACATCTCATGAAAGATATTTCTTGCACCTAATTGTTAAAAAACTTCTTTGCAAAGATAATATTTTCTTTTTTTATATAGAATTGGGTTAAATTTATATTCTTGTACAAGCTAATATATTATGATTCAATTTTCTTTGGCTGCTCAGAAAGTAATATTTTGTTAATTATTAAATCACTATGATTTTATGGCACAAATATATTTCCATTTTGGTTAATTGCTTTTTATTCTTATAGACTTTAACGCTTTGTAAGTTTTACCACTGTCGATTTGATACCTGGAATTGTGCATGCCACATAATAGGTGCTCAATAAATATTAGTTGTATTTATATAGTATGTAGAAAAATGAAATGTTTTATTCACTTTGCATTAGAATTCATTTTTGATTTTAATCTCCTAGGTAATTTGCATGAGGGAGGTAGTGGAGGGGTAGCTAGATGAGAAAAAATTGCAAGTATGAGGCATTCTTGAATAACAGTCGAATTGGTATTCAAATGCTATGCTTAGTCAACTGCAGGGCATTTGCTTTGAAGAAAGGGTAAGTTAAACTAAAACGCTGTGGTTAATTGAAAGAGGTCCATATCCTTTTAGGAGGAAAAGAAGCGGGGAAAAACAAGACAGGTAGCTGGCAAAACCTGAAGCTTTGAACAAGAGATTATAAAAAGCTTCTGTGTTGTCTGTGATGTGACTTTTCTTCCCCATCTCTCTTATAATCTTTATTAGAGGATCTGATGATGTCTTAAAAACTGAATCTGGCTTAAAAGTGAATACAGAGTAAGAATATTAGCTCAAGGAGAAAAAGAAATGGTTAATTATATTTGTCTTCATAATTTAATAACTAATAAGTTAGATTGCTAATAAGATTGAACATCCTTTAAAAATATAATGAGTTTAAATAATATATAATTTCAGTAAACCAATAATAATGACATGGGCTCTAATTAAGAAAAGTGCACAGCAGTAACCAAAGAATTACCTTCATGGGTTAACTCATTCTCCTTTCATTCCATATTGACATCGTAGAAACTGTCTGCTACAAAGATTCTAATGATTTTGCTTATAAGCCCTAACAGATAAAGATATATTAACAGATGATAAAAATCATGATGCCTCACAAATAATCGAACAAGTAATATCCATTCTATATATGCCAGATACCATAGGAATGTAAGGGCATTACTGGAAACTTTATCATCAGAGAAAGGCAGCTTTATCTTATACTTCGCATAAATACAATACATACTCAAAATTGTCATTTCATATGGCTCATATACCACAAATATCCTAATATATTTAAAACTAAATTTTAAAGTTTGAGTGCTATTGGAAGGGTCTTTCCAGAAGTGTTATAGATTTTTATTGAAACATATGCATTTATATTTAATTGAAAACTATATACGATAGTTTAAAACTATATACGATAGTTTAAAACTATATACGATAGTTTAAAACTAAATCTTATGTTTAGTTTAATGATCAAAGTTTTAATTTCTTTCAAATTTGCTACTTTTTTCATATTCATTGCCATTCATCATTTTGCTATTTAACATTTTTGAGCTTGTTCTTTTTATTTTCTGCTCTTTCAAAATAAAACTTTTTTTGTAGCTTATTGTTTTTAGTAGGTATGCAGTAATTTTCCATGGCGCTTACTTCTCTTCATAAGCTAAAGAAGAGTAAGCAACTTGGTATTTCCTTCATAGCAAAATTAAAAGTAGAATGATAAAAAACACATCATTCTTAGCTCATTTTGTTTTCTCCTTGATGTATATAAACAAATATTCAGTATAAAATAAGAACTCAGCCAACAAGCCAGAAAGAGATGAGTTGAGAAGTTATTTAGGGGAAAAAAATCTGTAAATTGTGTGTTAGAAAGGTGTGTTACACAGTTTTAGATGAATAAACTTTCCCATGTCACAGATTAGCTTCAGTAGAAATTGCATCCTCTGATTAGAAATATTTTTACTTCTGCAAAGAGTTAATTGACTTGATCAGAATGAAGAATAAACCTAATTACTGATAGTAAACCCAGGATCAATATCAGAATTGAGTATCAGCATACATACTGAATTTGATTTGAGTTTGAATTTCTCCTTGTACCTTTTTTCCTTTTATCTACCTTTACACATTTATATCCTTTTATACATTTGAATTTCTCCTTGTACCTTTTTTCCCTTTATCTACCTTCTTTTATATTAAATACAGAAGCACAACAATCTCATTCTCCCCTCTCCAAAATGAACTACGTATATGTGTTATAAATAACAAAATGTAAACACCTCCAAAGAATAATGTCAAACTAATATGTTGATCAAATAATGTGATTTCTCTTCTGATTATGCAGATGATTTATTTAATAAGACAAATTATGATTTCAAACAAATGAATTAAAAGCATGTCCACTTTTATTTGCAGTCTAGATTAAAACGCAAAACTATATGCTTTGCATTATATAAAAATAGTCATTTTATGAAAATACATTTAAAGATATTTAATATCTATTTAATTCTATCTTAGAGATAAAATTTTATTATCAATGTGTGTGCTTCTCCCTCTAGGGTAATAAAGGGATAATAATTAATTCAATAAGCAATATTTACAAAGTATGTATTATGTAACAGTGCCTGAGCCATGAGTCTGGTACTAGGCAAAGACTATGACAAAGTTTTCAAAGAGGAATAGTAAGAAATGAAAGTAAATTTGATGAAACTTTAAAACTAAAATACAGAAAAAATATACATCAAATATTCTTCAATGAGGAGAAGGAGAATTCAAAACTAATGTTAGCTTGAAGGAACTGACCTATATTATTAGCATCGAATAATCAATATTTTTACAGGGCAAAATGTGGGAAAGGTCTTTTTAGGTAGAAAGAGATTTAAGAGTAAATTTGCAAAACTATGAAATATAAGGGTATATTATGAATGATGTAAGAAATTAACAGTTGTTACTGACTTTTAGGGTTCTCAGAAGTCTCTTTGCTGACTGGTGATTTTTTGCTCATGCTCTATATTTTGGAATGCTGAAGGGTTGGTCTTGGAAAACCCTCTTGTAGCTTCTAAATATTTTTCCCTTTGGATCTCTCCTAATGTGTCTTGTACCATGAATTTAAATGTCATCTCTATATTAAGTTCAAATCTATAGCTTCACTTCATCCATCAACGAATAATCCTGTGAGGCCAATTGGTATTCCATTAGTTGTCTAAAAAGAATCTAAAACAGAATATATCTGAAATAAATTTTCTACTTCTTCCCCTGATTTCCAAGCCTCAGTTGATGACACTTCTATCTATCTAGTTGCTCAGTCAGTCTATGAAGCATTCTTGATTTTATTTTTTTATCATACATGTCTGCAATGATTAATTTTTTATGTCATCTTGACTAGGCTATGGGGAGCCCACATTAAACATTATTTCTGAGTATGTATTTGAGTGTGTTTCCAGATAAAGTTAGGATTTGACTCAGTGCACTTAATAAAGTAGATTGCCCTCCTCAATGTGGGTGTGCATCACCCAATTTTTGATGGCCTTAGTAGAACAAAAGGCAGAGGAAGGATGTATTGGTCTCTATTTTTCTGACTTACTATTTGAGCTGGAACAATGCATCCTATGTTCCTCTGTGATAGGCTTCCTGCTTCTCATGCCAAGTCTGGCTTTTCTGGGCCCCCAGCTTGCATACAGAAGGTGAAACAACTTCAAATTATTTTCTCTATATGTTCCCTGTGGATTCTGTTTCTCTGGAGAAACATGACTAATATCATGTCCAAGTAATCAAGTGATTTTCTATTTCGTAATGCCTGAGTTATGTCCTGTCATTCTATTACTTTTAAAATCTTGGCGCAAACAACTTTGATATCTCACAAGGACTATCAACTTCTTATCTATCTTCCTACTTCCAGTCTTGCCACTCTACAAGCCATTCTCTTCACGTTAGCCAGAGTGAAAATTTTAAACAGGAAAAATATTTTCTCTTCCCTCTTAATTCTTAGTAAATTGTGGCTTCTCACATTTTTCTTTAAGATGCCTAAAGAATTTTTATACTTTTTAAAATAAATGTGTCTTTTCAACAAATCTGGTTGAGGGGTTAATTTTTTTTCTTTCATCTTCCTGTTCTCAATTTTATTATTGTACTCTATTTCTTATCATTATTTCTTTTCTTCTATTTGCTTTAGGTTTAAAATGCATCCTTTCTCTACTTTCTTAAGGTACAAGCTTTTATTGATCTTGCAATTTTTTTCTAATATATCCATTTATCAATATTCATTTCCTACTACATATCATTTTCACTATATTGTGCACATTTTGATAAGTTTCATTTTTATTTTATTTACTCCAAAATACTGTTTTTTCCAGTTTCTATTGAGACATTTTCAGACTCATATGTTTTTGAAAAATACTTTACTCCCCAAATATTTGGAATTTTACACTTATCCATCTTTTATTAATTTGTACCTTAATTTTAATTTGGTCAGATTATACTTTGTAAGATTTACATAATTTTGAATTTATGTCTTAAGACACAGAATGTAGTCTATCTTGGTGAATGTTCCATTTAACGTTGAGATTGTATAGTCTGTTTTTGTTGAATGGAGTAGTCTAGAAATATAAACTAAACTCAGCTGCTAAATAGTACTGTTCAGGTCAACTACGTTGTTACTGATACTCTGCTTGCTTGCCCCTTTAGTTATTGAAAAAAAGTCTGCTGAAGTTTTCAACTGTAAAGTGAATTCATTTATTTTCTCTTACAGTTCTACCAGTTCAATATTCATGCACTGTTGCTTGGTTCATACATGTTTACGATCATTTTATCTTACAGGTAACTGACTGCTTTACTATTGTTTGATGCATCTCTTTATCCCTGATACTTTGCCTAGTTCTAAGTCTGCTGCATTTGAAATTACTATGACTACTCCAGATTTCTTGTATTAGTGGTAGTATATCCTTCTCCTTTCCATTATGTTAATTTCTCTAAATCTTTATACTTAACGTGTATTTCTCGTAGAAAACAAAGAGTTGGGTCTTCTTATATATAGTTTGGCAATCTCTGTTTTATATAATTGTGTAATTTGTCTATTTACATTTAAAATGTTTATAGACATAGTTGGATTAATATCTACCATGTTTTCTCTTTGTTGTATTTTTTCCTTTGTTTATTGATTTTCTGCCTCTTTTCTGTTTTAGTGATTTCCCTAGAGCTTACAATACACATTTATAATTATTCCAAGTCTATCTTTAAATATCCCTATGGCACTGCAAATATAGTGCCAATGCCTTATAACCAAAGGTTCCTAATTTCTCTCTCCTTACGCATATTCTATAATCAGCCCTGTACATTGGTATTATAATTAGTTTTTTAAACTTTTATTTTAGATTACAGATAAGAAATATAAATGATCCTATCTTCAATTATACCCTTACTGTTCTTTTCTAAGTAGATTTGTGTTTCTGACTTGTATTATTTTTTTTCTCCCTGAAGAACATCTTTTAGTATTTCCTGAAGGGCAGTTCTACAGTCAATGAATTCAGTTGGTTTTTGTTTGAGGAAGTCTTGTTTATCTTTTAAGTTTTGAAGGAAAATTTATCTCTCTATAAAATTTTAGATGATAATTTTGATTCCTCTTACCCTTAAATTATTTCACTTTTCTTTCTTCTAATTGGAATTATTTCAGATGATAAGACTGCTGTAATTTCTAACATTCTTATATGTAAAGAGCCCTACTGATATAGCTCGGCTGTGTCGCCACCCAAATCTCATCTTGACTTGTAACTCCCACCATTCCCATGTGTTGTGGGAGGGACCCAGTGGAGGGAGATTGTATTACGGCAACAGGTTTTTCCTGCGCTGTTCTTGTGATAGTGAATGAGTCTCATAAGATCTGATGGTTTTTATAACAGGAATTTCCCTGCACATGCTTTTTTTTTTCCTTGCTGCCATCCATGTAAGATGTGATGCTCTCCTCCTTGCCTTCCGCCATAATTGTGAGGTCTCCCCAGCCATGTAGAACTGTAAGTCCAATAAACCTCTTTCTTTTGTAAATTGCCCAGTCTTGAGTATGTCTTTATCAGCAGCATGAAAATGGACTAATATACCTAATTAAACTTAGTTTCTTTCATTTTTCCCTTTCTCTTTAGTTTTCTGTAGTTTTGGTATGACATGACTAGGGGAGATTTTAAGCTATTGATCACGCTTGGTATTCCCTGAGCTGCTAACTCTGGTTTGTTGTCTATCATTAATATTGAAAATTTCTAGTTTGTTATTGTTTAAAATACATTTTTATACTCTGTTCTCTCTTCTACTGGTATTTCAATTATGCATATTTTTCACATTTCGAAATTGTTCTTAAGTTCTTGGAGTATTGGTGTTCTGTTTTTATTGTTTGTTTTTCTTTTTGCATTTCAGTTTGGGAAATTTTTATTGACCAATCTTCAAGCTCACTGTTTTGTTTTGTTTTTTTCCCTCAGCTTTGTCATTATGAGCCCAATAAAGACACTCTGTCTTTCTGTTAAAGTGATTTGTTTTTGATTTCTAACATTTCCTTTTGTTCATTTCTTAGCATTTCCATCTGTTTGCTCACATTACACATCTGTTTTTTAAAGTTCTTTTACTTTTTCATTACCCCCATCATATTTATCGTAAGTATTTTAATTTCTTTGTCTGCAAATTCTGATATCAATGTCATGTCTAAATCCGGTTTTGATGCTTGCTTTGTCTCTTTAAACTGTGTTTTGTTTTTCTTGCCTTTTAGCATGCCTTATAATTCTTTGTGTAAACCCAGAAATTAGGTATTAGATATTAAACACTGAATTATAAAGGCCTTAGTGTGTGTGTGTGTGTGTGTGTGTGTGTGTGTGTGTGTGTGTCTTGTCAAACTGGCTAGGAGATAAATTGTAATTTATATCTAATTAGACAATGTGTTAGTTATAGTTGTAGGTGTCAGAGTCTTCAAATTCCCATAGTATCTGTATTAGTCCATTCTCACATTGCTAGAAAGAACTACATGAGACAGAGTAATTTATGAAAAGAGGTTTAATTAACTCACAGTTCCACAAGCTGTATAGGCAGCATGTGTGAAAGGCCTCAGGAAATTTACAATCACGGCAGAAGACAAAGGGGAAGCTAGCACCTCTTACCATGACAGAGCAGGAGAGGTTCAGAGAGACACTGAAGGGGGAAGTGCTACACACTTTTAAACAACCAGATCTCATGAGAACTCTTTCATGAGACAGCACTAGAGCAATGGTCCTAAACCAATAGAATCCACTCCCATGTTCCAGTCACCTTCCACTAGGCCCCACCTCCAAACTTGGGGGATTACAGCTCAATATGAAAATTGAGTGAGGACACAGAACCAAACCATATCATTCTACCCTGGCCACTTCCAAATTTCAGGTCCTTCTCACATTTCACAACACATTAATACCTTCCCAAGAGTTTCACTAAGTCCTAACTCATTTCAGCATTAACTCAAAAGTCCAAGTCTGAAGTATTATCTGAGACAAGGCAAGTCCCTTCTGCCTAAGAGCCTGTAAAAGAAAAAAAAAAGTTATTTACTTCCAAGATAAAATGGGGGGTACAGACATAGGGTAAATGTTTCTATTCCAAAAGAGAAAAGTTGGCCAAAACAAAGTGGATACAGGTCCCAGGCAAGTTGGCAAGTCTAAAATTCAGCAGGGCAGACATTACATCTTAGAACTTCAAAATAATCTTTCAGTCTGTGTCTGACATCCAGACCACACTGATGCAAGGTGTGGGCTCCCAAGGCCTTGGGAAGCTCCACCCTGTGGCTCTGCAGGGTACAGCCTGCTCAGCTGCTTTCACAAGCTCTTGTTGAGTAAAACAGCCTATGGTTTTTCCAGGTGCATGGTGCAAACTGTCAGTGGATCTACCGTTCTGGGATCTGGAGAATGGGTAGCCCTCTTCTCACAGCTCCACTAGGCAGTGCCCCTGTAAGGACTCTGTTTGGGGGCTCCAACCCCATGTTTCCCCTCCTCACTGCCCTTGTAGAGGTTCTCCATGAGGGCTCCCCCCCTGCAACAGACTTCTGCCTGGGCATCCAGGTGTTTTCATATGTCCTCTGAAATCTAGGCAGAGGAGCAAAGCCTCAACTCTTCTGTTCTGTGCATCAACAGGCCCAATATTGACAGGCTTGGGGCTTGCACTCTGTAGAGCAACAGCCCCAGCTGTACCTTGGCTCCTTTCAGCTATGGCTAAAGCTGGAGTGGATTGGACACAGAGTTCCATGTCCTGAGGCTGCAAAGAGCAGCAGGGCCCTGGGCATGGCCTACAAAACTATTTTTTCCTCCTAGGACCCCAGGTCTGTGATGGAGTGGCTGCTGCAAAGGTCTCTGAAATGCCTTCAGGGCACTTTTCCCATTCTCTTTGCTATTAACCTTCTGCTCCTTTTTACTTATGCAAATCTCTGCAATCAGCTTGAATTTCTCTCTTGAAAATGGGTTTTTCTTTTATATGATATGGTGAGGCTGCAAATTTTCCAAACATTTATGCTCTGCTTCCTTTTTAAATGTAAGTTCCAGTTTCAGATAATTTCTTTGTTGATGCAAATGAGCATAGGCTTTTAGAAGCAGCTAAGTCACATCTTGAACACTGTTGCTTAAGATTTCTTGCACCAGATACCTTAAATCATCTCTCTCAAGTTCAGAGTTCCACCGATCTCTAGCACAGGGGCATAATGCCACCAATCTCTTTGATAAAGCATAGTAAGAGTGACCTTCACCTCAGATCCCAATAAGTTCCTCATCTCCATCTGAGACCACCTCAGCCTGGGCTTCATTGTCCAAATTACATAAGCATTCTGGTCACAACCATTCAACAAGTCTTTAGGAAGTTCTAAAGTTTCCTTTATCTTTATGTTTTCTTTGAGCCCTCCAAACTGTTCTAACCTCTGCCGGTTACCCATTTCCAAAGCTGCTTCTGTATTTTGAGGTTACTTTATACAATGCCATACTTCTTTGGTACCAATTTTCTGTTTAGTCCATTTTCACCCTGCTATAAGGAACTACCTGATACTGGGTAATTTATGAAGAAAACAAGTTTAATTGACTCACAGTTCCACATAGTATAACTGGAAACATGTCTGGGAGTCCTCAGGAAACTTGCAATTACAGTGGAAGGCAAAGAGGAAGTAAGCACATCTTACTGAGAGAGAGAGAGAGAGAGAGAGAGAGAAAGGTGAAGTGGTACACACTTTGAAACAACTAGATCTCATAAGAACTCTATCATGAAACAGCACTAAGGGGATGGTGCTAAAGCATTAGAAACCACCCCCATGATCAAATCACCTCCCAGCAGGCCTCACTTCCAACACTGGGTGATTACAATTCAACATGAGATTTGGGTGGGGACACAGAGCCAAACCCTATCAGTCTCCTTATTTTTATCTCTCTTGTTGACACTAGGATTCTCAAAGTACTCTTTAGAGAATATATATTTGGAAGCTCTTTCTCTTGTTATGCATTTACTGTGCAAGAACCCTCTTGGTGGGGAGATAAAGGTGTGGGGGATGGAAAGCATTCTGTAATCTTGCAATTAAATCTGTCTTTGAGTGAGCCCTGTATCCCTGGGCTATGACCTTCAAAAGCGTTTCTTACTTTTCCATTTCCTTAGGTGAGTCAGGAAAGCTAGAGAGGGCTAGAGTAGGAGAGATGCCCATCCCTGAGGTAGAATAAAGCTCTGCCTAAGTCTCTCCCACTACTAGACTAGGCCTTTTTATGGAGAATACTCCGAGTGTATTTTACAAACGGTTACCCATCCCTTCCATTTATCAGAGCCACAAGAATATCTCTCTCGCTCTTCACTACTAGAACCTAGTAAGGGTCCTGGAAATAAAACCAAAAATAAAAAGCAAAGTTTGTGGATCCACTAAATTCACATGTCTGGGGAGTTTCTAAGTTTCACTCTAGTCTATACTCAGCCTCTAGTTAATTTGTCAAACTTTCCAGTTGAATGTTCCTACCAGTTTAGGGTTCTAGTAGCTCCTGCTCCAAGTAAGCAGATCTCAGATGTGATTCTCTAGGTTCTCCTAACTCTCCAAATTTTGAGGTAGAGCTTTGCCCTACAACCTCAGTTCTCTGATCAGTCTAAGTAAGGATTGATTATCAGTTTGTTCAGCTTTTACTTGTTGTGAGGATAAAAGTAACAACTTCCAACTTATTACGTGCCTAAGCTGACACATGAACTGTAGAATCTTTGTTGTTTTAATTTTCATATTTAGATCCATAATCCACCTGGATTTCTTTACTGTTTATGACACAACATATAATCAAGTTTATGTTTACATAAATACATCAAATACATCCCATTGACCTATTAATATTCTTCGTCACCATATAGGGTTTCTTTTGTCATAAATCAGAATTACTACATCTGTGCAAGTGTGTATTTGCTTCTGTTCCAATGGTCTAACCAGCATCCTGTTGTTTTAATTGATGTAGCTTTAAAAGTCTTTATGTGTGGGAATAGTCTTTCAGCTTGGTTCTTTCTCATCATTTTGGGTACACTGGTCATTTATATATTCAAATAAATATCACAATCCCCATGTCAATGATGGAATTGTGGTGCTAATTTTGTGGACACTTTAGAGTAATTTAACTGCCAATTCAATAAATCTTTAAAACATCATCTATTATTCTATCAGAGAGTCTACTTCAGCATGATGATGAACTTGCTACCACTGCTAATTCTGTGATCATAAGTCAATAGCTGCAGTTCATTTTTTGTAAAATAAGATTTTTTTTCAGAAGCAATGCTATATAGAATCTTGTCAGTGAGTAAGAAATGCTACAAGTCTACAGTTTGTACATATGGCTGAAATATTGAGGGAAAATAAAGGTACTTGCCATAGGGCCATTAAGATTTAAGTCTAACACATAATCAATTCAGAGTTTTTAAGTTTTTGTTTTTGTTTTGGAAATTTTAAAGATTTTATTTTGGAAATTATTTATAGTGCCTTTTTATTTTCCATTAAACTATTCAGAGAAGCAGCACTCATCCAGTTATATAGAATCAAAAATATACCAGAATTAGACATAATTCAATTTTGAGAATTGATGAAGAAGACTTTATTAACTTATTGCATATGCTTTGGTTGGTGGCCATGAAATCCCTATAGGTCAGTAGGATCAACAGTTTGGAAGAAAAGTTGGATTAGAGTCACATAGAGCAAGGGCAATATAGAACACATGAGAAAAAAAAATAGTTTACCCTTGTCTCTCATTGCCTCCAAAATCTACAATGAAGATTATCTGGAGGAGAAGCTAATACTTTTCATGCTTGTGGCAGCATACAAACATAGTCCTCTTCTACAGCAAGTAAAGCCAGTAGGTGAGTGATGTTGTTCCTAAGATGCAACAGAGCTTGCAGACCTACATCAATTTTCAGAGCATAATAACCGCAGCTTCACTTCTATCTCCAAAATGTTTCACAATCTCATCTTGTAGCTAACCTTAAACCAGAAACCTAAAGGTTATCCAGGGTAGAGTAGTTTTTACTTTACTATTTTGAAACAATATCACAAGCCTGTATATAAATTAATTTTTTACTAAATTATTTCTCAGTTTTTGGGTGCTATCGTAAATGGTATCCTTTATATATTTTGTTTTTACTATTTGATTGTTGATATATTGGAATACAACTAATTTTAGTAAAATGACTTTCATACAGAGACCTCACTATATCCACTTATTAACAGATTAAATTATCTATATGTTCTTAAATTTTATATGCATGCAATTATATATTTGCATTAGTCTGTTCTCATGCTGCTGATAAAGACATACCCGAGACTGGGTTATTTATAAAGAAAAAGAGGTTAAATGGACTCACTGTTCCATGTGCCTGGAGAAGCCTCACAATCATGGCAGAAGGCAAAAGGCACATCTTACATGGTGGCAAGCAAGAGAGAGAATGATATCCAAATGAATTGGAGTTGTTCCTTATAAAACCATCAGCTCTTGTGAAATGTTTTCAGTATGACAAGCACAGTATGGGGGAAATTGTCCCCATGATTCAATTATCTTCCACCAGGTCTCTCCTACAACACATGAGAATTATGGGAGATACAATTCAAGATGAGATTTGGGTGGGGACCCTGCCAAACCATATCAATATTCTGAAAATACTTGCAATTTAGCCTCTTACATTTTATATACCATAATTATTTTTTTCTTTTTGCCTTATTGAAAAATTCTGTATAATGGTAAATAGCAGTGTTAATAGAGGATATCTTCTTGGTACCAATATTTTAATAATTCTTAATTACATATTTGTATTTTATGTTTTTTTGAAGATATTTTTATCAGGATTAGTAAATTTTCTCATATTGCTAAGTATTTGCAACATAAATGAGAGCTGTATTTAATGAAATGGTATTATGGTATCTATTGAGATGATCATGTTACAATTCTCCTATATCATATTAATATAGCATATTAAGTTAATTGAATTTTGAATATTCAATTAGGCTTAAACTACAACAAATGTACCTTGTTTATAATGCATTATAATTTCATATGATCTCTAGATCATATTTGCTAATACTTGGTTTAGTATCTGCAATATACTCATTACACTGGAATTTTCATTTCTTGTAAATCCTTAGTGTATGTGAGTGTGTAATATATACATGTTTATATTTATACACATAAACACTATTTTATATACATGTATATAAATACATACACTATTGATACCAACTTGTCATAATGTTTTGTTTTTGTTTTTGTTTTTGTTTTTGAGACGGAGCCTCGCTCTGTCGCCTAGGCTGGAGTGCAGTGGCGCGATCTCAGCTCACTGCAAGCTCCGCCTCCCGAGTTCACGCCATTCTCCGGCCTCAGCCTCCGTAGTAGCTGGGACTGCAGGCGCCCGGGCGCCCGCCACCACGCCCGGCTAATCTTTTCCTATTTTTAGTAGAGACGGGGTTTCACCATGTTGGCCAGGATGGTCTCGATCTCCTGACCTCATGATTTGCCCACCTCGACCTCCCAAAGTGCTGGGATTACAGGTGTGAGCCACCGTACCCGGCCAACTTGTCATAATGTTTTATAAATTCTATTTTTTAGTAGATGTAAGTGTATTCAGCCTATATATATTTTTCTTGCTTTAATTTGGCTAGGTTAGCTTTTTATCTAAAATTTTAAGTTAATTAACAAAATGTTACATCCTCATTTTTCAATATGTATAAGATTTTCAGTTATGATCTTTCACACATATTGCTTAATTTTTTTTTTTGTGCTTATCTCAGGGTAATTTTGTGTGTGTGTGTGTGTGTGTGTATTCATTTGCAAGAAACTAATATTTGACTTTGTCAATTTATTATGAATCTTATAATGTCATTAAATTTTGTTCTTCCTTTCTTCTATTTCCTTTAGGTATGATTTACTTTTTCTTTTCTACATTCTTGAGATGAATACTTAAGCCGCTGTTTGTCACACTCTTTTTATAATATATTCATTTAAGTTACATAATTTCCTTCTAATGATTGCTATGGATATATCCAACAAATTTTTGAATTTCACATTTTCCTTGTACTTTAGTTTAAATTCCATTCTGTTTTTCTATTGTGATTTTCTACTTTACCAATTTTAATACTTAATTTTAAATCCCATTTTAAATTTTAACAATTTAGATGATGTTTCTATGTATTTTGGCATTGTATTATAACTAAACTCCATGAGAGAATTGTCTGTGCTCTATAACACATTATGATTAGTTATGTTAAATGTTTCAAGCGCACTTAAAATAGTGTATATTCTCTCATTGCATACAGTGTTTTATATTTGTCAATTACGTTAAACTGGTTAACAATATACTTAAGATCTATATTCTTGTTTATATTTTGGTTGCCTTTCCTATGATATTTTAGAATAAATGTGTTCATATTCTCCACTATGATTGTAGAAATATCTATATTACTTTGTAATTCTGTCATTTGCTCTATATACTTAAAGCTATCTTATTATGTGCATACAATTTAGAATTATTATATCATCCTAGGAAATAATCTATTTATTCTACATTCATTAGGCTGCTAGCAAGATGGCCGAATAGGAACAGTCCCGTCTGCAGCTCTCCAGCGAGAACAACTCAGGAGGTGGATGATTTCTGCATTTCCAACTAAGGTACCCTGTTAATCTCATTGGGACTGATTAGGCAGTGGGTGCAGTCCACAGAGGGTGAGCAGTAACAGGGTGGGGCATCGCCTCACCTGGGAAGTGCAAGGAGCGGAGGAGCCTCCCTTTCCCAGTCAAGGGAAGCCATGAGGGACTGTGCTATCCCGCCTGGATACTATGCTTTTCCCACGGTTTTTGCAACCCGCATACCAGGAGATTCCCTCGTGTGCCTATACCACCAGGGCCCTGGGTTTCAAGAACACACTATATTTTTCTTTAATTTTGTAAGGAGGAAACATTGAGATTTGTGTATGAGTCGGAATCTTTTTGAGATAAAACATTTATATCAATATGTTTAATTAAAGAAAGCATAATGTAGGACCATTGAAAGTGTCATGTGCAGCGTTTAGGAGGGCCAGCAGTGTGGATGATAAAATACCCAAAGAACTATGATATGGCTATCCAAAGGGGAAACTGTAAGAAAATTTTAACAGGATGAGTAAAATGTAGTTCTAAGAAAGGGCATACCGACAGTAGTGAAGCTATATGGTATAATAAGAAAACCGCATTTCAGTAACTTGGCAGGGGAGAGTGAGGAAAATAAATAGTGTCTTTTTTCCTTCACAATCCTCCAATTTCCTCCTAGTCTCTCCTATTGGCACAACCCAGCTAGAAGATACTAAGTAAGGGAATTTGTTGATTCAGTCCGTTGATACAGTGGGGAACATGGATAATATATTTAGACAGTAAAATTTAAAAAAAAAAAATCTAGTCCAATTATCTCTTAAATGTTATGCCGTAGTTGCTGAGCATCTAAAAGACGATGTGAATTTGAGTCATTTGTGTGTAGTACTTATAACGTTAGGTGTTACAGAAATAAATGATGAATTTTCTAGAATACACTGAAGAGTTGCTCCTTTTATGTGGTGGAGGGGCTGGTGTAAAGATTTCAATGTCTCTTGAATGTCCTATTCCAGTTAATGAAGTGAGCATAACAAAGAGTGGTGTTTTGTTATAACTAAACAGGAATGGGGTGGTTTGAAATAATAATACAAAGATTTTACTTCATGTAGTGGAAGGTCTTTTGTAGATTCCTACTCTTCATGGAACTTGTCCTTCCAAACTGAAGATTTCATGACACAGTAATTCTCCTTCTCACATGAAGAGATAAGAGAATTTCTCATTTTAAGGCGGGAGACAATCTGTAACAGAATATTAGTATGAATTTGTCTAAACAGTTTTAAGAGGACGTCATTATATGAAATCAGCATATCAAGCAGAAATCTTCCAAATCAAATTGGCAAAGCACTTATAAAGGTAGAAAAGTGAATGGACAGATGTCAGATAAAAATTAATGTATTATTTTTCTGCATAGAGAACAATATACTGAATATATAATTACTTGATGGCATGATGTCAGTCTTCATTCAGCTAATCATTAATATATCTTCTACTGGTAGTCTAACTCTTTGTATTCTTGAAAGAATACAGCATCTTTCTGTTTACTATACATCTTGCTAGGTTTTGCAGCAGTAAGAAAGACATCTAACATCTACAAATGTCATAGTTTAAAGACAGTACCCAGGGGTTGTCAAGGACTGATTGTCATAAATATATTTGTCATAGAAATTTCTCTATAAATTGATATTAAATGACTATAGAACATATGTTCTTCAAGGTTGCTGAGAATGTTAAATGACCACTATTTCCCTGTTGGTTTTGTCAAATTTGAAAGTACATGACATAGCAAGATAAAAAGAAAATCATGATCTTTTGACCTGGTGGAAAGTTTTAAAATGAGAAAGAAAAGCACGCAAAATAATTCCTCTCTTTTTCAGTTCAGGGGGAAAAATAAAACCCAAACAAACAAAAAAAATCATTATTACTGGGTATGCAGCAAAATGTACAAAAAATTTACTTCACACCTTTAATTTCTCAGTTATCTTGAAATAATTTTTAAGCTTAGACAATTGTGGTAACACAAGGATAGCCTGAAAAATGTCACTTAATTTCAAATAATATTTTTTGTGTTTCATTTTAATTCTATTTTTTCTTATATTCATTTCTGGCAGTTCAGAGTTTAGATAATACTACATTGTGATCTTATAGAAGCTACTCAAATTAAAATAATGACCTATAATGTAATATGACAGATAATTTGAGCCTCACATGTGAAATAAAGTTTGGAAACAATTAACCAAGTTCACAGAAGGAAAAATGAATCAATAATAAGCTTTATACCTTGATTCTGTAATCAAATATTATATGGATGTGCTTTGGGTTTTGTTTTGATAGCTGAACTTTGAGCCAATCAAGGTAGCACAAGCAGAGATGAATAATTACTCTCAAAGCTGCACTGTTAGATTTATGTCTAAAATATTGCCAGAAAAAAGAGGAAATCTCTCCCACTACCACTGTGCACTACGCTCTGCAATTTGTACTATTAGCATTTCTGTGTCAGGAACTTGAATTTGCTACATGCAGTAGTACCCCCTGCACCATATTACCTTTTGTTTGCAGGTATTACTTATGTATGTTTTCTTCATAGCTACTGTTATGACTCCAAGACATCAGTCAAACTCTGGTCAGGACTCTTTGAATTGATGTATCTTTGGCCACAGCCTTTGCCCTAGCTACGAAAAAGGTGGGAAAATAAGTATGTCAAAGAGAGGCAATATTTTCACAGACAAATGGGGGAAATCTCAAAATTTGGAGACCTCAAATACTGGAAGAAGAAAATGTAAATTTTCTTTGTTTTCTTTCTTGGTGTTTTGTTGGTATTGTTGTTTTGTGGTGTTAGTGGCAGTGGTGATGGTGATATTTATATTTATTTGATTGGTTTTGGTTATTTTCAATCAACTGAGGAAGGGTATAATTTTAAATTGCAATGTGAGGAATTTAGATGTATTATTAGGAAAATATTGAGTTGTAAATTGTTGAAATTTTTGAAATTGTTGAAAAACTGTCCTCCTAGTTATATGCCAATAGCTTCCATTCTACTTCTGCTAGAAATGAAGTCTTTTGCAACACAATATTTGTGTGATGTTTGTCCAGATTCTACTTCTTATTGAACACAAAGTTTTATTCTAAATCTAGTTACTAACTTACAAATACAGTATTTTCCCCTAAATCCCTCCCAATATTCTGTATAAGATTATTAATTTTGTGGCATGCCTTAGCGTCCAATCCTTGAAAAACACATGTAACTCTGTGCTTCCACAATCCTTAAAATTGTACAGTTTACCATAAGATCCTATAACCCTGTTTCCCATTTATCATTAAGTTAAATGTGTTTTCAAAAAGTACCCTGTAATAAAAAAGAACAATAATATACTCATGGGCTATGTTTTTATTCCCTTCAGCTGTTTCAAAATAAGAGCTCAATAAACAACTGTTGAATAAAATTTGTCATTTCAGAAAAGACTTAAACAAATATTTAGAATAGTTATTTAATTCCAAAACTACAGAGTACATTTCTATTACCACATTTTTTATTTAGAATAGAAGGAAGAGGTTTTTGCTATTTAAGAGGCATGCAATTGATAAAGCAGTATCAAGACTATGAAAATAATTATTATCTGCTGTTTCAGATTCCATACACAATTTGAGTTGGAATTATATAAAACATGCTTGATATATGTAAATGGAAAACAAAAATAGACTGTGCTTATCTCATTTGATTTTAAATAACAAGGTTTTGTAGCTGAAAATCTAGATATTAGTTATTCAGCTTATAGATCTATTGTGAGTATCAAATTAGATAATGCCTTTCCAAATACATTGTAAACTCTGAAACATTAAAATAAATATTTAGAGTTACTGTTTTCAAAGATTAAAGTAAATGAAGGAGAGCAAGCAAACTAAATCTAATTAAGAAAATATTTATGCCAACTTTAGAACAAAATAAGTGTCCTCATCAACTTGTTGCATTTTATCTTCACATATTGCTAATTATTTTATAAAATAAATATTGTAAACAGTATAGATTCTCTAGCTATTCTTAAGCAAATGCTACCAACTCAGGTTGATAAAAAGAGACCATAAAATTTACTAAAGCAAAGCAAAACAAAGAATTACTTTATGCCCACAACTTATAGGTTTTATATGAAATGTAACTATTTTATGTTAACCTTAATGTAAAGCGTAACACAGCAGTATTGCAAATGAAGTTCCATAAACCCTGAAATATATAGGCCTGGACATTCTTAACACAGAGTTAATTCTGAGAAACATATTATTTTAAATAGCCTGTCATCTTTGAATACCCCAACGGCAGCAAGGAGGAAGCATTGCCAATCAGCCACTTAATTATCTGCACTGTATATGCAAATACCAAGAGTTTGATGAGGTCTTTACATTTGGACTTTAAGTACCCTATTAGTAACCATAAATCCACTACTAATGTTTCTGTGGCACTTAGGCAACAGTGAAAAATTAAGCAGTAATGACTTCAAAGGTGGAAGAATCACACAATAATTC
This sequence comes from Homo sapiens, assembly GCF_000001405.40. NCBI lineage: Eukaryota > Metazoa > Chordata > Mammalia > Primates > Hominidae > Homo > Homo sapiens. Next base: position 63,678,612 of record NC_000004.12, on the reverse strand, counting down.
TGTACCTTTGAGGTCATTTTTACAATTTGAACACGAATTATATGAGCGTACTTCATTGCCTTCAGCATTTAAGAAGCATTGCTAATGAGCAGGGAGGTTATTTAGGAAATAGAGTGCAAGAGGTGGATATAGATAGAACACTGAAGCTTAACAGAATTGATTCCAAATATAAAAAGAAACACATTTATTGCTTTTAAATGGCCTAAAATGCAAAACCCACAGATGAAACAGACTTTCAGAAAATCCTGGGAATGCACCAAAGTTGTTCAATCAGCATGATCAGCTTCAGGTACTTGCTTTTCATGAATCTTCCTTGGGTCAATGTGGGCCCGTAAGTAATGAAGTATAAAAGTCTCTTTGCTTTATACAGCCATTGTTTTTGAAAATGCAGTCATATAAGATGAATTTTCCTCTCCTTAGACCTGCTTAAAAGCAATTTTCCTCTAGCTGACTAAATCATACCTAATTTCATCGTGTTAAAGAATGTTAAAAACAGCCTAGTAAAGCAAGGTTCAGCCTTAAATATAAAATATCAGAATAATATAAATGATAAGAGAAATATTAATTTGCAAATATCTAGTGTTTTAAAGCCCTGGAAACCATTATGCAAAATTAAATGTACTAAATACAAAACAATATATTTTGAAAATTTCTGAACCATTTATTTTAGTAGTCACCTGATGATCTGATACAGATTATCCTTTTGATAAGGTTCATCTTTATAGTTTGCCTCATTACCTACATTTGTATGGCATAAAAAAATTACATCAGCAAATAAACAGTGCCTAGTGACGAATTATTTTCAAATATTATAATCATATTTGATTCTTCAAAAATATCAGATGAAAGCTATAAAAAATGATTCATTTTTCACAATATATCTAACATGATTTCTACTCATCAGGGCAACACAATATAAATCAATTTAATATAATAAACTTAGATTTATATCAAGTTTAATATTCTTGACCGATGTTTTAATATGATTAATATGATGTATAAGCAAGTCTGCAAAGAAAGATTACCTAAAGCTAATGATACCCTGAAAATATGTACTGTAATCATTTTAAAAGTGTGTTTTACATACATGTATCTTTACAAAGTAGAGTATGTATTTAAAAGGGTAAATATACTAAAATTTATTCCATACTACAAATACAATTTTTTTGAAGTTGAAAATATTAAACATACAGAAATACCAAAAGAATTATATAATAAACTATTTTTATTGAGAAGTCCCTTTTGACATGATTCTTCATTATTACTAAATGCTGCAGTATATATTGCCTACAAGCAAGGTTCATATTTTGGTATTATAACCATATAAATTAGAAAATTAACACTAATACAATAATACCATGTAATTCTCAGTACCCGCACTGATTTTGACAATTAGCTCAGTAATGTCTTTTATAGAAAGATAATTTAATCCAGTATTGCTCATTTTATTTGTCATTCATCTATTTAGTCCTTTTCCATCTGGAATGTTTTCTTAGTTTTTTCTTGAAATCTCTGTTCTTAACACTTTAAATGTTTACAGGCCAGTTATTTTGTAATTTGCCCTTCCATTTGGGTACATCTAATATTTTCATATATTAAATTTAGGTGATATAATTTTAGCTAAGATATCACAGAAGAATCTTCTTCTTTTCTTACTGCATCCCATAAGGTATTACCCAGTGTAGAATTGTCCTACCATTTGTGATGTTAATTTTGATCATTTGAAAAAGGTGCTATTTCTCCACTGCAGAGGTATTCTTACTTTTCTCTTATTGTTAATAATATTTCATGGGACCATACTTTGACATTCCATAACTATTCTTCCTTACCTAAATATTATGTACTATTGTTAGCAATTATTGATGTTTCTTGCCTCAATTAACTGTAACTATGAGGGTTGCAAAATAGTAATTTATCTAATTTCTTTTTTACTTCAAAATTACTAGTTGGCATTATTACATAAACTATACCTCCCTAGTGGTCCAATATATTCATTCAGCTTATTTGTATCAGTAAAACATATACAATAGAATTATAATCTTTTACTATTATATTCTACATTGATTCTCACATGGGAGTCCTTTCCTTGTCCTTTTGACATATTCCCATTATTCGTTGAGCAATTTATAACTTCTGTCACAAAAATGTATTTTCCCCAACCTTGAAACCAGCCATGTCTCCAAGAAGCCCTTGGGGTCCTATAAATAGCATAGTTAATGTCACAGGTGGTGGGGCAAATCTACATTAGCTATTACCTCATGAAATGTAATTGAAGGAGCAGATAATCATTCTGTGATATTTTTGCCAATAATATTTAAAGTGAATCTAATAAAGACATTTGGAAACTGTCTAGTAATGATGGCCTGCTTCTTCTGATGACAGATATCTTCTCACTGTAACCTCACATGGTTGAAGAAGTAGGGCAACTCTCTGGGACTTCTTTTATAAGAGCACTAATCCTATTCATGAGGGATCTCACGCCTAATCACCTCCCAAAGGCTCCACCTCCTAATATTATCACGTAGGGGCCTAGGATTCACCATGTGAATTTTAAGAGAACGTGAACCTTCATACCACAGCACTCTGTTTACAGTTGTACTCTTCATATTCCTTGTGCTTTGAAATCCTTGACCAGGCATCTCCACATGGGCAACTGGCACTGCTTCTCACTTTCCACATGAACATCATCTTTCTCACCAAGCCTGGGCTCTGACAGTCCATACCAGGAGCCATGGATGTTCTTGTCAGTCCACGCAGGCTCTGATACCCACTCAGGTCATTGCTGCTACCACCCAACTAGTACAGAGCCCTACCTTACTCAGCCTCACCTGATAACTTTTGGACTGAATGTTTTATGAAAGAAGAAAGAAAAGAAAGAATGCAACAAGGGCTTTTTTTTTTTGTATATTGCATTTATACATGCAACACACACACACACACACACACACACAAACACACACACACAGATTGGTTCTCAGTATTGCAGTGGCTATATTATGTCACCTCAAACTCTGAATTAGTGAGTACTGAATAATTGTTTCTATGGTGTATATATATATATATGTGGCATATGTTATAATTTAACAAAAATTAAAACAACCCATATATTCTGTTTTCTTTATCTCACAAAAGAAAAAATAATGCTTAAGAGTATTAAGTGACTTGCCTGAATCTGCCCCACTAACAGGTGAATCTAATAGGTGCCCAAATTGGGATTCAAACCCATCCAAAAGGCCTTAGATCCAGAGCTCTTTGCATTACATTTCACTACACCTATCATAAACATCCTCTGGAAAAAGTACAGTATTGATTTGGGGTTTATAAATAATTTTTAGCAAATAGATGAATTTGTTAATGTGAAATCTGCAAATAATGAGAATCAACTACATATTTGTATGATGTGTGTATGTATCTAAATATCTATATTTATATATAGTCTATGTTTACACTTATGTTTATGTCTATATTATATTTATATCTACATCTGTTTCTATATTGTATATATAAATGTGTTGGGAGAAAATTTATCCTAGATATTTTATGTTTCCTGCATGATCCATGCATTCCAGGAAACAAGCATACTTAAACAGCAAAGATGCCTTAGAAGTTAGAGAAAGCACTCTCTTAAAGATACAGACCCCAGAAACATCCTATGATTCATGAAGATAAAGTTTCCTCCATCTTATCTTATGGACAGTTGCTTAACTTCCAAGGTAATTAATAATCTCTATCTCTGAAAGGGAGCGTGAAAAGATAAACCAGCAGCTCATAAAAATTTAGAATCCGTTAAGTTTGGGGTTCTTTTTCAGTGATGCGAATCCACTATATATACACGTAAACAGGTGACCCTCATCTGTCATGGAGTTTGGCGAATGGGGAACTGGCAATGACTGGATCCAGTTTCTGCTTTTACAATAAGTAATAAACCATCTTTGTCTCTGACATGAGTTCTTGTGTCTTTGTAAGTGTATTCATATGATACCGAGGCAAGCTAACTTGCTGGCTTTTAAGTAAGGTAAAAATCTCAAACAGACCTTTCATAGTTTTGGACTTAACATCAGTATGCTTCAAGCTGTATAATCAACTAGAAAAAGAAACTTGACATTATATTTTAAAAAAGTATTTCTAAAAAATAAAGATGAAAGTCAATGCCGTTATTAATTGTAGTACTAATGTTTTATTCCTAGGCCAGTCAACAAAAATTAAAAATGAATCAGGATAGAAAAGTAAGCTCAGGGCTTTAAAAAAATTAATCAGGACCTTTTTTCCCTCAGTTTCACCTGCAAATAATATCTAATACAGTAACTCCCTCCCCCATGACAAGAACACATGTTCACATTGAATCAGCCCCTAAGTTCTGCTGATTTTAAATCCTGTATTATTTAGGATAAAATAATTTATGTAATATAAGAAAACATAAACTTTCCCAATAAAAACACCTTGCTTGTCCAAAGACTTCCCTATGTGTGCTAATTCAGAACTTGAGGCTCCTTGCAACTTTTTTTTTCCTTGCAAATGTGTCAGCTCCTTAATTGTTCTGTATCCATCCAGCAGTCAGCAACAGGGCCAAAATAACATTAATTTACATTGTACTATGCCAAAGTCCTACTGGGATCTAAGGGAGTTCAAGAAATATAGTCCCTGGCTAACCATTCTGACTAAAGAGCAAGTCTACACTGTAAAAAGGAGAAGCAAATATCTTTGTTGGAAATATAACCACCCCAGTCACATGTCTCTGCATCTACCTTTTGAACAATCACAAGTAGATCCTTATCATAGTTTCTAGGTATTAATACCCAAACAATTTCTATGCCTAAATCCATTCTTCCCTCTTCCAGAAGAGAAAACTTTCTAATATTCAAACTAATCATATAATTCAATTTAGTATGTACTGAATATTTCTATCACTTACAGAAAAAACTGAATTTCTAAACTGTATGAGGAGCTCTAGTAACTGGCTTCTGCCTATGTTTTCCTTCTCCACTTTGGATCCTTGAAGGCTCATATTTTACCATCCAGTAATGTGAACTTGTGATTCCTCACATATCACCTGCTTTTCCCATTGAATTATCACAAAAGACCCAGTCAGAAATTATTCTATAACCACCCACTGTTCATATTGGATGGTTTATACAAAGTGATAAAATGTATTATACAAAAATATTTTATGTTTATTGGATAATTAAATGTTTAGCACCCAAATAATGTGTTAAAACTCTAATATGATATAATATGAAACACTGCTTCGTTTATTATATCATGTCTCTAATATCAATATATCCAATATTAAAAGATTGAAAATAAGTATATCTTGTTATGTAAGACAAGGGAAGTGATTTTCAAGCTATTTGAAACAATTTCTGTGTTCCAATAGCAACCTACAGATAATATCCCTTAATATGTCAAATCACCTTTTACTCTCTTTACACCCCATTGATTTGCAACAGCCTGAATATAGAACACTATCTTTAACTCTTTATTTTGCATGTTAGAAAAAGACCTATCTCAAGGGTAATATACATTTGTTAAGCTCTTCAAAATTTGATGTTTCAAGTAAAATACTATGTTTAGAACTTGACTGGGAAAGGTAATACATTTTTGATCTTTAATGGAGTAAGACATTTTTGAGACATGAATAAAATAATTACATAAAGCATTCTGTTCTACAGGAAGGTGGGAGAGGTGAAATAATAATAAAAATAATTGTAATTACCACTTGATATTCCTATGAGTTCTTAAAGTTTATTGCACTCTACCTCTGTGATCTCAATTTATGAAAATTATAATTTTGCCATCATGTTAAAAAACATTCTACTTATTTTTTTTTTTTTCTGGTTAAGAGATGCGGGAAAGAGACCCAGAGGCAAAATGGGAACTGCATTTTTGCACTGCCTTTTAAAATCTCATTATTTTACCTGATACTTTTAAACTGATCCATTGTTTCTTTTAAAAAAGACCTCTAACTTTCTACATTTTAATCAAACTTTATTTCTAAGACACTTGTCATTGTTAATGGACTTTTGAAATCTTCAGGGTTTTTTATTGTTTTTACTTATGTAAAATTGTGGGGAAAAAAGTTACTTTACATTGACTGATCTACAAAGCTTGTCATTTGAGACAGTTCTTTATTTTCTGAAGGTTTTTAAAGTGAATTAACACTTTGATGCCATTACTAAATATAATAATAGTTTCTTTAAAAAGGTGAATATCTAATATTGTATAACAAATATATTAAGTAATACACATGTGTAACTTTGATATTTCCTTCAGATATTTTGATTCAAAACTTCAAAACTGAATTATATCTTAATTGGTAAGCTGCTAAATAAGAAATCCATATTTAGCTGCAATTATATAGGCTAGTAGAATTATGTATGCTGTGCACATATTCAATAAATAATGCTCTATTTATTGATTTAAAAAATAGAGTAACTCAGTGGTAGTAAATAATAAAGTCTGAGCATGCATACAATTATTTAGTCATTCATTAGTCAACTAAGTTCCGATTGCTGACCTTATATATGACCCTTTGTTAGAAGTGGGGCCTGTGCTTGGCAGTTAAACATGTTTTTCCTTCTTTTGTGTCATGAGAGGTGAAATAAGAAATACATAGCAGGAGTGTTCACTTGAAGAAAATCAGATAATGTCAGCAAATATCAAAGGAACAATCAGCAAAGCTTGACTAATTGGAAAAACACAAATTCTGAAATTCCGTTATATGTGCCTGTATATCTACCTGTATCTATGTCTATCTATATCATCTACATCTACATCTATCTTTATATTCATCCTAGTTATTGATTAATTTTGAAAAACTAAAGTTCTAGAGAAGCAAGGGATTACTGTAACTCCCAAACAAAATAAATGCATATATTTCCAAAGAGCATCAAATGTTTATATGAATGTGTTGTCTCAAGTCAAAGAAGCAAGACAATGACATTTCAGGCAATGAGTTGATCTTTAGATACATATCTAATTATTGTCACAATATACAATTTACTCTTAATAAAATAAATAAGTTTACTTCCCTTACAGATAAAATTAAAAAAAATAAATTGTGCTGTGGTTTAAAGGTGTCACCTTCGAAGCAACCCTCACCAGACAATCAAACCTGCAGCACCTTGTCTTGCTTTTCCCACCTTGAAAACTATATTTCTATTGTCTATCAGTTACCCAGACTTGGATATTCTGTTATAGCAGAACAAACAAGCTAAGACACCTGGCATCAAGATAAACAAAGTCTAAATCTCCCAAAATATTTTTAGTTATAATAAGTCACAAGGTTTTTCTTAAGTTCTTTCATTAAGATACTCTTATTATAATGCAAAATATCATTTATCTGCAACAGTTGTTTCAATAATAATGTAGACTTTTCCCTGCAGTCATATTCTTCTGCTAAAGATACCCTAAGGTAATACCTAGCACTTAATCCATGGGGAACATTTCATGGAAGTACTATTGTCCCCCCTTATTTATGGTTTCACCTTCCATGATTTGTTATTCATGGTCTACTGCAGTTCAAAAATATTAAGTGGAAAATTCCAAAAACAAACAATTTGTAAGTTTTTAATTGCACACGGTTCTGAGTAGTGTGATGAAATCTTACACCATCCCTTCCATCCAATCCAGAACATCAGAATATGAATCAACCTTTTCTCCAGTGTGTCTATGCTATATATGTCATCAGCACATTAATCACTTAGAAGATTTTTCAGTTATCAGATCAACTGTAGTGGTATCCTGAGACTTGTGTTCAAAGTCAACATTAGCCTAATGTTCTATCACAATGCCTACATTATTCACTTCACTTTGTTTAATCATGTAGGCATTTTATTATCATACATCATCACAAGAAGGGTATTGTAAAATAAAAAATTTTGAGAGAGAGGTCACATTCACATAACTATTGTTGTTAAAGTTTTCTATTACTAGTTATTGTTGTTAATCTCTTACTGTGCCTAATTTGTAAATTAAATGTTATCATATAAATGTATCTATACAAAACAAAACAGTAGAGAGTATATAAGGTTCACTACTGTATGTTGTTTCAGGTATCCACTGGGGTTGTTGAAACTTATTCCCTGCAGATAAAAGGGGACTACTGTAAATATGTCAACATTCATCTACTTCTCATTAACAGTCTGAGACTGATGACATAAAAACAAATAGAGGGAGCTTCTTATATTCATACTGGATAAACATTTTTATTGAGTAGAAGATTTAATAATTCATACTGACTTAAAAATATCTATATAAAATGTACAGTGAGAAATGTAATACCCCATTTACTGAGGTCGATGAGAAAAATACACTTCTCCAGCCAACCCCTGCTGGGACTATTGAGCCAGTAGCAGTTCAGCAACTCCCTGGAACAAAACTCACAGTGGGATGGCAACTTGCCATCTTTGCTGTCTCACAGCCCTCACCCTTATTGTCTCAAGGCTTTGGAGAGTCCACAGGAGCAGGGGCTGGTCGAGACCCCTAGCACAAAGCATTCACCTAATGGAAATGTGGCCAAACTGTTCTCCACACAGGCACACAGGTGCTGGTCCTCACTTTTCCTCACTGGAGAGGAATGCCTGGTCTGGGACTCCAGGACAACCACCCTGGCCCTCACCTGACCACTTCAATCAGAGGTAGCACAGCAGTTAAAGCAATACCCACACAGACAGCTGAGGAAGAATCAGTGTAAGGACTCCAGCAACTCAAAAGGCCAGTGTCTTATGTCCTTCAAATGACTACACTAGTTCCACAACATGGGTTCTTAACCAGGCTTTGTTAGCTAAAATGGCAAAAACAGAATCCAGAATATGGATAGGAATAACGATCATCGAGATTCAGGAGAATGGGAAAACCCAATCCAAGGAAACTAAAAATCACAATAAAATGATACAGAAGCTGATGTACTAAATAGCAAGGATAAAAACTTAGCTGATCTGATAGAGCTGAAAAACATACTACAAGAATTTCACGATACATTCACAAGTATTAGCAGTAGAATAGACCAAGGTCAGGAAAGAATCTCAGGACTTGAAGACTGGTTCTCTGAAACAAGACAGTCAGACAAAAATAAAGAAAAATGAATAAAAAGGAATGAACAAAACCTCTGAGATACATGGGATTATGTAAGGAAGCCAAATCTATAAATAATTGGCATCCCTGAAAGGGATGAGAAGAAAGCAAGAAACTGAGAAAAAATTACTAATCTTGTTAGAGAGGACAACACTCAAATTCAGGAAATACAGAGAACTTCTGCAAGATTCTCTACAAGAAGATCATCCCAAAGACACAAAATCATCAGATTTTCCAAGGTTAAAATGAAAAAAAAATGCTGAAGGCAACTAAAGAGTAAGGGCTGGTCACATGCAAAGGGAACCAACCCCATTAGGCTAACAGTGGAATTCTCAGCAGAAACCTTACAACTCAGAAGATATTGGGGGCCTATATTCAGCATCCTAAAAAAAAAAATCTTCAATCAATAATTTTATATCTAGCCAAACTAAGCTTACTCAGCAAAGAAGAAATAAGATTATTTTCAGATAAGCAAATACCAAAAGAGTTCTTTACCACCAGACCCACGTTAAAATAGATCTTGAACAGAGCACTAAATATGAAAAGGAAAGACTATTACAAGCCATTACAAAATACACTTATGTACACAGTCCAGTGACACTATAAACCAACCACACAAACAAGCCAGCATAATAACCAACTAACAACACAATGACAGGATCAAATCCACACATATCAATACTAATCTTGAATGTAAATGGGCTAAATGCCTTATTTAAAAGGCAGAGAGTGGCAAGCTAGATTAAAAAGCAAGACCAAATTGTATGCTGTCTCCAAAAGACCCATCTGACATGCAATGACATCCATAGCCTCAAAATAAAGGGATGGAGGAAAATTTACCAAGCAAACAGAAATAAGAAAAAAGCAGAAGTTGCAATTCTAATTTCAGAAAAAACAGACTTCAAACAAAGATCAAAAAATATAAAGAAGGGCATTACATAGTATTAAAAGGGTTCAATTCAACAAGAAGATCTAACTGTTCCATATACATATATGTGTGTGTGTGTATATATATATATATATATATATATATATATATATATATATATCTCCATCTCCAACACAGGGTCACTCGGATTCATAAAGCAAATTCTTACAGACCTACAAAAATACTTAGATGCCAGCAAAATAATAGTGGGAGACTTCAACAAACCACTTACAGTATTAGACAGATCACTGAGGCAGAAAATTAACTAAGCTATTCAGGACCTGAACTCAACATTGGACAAAATGGATCTGATAGACCTCTACAGAACTCTCCACCCTCAAACAAGATAATATGCATTATTTTAATCTCCGTATGGCACATACTCTAAAATCAACCATACAATTGGACATAAAACAATCTTTGGCAAATGCATAAAAAACAAAATCATACCAAACACACTCTTGGACCACAATGGAATAAAAAATAGAAATTAAGATTTAAAAAAATCACTCAAAACCATGCAGTTGGCTGGGCATGGTGGTTCATGCCTGCAATCTCAGCACTTTAGGAGGCTGAGGCAGATACATCACCTGAGGTCAGGAGTTCCAGAGCAGCTTGGCCAATATGGGGAAACCCGTCTCTATTAAAAATACAAAAATTAGCCAGGTGTGGTGGCAGGCACCTGTAATCTCAGCTACTTGAGAGGCTGAGGCTGGAGAATTGCTTGAACCTGGGAGGCAGAAGTTGCAGTGAGCCAAGGTCATGCCATTGCACTCCAGCCTGGGGGACAAGAGTGAACCTCTGTCTCAAAAACAAAACATACAATCACATGCAAATTAAACAACCTGCTATTGAATGACTTTTGGGTAAATCATGAAATTAAGGAAGAAATCAAGAAGTTATTAGGGGCTAATGAGAACAAAGATACAACTTACCAGAATCTCTGGAACACTGCTAAGACAGTGATAAGAGGGAAATTCATAGCACTAACTGACTATATAAAAATTTTAGAAAGATCTCAAATTAGCAATCTAACATCACAACTAAAATAACTAGAGAAGAGCAAACCAACCCCAAATTGAGCAGATGACAAGAAATAACTAAAATCAGAGCTAATCTGAAGGAGATAGAGTTCCAAGAAACCATTCAAAATATCAACAAATTCAAGTTGTTTTTTGAAAAAAAAAAAAAAAAACCAATAAGCCAGTAGCTAGATTAATAAAGAAGAAAAGAGAGAAAATCCAAGTAAATACAGTAAGAAGAAAGCAAAGGGATGTTACCCCTGACTCCACAGAAATAAAAATAACCACCAGAGTCTACTGCAAACACCTCTATGCACACAAACCAGAAAACCTGGAATAGATGTATAAATTTCTGGACACATGCATCTTCCTAAGACTGAACCAGGAAGAAATTCATTTGCTTATCCATTAAAGAGCTCCAAAATTGAATTAGTAATAAATAGCCTACCAACCAAAATAAAGCAGAGGACCAGATGGATTCATAGCCAAACTCTACCATAAGTAAGTACAAAGAAGAGTTAGTATCATTCCTTCTAAAACTATACCAAAAAAATTGAGGAATGGGAACCTCTCCTCAACTCATTCTATGAATCCAGCATCATCCTCATACAAAAACCTGGCAGTGACACAACAATAACAACAAAAAAACTTCAAGCCAATATCCTTAATGAACATTGATGCAAAAATCCTCAACAAAATACTGGCGAACCGAATGCAGCAGTATATCAGAAAGCTAATCCATCATGAACCAGTAGGCTTTTACCCTGGTATGCAAGATTGGTTCAACATATGGAAATCAACAAATGTGATTCATCACATAAACAAGATTAAATATAAAAAACACAGGATTATCTCAACTGATTCAGAAAAGGCTTTAGATAAAATTCAAAATGGATTTATGTTAAAAACGCTCAATATACTAGGCAATGAAGGAACATGCTTCAAAATAGTAAGAGCTATCTATGACAAACCTGCAGCCAACATCATACTGAATGGGCAAAAGCTGGAAGCATTTCCCTTGAAAACCAGCACAAGGCAAGGTTGCCTTCTCTCACCACTCCTATTCAACAAAGTATTGGAAATCCTGACGAGAAATATCAGTCAACAGAAGGAAATAAAGGGCCTCCAAATAGGAAGAGAGGAAGTCAAACTATCCCTGTTGGAAGATGACACAATCCTGTATCTAGAAAATCCTATAGTCTCAGCTCATAAGCTCATTCAGCTGATAAACAACTTCAGCAAAGTGTTAGGATATAAAATTAGTGTACAAAAGTTACTAGCATTTTTACATACCAACAACAGTGAAGCTGAGATCGAAATCAGGAATCCAACCCCAATCCCAATTGCCAAAAAGAATAAAATAATTAGGAATACAGGTAACCAGGGAGGTGAATGATCTCTAAAATAGGAGGTACAAAACAATGCTTAAATAAATCAGAGAAGATACAAACAAGTGGAAAAAACATTCCATGCTTATGGATCACAAAAAGCAATATTATTAAAATGGACATATTTCCCAAAATGATTTATAGATTCAATGCTGTGCCCATCGAACTACCAATTACATTCTTCACAGAACTATAAAAAACCTCTTATAATTAAAATAGAATCAAAAATAGAGGCTGAATAACCAAGGCAATTCTAAGCAAAAACGACAAAGTGGGAGGCATCATTCTCCCTGACTTCAAACTATTACACAAGGCTACAGTAACCAAAACAGCGTGGTACTGGTACAAAAACATACATAGATACATAGACCAATGGAACAGAATAGACAGCCCAGAAATAAGGCTGCACATATACAACCATATGATCATTGACAAAGTTGACAAAAACAACCAGTGGGGAAAGGACTCGCTACTAAATACATAGTGCTGAGACAATAGGCAAGCCATATGCAAAAGACTAAATCTAGATCCCTTTCTTACACCGTATAGAAAAATCAACTCAAGATCGATTAAAGACTTAAATGTAAAACTCAAAACTATAATCAAACTTAATAGTTTCTGCACAGCAAAAGAAACTATCAACAGAATAAAAACAACCTACATATTGGGAGAACATATTTGCAAAACTATGCATATGACAAAGGTCCAATATCCAGCATATGTAACGAATTTAAACACATTTATAAGAAAGAAACAAACAACCTCATTAAAAAATGGGCAAAGGACTTGAGCAGACTCTTCTCAAAAGAAGACATATGTGCAACCAAAAAAAATATGAAAAGTTTAATATCACTGCATTAGAGAATTAAAAATCAGAACCACAATGAGATAACATCTCACACCAGGCAGAATGACTATGATGAAAATATGCTGGTAAGGTTATGGAGAAAAGGGAACACTCATACATTGTTGGTGGGAGTGCAAACTAGCTCAACCATTGGGGAAAGCAGTGTGGAAATTCCTCAAAGATCTAAAAACAGAACTACCATTTGACCCAGCAGTCCCACTACTGGGTAAATATCCAAATAAAATGAATAATCTTATGATAAAGACACATTCACATGTGTATTCATTGCAGCATTGTTCACAATATCTCAGATATGAAATCAACCTAAATGCCCACCAATGATAGACTGGATAAATAAAATATAGTACATATACACCATGGAATACTATGCAGCCATAAAAGAGAACAAGGTTATGTCCTTTGCAGGAACATGTATAAAACTGGAGACTGGCCGAGCATGGTGGCTCACACTTGTAAACTTTGGGAGGCTGAGGCTGATGGATCACCTGAGGTTAGGAGTTCGAGACCAGCCTGGCCAACATGGTGAAACCCCGTCTCTACTAAAAATACAAAAATTAGCTGGGCATGGTGGCAAGCACCTGTAATCCCAGCTACTTGGGAGGCTGAGACGAGAGAATCACTTGAACCCAGGAGGCAGAAATCGCAGTGAGCTGAGATCCCAACAGTGCACTCCAGCCCGAGTGACAAGAGTAAAACTCTGTCTCAAAAACAATGACAACAACAACAAAAACTGGAGACCATCATCCTTAACAAACTAACACAGGAACAGAAAACAAAATACCACCTGTTCTCATTTAAAAGTGAGAGATAAATGATGAGTACACATGAAAAATGGGGAACAACAGACACTGTTGCCTTCTTGAAAGTGGAGGTTGGGAGGAGAGAGAGGAAAAGAAAAAATAATTATTTGGTACCAGGCTTAGTACCTGGGTGACAAAATAATCCGTATAGCAAACTCCCATGACACAATTTTACCTATATAACAAACTGCAATGTATTCCTGAACCTAAAATAAAATTTGGAAAAAAAAAAAAAGAATAGAAAGAAAAGTCAGAGATGGCATTGAATCTGAAGGTCTTATGAGAGTCATATTTGCATAACTGCCTTTGCCCCAGAATCTGCTACTAACTTTGTTGTTTGGGGCAAGTCACAGCCACTTGAGCTTTAATTCTACCTTCTGAAAATGGGAGTAAGTATAATACTCTATCTCCTTTGCCAGGTCTTTGAGTTTCTTCACTGTAATCGTGAAAGACATCAGAGAGCACTGTGGTTTCGAGCTTAAACTTGCATCCTTTCTCTTTCATTTTCTGTCTACCAGTGGCACTTCTCTTGACTTTGAAGTGTCAAAGTTTCTCTGCACTGCAGATTCTTCATCTTTAAAATAAAAATGATATCCCATAAAAAACTAATTTTCTGAAACAATATGAAATGAAGCCTATTTATAGAATTTCAACCAATTAATATTTTATGCCAAATTAGAAACATTTACGTTTGTATCATCTTTATAATACATCTTGTATAATATCATCTTGTATAATACATTTTATACAAACATTACTTTTTCCTTGTGGTTGTCTCATACATAAGAGGATTTTGTTTTTTTCTCTAGAGACGTATATATTTTTGTGATTTTTATTTTATTACTATTTTGTGTGGGTAGTCGGATGTATGAAGAGATACTGAAAACTATAATGTAAACTCCCATTAAATATTTTCCTTAAATATATGATTAAAACAATACCTCTTTATGGACAGGGACTTATAAATAATTTTTCTGACTCTATTTTAAAAAAATCTATACCATGGAAGATATCTTTGCTCCTAAACATAATCAAAGTTGAATTTTATGTTCTCGACAGAAGGCAAAATGGATATATTGGTATAATGCAGGGCTTCCACAAACTGCTTAATGTTTGTTTGGATAATTACATACTTAGATATATAAAAAAGATGTATGTATAAATAAATGAATGAATGCAGTGATATGCCAGAGCTAACTTGTATGAGCTCACAGGAGCCTACTATTAAATACTTAGGAATTTTTTACATTGGTTGCTAAATAGAGAGTTTTTACATGTGAAATTATATGTTACAATTAAATAAATTATATTAAAAGAAAGATAACAAATACTCAAAAGTTACCACTTCTTCCTAATTATTTCACTAAATTTAATTATTGTACATGACTTTGAGGTTATATATGCCTATTGCATTTGTATAGTAGAAATGCTATAGAATCACATGTGTATTTCTTTCTAACCGTGTTTAATGATATCCAATTTTTACCTTAAAATGGACCATGATGAGAGTATGCAATGGAAAGTGACACATTTCAGTTTTTGATTTATTGTTTTTTTGATTGTCTAGATGAAGGATTGGCAAACTTTTTTCTGTTGCAAATACTCAAAACTGCTAGCTTAATGTCCTAATACTTTAGTTGGTAATTTTGCAGTTATATTGGAAAATGAGAGTGGTCTTCAGTATTGATTTGCAATGCATTTTAAATACCAATTGTAATACCTAGTTAAACTGAACTAAGAAGTTTTCTAATTTCCTATGTTGTTTAACAGTTTAAAAAACATGACACTATTCCGCCTTTGAAGATATGAAGGAAAATTGCTGAAAACCATATTACTCAGCAAACAAAAGTGGTATGGCATATCAATCTTATTTCACCTGTAATATGTCATCAAATATTCTAAAAAATATGGTTGTTACGTGATTTCCTTTCCTGTATTTCAGTTTTGATACAAGTGCTCAAATTTTTCATTTCTTTAATAAATAGAAGGAAAAGCATTTGTTCAGATGCAGTTGCAATTGTTTGACACTGCTAATTTCTTATTAGAACAATAAACAGATTTTATACATAAATCCCTTAATTGTATAACCTTCTAAAGTAGATCATTCTCATTTTTTAAGATGTTTTTAAACAACAAAAAAGTTGCCCTTTAGGTAATGCAACTTTCTCAAACAATTGTCAAATATATTTATGAAAAAAATTATTTTATTGTCTTTAATCATCTAAGGGCAATGTTTTTGTAGAATATAACAAGTCACAATGAATCAATACACCAAGAATTCAAAAATTTGTTTCTCAATTGGCAAGAGATTTTGAAACAAAAAGTAGCTTTCTGCTCGTTGGAAAACACTGGGTAAATTATAACGTACTCAAATCCTATGAGTTGGCAAAATGTTACCTAATTAGAAAAAAATCAATGTTATCTTCAGTATTGAGAAGTAATTCAAAATGAATAAATTCTGGATCAGTCACAAGGTTAAAAAATGAAAGAAATTCTCCTCACATTATAAGGTAAGTTTTGGTTGAGTTAAGGATAGATATAGTATATATGAATTTTATGTGTCCAGTTTGAACATACGACATTATAGGTTAAATTTTATCACTACTCACTTCAAAAACATTGAATGGCTTCCGATTTTATTTAGAGCCAGATTAAATCAATGGTATTTAGGATATGCTTTAAAGCATTACAGACTGTTTGTGTGGTTAATTCTTCTAATACAAAAATAAATAAATTTAAGCTTTTTTAAAAAAGGTCAAAGTATTGAATATTGAGCTCAATAGTTAAAACAATTTCAACTCCATTACAAAAAAGAGTTCAGATATGAAAATGGTATGTTCCTTTGCTTTATACTTGCTTTTTGAAGAAGTCTGGTAGAGACTTTTATTAGCCAATATTCCAACCATAATTATGAAGAGAATGAGAAAGATTAACCGTTAGAGGGAAAGAGAGTAACTCTAATTAAAACATTATTCTTACTAAAGGCAAGAGATGTTTTAATAAAGCAACTCACACAATAAATACACTTTTAATGACTGAAAAGTAAGGTCATGTTTACCTAATATGAGGGTGATAGCTGCTATGGTTAAGAAAATGTATTTTTCTCCAAAACCCAAACCTATGATCACCTGTTTACACATAACCTAGCAAGCCTAGAAGAATAAATGTTGGAGATGCAGAATTTCTCAGCAAATTGAGATTCATGGCTAATTTTATATCCTCCTATGTAAATATGTTAAAATGGGAAAAGTCACAAGTATATGCATAGCTTTAACAATTATAATTTCCAACATGAGTAATGTATATTTTTCTGGGCATATTTGATTCAGTCATTTTGTTGGTAAATTTCTTTATTCTCTTATTATAAGAATAAATACAGTATTTGTATGATCAGTGGAATAATAATCAGTGAAATATTTATAATGGCTTTGACATTGTAGAAAGTAATCTGCAGTTGGCTGAGTAATCTTGCTAATCTTGATCACTCCTGCTCTGCCTTTTTTGTTTGTTGATTTGTTGTTTGTTTCTTTGTTTTTGTTTTGTTTTTTTATAGGAAACTTTAAAAAAACTGTGATATTTTATATGGAAAGAAGGCCGACAGACACACACAAACACAGAGAAACACTTAAAGAAAAAATATTATAAATCACAAGCCAATGTAATCACACAGGTGCCAAATAATAGCATATTTACATAACACCCAAAGTTCCATGTTTACCTTCACTTATCAGAACCCTTTCTCTATCTGTGAAGCAACCATTATCTTTAGCTTTGTAATTATCATTTTTTATGTCCTTTGCTCTTATATGGATATCTACAAAAAAGTAGAGCATTGTTTTTTTACTTATATAAATCAATGTATTATCTCAGTGTTTCTTTTTGTGTTGCATCTTTGCTTACTATTGAGTTTTCATGTTTCACCCTTCTTGCTGCCATATCTATATTTCATTTAAATTATTGTGTGGTTTACATATTAATATACCACAATTATTTGTCCGTCCTCTTTGGCTGATAGATACTTGGATTGCATATAGACTTTTAAAAAACAATGAAAACTGCTACTATGAGCATTTTTGTACATGTCAGATGTGAACAGGTGTAAACATTGCTGTAGGGTACTTAAGCAGGAGTAAAATTGGTGGGTCAGAATTATGCACCTTTTCTTATTTCCTAATTAATGCCTATAAGTTTTCCATTTTATTTTTTCAGTTCCAACTTTCAATATATGAGAGTTCCTTACCTCAGGATACTTCCCAACTTACGTCAGACATAAATTGTAATAGCATGTCATGATTTAACTTGTGTTTCCTTGATATATATTTCAAAACTGAGAAACTAAATTTATCTAAAAATTAATCCCTTAAAATATAATATAGACAAGTCATTTAATGAGTGAGAATATGGTCAGAAGAGCAAAATATGTCTGTTCTAGGTATACCCTAGAACAAGGTTTATCATAGGAAATTACAGATAATAAAACTGTTGGTAAGTCAAGGGGAGCTTAAATCACAGAAAGATGTCAGAAATTGGTGATTCACAGGAGATCACCTAGAAGCCACAGTGAATTTCAGCAATCTTATCAGAAGCTGCCACCACAGAGATTTTTCAGCAGCTTTCTTGGAAGCTTGAGTAAATCTCAGCAATTGAATTGCGCATTGTTACCAATTTTAGCAGTCTGCTGTGCCAGTGCTGTTGATTGAAAACACCAAAAATCCAAAAATCTTGACTCTGCTCAAATTTGCCTGTAACTTCCTTCACAGAAGAAGGTTTCTTCTTCACTTCGTTTTCTTTCAGTGTCATTGAGAGATCTTGGAATAGTTCTTAATGCAAACCACATGGAGAAATGTATTCTGAGCAAGTTTCCAGTTTCCCACCTATAATGCGTGCAACTGTATAGCAGTGATGCTATGCAATTTTCTGGTCAGTGCAGAGTTATTACACGTTCTTTCACCTATGTTTAAACCTCTGAGCAACGATAATAATAAAACAACCAGTGCTTTCAGTGAATACAGTAAATGTATATCTTGTACAATAGGAAACATACCCATGCCTTCTTCTAAAAGATAGAATATATGTCTCATAAATTACTGCATTCATTTCTAGTTGATTATGAATACTTTTCATTTGGAGGAACATAATGATTGCTATATTGATATTAAGGAAAATAAATTTGAACAGCTGATACAGATGGTAACTGCCAGATCTTTCCAATATATAAGCACATTTTTCCTTTTGTGATTAGGTAATTTATCTTTGCAGAGATGCTTTTTGACACCATTAATATTCTAATTCCAAAAAAGTGTCATTCAATAATTTTAGCACACATTGATATTCCTCACATGAACCATTTATTTCAGGGAAGGTTTCAAACGGTGATTTTGCAGGTGCATTATTATTGTCTCACTAATTATCTGGAGTTATCCTGTAAAGAAGGGTTGTTATCACTTTTCACTTTTCTCATTTCTCTAAAGGATTTTTTTAAAATTCATTGTTTTATAGTCAATTATGATCACCATTTTGTTGATTACAGGTCAAATTTGACCACTGAAAGCCCATTTATTCAGAATATTTTTATCATTTTGAAATTATGCTAGTAGTCCCAAGAAACTTCTAAAAACAGTATTTCCCACCTGGTGCTTCCCCTTATCAGAACTTGAAAAGAAATTATTTTCTTCAAAGAAGACTTGCATCCCACTAGTGAGCATGAACAAGGGTAATTTAAACGTATATTCTGATTACTGATTACTCAGTGCACAGTTTGTAATTAGAATGAGATTAGCTATATATGCTCTTCCTATGAAGTAACATAATTACATGCACACATACATAACACTTTATACTACTATTTGTGCTTCAAATTTAATACTACAACTTTTCTTGGCCTGTTTTATTCAATCATTATATCTGTTACAGTGAGAGTCATACTTCTTAAAATATCAATATATTTGCTCATATGTTTTTTCATATAATATTTTACAAAACAGCTTTAAATTGCATTATCAATATTACTGGTAGCAAAAATTATGGGTAACATTTAATATTTTTTATTATTTTGATGTGTTGTATAGATTAATTATTTTGTGTTTTTTTCTGTTCAATTTAACAGATTTTTTTTCTACTTGCTTTAATTATATTGTTTTTATATGTAAACCTTTACTTATTCAAAATATAAAATATTGAAAAACTTATTCCCAGAGAATTTTACTCCCCTCCATATTTGCTCCAAGCTGCTTTCATTGCTGCCTCTATTCCCATTGCAATTTGCTTTTGCAAATATAAGTGTGTGTCTACATGTAAGTCTGTTTCTACACATATACCCATATATAAAAAAGAAAACGTTCTTAATTTAATTATTTTATTAAGATAATGATAAGAAAACCATCTTATTAAGATGTCACAACCAAGATTGTGATATTATTAATATTCCTTGAAGTGGAATAAATTAGTTGATAACAAATGTGATATACATATATATGTGTGTATATAAAAATTATATAAATGCATACACATTTATTAGATCTTGCCAAAGCCCCCTTCCATAGGGATATCATTTGATTCTCCTATTATAGATATAAGGATGGAATTGTTTTCTCAAGGTTTGCTAATAGTCGTTGGTCTATTTCTCAAATATTTTTCAATTTTTTTATTTAAATGCTCAACATTAGTCTTTCAGAAGATATATTCGTATTTACTTACAATATTGATTCACTGGATAATAGGAGGACATTTCAGAGTTGTTTTAGATGGAATCTACACATTAGAAAGAATCTGAGCTTTGAAATTTTAGAAATTCTAATTATAAAATGAAGGAAGTTTGGTAATTTAAAGGTTTGTCTACCTTCATTCTAGGCCAACATTTTGAAATGCACTGTAAATAAAAGAACCACAATTTTTAATTAGAAATTTCCTAGGAATCTGGAAGGCTAAAGGTCTTCCATACCTGAATGATTCTAACCAGTTCTGGATAATCAATCTAATATTGCATCCAAGGACATTCAATTGCATTATGATTCATGAGGAAGCTACAAAGAGAAATCACTTTCACTGAATTTAACTTATATAAATAGTAAAGCATGGCAGGTCAGGATGTAAAATGTCATGTCAATGTAATATCTATGATTTAATCTTCCGTACAAAAGAAAATGCCACTGAGTTTCCACCTAACATTTATTTTGAAAAAAAATATTTGGTACATTCAGAGCGTTGGTCTGTTCAATTTATTTTAAAAGCTGTTGCATAAATGCTTTTTATTAAGGTGACATACCTAATAAACATGTTTTATTTAGAAAAATAATATAATATTAAGAAGTACTTATCTTTAAGTTAGGTTAACCTCTATACCCGCACAATTTCAAGTAGAGTGTGTGTGTGTGTGTGTGTGTGTGTGTGTGTGTGTGTATTAAAAGTTTTCAGATGCAGTGATCTTGCTTATATCATCAACAGACATCTCATGATTCTTTATAAATGTGATAGAAGTCCAATATCAAATTCAGGAAAAAAAATGCATATGTACAAGCTCAGACTTTTTAAGAAATAATATCCAATATTTGTAAAGTTAAGTATATTAAGATTCTTATACTCCTTTTTGTTATATTTGCTTTTTCAATGGATAGTCTCATAATGCTAAACTTTTAAAATATGCCAGAAAGTACTATTTGGTTTGGGCTAGGAAAATTACGTGGAGTAACAAGGACTACAGGAAAGTTTTTTCAACAAAAATATACTACATGGTTACAGAATAAACTGACTAAAACAAACTATATATAATGTTTTGTTAAGAATTTAGGCAAATGTTGTTTCATGTAACAGTAAAAAATGTTTTATATTACCTGTAAAATGTAAATATGATTTCTCAATTGTGTAAGTACAATTTGTTTTTGTCTGTTAGTTTTCTAGGTGATGTTTAGGACAAGCACTATAGGCCTTGTTTTCCTCTTCAATAAATTCACTTTTATTTAGCTGGAACTTAAAGCTGGATCTTTGAAAGCCAACCATTTGTAGCCAATAACAAATATCCTATAAAGATTACATGCAAGGAACTGGAAAATCTACAGTAAAGAAGCTTAAAAGTTTATTTCAAATGCAGAAGTCTATCACACAAAATTTAAATAGACCCTGAAATCAGAATTGAGTAAAGAGAGACAGAAAATCTGCTTTGAATCAAAGAATAAAACTCACTGAGTTTTGCTTTAGCATGTGAATTACCTTTAAAAAGTCTTGCCCCACACACACACACACACACACACACACACACACACATGCACACATATATAGACATACACATATTAGTTGTATAATGTGTGCATATACATTATATACACATAATATTATATATTCATATCACTCACTTTTATAAGAGATATAGTAATCAGGTCTAATCAAGCATCAAATTTAAGAAACTACCTGTACACTCCATATGCTTCTATCATCACAAAATAAAACCGTCACTTATTGGCTAACTGCAAAGTTAAGTTGGTAAAATTGTCACTTTACCATCTAAGATTTAACATAGACATTGATTACTGGATAAAACAACTAGTGCTTCTTTTATGTTGTCCTTTAACCATTAGTCAAGCCAGCTTTATTAGATGTGGGGTAAATCTTCATGCTGTCAGTATTCAAATATGAGAAGCAGAATGGCAATCCAGGCAGCAAAAAAATAGGTAGTCTGAAATATTACTGAGAAAATTAGATATGACATTAGTAAAAGTCAGTCAAAGGAACAGAAATCAGTATTGTGTTGCTTTATTAAATGGAGTGAAAGCCACAGTGAGACAGTCACCAAACCAAGGGAAAATTGGTGTAGTTATTTCCACAAAGTTTGTAGGGAAATTGACTTTCCACAATGGCACAGATAGATATCAGTAGAGTAAATCTAGTGTTGGGATATGTAAAGGACCCTATTTTAATTTTCTTTTGTTCTATTTCTCATTCAATATTTTGGACATTTCGGTTCTTAATATAAACATTTCTTTATATTAAATACGATAAAAATTATCTATATGCATATTTATACCTATATAATACAGAGAGGTATGCACATACATCCTTGCACAGTTATAAAATTACTATTGTGTCTACAACCACATGGCATTTTCTTTCTTTCAGATTTACCATACTAGAATTTTGTGAATTGTTTAGCAGAAATATTATAATGGGCAGAAATTTTATGATGCAATTTTCATCTTAAAATCTCTATATGAGAATATACTGTAAGTGAGTGGTTGGAATGTATAGCTAGATCTTTGAAAGCCAAACATTTATTTGGAACTTGGAATTAGATATTTGAACACCAGTTATTAGTGTCCAATAGCAAATATCCTATTGAGATCATGTATATGTGTGTGTACATGTTTTAAACACACATAATACTAATAGAAGTGTGGCAGTGTAGAGAATTGCATAGGATATTTACCCAGCCTATTTAAATTATGGAGAAAAATCCACTAATACTATGCTTTTAAAAGTTAAATATAAAGATGCATATACGATACATTTGTCAATGTTGGTGGCATCTAATATCAAAATTCTTACTCTGTATTTCAAGATTTATTCTCCTTCATTCCTATAAATAACTCTCAACTCCTATGACCCACAGCATTCTGCCACCTTCCACTACTAGGCAGAACTTCAGAATGTAAGCAAGAAGAAAAAGAAAGAATGAATTATTTACTCAAAAAGAGACTGAAACCTGTTTGTAGAATATTTCTTTTTTTATATATATTTATTTTTTTTTAATTACACTTTAAGTTTTAGGGTACATGTGCACATTGTGCAGGTTAGTTACATATGTATACATGTGCCATGTTGGTGCACTGCACCCACTAACTCGTCATCTAGCATTAGGTATATCTCCCGATGCTATCCCTCCCCCCTCCCCCCACCCCACAACAGTCCCCAGAGTGTGATATTCCCCTTCCTGTGTCCATGTGATCTCATTGTTCAATTCCCACCTATGAGTGAGAATATGCAGTGTTTGGTTTTTTGTTCTTGCGATAGTTTACTGAGAATGATGATTTCCAATTTCATCCATGTCCCTACAAAGGACATGAACTCATCATTTTTTATGGCTGCATAGTATTCCATGGTGTATATGTGCCACATTTTCTTAATCCAGTCTATCATTGTTGGACATTTGGGTTGGTTCCAAGTCTTTGCTATTGTGAATAATGCCGCAATAAACATACGTGTGCATGTGTCTTTATAGCAGCATGATTTATAGTCCTTTTGGTATATACCCAGTAATGGGATGGCTGGGTCAAATGGTATTTCTAGTTCTAGATCCCTGAGGAATCGCCACACTTAACGCCGCATATCTACAACTATCTGATCTTTGACAAACCTGAGAAAAACAAGAAATGGGGAAAGGATTCCCTGTTTAATAAATGGTGCTGGGAAAACTGGCTAGCCATATGTAGAAAGCTGAAACTGGATCCCTTCCTTACACCTTATACAAAAATCAATTCAAGACGGATTAAAGACTTAAACGTTAGACCTAAAACCATAAAAACCCTAGAAGAAAACCTAGGCATTACCATTCAGGACATAGGCATGGGCAAGGACTTCATGTCTAAAACACCAAAAACAATGGCAACAAAAGACAAAATTGACAAATGGGATCTAATTAAACTAAAGAGCTTCTGCACAGCAAAAGAAACTACCATCAGAGTGAACAGGCAACCTACAAAATGGGAGAAAATTTTCGCAACCTACTCATCTGACAAAGGGCTAATATCCAGAATCTACAATGAACTCAAACAAATTTACAAGAAAAGAATATTTCATTTGTGATATTTTTTATACTTTTATGCCTCATAAAAGACCATGAGATTTAGTGGATGGATCACTGCATTTAAAATCAAGGAAACTGAGGTGAATGACTTCAATGAAAACTAGGTATATAATACCAAGCATCAGTTTACAATAATTATGAATTTTGACTCACTGTGAGAGGTATTAGAAATATCATTTAAAACCAGGCTAATGGTGCCAAGAGTAACTTTAGCTTTGCATTAACCATCTTTAAAATAGTCTGGTTTCTTTCTGTCCCAATATACTATAAGTATTGTCTAAAATTTTTGCTCTAAAACACAATTGCAATTAATTAGTATCTGTCATTCAATATTTGAATAAATCGAAAAATAAAATACATTAAATGCCAAGGAAAATTTTAAGGTATAATTAATTCATATTTTGGCAATATGAACTCATCCTGATCTGCCTTCTCAATTGTTTATAGGGTATCATTGGCTAATGTGTGCTTAGATACTAACCCTTATTGATCCACCCACAGCTGGTAACACTCCACTCTCTTGTTTATGGCTAATTGCCTCATCTACTCTCTTTACAATGGCATGGTAAGTTAGAGTAATGGCCTCCAACACTATTATATCATTTGTTTAAACGACCCTAGACAGACAATTAATACAGTTCTCCATAGGTCAAAATCTACAGTTCATAATGAAGCATAGAAATCTATAATGCCACCCAAGGGCACGTCTCAGGAGTTCAAATCTGTTCACTCAGGCAACTAAAAAGGTCTCATAATCTTTTATTGCACTACTTTTAATATCTGCACTGAAGCACAAAAGGCTTCCTGCTTCCGTGCATTTGATTCTCATACTGTCAAATCATATGTTGCTTCACTATAATTTATACTTTGGAACATACATCCATGTCACTTATATATACTAAAGTGAATGTATTAACAAATACTATTTTAATGCTTTTCTTTATAAACATTTAAAGTTTTAGAAAGTATTAATATATTCTATGATTATAACTCAAATGATATAAAAATAAAGGATAATTTACTTAAAGAGGCTTATAAACAAAATACTATCAAATTTAAACTTAGGAATTTCATGTTACAAAAATATCTTCAGCTTAGTACTAAATACTCAGGATAAAATGTTAATAAAATACATTTACTTTTTATCACAATTCCTGATAATATGGTGAACAAGAGTTTTAAAGAATAATTTGACAGAAATGGTTATTTCTAAATTATTCACCGTCATGCATTAGAGAAATATTTCCACAACTTTCGTCTCATAATTTTCACTATGAGAGAAGAATTTTACTCTGACCCATTTATGTTGGATGTGTTTAATAGTTTATACAGTATAACAAATAACCATAATTTCTGTGTTTGGATGTGCATAAGAATAGCTAAATTGCTTCTTGCAAGCGAATCATTCAGTGGCCACAGAGAAGACTTAAGGCAGGAAATGAGAGATATGTACAATACATTGTAACTGAGTTAAGGTCCTGTCAGTTTAAAAGTGTATCCAGCCAGTTGCCATAGCTCTGGCTACAGAAAAAAACAAAAACAAAACAAAACACACACAAAAAAACCCAGAGGATGTCAAGAGGTGTCTGAAACACCCCCTACAAACAAAAATAAGCTTGCAATTTGCACTAAACACAATAAATCACACAGTTCTTTTGTAAGAAACGCTGTTGTTTTGTAAGAGAAATGCTACCCTTATAGGAAAGGTAAAAGTTCTGGCTAAATTCCCCACTAGAGGAATTTGTCACAAGGCTATCACTTCTCCCATATTTCTTTTAGATTCTCTTTTCCTGTGGCTAGGTGACTAAATTTTTCTCTCAAAACATTAGGTTCTTGAGTCATTTTTCTCTTGTAAGGTCAGAGTTCATAAAATTGGCCATTCACAATTACTGGACATGAAAGCACCAACAGACTTCTTATGAAATCCCTTGTCTTTCACTTATGTGTTCCTTTTTTATTTCATAAGAGCAAACCAGTCTCTTATTCTTTATGAAGCTCAGTGCCCCCTACTACTATGGTAAATCCTTTCTTAGTCTGATTCACTAGTGTAAGAAGATACGGAAGATCAGGGTTAGTCAAAACCTCAGATCAAATAAAATATTTACTATGCCACTTGATAGGCATACTACTGCCTCCTCCTGTCTTGAGATTCAAGGCTTCAAGCCTTGAACATGAGGTTGATGGAATGGGAGACACAATCTTCACAGATGAGTTGCTGCCAAGTGATGGTGAAAAGGTGTAATGTTATATTTTGGCCTTGGTTTCCAGACTCACTTATTCTAATTATTCCTCATCACAAATCAGCAATTGGTTCGCTGCATTTCCCACTCCTTGATTGACAGAGCCTCAGTCTCACATTACCTTGTCCCTCAGTTAGCAATTTACTTGAGATTGTATTAGGCAAACCTCTGATATGTTTCCAATTTGCATATCACTTGTATGTATCTTCCACTGTAAGGCAGATTCGTTGTTTTGTGTTGATGAAGGATCCCCTTTCAATAAGTAAGAATCAGTTTATGTATTCTGGAATAGACTCTTTTTGACAATATTATTCATTATGGTTACTTCTAATTACTTCATACATGCTGGAAATTAAGACTGAAATCACACCCAGGAGCTGTTGTAGAGTTTTTCTATACTCTGAGCTCCCCTCAGAACTGGCCACATTCTGGGTCATCTGATTCAGAGGAATGCCAAGTTTACAAGAGTGGTATATTCTATCTTCAGAATGCAAAAAAGTCCATTGAATACTGTGTCTATTTTTAATTTGGAGGGTTGGAAACTGCAACAATTCTTCCTTAATTTTAGAGAATATGTCTACCATGCTTTCAGTCAATGGGCTGCTAAACAGTTTATCTGTATAGCATAACCAAAATGTCTGTGGGGTTCATTTCACACTTTCAGCATGCACATGTCTTACTAGGGTAACCAGGTCACCTGCTACTTCCTCCTCATGTGGTTCATTTAGCATAATGTGATTAATAAAATTGAACCATCATGATGTCTATGAAATATCAAGAATATCAAGATCCTTTAGGCCTATAATTTAACAAAAAAAAGTGCAATTAAAAGCTTTGGGAAAATATAGTAAATATGTATTGCTGTCTTTCATACATAAAATATTTTTATTGTCTTTAATGACAGATATGGAGAAAAATGCATTTCCATGATGTATAGCCACATAACGAATCCCAGAAGCTCTTTTAATAATGTCCATGAAGATACTACTCCTTACATAACGGCTGGCATTGGAAATGGTTAATTTCATAGTACTTATCCATTATTCCCCAAGACCCATCTGCTTATTTTGAAAACCACAATGGTGAATACTATGGAGAGCACCATCACATAATGTTTTTGATGCTAGTGCTAATCTCTGCAGGTACATTTTGGTACAATATTGATATTATTTTCTATCTTAGATAGTGTGTGTGTGTGTGTGTTGGGGTGGGAACGTTATACTTGGTTCTTCCTACCATATATACCATTTAGTGATAGCAGCTAACTCTATCGTTTCTAATTATGCATTGTAAGACAATGAAGGAAACAGAGAGTGGGTCCACAGACCATTGTAACCACTTGAGATGGATAAGGGTCATAATTCCATATATCGCTTGAACTCCATAAATTCATATCTAGATGGAGCACCATTATGGTATTTTGTGGGTCCCATGGTGCCATTTCGACCTCAAAACCTACCTGATACTAACAGCCTTGAAAGGTAAAGTTGTTCATTTGCTTCTACTCTTTTGGTTAATAGCAATAGACCCTTTTAGGAAAGTATTGGAAAAATCCCTGTCTCAGATATTTACTATAGCATTTCAGGGGTTTTGGAATATATTTTCTTTATTTGACTTAGATTTGAAAACTACTTAGGGAATGTGATTGTAGCAGCTGGTGCCAGTCTTCTACTCTCAGCTCTCAGTTTTTCAATTCCCCATAAATTAGTAGAGAACTAGTAGAAGTATCTTGCACCTAGGGAGACCATGGTCTTTTAGCATTACTACTGATCCCTGTAGGTCAAGGCACCCAGGGTGCCACTCCAGCCTTGTTGCCCATTAAGGTTATTACACTCTTCTTATTTTGTCAGTTAATTGGAACCCGAAGGTTTCCCAAATTTCAGAATCCTTATTAATTCCAATGAAATTAGGGAGAATATTTCCAAGGTGACATCTCCTACTGTTAACTTTGGTTTACAAAAGCAACCAGAACTGAGCCTTTCAAACTTGCTGGTGCTCCT
The DNA here is from genome assembly GCF_000001405.40 of Homo sapiens. NCBI lineage: Eukaryota > Metazoa > Chordata > Mammalia > Primates > Hominidae > Homo > Homo sapiens. The sequence goes on along the minus strand of NC_000004.12, from coordinate 63,649,502 downwards.
CACCTTTGCATTCTTTTCATAAAAAGAATGTTTATTCTTATTTGTTACTTACCTTTCATTGAAGGGTATCTTCTGGATCCTCCTGGGGAACATAATTAGGTGGTAAATTTTGTGGTCTCCCTTAGAAGTGTGTTTCAGAGCTACCTGAACCCTGCCCCATTGACTATAATAATTCTTATTTCCAAACTTCATGTAGCTAGAGCATTTTAAAAGAGTGCAGAGCATCTTTCTCAAGACGTTATGTATAAAATACAGGTAAACACTCTCATTTCAGTAAACTATCCCCTACCAACTTCTATAGTTTTCACTCCCCGGATCAACCCTTTCAAAATCCACTCCAACATAATGTGAGGCATATAATGGCTTTGGCTGAAAAGTTTGCAGGGCTTTTACTTGAAGGGTAGCTGATTTCTTCTTCCTCTATTGAGGGTAAAGAAGTTGTTTCTGCTTTTTTAAAAGGCTAAAAGAAATTTGTATCTTCAAGATTCTCAGGCTCTTCCACTTAATTATCACTGGAGATTCTAAAGTCCTCAGTTTGCAGCCGTTCCCTCTCCAGGAGTTTGTTGAGGAGAGCTCCTGAGATTACATATTCTGTCCCATTTGTATATTTTGGATACCTTTAGGATTACATCTTGGCTTGATTTCCGGGAGAGTCTTCCTTCTGCTTACAGTAGGTTGCGTCTTTTTAAATACTCCCACTGAGGTATTTTTACTTTGACAATATGCTTTGACTTTGTACTGGCTAATTTGAGATTTTTTTTTTTAATCACGGACTGCAGAGTGACTCTGTCCCTGTGTGCAATTGGAGTTTAATTTTCCTGAAGCCACTATTGTTTTGTGTTGATGAAGGATCCCCTTGTAGAGTGAGTTTTAGAATTATCTGAGACATGAAAGAAGGGTACAATAAGTGACAAACTTCTATTTCCCATTGGAGTGTCAGCTCCCTTACATTTCCAGGTTAGCCCCTTTCTCAGATTAATCTGTGCACAACTGGTTGTCTCAGCATTTTCACTAAAAATATGGGCCCGGGGTATATAAGACAAAGTAATGTGTATATATAGCATTCTCTATACCAAGTGTTAAACTTTAGTTATTATTTAAAATATTCATAGTATTATAATAATGATAAATACAAAATAAATGAACAACATGATAGTTCCTAGCCATGGGGAAAAGCATAGAAAATCAACAAAGAAGATGAATATTGAGGTTTACCTTTTTATTCTGAAATAAATGCACTTCTAAATTTGGCAATCAAATCACTCATTGTGATGATATAGTATGGAAAAACATTCAACTAATTTTTCCCAACAGTTTATTCTTAAGTATCTTCTTTACCTAGTGCAATATACCTCAAAGGCTATTTATATTTTGCAACTATCCTATTGAAATGTATGTGATAATTCTTATTTGCTGGTCACTTCTCTCCTAAACTTTTTCCTGTAATACTGCTGAAATAATAGTTTTTTAAAGTTTCCATTTTTTTTCCTCCTCAGTATTCAAAGATGTAATATTTGACTAGGAAAGGAAAGAGGTTTAATTGACCTCTTCCCATTATAAATAAACTTCAGCATGGCTGGGTAGGCCTCAGGAAACTTACAATCATGGTGGAAGGGGCAGCAAATACATACTTCTTCACATAGAGACAGCAAGGAGAAGTGCTGAGCAAAGGGGGAAAAGCCCCTTATAAAACCGTGAGATCTCATGAGAACTCAATGACTGTGACAAGAACAGCAGCATGGGGGTAACTGCTCCCATGATTAAATTACTTCCTGCTGGATCCCTCCCATGTCACATGGGGATTTTGGGAACTACAACTCAAGGTGGGATTTGTGTGGGGCCACAGCCAAACCATACATTTGGCAAGTTTTATTTGCAGTTAAGTCCTGCTGTACGTGACTCTACCAAATATTTCCTACACTTTATTTTTCCTCATGGAAATGGATTACATATTCACAGTCTATTTCAGGAAAATACACTACCTTAACTTAAATATACCTTTGAATTAGATGCCTGTATTTTGCTTTGACTGAAGTTGCTTACTTTTCAAACACTTAGTTCTCCATAAATATTAAAATTGATAGGCCATATTGAAGCATGCTGCCACCTGCACATCACAATTCAGACCAAGTCCATAGATAGGTCTACTTTATTTTAATTGTTAATTAAGCATGAACCAATTTGAACAAATTATACACAAACTTCTCCACATAATTCTATACTGGTAATACAAAACATGAGAAGAGAGAAAAATATATTATTTAATGTGGGCTTAATATATGTAGGCATTTCTATTTACTTTATGTAAAACCCTGTATCTTATTCACACAGTAATCACTTGATATTACAAGTGCTCTTCTTATGTTCATGAAGAAAATATGGTGTTAACAATCTCAATAGCTTTCCCAGGAGCATACATTTAATGATTGGTAAATCTGCAATTTAAAATTTAAAATTAAATTTTCTTAAGTTCAAAAGCTGCTTTTTTTCCAACACTCTAATGTACATAGACACTAAACTGACCATCTAGTGATACATGCCAAGCTATAACACCTTCTACTGGAGCAAATATGTACATTTCACAATATTCAACTAAATTTACAATTAGTAAAACTAGTACTCATCGGATTTAACATCTATATGCTATGAAAGGTTTTTTTGTTGTTGTTAGTATTCCTCTAGAAGTATTTGAAACTAACATAAAAATACAGAGTTTCTTTAAAAAGTGAAATCCCTGTAATTAATTTTCAGGGAAGGGGAGGATAAAATATGCTTAGAGAGATATAGGCACACAAACACTTAAACCTGTAAGCACACATGTCTACAGAATATTTTTGATATGTGTGGTAGAATAACACTTTGTGATGAACATTAAAGTTTTCATTTCTTCTCTCCACTTTTTCATGTGCTATTGTCATTTCATTTAAATCTCTTGTGTCACAGCAAAAACATGAGAAAATATTTTGCATTTGGAAGCCAAATCTTTAAGCTTATGACTCAATGATTTTGAGGTGGAAAATGCTAAGCCCTGAAGTACTCAAGACCATAAATTTGAAAGCCTGGATGAAAAAAGAATGTTATTTTTCTGCCTTAGAGAATAATAAGTATTCACTAGTTTGGAAGGAAGAGGAAATGTGATTCTTGAGAAAAGTTTAGACATTTTTCTTATGGTAAAGATGATGACATACCTCCTGATGCATTTAGGGACTAGAGGGTATGAAATGCCTTGCAGCTGAGGACAGTGCACAGCAACCCTGAGCAAGGATTGGTTGTTCCTTCCAGTTACAGTGACATAATCATGATGGAAATCCCAATACAGAAGTGGAAAAATAAAATGGCTATGCTTTGACTGGTTAAAATTAGATTAGCTGCTAGTGATGTCTAACTCCAAATAATGGTAGCTTCATCAAGATGAAAGATTACTCCTCTCTCATCTAAACAGCAGCCAAAATGAATTTGCCCAGGGCTTTGTGAGTCTCTGATGCATGGTGTCAGAATTTGAGGCTCCCTTTGTCTTGTTGCTCTACTATACAAAGCCATGGGTCTGGGGTCATCAGATGGTCTAAAGTAGCAAATCAAGGTCCAGTAATTATGTCTGCTTTAGAATTATAGAGAAGTATAAAAGCCAGGAGAAGTGGGTGTTTTCTATAAAAATGAAAGCCTTCTCAATTTCTAGTCACATCACTTTTTCTTACATCTATTTGGCAGAACTAAATCACCTGACTATAAAAGAGACACAGACACAAAAATCTCATCTGTTCTGTATAGCCATGTTTCAAGGTTACATTATTATACAAGTATGACAGGGATATTGTGACGCAACTTGTGGTTTCCACCACCAGAAAGAATTCTCAGGGATGCATTTGTTCATCATCCAGAGAATTAGTGATTTAAATTTTTTAAAAATTGTGTTGTTACAAAAAAAGTCATATTTCATGCATAACAAAATTTTATGACCAGATATTTGTACTGACAACACATTTCTGGATTAACATTAGAAAATTACATTATTAAAATAATTTGGTGTCACATCTCCATCAAGAACAGATGAGGAACTATATTTTTTAAGTTTCGTTTATTGCTATTTCTCATGGCCATCTGGATATTCCTTTGAGACAATTCATTTTAAACATCCTATAATTACATTTTAATTGGCAATTTCTTAGAATAATTAAGAAAAAAATTCCCTTAATAAAACCCATATGTTTTTAGCATGAGTACAGTTTAGAGGTTTAGAGGGTAACAAACAATTTTTTAAGAATCACAGGCTTTTTGTGGCAGTAAAATCGTGTCTTTTCGATAGTGGCAAATGGTTTAAGTATATAAGATTTGGATATTAAAGTGGATTTTCTAAATGTTAAGCACAATTTAAATTTGCATCCAATCACCATCTACTTTTGAGGTGAAATTTATAAATGTGTGTACATTATAGCTAACAGTTAATAGATTAAAATAAACAGATTAAATTAATTTATAATTGCTTAAGAAATCATGATGTAACCGATTTAAATGTATACAAATGTAGATCACAAAATAAATATACTAGCACCTCCTTCTAAAGAAAATGTTCTCTCATCTATTATTTATTTTTTAGCTCCAGTTAATCACATCAGCCCCCACTTGTCTATAATAGTAGATAAATTTTGTTTAGAACTTGCCATGATAATTTTTCAAGAGCCTTAAATGCTAACTTAGTCTAGGCAGTTAATTATCCCTGATTTAAATGTTAAGACAGAAACAGGGATGAATATTTTGATCAGTCTGGTAATAATTCAATTACAATATGTCCCAAATTGCAAAAATCCCAGAAAACTATTTTCTTAGAACAATTATTAATATTACTCAACTTAACTCTTTTAAAGATAAATACCAGAGCATGGAGTTGAAACTAGCCAGCCAGCATTCGTCTGTGACACCTCTATTTTACAATTTACTTTGCTTACTCAAGAAAATTATAACATTAGAGTATCTGAGTGTTATTATAGACGACCTTTTAAAACAATTCAAAATAGTATAATGCAATATGTAATTCAAATGTACTCTGTCTTTTGAAACTTGTAAGAATTTGTTTTATACTACTTCCCTATGGCCTGGAAGTTGCACCCGAATATCAATTGTTCTGGAAATCATATGAGAATTACACACCATGACTTGTGATTTTCCTAATCCTCTTTGTCTAGTGAGATCTGCTCCTCTTTAATGGTTTAGTTTCTTGGGTATCTTTAAGTCCTGCACATAACACCACATATCATAATTATGTTGATTCAGGTAAACAGTCAATATATTATATATATTTTCAATGGTATACACACACATACACACACACACACACACACACCCCAAACACGCACAAATGAAAATATATCAAAATTATTTCCTTTAGTCACACATCACTGAAGATTTTGGAAGATGGTAGTGTTTCTAAATGAGAAAAATGTTATAAAAGAATTAACTATGTCATCTTAGTTAATAAAATGTCCTTTTGTAATTAGCATTCTGCCAATTCCCTGGTTTCTTTCTGCTGTTTACTTTGAAGGCCTATGTTCATTAAAAAGAATAAAGAAAACAAATACCTTGAAAGACAAACAAGTATCCAAAACACACACACACAAGAATTCAACTTCATTATGTGGGTCAATTTAGTTCACTGAAACCCTTGCCATGAACTCAGATATAGACTTCCCTTGCCTTTCCAAAAAGTCAATATATTTAGCAAATTGATTGCAAAATAATTTTGAACCTACTTTTATTAAAAATTATTGTGCCATCAGGAAGCACTGGTGGTTCACTGGTAGAATTCTTACCTCCCAAAAATATTGTACCATTTGCAAGAATATCAGTAAGGGATAGAATACAGAATAAATGTATATTCTACCACTAATATCATCTTTCCAATTGAAACATAAGAAGAAGCTGTATTCTTAAATTTTACATAAAAATGTTCATTAAAGTTATATTTCACTAGTCATTTTGTTCTTAAAATTTCAGTTTAAAAGGTTATGTGGTATTGAAATAAAATATGTATATTAGAATGTTAAAATGTCATACTTCAGCTCTAAATCATAACTTTTATTGATTTCAGGTTTTCACATTTATCTAAGAATTGTTTTTAACTTTTCTTGTTTCTTCATATCCTATTTAAATATACCATTTACACCCAAATAAATTATATATATATATATATATATATATATACACACACATATACACACACACACATACAAACACATACATATATAACTGTTCTTTATATAAATGCACTTCTAGGGACTGAAATCATTTACACAACATTAGATATATTTTTATAAAGCATTAGATTCTTTGTGAATGCAGTTTGAATGGAAGGGGTTTGAGATGAAAAACTGCAGCAATCTTTCTAATCTATACTTATGAAAAAAGAGGAAATAAATATTATCACATTTCTAACTTACTGACTATGATGCCATTACCAAAATGTTTTAACTACAGCTGGTCAAAAAAATATTACTTTGTATTTTTTTGTAAGAATTGAAAAGAAAAAGGGCATAAAATTCAGATTGTATTAATACTAAAAATACTAAAAATAAACCATAAATCTGTGGTGCAACACTTTGGCTTCAACTCAGTTCAATGCAATTATTTAGTTATCTATTTGGATATCATTGTATCTTTTAGTATTTCATTGATGAGGAATAAATGAATCATGCTTACAAAAGATTTGCAGTTAAACACTCATATATGAACATTAATATCCCCAATGTTTTCCATGATACTCATTTCTCAAACACGTATTTTAATTCTAAAATTGTTATTGATTACTAATACATTTGATTTTCCAGATAGCATCATAGATACTATGGATGTGGCAAAATCACACTAATTTCCTACCCTCAAAAGATGACTTTCAGTAGGTATGACATTATCATTGTTAAAGGAAATTTCAGTTAATATAAAAAAAATGAAAGACAGCTTCAAGGAAGCAAAAGTTTTGTTACATTTGTAAGCTCCTTATATAGGTAGAACAATGATTATTCGAAGTGGCCAAGGCCCAACTCCAACTACATTAAACAACACAGGAATTTATTTTCTCCAGGACCTAAGAAGTAGCCTTTGGATACTGCTTTATTCAGTCTCAAATGATGTGATAAAGATTCAGTCTAGAGCTCTACCACTCAAATTGGCTCTCAACCTCTCTATATGGGTGTCCCATGGTGTCAAGTTGCTAATGTGATTATATTTATTCTCACATGCTTCAGGCTCAAATTTGACTGGCAAGAGTTCTTTTTCCCCCGAAGTTTGAACCAAAGCCCTGAACCAACATTATTTGCCCAAATGCAATAATATGTTAATTTCTGAAACAATCACAATTGCTAGGCATATACAATGTCTTAGTTTTACAATACCTATTCATCGTTTACAACAAAGTATGAGTAGAATCTCCACAGAAACTATGCAGGTGTTCCATTTCTGGCTAAGAGATTAGTCAAAGGAAATAAATTAATTAAAAAATAAGAGTATAGTATAGGAAGAGCTGAAAGTCTGGTTTCAAAACCAAAAACTAATACTTGCTAGTTATACCCTCTTATATTTGGCAATTGACATAACCTCCCTGTGCCTCAGATTTCTTTGTAGACTACATCTGTAAAGTGAAAGTAATAATAATAATAAACCTCAAAATTGTGATTACTTAAGTTAATGTAAATATTTAAAACAACTCTAGGTACATTTATTATTGGGTATAGGCCCAATAACAGTTATTTTAATAATTGTTAAGTGGAAGCTGTGTGTTTCTGTATGAGTGTGTGTATGTGTACTCCCTAAGAAATTTATAAGCCAACCAGCAACCCTCAATACTGCTCTGCCTGTGGAGTAGCCATTCCTTTACTTTCCTAATGAACTTCCTTTCACTTTACTCTTAAAAAGAAAATAAGAAAACAGAAGAATTTAAATTTAACAATGATCAGTTAGTGTGCTGTCTTTAAGGAGCAACAATAATTTTAGGTATTTAAACTTCAATGCAAGTAGCACTTTCATTTATTTTGTCTTTTCATATTCAAGAAACTCACCCAAGGGAAATTAAAAAAAAATGTCATTTTCTGAGATGGTACCAAGTGGAATTTGACAAAAAAGGCTAACCTTATCAAAACTTGTGTTCCTTGGATGGTATTATCTGGCCCAGAAAATATAGTAATTGTGACTTTTTAAGCTAAGGAGGAAATCATTTTTGCTGCTTTTGGAGTTGTTTCTAAAAAAGTTTTTTTGGAACAATTTCCCAAACAGATATGATTTAGTTATCTGGATACTGCTCCATATATATAGTATATGTGTATATAATATATAATACTTTAGACACTCTATATATTTTGTAACTGTTATTTGCTTGGAAAAGAACTTAACTTTCAAAACTATATATTTATATGTTATAGCAATAGTAATATATTCAGTATTTGTATATTATATTAAATATATATGTATTATGATTTAATTATGGATTTACTGTTGAGGAACTCAATAGCTACTTTTATAAGTATCTATTAATTGCTTAGAAAAGTAAAATTGCCTTTCAAAATTATATATTTTCTATTTTTAAATGTGTCAAATATGTACTTAATAGGTGAAAAATATCTAAATGGGATAATTTATTTCCAAGTATGCTTTTTTTTTTGAGGTGGAGTCTCTCTTTGTCGCCCAGGCTGGAGTACAGTGGCTCTATCTCGGCTCACTGCAAGCTCCGCCTCCTGGGTTCACGTCATTCTCCTGCCTCAGCCTCCGGAGTAGCTGGGATTACAGGCGCCCGCCACCAAACACAGCTAATTTTGTGTATTTTTAGTAGAGACGGGGTTTCACCGTGTTAGCCAGGATGGTCTCGATCTCCTGACCTCATGATCCACCCGCCTTGGCCTCCCAAAGTGCTAGGATTACAGGCGTGAGCCACCGCGTCTGGCCCTAAGTATGCTTTTTTAACTTGATATGCTTGTTCTTATTTTGCTTATGATCTATCTTAATACATATTTTAAAATTTGTCAAATGTTATATGCAGAATAACTACTTTCAAATTTTTAGATAAAGAATTTTATATCAAACTACAGCTAAATGTTGATACTAAAAAGAATTAAAATGAAATAAGAGCAATGAAAATATATTTTACATCTGAATGTTCAAGACATACTAAAGTTTAAAAAGCCAGTTTTATTTTACGAGCTAGGATTCCTCATACTACTTGCTGAAAAATGCTTTTTTGTCTTATATTTTTAGTTACTTATCATGACACTTATTTCATCACTTTATTACATTATTGTGGCACTCACTTTTCTCTACAAGAAAAAAAATTCAATTTTGCTTTTTTTTACTAGCAAATTAAAATATATTTAATTTAAATTCCAAATACAGCTTTCTCTATATAGATATTTATATATCTATATATCTCTACATATAAATATATATTGAGAAAAATTAAGAAATATTCATAATTTAATACATAATCAAAAGACAAGTTGAATATAATAAGAATTTTTGTACTAGTTGCTATGGACAGAATGTTAGCATCATCCCACATTCATAAGATGGTATTGAACACCTAGTGTGGTAGTATTAAGAGCCTTTGGGAAGTTATTACAACATAGGGATTCCACCCTCATGAATGAGATTAGTGCCCTTATAAAAGAGACTTGAGTGAGCTTCCTTTCTCCTTTTACTATGTTAGGATGTAGCAATAAGGCACCATCTATGAAACAGAGAGCCTTCACCAGAAATCAAATCTGTTGCACCTTGATCTTGGAATTCCTGAGCTCCAGAACTATTGGCAATACATTTCTGTTGTTTTTAAATTACCCAATCTAACATATTTTGTTATTGCAGCACAAACTGATAGTAGTCATTAGAATAATACAGTACTATGTTGTTTCCTTCATTTCCAATTTATTTGGATAACTGTCAATTGCAGTGTTTTTGTTGTAAGATGTGAGATTGTCCTCAAGTAGTAGGAGTTCATTTCAGCTATTTTTAAAACAAGTTTTTAACAATACCATCTTTATCATTTCTTTCATTTAATTCTTGAAAATCAAGAATATTTAACTTAGTAATCAGTACTCAATTGACTTATTATGCACTGTAAAAGTGAATTAGGTTAATAGTGGAAGTTTGGAATAAAACTGAGAAATTGCTACAGTAATTTCTGATGTAACATTCTACCACATGCATCTTGCTCATCCATATTTCTATTATAAATTAAAAATAAACAAGGGCATTTAAAAATAAAGACAATTTCTAAAAATAAATATGAAAGTTTTTTTGCCTTTTTGATTTGGACATTACAATTTTGCACGTTTTTATTAATTTGAATATTTGCTAAGGACTCAAAAATAATGAAATTTATTATGTGATTATATCTATAAAAGCCAAAGCTCATATATTATAATGTCCAAGTGGATATAATTTAGCTGTCTTCCAAAGTCATTAAGTCCTCCGCGTCTGAGTCTTTCATTAGCTGCTTTCTAAAGAGTTCATTGTTTTGCTTAGCTTAAACTCCAGTTAATATATAATTTTTATACCTATGGAAATCTATTTTAAAATTGTATTTTACTAAATTAGCCTAGAGTGAATTAAAAAAAAATTGGGCAGGAAATTATGATCATTCAATGGTGTTATCTACCTGAAAATGGAGTTGTTTTCTTCCAAAAAAAAGACATAAAAATTATCTTGGATATTTTGGAGAGGGCAGCCCATTATAGAATGATAGAGAAAACAGAAATTTAACAAATAAGTTAATACGTATGTACTCATATAATTATAAATTTATATAAGATATGGAAAAATGAAAAGGACATATTAGAATCAAAGAAATAGATTAATATCAATGGAACATAAATAACAGTTATGAAGGATTTCTATGAGGAAATGAGCTTTAGAGTTAGACTTGAATGGCAAAAATGAGTTACCTACTATAGAATTAGAAGACTGGAGCAGAAAATTAACTACTGTTTTTAAAAACTTATTTGGAAAAATATTCAATTTGTACAAACAGTGTAAAGAAACATATCATACCTAAAGTGAAGAAATAAAAAAATTAAAAAGCATGCAAAAATCAGAAACTTTAGAGATCCATAATCAATATACAAAAGTTATATAGTGATATGGTTTGGCTGTGTCCCCACCCAAATCTCATCTTGAATTGTAGCTCCCGTGGTTACCACATCTTGTGGCAGGGACCCAGTGGGAGATAATTAAATCATGGGGGCAGTTTTCCCCATACTGTTCTCATGGTAGTGAATAACTCTTACAAGATCTGAGTGGTTTTATAAGGAGTATACCTGTTTGCTTGGTTCTCATTTTTCTCTCTTGCCTGCTGCGGTGTAAGACATCCCTTGCTCTTCCACCATGATTGTGAGGCCTCCCTAGCCATGTGGAACTGTAAGTCAACCTCTTTCCCCTTTCCTTTATAAATTACCCAGTCTCAGGTATGTCTTTATCAGCAGTGTGAGAACAGACTAGTACATATAGTATCCTATGTGAAAAGAGAGGCCGTTAAAGAGTTTCAAAAGGGAAACGTTATATTTCATTTATATATGTTTTAAAGAATATTCAGATAGCTATGTGGAAAACTGGCTTGAATTATCACTAAAATGTATGGATACCAAAGGAAAGGAAATTGTAATAGTCTAAGTGAAAGATGATGGTACAAAAATTCAAAAAAATTACAGAGGCCAAATTGACAAGACAAAATAGAATACATGATTTAGGAGTAAGGAAGAAGGAGGAATCACAAAATGATTTATTTTCTGGCTCAAGCAAGTAGAGCATGTTACCTTTGCTGAGATAAATTATACTCTTTAACTATGAGAAGATTTCTGTGGAAGGTCAAAAGTTCACTTCTAGATGTCTTAGTGTTGAGGACTAGGTGAGACATTTAAGTGATGATGCTGTGTAGCCAAGTAAATATATAATTCTGAACTTCTTAAAATGTCAGCTCTAAGTAAATATAATTTTTATAGTAACCAGCAACATGTAATGCCTTTAGAATGCACAAAACAGGAAGTTAATAGTTCATAACAGGGGCAAATGTTATGCAAACACTGTGCACTGTCTGTATCACTTAGTACACCAGTACCCATGAGTCTCCTCTCATCTTCCTGTGGATGAGCTGTGCTTAATCCTGTGAATTTGGAAAAATGAGCCTGATCTAAATGACAGAAACTAGTCCTTCAAGGACTATATATTTATAAGATAATTTTAAATGTGGCATTGAGTGGTGGAAAGAATCTCAGTTTAGACCCCGAAACCGAAACCACCTATGTAGGGTATTCCACCTATTCCAACTATCTACAACTGGTAGATTTGCCGAACCATACGTGCAGCAGCCTTTCCCATTCAGGGAAGTTTGAGACACTTAGCCCAGAGGCTCATTGACAGGCAGAACAGAGAGAGGGTATCATGAATCTTCTTGGCTGGCAGAGAGGAGATGATGAAAAAAATGTCCACCAGTAAGAAAACTTCCGGCATATACTATCTGTGATAAAATTAATATATGGCAGCAGATTTTTAGAGCATATAAGAGATAATATTGAATTATAGTCTAAAGCATCTAGGAGTTTATTCTGTAGGCAAAAATGGCAATTGTAAGTATGAGGTTGTGGGTATATATGCAACAGAGAGAGAAAGAGAAAAAATACATTCATATTAATCAATATATTAGCGTTTCAAAGTATGATTAGTAAATAAACATAATATTTCGTGTTTGTTTTATTTATTGGAGTACTTTAAAATAAACAATCATCACTTACCTGCATATTTATGAGAAGGACTAGAATATTTTTTGTACAACACATGAAATACTCCAACATTTAATTTTATTTCATTTTATTAAATACATGTCATAATATAATAATTGTAATGCAAGTGCAGAATTTAGAAATCACAGAGAGTAATATATCCTTATTTACATTCCCAAAGGCTACCATTAAAAATATTTTTCTCTTTTGGTTCTACTAACGTTTTAATTCCATCACTTCAAATAATATATTTTTGTCTCTATTTATTGATTTATCAGTAAAAATAAGTAAAAAATCAATAAGTAAGATTTGTATTATTAAAGCCACGTAGTTATTTTTTTACTGCAGTACTGAACAGTGTTTTGAATAATTTTTCTTCCCTAGGATCCCAAAGATAAAGATCTTTTGATGGACTGTTCCCAGCCCAGACTATTTCCAGTCCATTCTTGTAGGATCAATGAAATATGGGCTACACAATTCCTCAGATCTTCCTTTAAAGACACTTGTTTCAGCAATTAGTTGAATCAATCTGCTTTCTTAATTCTCTTCTATATTTTATTCCCTTTACACTTATGTAAGAATTTTGTTGTTTTGTTTTCATTCCTTCCTTACTTGAGCCTCTTTGCAATCTTGACTCTAAGATTATTTTTGAAATTATCCCATTGAATTTTTGTTATGTTTTGTTTCTTTTGCTTTCTCCTCTGAAAATTGACCTGTACACTGTAAATTTTCTGCTATAGCCTTGGCAATCCACTCTCTTTTTCTGCTCTAAGTTTTCTATTCACTCTGATACACACTGAAAAAAAATCCACCTACCTATGTTCACAAAACTTGCATTTTGACACTTTGCTTGTTTTTATATAAGTTTTATTGGTCCTTGAAAGGGTTTTATGCTGCTTATATATGACTCTGAAATTCCTCAACACAGAAAGTCATTTCTTCACTCTAAATAGACATATTTCTTTTTAACTTTTATTTTAGGTTCAGGGTTAAATGTGAAGGTTTGTTATATAACAAATGTGTGTGCACAGAGGTTTTTTCTAGAGATTATTTCATCACCCAGGTGTTAAGCCCAGTACCCAATAGTTATCTTTTCTGCTCCTCTCCCTCCTCCCACTCTTCACCCTTAAGTAGACCTCGGTGCTTGATTGTTCCCCTCTTTGTGTTCATGAGTTCTCATCATTTAGCTCCCACTTATAAATGAGAACATGGGTTTTTGATTTTCTGTTTCTGCATTAGCTTGCTAAGGGTAACAGCCTCCAGCTCCATCCATGTTCCTTCAAAAGACATGATCTCATTCTTTTTTATGGCATACCACATTTTCTTTATTCAGTCTGTCATTGGTGGGCATTTAGGTTGATTCCATGACTTTACTATTGTGAATAGTGCTGCAGTGAACATTCACATGCATGTGTGTTCATGGTAGAATGATTTATATTCCTCTGAGTATATATCCAGTAATGGGATTACTGAGTGGAAAGGTAGTTCTGCTTTTAGCTCTTCAAGAAATCACCACACTACTTTCCCCAGTGGATGAACAAATTTACATTCCCACCAACACTGTATAAGTGATCCCTTTTCTCTGCAACCTCACCGCATCTGTTATTTTTTTACTTTTTAATAATAGCCATTTGATGGGTGTGAGATGATGTCTCATTGCAGTTTTGATTTGCATTTTTCTAATGATCAATGATATTCAGCTTTTCTCATATGCTTGTTGGTCACATCTATGTCTTCTTTTGAAAAGCGTCTGTTCATGTCCTTTGCTCATTTTTTAATAGGGTGGTTTGTTTTATTTCTTGTAAATTTGTTTCTTGTAGATCTGTATAATAGACCTTTGTCAGATGCATAGTTTGCAAATATTTTCTCTCATTCTCTAGGTTTTCTGTTTACCCTGTTGATAATGTCTTTTGCCATGCAGAAGCTCTTAAGTATAACCAGATCCCATTTGTCATTTTTTTTGCTTTTGTTTCCATTGCTTTTGGTGTCTTTGTCATGAAATCTTTTCCTGTTCATATGTCCAGGATGGTATTGCTTAGGTTGTCTTTCAGAGGTTTTATAGTAAATAAACCTTTTCTGAATTCTAAATAAAAATTGCTTTAGTTTCTTTAGTTTGAAGTCCCAGCCAATGCTGTCTTAACTACTAAACTCCATTCTTTATCAACTAAATCCAGCCCTAGCCTCATGATTTAAAATACCAGTCACATGTAACTGAAAGCCCCCTGGTTAGCATTACTCATATCAGTTGAACCTTACAGCTATACCTGAGGACAATGTCCATTGCAAACAGAATAGATTGAAAGTTTCTTTTTTCCAAAATGTCACTTTCTCTTTCTAACTTTCAAGTCATTTCTTCACATACTGAGTATACCTTGTGTCTCTGTGTGATGTGTGTGGATTGGATGGAAAAAACATATTGCCAGTTAATCATCCACTGCTCCTACATGTTCTCAGACAAATTTTTGCTAGACATGGAGCCAGATAGAAATTAATTATCATTTATTTGTTAAAGCTGTGTTTGAAATAAAAACTTGGATCAAAATCTAAAATAGGAATCCTTTCTTCCTCCTCTGCAAATAAAACCTAAGTTCATGGTTTCAGAAAGGGCAATTGGAGACGAGTAGTCCTTTACCACAATACAGAAAGACAAGTTTTATCATAGTGTGCACATTGCATCATAAAATAAAGCAAAGAAAGAATTTGGCCCACATGTAATCAAGGAATTCACAATGAAAGTAACATAAACCACTTATTTTTATTTTTAGCCAAATAACCATATTCACTATTTCATGGGATATAGAAAATTTTCACCACCAAGAAGGAAGAATGATGTGGTCCAAGGAAAGCGTGGTCTAAGAGAGATGATGAGAAGTATGCATCACATTCTACAAAATGTGATCAGTTATGTTGAGAATGATCAGTTATGTTGAGCACTTTATTTCTGTGCAATTAAAAGGTTATGCAAATATTTCTCAAAGACCCAAGGATAGTTTTTCCATAGTAGGGCACTTTGATATACATATATATAGACAGAGAGATATATAGGATATATATATATATATATAAAATATATATATATATAAAATATATATATAGTTTTTCCATAATGGGGCACTTTGAGATACATATATGTGTGTGTGTATATATCTATATCATATGATATATATGTTGATATATATTATATATATGTTGATATATATGATATATATATTTTCCATAAGGCACTTTGATAGATATATGATATACATATTTATTAAAGTTATATATAGATATATAACTTTATAATCTACCTAATTTTTGATAAATTACTTTAGAAATTTGGAATACATTTGTATTCTGCCCACCTCCCAGAAATCATTGAAGATAACTTTTTGGAGATCTACTATTTTAACTTTGATATGCCCATATAACTTGACCTTATAACTTACCATTTTCTGACACTGGTCTTGATTACATTGGAAGTTAATTATTATTTTTTATTTTTTTCTTATCCAGGTTCTCCTACTTAGAGTCATTTCTTTCCACCAATCGTTCTCTTTGTATTGCCTTCATGTTTCTCATAAGTGCTCCTTACTGTCTAAAAGTACGTTATCATTTATTTCATTTATTATATTTAAATGGCTCTCTGAAAGCAGACTTTTGACTTCAATAAATTCTGCCCCATGTTTCCATAGTAACCTACTCAAAACATTGTCATCTTGTCATACTGCTTCACTAAGGCTGTCAATATATTCCAATTGCTTATGAGAAAGATTATACTCCTCAATTTGGCATTCAAGGAACCTATAATGTGATGCAAACTATTTTTAAAGTTGGGCCTTCCAAATTCATCTCATATTGTATTACTTATCAAAATGATAAAGTCATTATTACTTAAATACAATCTGCACTTACAGCCATTTTATATTCACTTTTGACAATTTTATATTCTGTGGAATATCTTGACCTTCAAAACTATAAACTTTATAAACTTTAAAGTCTTCCTAGGTTTAAATAAATCTACCTTTATTTCTATCTTGTTCATAAAGTATTTTTTTCCAAATTTTCTCAAACTCTAAGTGGAACCCAAGTTTCTCTATGGATTAATAAAGACCCTCTAGCCATTATCAAACTGACTAGTAGATAATTTTACATAAACTACTCAATATATGCAAAGCTCAGTGTATTTTATTCTCTTCTTATGACAAAGGCTAAAATTTTTGAACCACCCAATTCCATTTTCTCCTGGGCATTCGGATAAATTACATTTTCTGTGCCTTCTCTGCTGGTAGCTGAGGCCATGTGACTAAATTCTGAGCAATGGAAGGAAGCAGAAATAAAAATAAATTAGTTCCCAGCAAGGCCCATTTTTTTTTTAAAGGCAACTTGCAATGGTGATTCTT
The DNA here is from genome assembly GCF_000001405.40 of Homo sapiens. NCBI lineage: Eukaryota > Metazoa > Chordata > Mammalia > Primates > Hominidae > Homo > Homo sapiens. Next base: position 63,632,374 of record NC_000004.12, on the reverse strand, counting down.
CAGGCTTTCTTTTCCCATACTCTGCTTACTCAAGAAGACAAGGTTTTGGAAGACCGTAGAGTCCTATTCCAGACAGGCTCTTAATGATTGTGTGAAACTGTGTCTTCTAGCTTAGACGATGCCTGTTGGCCTATTATGTGAAAAAATATTTCTGGTGTTAAGCCAGTGATATTTTATGGTTGTACACTAGTTGCGTTAGCCCAAAATATAAATCAAAGCACATAATTTCTCTCTGTATTTACTTCTACTGTAATAGACCAAGCCAACATTCTATCTTACCTCAACTACTACAAGAACTTTCTAATAGCTCTCTTTGCTTCTACACTTACTATGTAAAATCATTTCTCATTAGCAGCCAGCAATACTTTGGAAAATGTACATTTTATTATATTGTATCACTAATTAAAACTATACAATGGTTTCTCCTTTCACTGAGACTAAAATTTAAATTTCTAATCTAGCTCAAAGAAAACTCTAATTAAACCAGAATTCTTTTGGCAAGGTTCTCTGGGAAACGAAGTTCCTACACCAGGCTTTCAGCATTCTGGGATTTCATCCTATACAGTTTAGAGGAGAATATTAAAAAAAAGTAATGATACAAGTTAATTAAAATATATGTGTATACACACACACACACACACACACATATTGTGAAGTATAGTACAGTAAAGACAAAATTATAATTACTTTAATCTATAATAAAAAGTATAATAAGTAACCAATAAATGCATAAAGAATGAATATTGGACAAATACATGACCTACAGCTGTATTTATTTTGTCAAAAAAACTATTGATTGTCTATAAGTACTAGGCCTTTATGAGTTCTTTTGAGAACTTTATTTTGGTTACTGTATATCTACCTCTTCATACAAGTATGTCTTGTGCATACACTAAATTATGACGTCTCAATGATGAGTTTCTCAATTCAGATTTGCAATTGTCTTATATAAACATGAACCATTAATTTAAAAATAAACTGAAAAAGTTTAACATAAATATGAGAGATATGAGAGTGATATGTAATAAGCTAGAGCAGAAGAACAGCATTAAGTTAGCTATATGGAATATGATTTCTCATATGGTATCCCAGGAATCAAGAAAAATGTTTTCATGCTGATGTTATAGATATTTGAAATATGGCACTAAATGGAGGTAAGTAGAGTGAAGAAAGGTTTATATGAAAATATAAAAAATAATAGCAAATTTGGGGCTGACAGAAATGTTTGTTAGAATTCATTTCAGATCAATTATGATTTCTACTAAAAATACTGTTATAAGTTTTCAAAGTGGCACCAACACAAGGAGTAATATTTTATATTCAATTTTACTTTTTTAAAAAATTGTTATGGGTACATACTAAGTGTATATATTTGTGGGATACATAAGATATTTTGATACAAGCATACAATAGATAACAATCGCTTCAGGGTAAATGGGGTTTCTATCACCTCAAGCACTTATAATTTCCTTCTGTTACAAATGTTCCAGTTATTTTCTTTTAGTTATTTTGAAATGTACAGTCAATTATTGTTGACTGTAGTCACCTTGTTATGCTATTAAATATGGGATGTAATTTATTCTATTTAATTGTATTTTTGTACCCATTAACAATCCCCACTCACCTCCCAAACTACCCTTCCCAGCCTTTGGCAACCATTATTTTTCAATCTGTTTCCATGAGTTCAATTGTTTTAATTTTTATCTCCCACAAATAAGTAAGAACATACAATGTTTGTCTTTCTGTGCCTGGCTTATTTCACTAAATATAATATTCTCTAGTTCCATCCATATTGTTGTAAATGACAGAACCTCATTCTTTTCTATGGCTGAATAGTACTCCATTGTAAATATGTACCACATTTTATTTATTCATAGGCAGTTAAGTTGCTTCCAAATCTTGACTATTCGAATAGTGCTGCAATAAACATTGGAGTGCAGATATCTCTTCAATATACTGATTTCCTTTCTTTTAGGTGTATAACTAGGAGTGGATTTGCTTGATCATACGGTAGCTGTGTTTTGAGTTTTTTGAGCAACTTCAAATTGTTCTGCCTAGTGCTTACACTAATTTACATTTCCACCAACAGTGTATGAGGGTTCTCCACATCCTTGTCAGCATTTGTTATTGGCTGTCTTTTTGATAAAAGTGATTTTAACTGGAGTGAGATAATATCTCATTTTGGTTTTCATTTGCATTTCTCTGATGATCAGTTATGTTGAACACCTTCTTATTTATCTGTTTACCATTTCTATGTCTTCTTTTGAGAAGTGTATACTCAGATATTTGCCAATTTTTGAATTAGAATCTTAGATTTTTTATAGAGTTGTTTGATCATATGTATGTATATATATGTGTATATATGTATATGTATGTGTATATATGTATATATATGTGTATATATGTGTATATATGTATATATATGTGTATATATATGTGTGTGTGTATATATATATGTTCTGGTTATTAATGCCTTGTAACATGAATAGTCTGTAAATATTTTCTCACATTCCATGGGTTGTCTCTTCACTTTGTTGATTATTTCCTTTCACGTACTGAAGCTTTTTATGTGTCCATTTTTGGTTTGGTTTCCTATGAGTCTGGGGCATTACTCAAAAAATCTTTGCCTAGAATAAAGTCTTAGAGAGTTTCCCCAGTGTTTTATTGTAATAGTTTCATAGTTTGAGGTCTTAGATTTAACTTTTCAATGCACTTTGTCTTGATTTTTGCATACAGTGAGAGATAGGAGTCTAGTTTTATTCTTTTGTATATGGATGTCCAGTTTCCCAGTACCATTTATTGAAGGGACTGTCCTTTCCCCAATGTATGTTCTTGGCACCATTATTGTAAATGAGTTTATTCTAGATGTATGGATTTATTTCTTGGTTCTCTATTCTGTTCCATTGGTCTATGGGTCTGTTTTTCTGCCAGTACCATGATGTTTGGTTTACTATAGCTCTGCAGTATAACTTGAAGTCTGGTAATGTGATTCCTCTTTTTTTATTTTTTTCACTCAGAATAGCTTTTAGTTCCATATAAATTAAAATTTCATAAATTTCAGGATTATGTATTATTGTGTTTTCACACTACAGATAAAGACATACCAAAGAAATTCAAGCTGGTGGCAGAAATCTGTATAAGTAACAAGGAGCCAAATGTTAATCCTAAAGACAGCTTGAATTTCTTTTGGAAAAAAAAGAGGTTTAATTGGAGTTACATTCCACGTGTCTGGGGAGGCCTCAAAATCACGGCAAGAGGTGAAAGGCACGTCTTACATGGTGGCAGCAAGAGAAAATGAGAAAGATGCAAAAGTGGAAACCCCTGATAAAACCATCAGATCTCATGAGACTTATTCACTTCCACAAGAACAGTATGGGGAAAACTGTCCCATAATTTAAATTATATCCCACAGGGTCTCTCCCACAACATGTGGGAAATATGGGAGTACAATTCAAGATAAGATTTGGATGGAGACACAGAGCCAAACCATATCATCCACCCTTGGGCCCTCCAAATTCCATGTACTCACATTTCAAAACCAACTGTGCCTTCCCAACTGTCCCCCAAAGCCTTAACTCATTTCAGCACTTACCCAAAAATCCACAGTCCAAAGTCTCATCTGAGACAAGGCAAGTCCCTTCTGCCTATGAGCCTGTAAAATCAAAAGCAAGCTAGTTACTTCCTAGATACAAGGGAGGTACAGGTATTGGGTAAATACAATCACTACAAATGGGAAAAATTGGCCAAAACAAAGAGGGTACAAGACCCATACAAGTCCGAAATCCAGCACGGCAGTCAAATTCTAAGCTCCAAAATGATTTCCTTTGACTCCATGTTTCACATCCAGGTCATGCTGATAAAAGAGGTAGGTTCCCATAGCCTTGGGCAGCTCTGCCTCTTTGGCTTTGACGGGTATAGCCCTGCACCTGGCTGCTTTCACAGGCTGACATAGACTCCCTGTGGCTTTTGCAAGCGCACAGTTCAAACTGCCAGTGGATCTACCATTCTGGGGTCTGGAGGACGGTGGCTGTCTTCTTACAGCTGCACTAAGCAGTGCCCCAGTAGGGACTCTGTGTGGGGTCTCTGACCCCACATTTCCCTTCTGCACTGCCCAAGAAGAGGTTCTTAATGAGGGCCCTGCCCCAGCAGCAAACTTTTGCCTGGGCATCCAGGCATTTCCGTAGAGCTTCTGAAATCTAGGTGGAGATTCCCAAACCTCAATTCATGACTTCTGTGCACCCGCAGCTCAACATACGTGGAAGCTGCCAAGGTTTGGGGTTTGCACCCTCTGAAACCATGCACCAAACTGTACCTTGGCCCCTTTTAGTAATGGCTGGAGAGGCTGGGACACTGGGCACCAAGTCCCTAGGCTGCACACAGGATGAGGACCCTGGGCTCAACCCACGAAACCATTTTTTCCTCCTGGGCTTTTGGGTCTGTGATGGGAGGGTCTGCCATGAAAACCTACGACATGCCTAGGAGACATTTTCCCCAATGTCTTTGGGATTAACATTTGGCTCTTTGTTACTTATACAAATTTCCGCTGCCAGCTTGAATTTCTCCTTTAAAAATGTGTTTTTCTTTTCTACTGCATTGTCAGGCTGCAAGTTTTCTGAATTTTTATGTTCCATTTCCCTATTACAGTGGAATACATTTAACAGTACCCAGGTCACATTTTGAATGCTTTGCTGCTCAGAAATTTCTTCTGCCAGATACCCTAATTCATCTCTCTCAAGTTCAAAGTTCCACAAATCTCTAGGGCTGAGGCAAAATGATGCCAGTCTCTTTACTAAAACATAACAAGAGTCACCTTTGCTCCAGTTCCCAACAAGTTACTCTTCTCCATCTGAGACCACCTTAGTCTGGACTTTATTTTTCATGTCACTATTATCATTTTTGTCGAAGCCATTCAATAAGCCACTAGGAAATACCAAACTTTCCCACATTTTCCTGTCTTCTTCTGAGCCCTCTGAACTGTTCCAACCTCTGCCTGTTACCAGTTCCAAAGTCACTTCCACATTTTTGTGTATCTTTTCAACAACACACCAATACTAGTACTAATTTACTGTATTAGTCAATTTCCATGCTACTGATAAAGACATAACCGAGATTGAGAAGAAAAAGATGTTTAATTGGACTTAACAGTTTTGTATGTTTGGGGCGGCCTCAGAATCATGGCAAGAGGGGAAAGGCACTTCTTACATGGCAACGGCAAGAGAAAATATGGAAGATGCAAAAGTGGAAACTCTTGATAAAACCATCAAATATCGTGAGATTTATTCACTACCACGAGAACAGTGTGGAGGAAACTTCCCCAATGATTCAAATTATCTCCCACCAGGTCCCTCCCACGACATGTGGGAAATATGGGAGTACAATTTAAGATGAGATTTGGGTGGGGACACAGAGCCAACCCGTATCAGATTATATTTTATATTTCTTTGAACAATGACATTGGTATTTTTATAGGGATTACATTGAATCTATAGATTACTTTGGGTAGTATGGACATTTTAACAATATTAATTCTTCCAATTCACAAACATGAAACACTTTTCCATTAGTTTGTGTCCTCTTCAATTTCTTGCATCAATGTGCTATAGTTTTCATTGTAGGGATCTTTCCTTTCTTTGGTTAAGTTAATTCCTAGGTATCTTTAATTTGTAGCCATTGTAAATGAGATTACTTTCTCTACTTCCTTACAGATTGTTCACTGTTGGCACATAGAAATGCTACTGATTTTTGTATGTTGATTTTGAATTTTGTAACTTCACTGAATTTGCTTATTAGTTCTAGTAGGTTTTTTTGTATTCTTCAGGTTTTTCCAAATGTAAGATTATATGATCTGTAAACAGGACTCATTTGACTTCTTCCTTGTCTTTTTGTATGTCCTTTATTTGTTTTGTCTGATGGGTCTAGCTAGTAATTTCAATACTATATTTGAAAGTGGCCAAAGCTGGCATGCCTGTCTTGTTCCAGATATTAGAGAAAAGGTTCTCAGTTTCTTCTCATTCAATATGACACCAGCTGTGTTTCTGTCATATATGACTTTTATTGCATTTAGATATGTCCCTTCTATATCGTTTTTTGTAGGTTTTTATTATGAAGGAATAATGAATTTTAACAAAGGCTTTTTCAGCATCAATTGAAATGATCATATAGCTTTTATCCTTTATTTTGTTGATATAATTTATTACACTTATTGATTTGTGTATGATAAACTATTCTTGCATCACTGGGATAAATATCAATTGGTCATAATGAATAATGTTTTTAATGCACTGTTGGATTCCTTTGCTGATATTGTGTTGAGGATTTTTGTACCAATGTTAATCAGAGAGAGCAGCTAGTAGTTTTCTTTTTCTTTCTTTCTTTTTTTTTTTTTGAGACGGAGTCTCGCTCTGTCACCCAGGCTGGAGCGCAGTGGCGCCATCTTGGCTCACTGCAAGCTCCGCCTCCTGGGCTCACGCCATTCTCCTGCCTCAGCCTCCTGAGTAGCTGGGACTACAGGTGCTGCCACGACGCCCTGGTAATTTTTTATTTTTTAGTAGAGACGGGGTTTCACCGTGTTAGCCCGTATGGTCTAGATCTCCTGACCTCGTGATCCGCCCACCTCGGCCTCGCAAAGTGCTGGCATTACAGGCGTGAGCCACCGCGCCAGGCCGTAGTTTTCTTTTTTCATATGTCTTTGTCTGGTTTTGGTATCAGGATAATACTAGTCTCATAGAATGAACCTGGAAGTATTTCATTTTCCTTTATTTATTGATTTTGGAATATTTTAAGTAGGATTGATATTAGTTCTTTTTTAAATGTTTGGTAAAATGCAGCAGTGAAGCCGTTGTGTCCCAGGTTTTCCTCTGCTGGAAGACTTTTTATTATGGCTTCCATCTCATTCCTTGTCATTAGTCTATTCGGGTTTTGAACTGCTTTACAGTTCAATCTTAGTATGTTTTATGTGTCTAGGACTATCCAATTATTCGTATATAGTTTCTTATGGTAGTGTCTAATAATCTTTTTAATTTCTGAAGTATTGATTGTAATATCTCCGTTTTTAACTATGGTTTTATTTATTTGGGTCTTTTTTAGTCTGGCTAAAGATTTGTTGATTTCCTTTATCTTTCAAGTAAATAACTTTTTGTTTTGTTGATCTGTTGTATTTTTTGTTTCATTTTCATTTATTTCTACTCTAATCTTTATTATTTATTTTCTTCTACTAACTTTGGGTTTGGTTTGCTCTTGTCTTTCTCATCCTTTAAAAAGTATTATTAGATTATTTATTTGAAGTTTTCCTACTTTTTATCTCACTGTGTTTTATGAACCCCAAGTCTCCTGGTTCTGATACCACCATAGCACCAAGACTTGCCTGAGAATTTCAGACTTGTGGCCTAGACTGCCTTTCAGGTTAATTTAGGACCCCAGAGCCCTTTAACCTGCTGTTGTGGGGCTAGCCAAAACTCAAGTTCTGACCATGAAGCTAGATAATTTCCCTTTGGCTATGGCTAGTCTTAAAGTTCCCTCTTTGGGTGCCAGCTGAGCTCTGTCCCATGTTACTTTCCTTGTGAGAGAACAGCACTGAGTTCTAATGCAAAGTGCCACAGTCACTGTGCTTTCTCTTGCTCAGGCACACAGATTCTCTCGCCACTCCATGCTGACAGTTCCAGGAGATAGGAGAAGGGCTGCATTGGCAATTCAGGATTGTCTTTCCTACCTTCTTCAGTACCTCTTTCCTTAATATGATGTTAAAACCAGGTACTGTGATTGCTTACCTAATTTTTGATTCTTATGAAGCTGCTTTTTTGTATGGGTAGTTGTTCAATCTGGTGTTGCTGATTCTCTTCTGGAAATTTGGAAAGCTTAACAATCTTAATGCACAATATTTGATTTGATGAACATGAACTGAGCTATGTATTAAGTATCATGCAAACAAATATAAAATAACAACTCTACTTTTAAAGAGCTATAATATTGATGATGATGTAAAATATTGAGTCATTAGTATGTGTCAGGTAGATTTTAAGAATATTTGCAGATTATCCTATTTCAATCTTATCATAACCCCAAGTGGCAATTATTATTTATATCATCATTTCTTATATAGGGAAACAGTAATAGGGTACCACAGGAGACAGGCACCAAAAGGGTATAAGGAAGTCTAGTAAATTAGATAATAATGCGAGGTGAGGATAATTCATCAAATTCTCTGCAGAAAGTATTGCTTGAATAGTCATAAAGGAATTGGGATCAACATTTCTTGTCTGCAAAGCTATGGAATTTTTGTCATTTATTATTTTATGTAGGTCTTACAGGTTAAAATTAAATAACGGACAACTGAGGGAGCATAATGGGATCAGTGGGATTAAATGAGGCTTATTGAACATTTCTAGGGAATAGATAATAAGTGTTTACTCTTTCCCAGGGGCAGTATGTAAGCAGAAGGGGTAATGTTATAACACTTCATTGAAATCATAGGATTTCTCATATTAGAGTGATGAATGACAGAGAAAATATCACAGAATATTAAATACATTACATTTTGTAGATTATATACACAGTAACATTTTCTCACTCAGTGTTATTTGGTGGATGCCCAGTGTGCCTATGTTTGAACTGCCATGGTATTGGGCAAAAATGTTCTGCTTTTTAGATGACAGGAGACAGAACAAAGTGAGGGGGGAAAGCAGAGTTAGGATCAACAGTCAATTTAGAGAGAGAACTATTCAAGACATCATTTTAGTTTGTATATAACCTACTTAAAAAATATTCTTTTAAGCCAAAATGGAGTACTCTATCTAGTACTCTTGTTTCCTCCTCTAGCCCCTCCTCATGCTCGCTCTTTCTGTAATATGCCCTCTTAGTGTCAAACCTATATGTTCTCAGCATACCCCATTTCAATACTTACCCCTTATGTCCCACTGTTAACCTCTGTCATTCTCCTTCATGCATGCATTCTGTCAGCCACAAGGGATGGTCCAGAAATGTCACAGAGTTAATGTCCCTTCAGATAGCCCTCAACCAAATGGCAGACGGAAACTGAAGGATAAGTAATCCAGCTTTCTCATTCTCAAACTCAAGTCTAAGCCATGTTGTATACTGTTCCCAGAAATTCTCAGTGATATTGATGTACAGTTGCTCACACAGGTAATCTTCCTTGTATATCTAGGCCTCAGGGAGAGGACTAGACATCATCTTGATAATCTGGAATATAACTCAGTTATAAGTTCTAGATGGGACTCTGAGACTCAGGGAAATGGGGGGAGACAGTGCATTTGAATATTTGAGTGGCCAAGGACAATGAATAGGCAATGATGTTTGAACTTCAGTGTCAGTTCTTCTGTTATTTCCTCTGTATTAGAACACTCCAATGTTAGCTGAACTCATCCCTTCGTAAAGTAAAACTAAAATTTTCAGAGTCCTTGTGAGTTGACAGAGTGACAAATTAGAAGGAGATTGAGTCTGTAAACCTGCACAGCCCCATACCAGCCTGGAAGGCACGCCTGTGTTCATTCAACAGAAATATAAACCATTATTTTCTTAATCTACCGCTGTTTGGACCTACGTTGTTGTTGTTTCCTATGCTCATATTCTAATTTAATCTTAATTAAATAACATGCTAAACAATTTTAAAAAGAGTTTAAAGTAATAGTAAAGTATACGTATACTATACATAAACATGTATACATATACTGTGTATTCTTTATAGACATATACTATATATAATTTAAGTTATGAAAAAAAGAAAAATCAAATGTCAGAATAACATCAATCCAGAGATATTCTTTAAAAAACTTACAACTATATATTATTGCTACCTTTGTGATAGAAATTAGAGTCTATTATATTTCCTGAGAGTCATCTCCAAAATTAGAATTTCACATTTTTACTGAAATCTATCTTCTCATATTGATAAAGTTGAGTGCTGATCTAATGTTAAGCAACACTGAAAATAAGTTTGTAAAACTAAAAAGAACATATCTGGCCAATAAAAGCATTCCTAATATGCAGAGTGCAAAGACAAACTCGTATCTTGGAAAAAAAAACACTCTTATCTGCACTTGGCTCAGACAAAAATTTTTTCCTTGATGCTAATAAAGATGACCTTTTGTACATAAACAATATCTTAAAATATAGCATTCTAATATGCTAATTACTTTAATAGGAGATTTTCTGATATAAGTAGTTGTTCTAGATATAGGCTTGTGTAATCAAGCCTAATCAAAATTAAATGATAGTAATTCTAGGCGATATGAGGCATCTGACCCACGTTTGCATATATTTTCACTTTGCACTATATTTTTTCTACTCTATTCTTTATTCAGGAAGTCAAAATTCCTAGTAACTAAATTTAGTGTTAGTTAACTAACTAATATTAGTATTAGTTAATGTTAGTTTAGTATTGTTATTCTAAGAAATCAAATGGCTGTTAAAAGTGATTAAAGAAGCAAACCAATAAGATAATTGTCATTATTCCTTGTTATTTTAAATGTAATTTTAATTTCCAAGCAGCTTCTAACAGAGACATAACTCTGGATGATATGAGATTACAGTCAAAACTTGTTTTTTTTAAAAAACAATATTAGAAGTAAAAGATGTATACTGAATGCAAGGGAAATGAGAGAATTTCCACTTTATTAACATAAAAAAGAAAATTTTATTTAAACAAAGATAAGTGCCATGAGCAGATACTTGTTGGCAAAGGGGTGATACTACTGTATTATATTGTAGTTTTTTTCCATTTGACTTTGGAGCACTCTGCTTTCCAGACAATTACTATTTCACTGTTAGACATCCTTAGATTAAAATGTTTTGTTATTTATTTCTATTTGCAGTTTCTATTATTAAATATCTTTTTAGCATTCTTTTCTGAGTAACAATCCATAGCTGAAACTGCAATAAAATAATTTCCTTTAGAGTTAATAAAAGAAAAATAGTACATACAGTGAATTTCTCATAGTGCCTTTCTCAAACCACTGATTTAGAAAATCTGGTTGTGTCCTTATTAGCATAAACCTTCATGATGGCAAGAACTTTGTCTTGTTCACTGTGTTATCCCCACAACTAAAATAATGCATGACATTTTAACTAGCTCACAACTGAGAACTACTCATCTAAAAAATTCGAAAGTTGAAAACAGAGAAAAGTAAACACTGATAAAAATTGAGTTTATATGTTGATGTTTTATTACCTTCTAACTCATTTACTTTGCATCTTCATATTTAAACATTTGAAGAGTGGCTGTTTGGTATACTCAAGCTAACTAGGCTACTTCCAGTTCATTGTAACCTTTTACCAGACAACCTGTTTCCAAATGCCTGTCGATTAAGGAAAAGTAAAATCACATACACACACATACATGAACATTAAATATTGAAATGGAGTAAAGTTTCTATTTTAGAGATTTACTAATACAGTATGAAAAGAGTGTCAAAAAAGCATGGAGTATTATATTAAGATGTTTATCTTTTGCAATCTTGTTTAAATATGATACTTTAGTTGTGCTAATTAAAGAGAAGTATAAGGTCTTATTAAATGTAGTTTTTATTCATTTTTAACAGAGAAAGATAGAAAGCTTGACAACTGCTGCTCCATTTGGCTCTGTTTAAAAAGAGGAAGAAAGTGACCAGAAGGATGACAAAATGGTTACTTGCCCTCAGAGGTCATAAAAGACCTTGAAAACCCCTAATGATGTAAAAGGAATTATTATTTCCTCTCTTGTTTTGATAGTGGACTCAGCTTCTCTCTATAACAGATGGCCTTTTAGGTAAATGCTAGTGGATCTCTCCTTGACCTGTTCCTAAGCTGAGAAGTCTTCTGTATGCAGAGGAGACAATGCTGAGCCTCGTTTGCTTATGGATACTCTGCAATAGATAAGGCAGCAGTCTTGGAAACAGCAGATGGCATAAACAGGCATTGTGCCAGTTCATAATTACGACCTGGTAGGCCCAGGGAAGCAGTCATGTGCATCTCAGAACTGGAACTAACTGGATCTATGTTTTTGCTCTGTTACTCTATTCTTTCCCATATATGTAGTTTCTGATATGGCCATGAGGACAACAAAGAAGGGGTGTGTGTGTGTGTGTGTGTGTGTGTGTGTGTATTTTTAATTTTCAATAGATTGAATAGAAACCAAAGTAAAAACAAATTAGAGTCTGATTATTTATAATAGCAATGATCATTTTGTGCCTATAGATTTTGAATCTCCTGTATTTGTTAATATCTCTTCTTACTCAGACACAAGCTGCCCTTGTGTTTGACAACCAGCTATGTGGTTAATTTATGAAGTAGAAGTTATAATATTTATCATTTTCATAGATTTTTTTCACATATGAAAGTTGATAACAAGCAGCTCCAAGAAAGCAGAGCTGGCCTGTGATAGGACTCAGTGTGAGCAATGCAGTCTCCATTCAGACAGCAACACGGTTGCTGCTGACAAGCTGTAAATAGGTGTTAAGGTAATGAAAAAGACAACATTTCCACTTACACTTTTATTGGATTCTAGCCCTAGGGTCATATCATCCCAAGAATTTCACAGCATAAAGGTGAGATAAACAGCAGCATCAAGGTGCTGTGAATATGATGAGGTAGCTTAGTTTTCCCTAATTTTCTGAGCAACAAAGAGACAACTTTTAGAGATTACAGGGAAGTTTGGTTGCAAGGCATTTTCTTCCCATAATTTATTTATTTGGATTCTGTTATTATCCATTAATGACATCATTATAGTGGAATGTTGTAGAATGGGCCAGTGATGTCGTGCTTTCTGATATCCATCTATATTCTCACATTGAATCTGAGTTTGGACAGGGAGATAGCAGCACATCTGATACAAGTGGAAGCTTGAATAACGTTTGCATAGTGAGGCTTGCTTTCCTTGCGGCACTTGAATGCACTTTAGCTATCACTATGTGAAGAAGCCTGGGCAGTATGCTGAGGGATAAGGGAGCATGTGGAGGAAGCCCCAGTCATCCTGGCTGTGGGAAACAGAGTCATCACAAGCCACCCTAGACCAGGCAAGCCAGGACTGGAGAGCCTGAATGAGTCCAGCCAGATCAGAACTACACAGGTGATCTGCAGACTCATGAGATGGTAAATGATTACTGTTTTAAGCCACTGAACTATGGAGCGTTTTGGCATTAGAAAATTAATATACCTCTGAAGAAAAAATGAAGCATGTATACCAAGTGTTTCCATCTCAGAATCACTTTGATCAAGGGTGAAAAATCATTTGGAAATTCCCTAGCTTCTCAGACTTCATCGTATATATGAATCATGGTAAAAAGACTCTGAATCACTACATATGAAGTGGGGCCTGAAATTATACATTTCTAACACACTCCCTTATGCTGTCTATAGTTAAATGCTAGCACAGCTACCTTCGCATTGCAGTGCTATGGAAACAGAAAACCAGAAGTTCTGCCAAATATCCACCAGTGTTTTCTTCAGTCCCTTAAAGTGTGAAGGTATGCTTTTTTTTCATTGTCACATAAATAAAGAACAGCCACTGTTATAGAAAGAAATGATCAAAAAATCTAGTGAGGTTTAACAACATGAATCTGATATATAAATCGCTGAAATCTAACAAAATTGAAAAATTAATTGCTATTTATTTGAATAAGAATTAAGATGAAAATAGAAATACACTTAATTGATTTAACTAAACATATTAGTCATTAAAATCACCAGAAGCAAATATTATTTATATTAACTAATTAGCTTAGTATTAAATGTGTCAATGATTTCTGAATCTGTATGTGCAAAATGAAATGAAGCACTAATATATATCAAATGATTTTTCCTAGATTTTAAATCATCATTTTATATTGCCCACATGTGATGTATTATGAAGCAATGTTCATACCAATTTAGAGGCTTGGATAATGAAGCAAAATTTGATTGTTAAAATAAAATACATACAACAGAGCCTCCAATTATAGTCTGCACAAAACTGAAGCAACGTTAATGAGATGAAAGGTCCAGTAGAAAAAGCAATGATGGGGAAATTAAGAAAGAAGTGACACAAGGGTTATAGATCCAGAATTAACAAAATTCTTTCTAATTGAAGCACCGAGGAAATAGAGGGAAAAGAAGAAAAAAAATTTGAAAGAAATAATGGCTGAATATTTCCAACAACTGAGAAAGTGAAGTTGTTTTCAGATAAAGAGATGAGAAGATCAGATCATGGCTTAAAAAGCAGGGCGGCAAAGAAGAAGTATAATAATGTAACATTCACATTTAAATCCATTTAAAGAATCTTCAGTTTATCTAAGAGAGAAATAGCTAAAATGCATCAGAGTAAAAGAAAGAAAACACTTGTATAATGGATTATGTTGAAATTCTCTTACTACTCAGTAATACTGTGTGAAAGATACAGTGCATTAGTATCTTCAGGTTTTTTATGGAAAATTGTTTCACTACCCATGCCCGTGTAATTAGACTTAATTTTGATCTTGTCAGGTGACCATATGACCACACCATTAGTTTCCTTTCTAGGTACATTTTCTGCACCTAAAAGGATTTAGCAGTAGTCACCAATTCTTTCTCAAATTTTAACAAATCTTTATTTGTGTGTGGTCTGCAGTTAGGTCTTAATAAAGGCATCACTGGATTATTAAGAAAACATTTTATTCCCCAAATATACCTGCCTTGAAATTTCTGGCATGTGTGTGTTTTTTTTTCTTAATCAATTATCTTGCCAATCTGGCCAGTAATTTTGTGAGCTCATCTTTTTTTTTTTTTTTTTTTTATTCTAGAAACAACCCATTCCAACAACTGACATTATGTTTTGAAACCATTTCACCCAAACCCATAAATCATTTAGGAACATGTACTTCCCATGTTATCATAGGAACACTTGAGCTACTGTTTCTCTGCTATGTGTACTGAGTCTCCATTGTGTAGCCTCCTATGCCAGTGAGGATATAAGGATATCATCCACCGCCCAGTCTCAATATCTGTGCTTTGAAATATATTAGTAGCCTTCCCCTAGTTTCAGCTTTGTTTATCAGCTTTTCATGGGCTAATTCCTGGCTTTCGATGAACAGAGGGGAAAAAACAAATGAACAAACAAAAAAAAGTACAAACCTAATTTGTGTTATTATTCAAAGTCAATCTTTACATTGGATTATCCCTTTAATTCTGGCTCTGCTCAATAGCCAAATAAATTTGGAATAATATGTCTGAGCAATATAAAAGAATTATAGCAATCTATAGAAGAATATTGTAGATTACCACAGTTGTTTTAGATTGTTTAAAGCCCTTAAATTTAAGGCAAATTAAGAGATTGAAAATAAGACCTTATGCATAATTTTCAAATTATTTGATAATAAAACTTAACTCTCTGTTCCTTACTCTTTGCCTCCTTCCCATTTTTTTCCTGGCTCTGTCCCTCTCCTCTCATGTTTTTGGAGCATCTGCAGAGAGCAGAGTTCCACAAAATACATTTTTATTTGCACTGTCTTCAAGCAAAAGGAGGCACAATGCAATTACTTAGAAATTGATTATTCATTCTATTATACTTTTACCAAAACAGATATAATAGTGTTATTTATCAAATTAGGTTTTGATATCATTATAAAATGAATAAATTTCATGGGAAGATAAAATACAAATATTTACTTCAAGAGGAAATATAATGCTGCTTAAAGGAAAAGCTAAATAATGATAAAATAATAGCAATAAAAACTATAATAAATCTTCATAGGATTTTTAAATGTAGATATGTGTAAAGAAGAAATAACATAGATTACAGGTTTTCAAATCAGAATTCAATAGTTACTTGGGCAAGGACTGAAAAAATATATTTGTAATCTGCTTTAAATATGTATAATTATTGTATTTTACATGTTGAGTAATATTTTACATATTAAAAATATCAAATATAATTTTTATGACTCACAACATAAATTAAAATTCAAGTGTTAAATAATCAATGGCAGAAATATATTTTTCTGTTACGTATACAACAAAATCTTTATATTGTCTAAAAATACGGAGATAGGGTTTTTAACTAAGTATCCTGTATCTTTGAAGCATGATTGAATCTCAACTGTTTCCTAAAAATATGTGGTGTGATACAAGATAGATTATGTAAAATTTACAAATTCAGTATTGTTAATGATTAAATGTTTATAAATTAAGGTGTTGGATCAGAAGCATAAAGTTATTGTTCAAATTTACTTTTAGGCATCCTAAATGAAAAAGATAAACTTATCAACTCCACGTCAGATAAAGCCAAATAAGAGCAAACCAAGGTCAGTCACTTGACAAATAATCCAAGAGAGAAAAAAGGTTACCATATAAAATCGTACTGATTAATAAACTGATAAGCGGCACATTGAATTCCTTGCAGAATGGGGCTTGATTCTTACTTAGAGCCCACAGAGTATGACCTGGTATTGTTGAGTAATTGAGTCATTGTCCTTCATTGAAGAAAGCATGATTTTCCTTTATAGAAAGGACTAATTAAAGAAGGTAACATGAAACACTTGAAGTGAATACTTAAATGAAATTATAGGAAATTGTCATGCTCATTTTGTTCTCTTTCCATGGTATTCTTTAAAAAGGAATTTATTTTTAAAATATTGTTTCAGTATTTTGGCCAACTGATGAAGTGTAAGTAGATCAGGAACATGAACTGAGCTGCATGTTTCACTTGAGTTCAAGAGCATCCTAAATAATTTTTTACATGGAACTTTCTTTTGATCATCTACTTTTGCTTGAGACAAAAAAAAAGAAAAAACAGTTTTTCGTTGAAATAAAATATACCACAGGCACAACTTTTATTATTTTTTGTTCCCATTTTTTATCACATATTTCTGCACAATTTTAATGTCTTTTGGGGCAAAACTTTCTGGGGTTTTTAATAAAAATATTGTTTATGAAATGTCAGTTTTATACAGACTTCTCAGTTTTGCAGCATTTTCTACCCAGAAGCTTTATTTAAGCATAGAGATTCTGATATCTATTTGATATGTATTAATCTCACTGTTATGAAACAAAAATTTGAAGTTTTGTGTTATAGTGACAAGTATGTCTCCTAATATGATTTTATTCTTTACCTTTGTGTCAAACATTTGAAATTGTGGATATCATTGAAAAGTAATGAAAGAATGACTAAATAAGAATAAAAATATTTTTAATAAAGAAACCAGTTGTTAGGAGGAGAGTTTGGTGGAGAAGTGATGTCCTGCAAAACAGTCATTCCCAGGTGTAATTCAAAGTTAAAATAAAATGTTCAATGTTATCAAAGTAGTGATTTGAAACAAATTAAAATGCACACATTTTGGTAAACAGGCTTTGATGAGGGCACTCATTTTCTGCAGTAGATGTAAAAATCAGGTCATGATTTTGTAATTCAAACTTGCAAAACAAATAGAAAAGGTTATAATTCTGGCATTGCTCTTGAAGAAAAAATATTAATACTGAAATATGCAAACTAATAATATTCAAACAATACAATAAAATATGAATACAGTAAAATGTATATACATGTAAATTATATACTTATGGATCAATTTATATATCTAGAGAGTCCTGCAAAGAGTTATGTCAAAAACACTTATCTCTGGATGATTATATTATGAGCGATTATCATTTTTCTTTTATATTTATCTGTATTTTCTAGTTTTCTAGATTGCCACTAATTATTACTTAAAATTATAATAATTGGGTTACACATTAATTCATGTTGTATTATTAAAAGTTTCAAATTAGAAAAAAACTACAAGCTCAATATTCCACCCATATTCTTTCTAACTCTCTGAGTAATCATGTATAAAACTATCATTAGTCATTAATTGTGTGCTTATTTACACACACAAATATATATTAGATAAACTTATTTTTTTAATTAGCAATCTCTTGGATACTTTCTCTCATCATTGTATATTTCTCTGCCTCATCCTTTTTCAAGTTGCATATTATTCTATGGAATAGATTTACTGTAACATATCAATACAGCCCACTATTACTTACAAATTCCATAAGATATTTTCAAATGTTTAGTTGTTATAAACAGTGCTTTAATTACGTACTTGTATATGACTCTCTGTGTATTCTTCCAGTTATTTCTGGAGAATATAAAGCTTTATCAGAGATTATGTATAATTCATATTTCAACAAATAATGCCATTCATATGTTTGTACTTCCTTTTTGATTTTTGAGAATTTTAACATATTCTGAGGTAATTATTTGCAAGTATTATGCTTGCATTTTCTCAGTCTTCAGAAATAGTTCTTTGCCTTCATTGGGCATTATACTAACATTGAAATTTAGAAAATAATTATATTAAGAATAAACAGTGGCTTAAAAAGTGTGGCCTCACTATGTAGGCCCTAAAAAGAAATAGAAAATATTAAAGATTTATATTTAAAGTCAATAATGAAAAATGAGAGTTAATAAGATTATATAAAACTGCTAAAATTCACAAGAGTTACATAAATTAATATATACTGCTCTGTTCAGAGCAATATAGTGTACAAACAAATTACAAAATAATTGATATAAACTGGCCTAAATGGCAAAGGGTTTGTAATTATCTGAACACATGTACTTTATAAATAATGACATTTTAAATACATGGACAAACTGTGATAATTTCAGCACCCTTTCAAGGAAGAGGCAAGTTATAAGTTGCTTTGGGCCATTCTCTTGTATGAAGTTGCTGAAAAATCCCTAGCAAATATTGCTTCTCCCTCAATATTCTAGAGTAATATGAATTATTTTTCATCAACTTTTATTTTTAGTTCCAGGGTACATGTTCAGGATGCGCAGGTTTGTTACACAGGTACATGTGTGCCATGGTGGTTTGCTGCACAGATCAACCCATTGTCTAGGTAGTAAGCCCAATATCCATTAGCTCTTATTCCTGATGCTCTCCTTCCCTCCATCCCCACCCCACCGCTGCTGATAGGCCCCAGTGTTTGTTGTTCCCCACAACGTGTCCATGTGTTCTAATTGTTCAGCTCCCACTTATAAATGAGAACATGCTGTGTTTGGTTTTCTGTTCCTTGCGTAATTTGCTGAGGATAATGTCTTCCAGTCCCATCCACGTCCCTGAAAAGGACATGATCTCATTCCTTTCTATGGTTGCATAGTATTCCATGGTGTGTATGTAACATATTTTGTTTTACCCAGTCTATTATTGATGGATATTTATGTTGATTCCATATCTTTGCTATTGTGGATAGTGCTGTAATGAACATAGGCATGTATATATCTTTATAATAGAATGATTTATATTCCTTTGGGTATATACCTATTAATAGGAGTGCTAGGTCGAATGGTGTTTCTGCTTCCAGATCTTTTGAGTAACATGAATTTTTAAATGTGCTCGCTGATCATTCTGATGCATGATGCACACAGAAAAAGTCTTTTCGCCCAACTGATTAACCCTAAACCATTTATTTTGTATTACATGTCAATTTGATTGAATTACTCACTTTTATAAACTTATAGATTATAAAATTTGGTTCATTAGATTTTATGGATTTGGCTGAATTGTAAACCTATTAATTTTGCTTTAACTCTGCAAGGATTAACAATGTGACAGATGAAAGAACTTAAATCTGTAACATCAGACTCTCAAACGTTAGATGTTACTCTGTGGCAGGTTTTAAAAAATTCACACCACAAATAAAAACATGATGTGCTAAAATACTTGCATGTGATTGAATTTTAACATATCCAAAATAAGACACAGTTTTCCTTAAACACAAAATTACAGGGTTCTTCATACAAATGTATCCTGTTTTCACAGAGGGAAAAAAAAGGAAAGATGCTAGAACCACCTGCAAATAAACACGAAAACTAGAAAAATCCTAAATAATTAATCCCCAAAGATAAAAGAGAATCTTGAAAGAAAAAAAATAGCCCATGGAGTTCACTTTGTCAAATACTTGTTTTTCTGTGAATATGGCTACTAGGATGACAGACTTTTTTTTTTTTTTTGCATTTCTATTAAATAGTATATAAGTACCGGAGAATAGAAATGTAAAACTTACTACCCTAAGTTCTCAAGACTCATAACCTAAGGTATAAAAATGTACACAATACACAAAGCATATTTTCTTGCCCTTTTTTTAAAAAAAATTCAATTGGAATTAGCCTTTTATGATAATTATTTATTCCTTATTAAAACAATTGTAATAAGTGAGACCAATAAATAAGATATAGAAAAGTAATTGAAGAAACAGCTTATAGAATAACTAAAGAAAATAAACTACATATCCCATAACTTATGTGTGTGTGAGTGTGTATGTGTGCCTTTTTTTCCTACCTAATATTTTTTAACAGTTAAAAAAATTAACTGACATAGATATATAAAAGTCATATAAAACATACATGGAAGCAAATGAAAGAACACTAGCACTTTTAAACAATTTGTAAAAATCATTAATGGCATTCCAACACATTTTCTTTATAGTGACTGGCTTTCAACACTAAGTACGGTGCTAAAAATAAATCTGGAAAAAATATATAAATTTCTAGATAGAATTTAAGTAATGTTACAGCACACATAATTTATCCCCCTTGTATTTAAATTGACACATTATACAGAGTGTAATTTGATGTTTAGGTACATATATGTATTGTGTAATGCTCAAATCAGCATATTTAGCATTTTTTTTTTTTTTTTTTTTTTGATACGGAGTCTGTCTCTGTAGCCCAGGCTGGAGAACAGTGGCGCGATCTCAGTTCACTGAAAGCTCCGCCTCCCAGGTTCACACCATTCTCCTGCCTCAGCCTCCCGAGTAGCTGGGACTACAGGCGCCCGCCCACCACGCCCAGCTAAATTTTTATATTTTTATTAGAGACGGGGTTTCACCGTGTTAGCCAGGATGGTCTCAACCTCCTGACCTCATAATCCACCCACCTCGGCCTCCCAAAGTGCTGGGATTACAGACGTGAGCCACCATGCCCTGCCTAGTTAGTATATCTATTAGCTCATGTTTTTATCATATTTTTGTAGTAAGAGCATTCAATAGATTTTCTTCTAGTTATTTTGTAATATAAAAAGCGTTACTATAAACCATTCTCATCCTTCTCTGTGTTAGAACACTAAAACTTATTCCTGCTATATGATTTTAACTTCCTTCCCATTGACCACCAACCAACCTCTCCCCATTCTACCCCCTTCCTCTCCAAGGCTTGATCTATTCTCAGCTTCTATGATTCTATGATATCAACTCTCTCTCTCTCTCTCTCTCTCACACACACACACAGACACACACAGACACACACACACATATACACAAACTATTTTAAGATTCCACATATGAATGAGATCCTGTGATATTTGTATTTCTTTGCTTGGCATATTCCACTTATCTTGACGTCCTCCAGGTGTATTTGTGTTATCATAAAGGATAGTATTTTTTTTCTTTTTATGGCTGAATAGTATTCCACAGTGTATTTCATTCATCCATTTTTGGACACTTCTGTAAATAATGCTGCAATAAACATGAGAGGGAAGCTATTCCTTCCACACATGGATTTAATTTCTTTGAAATATATATATGTATATAGTAGTGGAATTGCTGGATATAGCAGTTTTAAGTTTTTGAAGAATCCTCATATTGTTTTCCATAATGGTTTTACTAATTTACAATCCCACCAACAGAGTGTAAATATTCCCCTTTCTCCACATCCTCACCAATATTTGTTTACTTTTATATTTTTGATAATAGCCATTCTAACTGGAGTGATGTAATAACTCATTATGGTTTTGACTTGCATTTCCCCATGACTGGCAAAGTTGAGCATTTTTTATTTGGAAGCATTTTATTACTTTCACTTGCCTACTTGCTTTGGCTAAGATTTTCAGTACCATGATCAATAGGACTGGTGAAAATGAACACCTTTGTCTTGTTTCTGATATTAGAAGAAATGCTTTTAGCTTTTCAGTATGCTATGAGCTGTGGGTTTGTCATATATCGGCTTTTATGGTGCTGAGTTACACACCTTGTATACCTATTTTGTTAGAATTTTTTAAGAAAGGATATTGGATTTTGTCAAATGAATTTTCTGTATCTATTGAAAAAATCATGTTTTTAATTTTTATTTCTTTTAATGAGAGGTTTTTTTAATAAAAGTGTAGGTTGTGCAAAGTGCAAGTCCTATCCTTACATCATGAAAATGAATCCCACTTGATCATAGTGAATGATCTTTTTAATGTGCTGTTGAATTCAGTTTGCTGCTAATGTGAGGATTTTTGCATCTATGTTCATCAAGGATGTTGGTCTGTGGTTTTCTGTTTCAGCCATGTCCTTGTCTTGTTTTCACATCAGGAAAATGCTGGCTTCATAAAATGAGTTTGGAAGTATTTCCTTCATTTCAATTTTTTTGAAATAGTTTGAGAATGGTATTGCCTAGGTTTTCTTCTAGGGTTTTTACGGTTTTAGGTCTGGGACACAGGAAGGGGAACATCACACACCGGGGCCTGTTGTGTGCGGTGGGGGGAGGGGGGAAGGATAGCATTAGGAGATATACCTAATGTAAATGAGGAGTTATTGGGTGCAGCACACCAACATGGCACACGTATAAATATTTAACAAATCTGCACGTTGTGCACATGTACCCTAGAACTTAAAGTATAATAAAAAAATATATATATATAAAAGAAATAATTTGAGAAAAAAATGATATTAACCTTTAAATGTTTGGTAGAATTCAGCAGTAAAGCCATCAGCTCCTGGACTTTTCTATAATGGAATACTGATTTAATTTCCATACTCATTAATTTGATCAGAAATTT
Source organism: Homo sapiens (assembly GCF_000001405.40). Lineage (NCBI taxonomy): Eukaryota > Metazoa > Chordata > Mammalia > Primates > Hominidae > Homo > Homo sapiens. The sequence goes on along the minus strand of NC_000004.12, from coordinate 63,609,626 downwards.
CTGTTCACTTATAATTTAATCTTGGTAGGTTATATGTGTCCAGAAATTTATCAATTTTCTTTGTTTTCAAATTTGTTGGCATATTGTCATTCATAATAATCTCTTATAATCTTCTGTATCTCTTTGATATCAGTAATAGTATCCCTTTTTCATCTCAAATTTTAGTTATTTCAGTCTTTTCTCTTTTTATGTTAGTCTAGCTAAAGTTTTGTCTATTTTATTTATCTTTTCAAAGACCAACACTTTGTTTTGTTGATCTTTTTTTTAGTCTCTATTTTGCTTATTTCTGCTCTCAGATTTTTTTCTTTCTTCTGTCAGTATTCGGTTTAGTTTGTTCTCATTTTTCTAGTTTCTTGAAGTGCAGGGTTAAGTTATTTATTGGAAATCGTTCTTTTTGATCTAGGCATTTAGTGCTGTGAACTTTCCTGTTCATAGAACTGATTTTACTGTGTCCCATAAGTTTTAGTATATTGTGTTTCCATTCTCATTTGTCTCAAATAATTTTTAAATTTCATTTTTAATTTTTTCATTAACCCATTGGTTATATAGGAGCATATTGTTAAATGTTCATGTATTTCTAAGGTTTCCAAAGATTTTCTTCTTGATTTTTAGTTTTATACTTTGTGATTGGAAAGACATTTGATATGATGTGTATCTTCTTAAATTTGTTAAGATTTGTTTTATGACCTAATATATGACCTATCCTGGGAAATGTTTTGTGTGCAATTAAGAAGAATGTGTATCCTGAAGCTATAGGATAAAATGTTCTGTACACATCTGTTAGGTCCATTTGGTCTGTGGTGCAGTTTTATGTTCCTTTATACTGATTTGCTGTCTAGATAATCTGTCCATTGTTGAAAGTGAGGTGTTGAAAGTTTCTACTATTACTGTATTTGCAGTCTAACTCTCATGTTAAATCTAGTAAAATTTGCTTTATATATGTGGGTGCTCTGGTTTGGTGTGCATATTTTTTTAATTGTTATATCTTCTTGTTGAATTGATTCTTTTATCATTATGTAATAGCCTTTCTTGTCCCTTTTTACAGTTTTTGACTTAAAGTCCTCTTTATCTGACATAACTATAGCTACTGCTTGTATTCGGTTTTCACTTGCATGAAATATCTTTTTTCATCTCTTTGCTTTTAGTTTATGTTTGTCTTTTACAGTGAGGTGAGTTTTTTGTGGGCAGTATAAAACTAAGTCTTTTTTAAAAAATTCACTCACCCACACTGTATCTTTTCGTTACATAATTTAATTTACTTATTTTCAAAGTTATATTAGTAGGTAAGGACTTACTACTGACATTCCAAAAATTGTTTTCTGATTGTAGATCATTTGTTCTTTTCTTCCTCTCTTGTAGATTTCCTCTATGATTTTGTAGTTTCCTGCAGTGCTAAACTGCTTTCTTTTCCTCATTTGTATATTTGCTGTTATTTTCTTTGTGGTTACCATGTGGCTAATACAAAACGTCTTGTTGTTTTAATAGACTAAGCTGAAAACAACTTAATTTTGGTTGCAAAAAAAAATACTTTAGACTTTTCTCCCACGCAGATCACTTATATTCTTGTTGCCCTAATTTACATTTTCATCTATAGTGTGTTTCTTAGTCACTGACTGTAGCTATTTTTTTGAGGGGGGGCCATTTTGACGTTAAATTTTTATACTAGAGGTTTGAAAGTGTTACAGAGCACCATTTCAGCTCTGGGACATTCTGAGAATAATTATGAATTTATACTGATGAGTTTTATACTTTCATGTGTTTTCATAATATATATTATTCTGTTTCCAGTTATAGCAGTACTCTAAACATTTTATATAAGGCCATGGTGTCATGATTTTGCTGGGGTAGGGTCACCAGGTTGGTTGCTGCTCTGAGGACATGAGAGCTAGCAGTCTCTTTAAGGTGGCAGGGCTGCCACCAGAATAGCTCTTACGCCAGGCATGAGAACATTTGAGCCAGGCTGCCATGCGTCGTTCTGTCTTTGGAGGCAGAGTTGCCACCGGGGCATCTATAAGACTGGCTGTAGAAACAAGCATGTGGAGGCCAGGGTGGCTGTTAGATATCACTGTGCAGGTTCACCTGTTTTCCTTTTGGATAGGGTGCCAGTGTCTCAGTTGTTCTTTGGGGCTAGGCTCTGGGAGGCCTCGGTAGTGGTGTTGCAGGCACCCCTCTGAACACAGTAGAATGATGACGGGACCTCAGAGATGGAGGTGTTCAGTGGCTACTGGCTACCTCAGCAAAATGCACTCCAGCTGCGGCTCTTGTTTGTAAAGGGCACCATGCCAAAGAAGCTTAGGTTGCCAGGGTGGCGACTGCAAAGAGGGTTTCTACTCTGTGACAAAATGCAGTCATTTGGACTCTTAATTGTACAAGCTGGATTCTAGGGCTGTGAGGACTGAGAAACCCTCCCGTAGAAGAATGTTTGCATTTTAAACAGCAATGTAAACTATTGAGGGCCTCCAGCTTATTTTTTTTTTATTCTATAAAAAAGTTCCTCTTGGCTCCAAGCCAAACATAGCAGGGGAAACAGTGGCAGAGGTAGGATGCTGTTTTCCTCTCTGTGGATCTATCCTGGGCTTCCATGCTCTACATGGATTTCACTGCTCCCCTGGTGCTCTTCCATCACTCCAGTTTAAATATAGTTGTTTATTTGTTGTTCTGCTCCCTTTCTGTGGGGAGAATGAGAAACAGGTAATTCTAGTTGGCCATCTTGCTGATGTCACTCTTTCTTTCTTAAAAGGTACCTCAGAGTACCTTATGATCAAATGATTTAGAGACACATTCATAAACAAATAAACATAGAATAGAGATAGTAAGGGCTGGGCGTGGTGGCTCACGCTTGTAATCCCAGGCACTTTGGGAGGCCGAGGCAGACTGATCACTTGAGGTCAGGAGTTCAAGACCAGCTTGGCCAATATGGCAAAACCCTGTCTCTACAAAAATACAAACATTAGCCAGGCATGATGACAGGTGCCTGTAATCCCAGCTACTTGGGAGGCAGAGGTGGGAGAATCGCTTGAACCCGGGAGGCGAGGTGGTAGTGAGCCGAGATCACGCCTCTGCACTCCAGCCTGGGCAACAGAGCAAGACTCCATCTCAAACAAGCAGATAAACAAGAAATAGTAAGTCTTTAATGTCTTAATTACAGTCAAATTTACTCAGTAGATTAGTAGAAAGAATACTGGATTTGTCATCATGTTATCTAGTTATTTGACCTACTTTAATTACTTACATATTAAGTGTTACCTTGATTATTCCATTCTAATGAATACCTTCTCAGAGTTTTTTTCTAGAAAGTTGTGATGTAACAAGATTTCTGATTCAATAATCTTAGTAAAGCATTGAGTTTTATTATTACTTTCCTTTATTTGAATTTAATTTCTTTATATTCTCTCTCTCTCTCCCTCTCTCTCCCTCATTCTCACTCTCGCTCTCTCTCCCCCTCTCTCTCCGTCTCTCTAAATAAGAGCATCTCAGGAAGATTATTTGTCTAAGATTCAGGATGGGATCAGAATATATTTTATAAGCTTACAGTTAAAACTGGGAGATTTAGGGCAAAATGTGGAACAATACTAATCATTATTATTGTATGACAAAACACAAGCAGGGACAGCCCTAGAAACACTGGTATACTTTATGACTCCAGTTAAAGACACAAAGGGCAGAAGAACTTGGCTATCACCAAAGAGTTTTACATAGACAATCAGAGATTTGATTCTACAGAAAAATTGCCAATGAGAACAAATTTTTTACAGTGAAAGATATGATCCACATTAATGATGATACCCATTCACATGGCCACATTTTATCAAAAACATAGTCTATCTTAATCTCTGGGACTTTAATATTCTCAATGTAATTTATATTACATTATTAATATTCTCAATGTAATTTATATTACATTATTATTATTAAAGAGATGCATTTTAAACATTTTTATAGATTTGTAAAATAATAAATTAAGTACCATATACTTTAAATACCATCTACTTTCCATGAGGATCTGAAACAAAGGGATTACAAATGTGACTCCTATTCTTTGCCAGAGAACAATATTCATTTGAAAATTCTACAAATGCTGTATTTACCAGGTTGGCAATGATAAATAACTGAATGAACAGATAAAAGCTATTTTTTCTTTTGAAAATTGAATGTACTGCTCATATTATGGAAGGAACTTAAAAGAAGAGAGATAAAGACGTTGCAGAAATAGAGAAAATACCACTGCATAAAATGTTGCTTTAGGATTTTCTGTGCTTATTGTAATACATACAGAAATTGTGAATTAGTGGGAAATTTTGTTTATAACCAAATTTTATATTCAACTTTGAGTATTCTAGAGAAATCTTATTTATTTACCCTGATTACGGTTCTCCATCTCTATTTTTGTGTACCCCTATATGCTTATTATGCTTGCAAATCATAATCTCCCTATAGAAGACACTAAGGTATTTTATATTCATATCAACATTCCTTATTTGGCAATATCCTTTCTTTCATCCTTTAAATTTTATTTAAAATCTTAATAAATGCTCTAATCTTAACCAACTTCCTTTCAATCTAAAGAACTAGACCTTGGATATTTTAATATTATGAAACTATGAGCAACACCCATTTTCATTACATTATCCAAAATTTTATGGTGCGCCTATATATCAAGTGCTATGGTTTTATATTAGAGAGCAGTAATAAAGACAGTAGAAAATAAAATCTCACACCTCTTGAGGCTTATATTGTATGGACCAATCAAGTGGGCTTTGTTTTTCTGTTTCCTGTAGTTAAAAGATACCCGTATTCTACAAATACCGTATTTTCACGATTTTAGTCAAACTCATGTATGTTCACCTAAAATTTAAAGCATTTTAGCACTTTCTACCAACACTTAAGTAATAATTTTCAACAAGCAATTTATTTCACAGATATTCAATACCCTTAGGAAAAGAAAGAGTATAGTACTTAACGCAGTTTACAAAGGCTTCCATCAATACATTATTTTTTTCTCTCTCCTAACTCATTTCTTTCTGCCTTCCCCATCAGTATGTCACATTTTATGCTATAAATATATTGAAACTCTTTGAGTCCTTTGTAGTTCTGATATATAATGTAATCTTTTAAGTTCAGAACTTTATGTGTATTTGCTGTATTTGCTCTGACAGAGTGAAAAACTACATTAACACATATGTACACACATGCACATACACAAATACACATAATCATTACTGGTCTGACACATTTTAACATATGCATACTTTAATTCCAGATATATTCTAATGTTTCCATAGTGTCCTGTACTAACATTTTCATAGCATTTTCCCACTGTATTTGCATGTTTTCCTTTATCTGTTTGGGTCTTTTAGTGAACTTTCAGTCCTGTGACGGATAACTTCATATCTACCTTATTCACAATGTGTCTACCTGGACTTGCTACTTGTTTTCATATAACTCTCTATGCAAAAGGTGGAACCTTAAGTCACAAGTTCCTTTATTATGCTCAGTAGAATGTTCTAAAATTACCAGCCTTCTTTAAAACATCAAAAATCTAGTCACTGGAAATATGAACTAATCTATAGCTATTAATTCTTCAAATGTAAGAATCAACAGAAAACTGAGGAAAAATTAAGCATATTATACTATTATTATTGTTTTTAGTTACAGATATAGTTTGAGGATATTTATATTTGGAATTACAAACCTATTTTAAATGCATCAAGAACCTCAAACATTTTAAATCCATATTGCAAATAATACTTCAATGTGGATTTTTTTAATCTATGTTCCTAAGGTATTCTAAAGAGATATTTAGTGACCACCATGGCTATAAATTAAGCCTATCTATATTTTGACCAGAAGATAAATTTAAAATGTATCAAATCTGAGTAAGATTTATCAAAAAACATATTTGCCTGTACATTGGACCATTATATATTATAATGTTTAATAATATATATAATTATTAAGCTATATATATAGTTTAATGCTTATTAAACTATGTATGTTTATATTACATGTACAAATATATTACATATATTGTAATATATTACATATATATTATATGTACATATAATATATTTGTACATATATGTACAAATAATATAGTACAATATATTACATATATTGTAAATGTAAATATATTCATAAACTCCAATACTGAATATGGAGACCAGACTAATGTATTGGGCACCAGGAAATCTAAGCTAAATTTTAATTTTACCACATTAATTTTTTCTTGCTATAGCTCATTAGAAGAGCATATAATGCTTGTAACTTTTTGAGGTTCTTTCATTTATTTAAAAATTGTGAGATAGTTAATATCTATATCATTAAGGATTATATCAAACAAAATATCTACTGTTTACATACTAAATACACAAGAAATCCATAATTAGAATTTATATTTGTTATATTACCACATTTTTAAAAAGAATTTTTTTATAAAATAAATAAATTACATTCCACAGGGAAGATAAGTTTGTAAAGAAGGTCTGTTTTCTTAGGTTTTATCATGTTTTAATAACTAAAATAAGAATATCAGATTAGACACAGGTACTAATTCTATCAAGTCTTCTCAAGTGAGAAATAAATGATATTAAAACTGCTTCCACTCATAACTTATGACTGTTCGTTACCACTAAATAGTGATCATATTTGCATGTTTATATAGATGGGACTCAAATAGTTTTATTTTTTACTTACATGTACAACTGGTAAATTTTACAAAGTTAAATATAACTGTTGAAGATATAAAATGGGATACTATGTCTTCCTACCAGATTGATGAATTAAAATTCTTCAAGATGTTCTACATGAACATTGTTGCATTTTTATTTGCAGTTCTGACACCAGCACAAACAAAATGAAGGCATTTTCTCAAAGATCTAAAAACAGAAATGCTATTTGACCCAGCAATCTCATTACTGGGTATATAAGCAAAGGAATATAAATTATTCTATTATAATGCTATATGTACACATGGTTTATTGCAGCACTGTTCACAATAGCAAAGACATGGAATCAATCTGAAAGTTCATCAATGATAGACTGGATAAAGAAAATATGGCACATATACACCATCGAGTACTATGAAGCCATAAAAAATAACAAGATCATGTCCTTCGCAGGGACATGGATAGTGTCGGAGGCCATTATCCTTTGCAAACTAACGCAGGAGCAGAAAATGAAATACCACATGTTCTCACTTATAAGTTGGAGCTCAATGATGAGAACACATGGACACATAGAGGGGAACAACACACACGGGGGCCTATTGGAGGGTAGAAGGCAGGAGGAGGGAGAGGATCAGGGAAGCTAACTAATGTGTACCAAGCTTAATACCTGGGTGATGAAATAATCTGTACAACAAAGCCCCGTGACCCAAGTTTACATATGTAACAAACTGGCATATATAATCCTGAACTTAAAATAAAAGTTAAAAAGCAAAAGATTAAACATAAAATAAGAAAACAATTATAAAAATTATTATATAACTTTTGAGTAGGAAAACCTTGCATTTGGTGCTATATTTATCATTAGATGTTTAACACAAAACTCATTGGTTGAGAATCAAAATATTCCAGATCTTACATGTTTACTGTGCCATATTTTTCAATGATCATGAACAGAAGGAATTATTCCATTGTAAATTAAAATAAGGTTGGCTCAAATAAGTCAGAAAGATTTTTTTTTTTTTGAGATGGAGTCTTGCTCTGTTGCCCAGGCTGGAATGCAGTGGCACGATCTCGGCTCACTGCAACCTCCGCCTCCTGGGTTCAAGCGATACTCCTGCCTCAGCCTCCTGAGTAGCTGGGATTATAGGCACCCAGCACCATGCCCAGCTAATTTATGTGCTTTTAGTAGACACGGGGTTTCGCCATGTTGGCCAGGATGGTCTCTAACTCCTGACCTCAGGTGATCTGCCCGCCTCAGCCTCCCAAATTGCTAGGATTACAGGCTGAGCCACCGTGCCCGGCCTATTTTTCTTTTTTCTAATACTGCATTGTGAGTATGAACAAGTCAAATTCAAATGTTAACATACCTTACCAAATAGTCTATTCTCTTGAAATTCTGTCTCTGAATAAACTAAAAATGTTTATATATATTATATATATACTTATATACATTATATAAAAGAGCAACAAAATCATGTTTAGAAATCTATTTAATTGCTGAAGTAGTAAAATCTTAAGTGAGCTGAATTCCTCAGTGAAACAAACTTTTCCTAGGAGAATAGGGACCCAAGCTACTTTAATCCTTAAAGCAGCCCAGGTGGAAAAAAAACAAAAACAAAGAAATAACATAAGTAGGAGGATTTAAACCTAAGAGGAGGAAATAAGTTAAACTTTAGAGTCTTACCTGGGCTGATTGGACAGGTTAGAATCCTCAGGAGCTGAGTAACAGAATTCTCATTTGCTCGCAAGAGAGCATAGGGAAGGTACAAAATGAAGTCTGGTGGCCAGAGAAGAGATCAAAGAAAGATTACCTAGATCACCTTGGCATATCAGTCTACAAAATATACCCCATGGAGCCTTCAAAAGAGAATGGTGATGCTGCCCAAAGACTGGAAGGAGAGCAAAAGAAAAAGAATCAATCTTCCAAGACACACAAACTAAGAGCTAGGCTGGAGAGGAAAGAGCTGTCCAGAAGCATCAAACACAGGTAACTAAACTGTAACTGAATTGTAAAGAAGACAGGTAGAGAGAGGGAGCTCTCCTGAGTCCTCCAACCTCTAGAGAAAGCAGAGCTCTAATTTTGCCATTGAAATAGTTGAACCTGATGGCATTAAAAAATCTAAAAAGAAAACACAAACCAGGCCTAAGTTAAATGAAGATTTGCAATGAAGCCATCAGCTCCTACCTCAGCAACTTTTAAAAAAGGAGGAGGAGAAATAAAAACTATTTCAACTTCTACTGTTCTTCAATACACAATAACTGACATAAAAAATAATAAAAGCAAATAAGTAACCTTATAAATGTTTAAAAAATACCTCACAATGAAAAAAAGGAAAAGATCAATCCAACTCATATATGACCATAATGTCTGAATTGGCAGATACAACTTTAAAATAATCTTCATAATTAACTTGGTACATGTACAGGAACAAGGTTAAAAAGTGTGTTAAAACTGATTTTATATTTTAGACTAATTATAAAATAACCACATAATTAAATATGAATTAGGACAGAAAATACAATATCTGAAATAAAGGATTCATCACTGCATTTAATGGGGAATAGATATGGATTGTTTAAGCTCATTTGAAGAAAAGGATAACAGAAATTATACAACCTAAAGAAGAGATGAAAAAAGAAAAAAAACCTTAACGTTATTTGAGAATGGCTGGACAATTTCAAATGATCTAAAGCACATGCAGTTGGAGTCCTGGAAGCAAAGGATATATACTATGAGGCAGAAAAATATTTGAGAAATAGTCACAAATTTTTCAAAACTCATGAAAGGCATCAACCCACAGATTAAAAACGTAAATAAATTCACACATGCACACGTGTGTGCACACATACACAAACTCACACACACACACATCTTAAAAAGCAAAATATCACTTCTCAGTCTTTTGGTTAAGAACAAGCATAAGAAGCTAAACAAAGAAGTGAAATCCTAAAAGCAACCAGATAAACAAAATTTAATTACCTTTAAAGAAATAACAGTACAAATATTGGCTAACTTTATATCAAAGGCAACAAAAAGTCAGAATACAATAAAAATATTTTTAAGTAATTTTCAGTGGGGTAAAAACACCTTTTCTTTGAAATTTGCTGATGTAACTAGCTATATATGGGAAGCAATTAATTTTGACTATTATATGATACAATTCACAGTAATTTAAAAATTATCAAAAAACTAAATTCAATGGAGTCATGAGGGCAGTTACCTCTATGTTGTTCTCAAGTGAGTTTTCACAAGATCTGATGGTTTTATAAGAGACTTTTTCCCCTTTTGATCGGCACTTCACCATGTGAAAAAGGACATGTTTGCTTCCCCTTCTGCCATAATTGTAAGTTTCCTGAGGCCTCCCCAACCCTGGAAAACTGTGAGTAAATTAAATCTTTTTCCTTTATAAATTACCCAGCCTCAGATATTTCTGAATAGCAGCGTGAGAACAGACTGATACATTATGCGGCCACAAAAAATAATAAAATGACTCCTTTGCAGCAACCTGGATGGCACTGGAGGCCATTATTCTAAGTGAAATAACTCAGAAACAGACAGTAAAATACCATATGGTCTCGATCTCCTGACCTCGTGATCCACCCACCTTGGCCTCTCAAACTGCTGGGATTATAGGCATGAGCCACCATGCCTGGCCTGGAACTGTTCAAGTGAGTGTATAGGACTCAGAACCAGGGAAGGGCCTTTTCAGCAGTCATCAATAGCTACCATATTCTAACTAGAACATTTCTGCATCAAAATTGTGCTATAATTTTCATCCTTGGTTTCGTTTCCACATAGGCTTCCCATATTTTATAGATGACTTTATTTATGATTTCCAAAAAAAAAAAACCCTATTTAGTACATTCCTGATACATTAGTAAGAGGTACTTTTTTAGAAATGTAAACATCAATCCCCGTTGCTTTTTAGTGAAGACCACTGTACCCTGAAATGCGGTATATAACACTACATAGATGAGAAAAATAGACAAAGTCCTCATCCGGCTATAAAATGTCAAACTGAAAAGATCTCAAAGACAGAGAGTGCATAAAGAAATTTTATAAAGTCCTGTGTGAAAACGCTATGTCTCCCAAGGAATCCATATTCTTTAAAAATGGTCCAGTCAGCAAGAGAGTGGGAGATTTTCTGTATACTTAATAGCTAAGACAGTCAATACTGTTTGGGAACTACCATTAGAAAAAAAAAAGATAATGATTACAATTTGACAGAAAATAAAGCTGATGAATAAGCCAATTTCAAAACCTCTCAGGCTAGTGGTAAATCTCTTGATCTAAATTAAATGGTGTAAGCTCCACACTGCCAAATGACACAATATTATAACTTCTATTTCTTTTTATAGTACATTTCACTTAGATTTTTACAGAAAGATGTTATGAAAAAATTTAAAGAATACATAAGTATTTCACTGACACAAAAAGATCACATATTTATAATAAAAATGCCAGATTCTCACTCTAAATTATATTCCATATGATAACTGTTTTTCTAAACATGGAAGTTTGTGTTCATATTTTTAAAGAACAAGTAAGAAAAGTTGGCACCTCTTCAAGACTGAATCCTTTTGCATCACAGAATATTTCTTAGTATTATATCTATGATAGTAAATAAGTGAAAATTCAAAAAGAAAACAGATGAATAAAACTTTACTAGAGAAAGCAAAAGTATATTACTAACTCTTGTAAAACATTTAGAGCTGTCTCATGTGAAAAAAAATAAAATAAATGAAAAGAAAATGTGACTTGTAAGGCAGTGTCTTTGATCCGAACATACTTTGTAAGCATATAACATTTTGGAAAAGGTATAATGTTAGTGATAATCCATGAAAATATTTATCTACTTTCAGATGCTCACCACTATCTATCCAGAAAAGCCAGTTAATTTTCTTTGTAATAAAATATTTTTGGTTGATTTTTTAATGGAATTGAAAAGGACAATGAGGTATTTATTTTCACCACACATCTTAGAGAACACGTACCATTTTATTTTATTTTATTTATTTTATTTTATTTATTTTTTTGAGAGGTTATCTCACTCCGTCACCCAAGCTGGAGTGCAGTGGCATGATCTTAGCTCACCGAAACCTCTGCCTCTCAGGTTCAAGCAATTCTCCTGCCTCAGCCTCCCGAGTAGCTGGGACTACAGGTGTGCACCACCACACCCAGCTAATTTTTGTATTTTAGTAGAGAGGAGGTTTCACCTGTTGGCCAGGTTGGTCTCCAACTCCTGACCTCAAGTGATCTGCCCGCTTCGGCCTCCCGAAGTGCTGGGATTACAGGCATGGTCCACCACACCCAGCTGCACGTACCATTTTAAAATTATAAGTTGTTTATTCATTATAATAATTTCCTATTTTTCTATATTTGTTAGCATGTTAATTTAGGATATTCAACAATTATTTATGCCCGCTAAACTAAATTTTTAAAACCTTCCCCAAAATAATTTTTCTCTTCACTAAAGAGGAATCTTAAGTATGTTATCTAGAAGAACTAGCTCTATAAGTCTCTCAAATTTGATTAACACATAAAATATATTTACAATAATCATGTATTGGTTATTTTTGCTCTAAATTATGTAGAAACAAATGGAGTATTTTAAAGACAAAGATTTACTCTGCTTGCTGTTTCTTTGGTTTCCCTATTCAAGTTAAACTGGAATAGTTTTTTTGGAAGTATGCTAACTACCATCATCCAGGAATGAAGTTAGGGTTTTATAAAGCAAAGCAAATTCTTTCAGTATAATCACTTGGTTTCAGATGATGCTACTATAAAGTGCCTATTTCCTCACTTTTGGCTCTACCGCAACAATATTTTTTGGACATCTGAGGATGTGTGTATTTGTGTTTGTGTATCTCGAATCAATTGATTGTAAGCATCCATGTCTAATACATATTTAAAACATGCCAACTCAAAAAATGTATATATCCAGCATGTGTACTAGGCCAAATGACATTTCCAGCCTGGGATCAAGAATGGGTGAGTATGTTGACTTGGACACAATATTTGGCTGGGTCTTTCATTTTTTTCCCTGCCATAACAACAAATAATCATACCACACGTTTGCATTGTACAAAAATACTGATGGATGGGCATGTTTTCTTTTTTATTGTTCATTGAAGTAACCTCTAGTTACTGGTGTGTTAGCATTAAAAGATAAGTTTGGTTAGGATGGGAGGAAGTTAAATCATAAGTTCCCTTTTTCTTATATCACTAGTCATTTCAACAACCTGAAAGAGTTTATACCAACATACCAAATAACTATTCTCCTGCTCAGTGATTTAATTCATTGAGTCCCAAAGTTAGCATTACTGCTCTTATATTTTAACAATCCTGGGGCAATTTCTTCTTAACTATGTTCAAAATACAATGTCAGAATATTCCATTCACAGCTACAGAGGTCACTTGTAGGCAGGCTTGAAATGCATAAATAAAAGGATTTGCAAGTGGTTTAATAACTTGAAATAAATCATTCACAGAAATTATTTTTCAAAAGTTTCATTTATTTGAATTTATTGCATCTTAATACATGTACGTTATGTATATAATTTGATTATATAGAAAATTTATTGACTTTTTGCAATAATGATGTAACATAATATTTTATAATTATCCACACACACATCTATATCTTTATAGAGCTAAACATGAGTTCATATTGAAGTCTCCAATTTTAATTCATTACTACATGGGTCATTTTTCTTTTCTCACCTCGTTTATCTATGAGTTCCCAATCCCACAGTGACAAACCTGACTCCCACTATCCCCCATTCTTTTTCTTAATCATTTCATTACAATAAAAATGTATGGCACTGTGATAATTGTTAACCTATTCTTCTTTAACTACTTTATCAACTAGAGTATGATGCTTATGTGCAGTTTCTTTTACATCTATCATGACAGACGACTGTCATTCCCAAAGTTATTTATGCCATTATCCCTTCTTCCATGACCTCCAGTGAGATTTTTTAAACTTTTGTAGTACAGCTAGTTTTGTTGTCTCAGGTTGTATACACACATTAAATTCATTCTTTCTGCTATGAAGTTCTTTGGATATTGATGAAGTCCATAAAGTCTTGTGTCTAGTACTATAGTATCCTACATAATAAATTAGCTGCCTCCAAAGCACCTGCATTTTAGTTATTCATCCCTCGCCCCAAATCCCTATCGATCACTAACACTGTTTTTGTTATTTTTTAATTATTATTATACTTTAAGTCCTGGATATATGTGCACAACATGCAGGTTTGTTACATAGGCATACATATGCCGTGTTAGTTTACTGCACCCATCAACTTGTCATTTACATTATGTATTTCTCTTAATACTATCCCTCCCCCAGACCCGCACCCCCTGACAGGCCCTGGTGTGTGATGTTCCCTGCCCTGTGTCCATGTGTTCTCATTGTTCAACTCCCACCTATGAGTGAGAACCTGAAGTGTTTGGTTTTCTGTCCTTGTGATAGTTTGCAGAGAATGATGGTTTCCCACTTCATCCATGTCCCTACAAAGGACATGAACTCATCCTTTTTTGTGGCTGCATAGTATTCCATGGTGTATATGTGCCACATTTTCTTAATCAAGTCATCATTGATGGACATTTGGGTTGGTTCCAAGTCTCTGCTATTGTGAATAGTGCCTCAATAAACACACATATGCATGTGTCTTTATAGTAGCATGATTTATAATCCTTTGGGTATATACCCAGTAATAGGATTGCTGGCTCAAATGGTATTTCTAGTTCTAGATCCTTGAGGAATTGCCACACTGTCTTCCACAATGGTTGAACTAATTTACACTCCCACCAACAATGTAAAAGCGTTCCTATATCTCCACATCCTCTCCAGCACCTGTTGTTTCCTGACTTTTTAGTGATCACCATTCTAACTGGTGTGAGATGGTATCTCACTGTGGTTTTGATTTGCATTTCTCTGATGACCAGTGATGATGAGCATTCTTTCATGTGTCTGTTGACTGCATAAATGTCTTCTTTTGAGAAGTGTCTGTTTATATCCTTTGCTCACTTTTTGATGGGACTATTTGTTTTTTTCTTATAAATTTGTTTGAGTTTTTTGTAGATTCTGGATATTAGCCCTTTGTCAGATGGGGAGATTGTAAAACTTTTCTCCCATTCTGTAGGTTGCCTGTTCACTCTGCTGATAGCTTCTTTTGCTGTGCAGAAGCTCTTTAATTAGATCCCATTTGTGAATTTTGGCTTTTGTTTTCATTGCTTTTGGTGTTTTAGTCATGAAGTCTTTGCCCATGCCTATGTCCTGAATGGTATTGCCTAGGTTTTCTTCTAGGGTTTTTATGGTTTTAGGTCTTACCTTTAAGTCTTTAATCCATCTTGAGTTAATTTTGGATACAGTGTAAGGAAGGGATCCAGTTTCTGCTTTCTATATATGACTAGCCAGTTTTCCTAGCACCATTTATTAAATAGGGAATCCTTTCCCCATTGCTTGTTTTTGTCAGGTTTGTCAAAGATCAGATGGATGATGTGTGGTGTTATTTCTGAGGCCTCTGTTCATTCCATTGGTCTACATATCTGTTTTGGTACCAGTACCATGCTGTTTTGGTTACTGTAACCTTTTAGTATAGTTTGATGTAAGGTAGTATGATGCCTCCAGCTTTGTTCTTTTTGCTTAGGATTGGCTTGGCTATGTGGGCTCCTTTTGGTTCCATATGAATTTTAAACTAGTTTTTTTTTTTCTAATTCTGTGAAGAAAGTCAGTGGTAGCTTGATGAGGAGAGCATTGAATCTATAAATCACCTTGGGTAGTATGGCCATTTTCATGACATTGATTCTTCCTATCCATGAGCATGGAATGTTATTCCATTTGTTCGTGTCCTCTTTTATTTCGCTGAGCAGTGGTTTGTAGTTCTCCTTGAAGAGGTCCTTCTTATCACTTGTAAGTTGTATTCCTAGGTATTTTATTCTCTTTGTGGTAATTGTGAATGGGAGTTCACTCAAGATTTGGCTTTTTGTCTATTATTGGTGTGTAGGAATGCTTGTGATTTTTTTTCACATTGATTTTGTATCCTGAGACTTTGCTGGTGTTGCTTATCAGCTTAAGGAGATTTGGGGCTGAGATGATGGGGGTTTTCTAAACATACAATCATGTCATCTGCAAACAGAGACGATTTGACTTCCTCTTTTCCTCATTGAATACCCTTTATTTCTTTCTCTTGCCAGAGTGCCCTAGCCAGAACTTCCAACACTATGTTGAATAGGAGTGGTGAGAGAGGGCATCCTTGTCTTGTGCCGGTTTTCAAAGGGAATGCTTCCAGTTTTTCCCATTCAGTATGATATTGGCTGTGGGTTTGTCATAAATAGCTCTTATGATTTTGAGATACAGTCCATCAATACCTACTTTATTGAGAGTTTTTACCATGAATGGTTGTTGAATTTTGTCGAAGGCCTTTTCTACATCTATTGAGATAATCATGTGGTTTTCGTCATTGGCATTGGTTGTTTATGTGATGGATTACGTTTATTGATTTTCATATGTTGAACCAGCCTTGCATCCCTGGGATGAAGCTGACTTGATCGTGATGGATAAGCTTTTTGATGTGCTGTTGGATTCTGTTTGCCAGTATTTTATTGAGGATTTTCACATCGATGTTCATCAGGGATATTGGCCTAAAATTATCTTTTTTTGTTGTGTCTCTGCCAGGCTTTGGTATCAGGATGATGCTGGCCTCATAAAATGAGTTAGGGAGGATTCCCTCTTTTTCTATTGTTTGGAATAGTTTCAGAAGGAATAGTATCAACTCCTTTTTGTACCTCTGGTAGAATTCAGCTGTGAATCCATCTGGTCCTGGACTTTTTTTGGTCGGTAAACTATTAATTATTGCCTCAATTTCAGAACCTGTTATTGGTCTATTCAAAGATTCAACTTCTTCCTGGTTTAATCTTGGGAGAGTGTATGTGTCCAGGAATTTATTTCTTCTCGATTTTCTAGTTTATTTGCATAGAGGTGTTTATAGTATTCTCTGATGGTAGTTTGTATTTCTGTGGGATGGGTGGTGATATCCCCTTTATCATTTTTTATCGCATCTATTTGATTCTTCCCTCTTTTCTTCATTAGTCTTGCTAGTGGTCTATCTATTTTGTTGATCTTTTCAAAAACCAGCTCCTGGATTGATTGAATTTTTGAAGGTTTTTTTGTGTGTTTCTATCTCCTTTAGTTCTGCTCTGATCTTAGTTATTTCTTGCCTTCTGCTAGCTTTCGAATTTGTTTGCTTTTGCTTGTCTAGTTCTTTTAATTGTGATATTAGGGTGTCAATTTTAGCTCTTTCTTGCTTTCTCTTGTGGGCATTTAGCACTGTAAATTTCCCTCTGCACACTGCTTTAAATGTGTCCCAGAGATTCTGGTACATTGTGTATTTGTTCTCATTGGTTTCAGAGAGCATCTTTATTTCTGCCTTCATTTTGTTATTTACCCAATAGCCATTGAAGAGCAGGTTGTTCAGTTTCCTTGTAGTTGTGCGGTTTTGAGAGAGCTTATTAATCCTGCGTTCTAATTTGATTGCACTGTGGTCTGAGAGACAGTTTGTTGTGATTTCTGTTCTTTTACATTTGCTGAGGAGTGTTTTACTTCCAATTATGTGGTCTATCTTAGAATAAGTATGATGTGGTGCTGAGAAGAATGTATATTCTGTTAATTTGTGGTGGAGAGTTCTGGAGATGTCTATTAGATCCACTTGGTCCAGAGCTGAGTCCAAGTCCTGGATATCCTTGTTAACCTTCTGTCTCATTGATCTGTCTAATATTAACAATGGGATGCTAAAGTCTCCCATTATTATTGTCTGGGAGTCTAAGTCTCTTTGTAGGTCTCCAAGGACTTGCTTTATGAATCTAGGTGCTCCCGTATTGGGTCCATATATATTTAGGATAGTTAGCTCTTCTTGTTGAATTGATCCCTTTACCATTATGTAGTGGCCTTCTTTGTCTCTTTTGATCTTCGTTGGTTTAAAGTCTGTTTTATCAGAGATTAGCATTGCAGCCCCTGCCTTTTTCTTTTGCTTTCCATTTACTTGGTAGGTCTTCCTCCATCCCTTTATTTTGAGCCTATGTGCATCTTTGCATGTGAAGTGGGTCTCTTGAATGCAGCACAGCAATGGGTCTTGACTCTTTATCCAATTTGCGAGTCTGTGTCTTTTAATTGGGGCATTTAGCCCATTTACATTTAAGGTTAATATTGTTATGTTTGAATTTGATCCAGTAATTATGAAATTAGTTGGTTATTTTGCCCGTTAGTTGATGCAGTTTCTTCCTAGCATCGGTGGCCTTTACAATTTGGCATGTTTTTGCAGTGGCTGGTACTGGCTGTTCCTGTCCATTTTTAGTGCTTCCTTCAGGAGCTCTTGTAAGGCAGGTCTGGTGGTGACAAAATCTTTCAGTATTTGCTTGTCTGTAAAGGATTTTATTTCTCCTTCACTTATGAAGCTTAGTTTGGCAGGATATGAGACTCTGGGTTGAAAATTATTTTCTTTAAGAATGTTGATTATTGGCCCCCACTCTCTTCTGGCTTGTAGGGTTTCTGCCGAGAGATCCACTGTTAGTCTGATGGGCTTCCCTTTGTGGGTAACCCGACCTTTCTCTCTGGCTGCCCTTAACATTTTTTCTTTCATTTCAACCTTGGTGAATCTGACAATTATGTGTCTTGGGGCTGATCTTCTCAAGGAGTATCTTTGTGGTATTCTCTGTATTACCTGAATTTGAATGTTGGCCTGCCTAGCTAGGTTAGGAAGTTCTGATAATATCCTGAAGAGTGTTTTGTAACTTGGTTCCATTCTCCCCATCACTTTCCAATACACCAGTGAAACATATATTTGGTCTTTTCACATAGTCTCTTATTTCTTGGAGGCTTTGTTCTTTTGTTTTCATTCTTTTTTCTGTAATCTTGTCTTCCTGCTTTCTTTCATCAATTTCATCTTCAATCACTGATATCCTTTCTTCCACTTGGTCAAATTGGCTATTGAAGCTTGTGCATGCATCACAAAGTTCTTATGCTGTTGTTTTCAGCTCCATCAGGTCATTTTAGGTCTTCTCTACACTGTTTATTCTAGTTAGCCATTTGTCTAACGTTTTTTTCAAAGTTTTTGCTTCCTTGCGGTGGGTTAGAACATGTTCCTTTAGCTCAGAGAAGTTTGTTATTACTGACTTTCTGAAACCTTCTTCTGTCAACTCATCAAACTCATTCTCTGTCCAGTTTTGTTCCCTTGCTCGTGAGGAGCTGCGATCCTTTGGAGGAGAAGAGGAGCTCCGGTTTTTGGAATTTTCAGCTTTTCTGCTCTGGTTTCTCCCCATCTTTGTGGTTTTATCTACCTTTTTGGTCTTTGATGTTGGTGACCTACAGATGGGGTTTTGGTGTGGATGTCTTTTTGTTGAGGTTGATGTATTCCTTTATGTTTGTTAGTTTTCCTTCTAATAGGCTTCTCAGATGCATGTCTGTTGGAGTTTGCTGGAGGTCCACTCCAGATTCTGTTTGCCTGGGAGAAGCTGTAAAACACCAGCAGAGGCTGCAAAACAGCAAATATTGCTGCCTGATCCTTCCTCTGGAAGCTTCGTCCCAGAGGGGCATCTGCCTGTTTGAGGTGTCTGTCGGCCCCTGCTGGGAGGTGTCTCCCAGTCAGGCTACATGGGGGTCAGAGACCCACTTGAGGAAGCAGTCTGTTCATTCTTGGAGCTCAAACACCGTGCTGAGAGAACCACTGCTCTCTTCAGAGCTGTCCGACAGAGACGTTTAATTCTGCAGAAGCTGTCTGTTGCCTTTTGTTCTGCTATGGCCTGCCCCCAGAGGTGGAATCTAGAGAGGCAGTAGGCCTTGCTGAGCTGTGGTGGGCTCCAGCCAGTTTGAGCTTTCCGGCCACTTTGTTTACACTGTGAGCTACTCAAGCCTCAGCAACCGCGGACACCCCTCCCCCATCAAGCTGCAGCATCGCAGGTTGATCTCAGACTGCAGCGTTAGCAGTGAGCCAGGCCCTGTGGTCATGGGACCCACCAATCCAGGCATGGGAGGATATCTCCTGTTCTTCCGGTTGCTAAGACCATGGGAAAAGCACAATATTTCCTCAGGAGTGTACTGTTTCTCCAGGTACAGTCTGTCATGGCTTCCCCTGGCTAGGAAAGGGAAATCCCCTGAACCCTTGCACTTCCCAGGTGAGGCAATGCCCCACCCTGCTTCAGCTTGCCCTCCATGGGCTGCACCCACTGTTCAAACAGTCCCAGTGAGGTGAACCAGTTACCTCAGTTGGAAATGCAGAAATCCCCTGTCTTCTGCATCAAACTCTCTGGGAGCTGCAGACCAGAGCTGTTTGTATTCAGCCATCTTGGAACTCACTAACACTTTTAACACCTCAATTATTTCACTCTTTCAATAATGTTGTAAAGTTGATATCAATGCAGTTGTTCATCTTTCAAACTGATCATTATACATTTATATTTCTTCATATTTTTATTGCTTTCTAGTATATTTCTTGTCATTGCAGAATAATATTCCTTTGTGCAGATGTACCACAGTCTATAGTTCCATTTGCATTTGAGGGACATTTTGATTGCTTTCAGTTTGGACGTTATGAATAAGCTGTTATAAATGTAAGCATATAAGTTTCTGTTTGAATAGTTTTTTAACCAATTAAGTAAGTATCTAGGAGAACAAATGGAGGATCATATAACAAAACTATATTTAGCTTTGTAAGGGACTGACAAACTGTCTTCCAAAGTGTATCATTTTGCATTTTCACAAGCAATGAATGAGAATTTCTTTTGCTCTACATTCTTACCAGTATTTAGCATTGTCAGGTTTTGGGGATTATAACCATTTTATGTAGTGTGTGGTGATGTCTCATTGTTGTTTTAATTTGCAATTTTACAATGACAAGTGATAATGAACATCATTTTTGTTTAATTACAATCTGCCTATTTCCTTTGGTAAGAAGTCTGTTAAAGTATTTTGCTGATTTTAATTGATGTTTTGTATATTGATAGTGTCATTTCTCCAGTTTTTTTCCTCTTTATTGTTGCATTGGATCCTTTGGGTATTTTTTTCTTTGAAAGTAACTTTAAAATTAGTCTTCCAAAATTTACAAAATAACTTTCCAGGATTTTCATTGGTATTGTGTTTAATCCATAAATTAAGATGGAAAAAATTATACCTTAATATTAAGTATTTCATTATATGACCATGAATAACATTCCATGTTTTTAGACTTTCTTGGATTTCTCGTATCAGTTCTAGTTTTCCACATATAGTTTTTGTATGTATTATATTTATACCTAAAATATTCATTTTGTGACACTATTGTAAATGACATCTTGTGTTTAATTTAAAATCCCAATTGTTCATTGCTGGTGTATAGAAAAGAGGTTAGGCAATAATAGTTAAAAGACTATGCAGAATTTGGGTGATTGGAATTGAAGAGAATTCTTTGTGAATGTAAATGAACAGTGGTGGCCTACTGGTGGGTTACAGAAATCCCCATTTGTAAGATTTAAAAAGCAGGTAGAAATGTGTGTTCTCTTCCTATAATAGTATTCTATAGAAGTATCATGTTCCCAGAAAAATAAATAAGTATGTCTTATATCTATGGAAAGCATTAGATAGATGCAAATTTTCACTTACTCTTACATGGTGTTGGAATATTCCCATGTGAATGAGAAATTTCCCATGGGAATAAGAGATCCATGGAAAGAAGTACTGAGAAATCAATGGTTTTTGAAGTATTGAGAAATCAATGAGCTGTCACAAAAAGAAATGATGGGTAGATGAAATAGAGTCAAAGATGACCTGTGATTTAGCAAATATCAGCCTCTAGGAATTTTATGGTGTGCCTGAGAAAATGGAGATAAGGCAATAGTTGATAGCAATGTTTTATCTCTTTAGAATGTGCATTACATATCTTTCCTATTGCAATTTACTACTGTGTCTAGAAAGAATTTATTCTCAAAAAACTCATCAGCATGAAAATTTTGATTTTTGCTTTGCTTTCTCGATTCCAAGTATAATTAAAAATTTTAAAATCACAATCTACTTGAAAACAAAACTGGTTCTTTGGTTTACTTCAAAACAACCCACTTTTGAGGGTTTTTTTTTAAGTAGTTAGTAAAGATAATATTGATGTGGTTTACAAATACACAAATGTCTCTATAAAATAGAAATATTTGTCTTACCAGTGTTCTTTTAAGGTGTCTATAATACCTAGTATTCTTTCACATTTTGCACATAGTTTGAAATGTTTATTATGTTGATGCTACCAAGATACCTACCATTTATTTTCCAAAACTATATATACTAGGAAAAGTGTATTCAAAATAAGATATAAATTTCATTCAGCAAAATGGCCTAAAATGTACCCTTGAATCTATGAGCCATGCTATGGTACACATTTGTCAATGTTTTACAGAACATGAATTATTTAAATAACCCTCAGTTTCTAAATATGCCACAAAGATAAATAAGAAGTAATCTTACTACAAGCAACATTTGTATAGACCTCCCACTGTCTGAAAGCTGGACCTCTTTAATATCCCAAACCATAAATGATTGGCTAATGCCACCTGTTCAGCAATTTCAAAGCCATTCATTTGTACAAAATAAACAAGCATAAAATAAGCATGCTCTTGCAGAATATATAAAAATATACTCTAATGAGAAGTATCAGCAGAAAATAAGAAAGGGGAAGCCATGATCTTAAAACATAATTTTGTCAAACAGCTAATATAGTATATCCATTGCAAACTTCATAAATACGACTTTCTTTTCTGAATACACCACAGTTTGAAAATGAAAGGCTTTTAGATTGGATAGATCTCTCATTTTCCAGGTGTGCTATGTCTGAAAAGATATTATTTATTCTCTAAACATTTATTTCTGCATCATTAAATAATTCTTACTTCATGTTTCTTGAAAATATTGAATAGTAAAATTAATGAAGAAATGACTAATTACTGGGATAATAGAAAACTTCAATAAATGTTAGCCATTTTAAAAATAAATCTTGTAAAATGAGTTGCCCTAAAAAACGTCTTACCACACCATACATATATATTTTCATCATCATGCATATTTTGTGAAGTTCCTTGAACAGAGATTAATTAATTTTAATAATTGATTGTGTCATTATAAATACTGTTAGAATTAAAATACATATTTTAAATTGCTGTAACTGAGTACCAAGCCATTTATTAGTGTAGAAGAATGACCATTCTATGCTTTTAATTTCTGTGGTTCAGGAATTTGGGCAGGGCGCTGCTAGAGAGCTCTCTCTTGGGATGCCTAATATTCGGTTAAGTGTCAGCTGGGGCTACGATGATCTGAAAACTTTAGTATGGGCATCCATCATGGCTGGCAAACAAGGCTGGAGGATAATGCCTTCTGTTATCCAGAAACTCTGCCAGCACTCTTGACTAGAGCACAAATACATGGCCTCTTCAGCCTGGCAGTCTCAGAGGATATGAATTTCCCCAGAGAAAATTTATAAATATAACCAAGTAGAAGCTATAAGGCTTTTTATCCTAGCTTTCAAAGCCATAATGACCACACTGTAGTCACAAGCCATCCCAGATTCAAGAGGAGACAACATAGATTATCATATCTGAATTGGATAAGAGGCTGGTTTAAATTGTTAAAGTATATGGAGGATGGAACATAGACATGACCCACTTCTGTCTATGAGGTCATCTTTCAGAAAAAAGTTATATATTCGTTTCTGTTCTCTGACTTGCTTGGGGAAGGTTCAAGTTTTCTGATGAGCCAGGCCTGTGTTTATTTGGTCACCTGTACTGTGATCAGATAAGTAAGTATATATAATTCAAGAGTGAAGTATTAGGAGTTTTAAGGAACACAAATTTTATAAAGAACAGATATAGAACATGTCCCAATTAATTTTGTTTGTAATACTCTATCAATCAATACATAATATTTCAGAATAATGTTATTGAGAAACAGGTACCTGAAGAAAATCTTTCATTTTTCAAGAGAATAGAGAGACAAAATAAAGAAATAATGTTTAAAACAATTAACAGAAGAAACACTAACAAAAATAATATGAAACAGAAAAAGGTTTTAAAATATTTATACAAAGTAAAAGAAAATATGTGAAAATTTTAAACATGTTTGGAGATGAATTGCTTCTTTTATTTTGTCTTTACATTTTAAGAGCTTATTAACCGCTATAAAAAAACTACTATAATTTTTGATATAAAAAAGAAACTAGGCATTCAGTTCTTGTAAGCATATTTTTACAAAATACAAACATTGCTTAAAACTGCAAAATATTTTCTACTACTTAGTGAAGCAATACTACCATCATAAGCAACACTTAGGTACTATAGCTGCATTATATCCCCTTTAAAAAGAAACTCAGTAAATGAAGCTTAAAAATTGTATGTAACAATATATATGTAGATCCAGAAAACCTCATCCTAAAACATTAGGTGTAGATATAATTTGTAATTCAGATTTTTTTGAATTTCAGAAATAGAAGTAATATGTATGTGTACCATATGTTATATAATACAACTTTTAGAGTCTAGGAAATCACCCCTGTATCAAACATATTCATGTTTCTTCAAATAAATTTATGAGTATTCACAAATATAGAATAAAATTACATTAAATTCAAGTCAAATCAAATTTTGTAACATCAGTAATGAATACTTTTTTTCAGAATATTATTGTTTTTGGATTTTTAGATGAGAAATTATAGGTCTGGATATATAAAGTAGTCTCTCTTTCTTTCAATATATATACTTGTATGCGTGTGTGTGTGTGTGTATGTGTGTTTATTCAATATAAGTTTATGGATGTTCACAATATATAGAATAAAAGTACATTAAATTCATGTTAAATCAAATTTTATAACATCAGTAATAAACACTTTTTGTCAGAATATTATAGTTTTTGGATTTTCAGATAAGGAATTTTGAATATATATACATTGAATATATATATATATATATATATACACACATTCAGAAACATACTTTTTGTTTTCTTTTGTCATTTATATCTAATTTATTCTTAAATAGTGAATACATCACATATATATTTAAGGTGTATAATATATGCACTATATATGGTTATGTATATATGTGTATGTGTGTATATATATCTATACAGCTAATGGAAGAATAAAACAAAATAAAAGTATAAATATACACATTTTAGAAATAACATTAGAAAAACAAATTTTTAGCGAAATTAACCATAGGTAAATTTGAATTTTGCTCATATTGGTAATAGATCATAACAGATTGTAGGATGGGTCCCTAGATAGCTTTGGCTGTCACAGTTCTTGTCCCTCCTTTTTGCAATTATTTGAATGCTTATAGATTTTAGTATAACTGCAGTATATACCAAGGATGCAACATAATGAGGTAAGGGGGAAGTTTCTGGAATATCCCAATATCCCAGGCTGTGTTAGCTCATTTGCATTGCTATAAAGAAATACCAGACACTGGGTTTATAAAGAAGAGGCTTATTTGGCTCACAGTTCTTCAGGCTATACAGAAGACATAGTGCCAGCATGTGCTTCTGCTGAGTTTCTTAGGAAGCTTTCAGTAATAATGGAAGGCAAAGGGAGCCAGCATGTCACATGGCAAGAGAGAGAGCAAGAGAGATGAGGAAGTTCCAGGCTCTTTTAAACAACCAGATCTCATATGAAGTCATAGAGTGAGAACTCACTCATTACTATGAGAACATCTCCAAGTCATTCATAAGAAATCCAACCACTAATCCAAACACCTCCCGACAGGATCCACCTCCAACGTTGAGAGTGACATTTCAACATGAGATTTATTACACCTGTAATTCCAGCACTTTGGGAAGCTGAGACAGGAGGATTGCTTGAGCCCAGGAGTTCAAGGCTGCAGTGAGCTAAGATCTGCCACTGTAGCCTGGGCAGCAGAGTGAGATCCTGTCTCAAAGCATGAACAAAGAAACAAACAAACAAAACCATGAGATTTGGAAGGGACAGACATCCAAACCATATCACAGTCTATGTCCTTATTCCTCCTATGGCAGGATATTCTGCAACACTCAAGTATATAACCAAGTATATATTAAACCAAGTATATAACCCCAGTACAGAGTGCTCTTTGGGGCCCCTGAGCTGTGGCATGACATGGGGCATGTGCAGACAAGATTCCATCTACTCTGGTTAGCATGCCTGAGCCTTCAGAGACTAACTCACTAAAAATCCTAGGCTTTTACTGTCCCTTGCTGCCTATTTATGAGTAATAAATTTACTTCCCTTAACTTGTACTGTCGATGTTCTGCCTCACTGGGCTTACGAAAACAGTAAAAATTGTAGCCCAAGATGCAGTGGGCTGAAGTGGTAATCTCTGCACAGTGAACCTGTTTCACACACACACACAAACTGCATATGAATATTATAGAAGTTCATTCATATTCATCAACAAGTAGAAGCAACCTAGATATTCTTCAACAGCTGAATCTATGAACTGTGGTATAGCCATACAATTAGATATTATTCTGAGATAAAAATAAATGAATATTAAGCAACATAAACAACAAAATAGATGAATCATATATAAATGTATTGATAAGTGAAAAAATAGTCTGAAAAGGCTACTTACTGTATGATTCCAATTATTCAATATTTTGGCAAAGGCAGAACTGTAACTATAGTTAAAGGATTAGTGGTTGCCAGACACAATTCCATCTGCCCTGGGCATCTTTCCTGAGCTTGGTGGATTGGCTTGCCATGGATACTAGGCTTCTGTTTATCTCTGCTGTCTCTCTATGAGTAATAAATCTGCTTTGCCTGAGTGCTCTGTCTTTCTGAACTCATGTAACTGGTAAAGAACCTTTGCACAGGTACATTAAATTAGGTAAAAGGAGAATTTTGTCAAGTTATGATACTATCTAATCTATGACAAGTTTCATTTTAGCATGAGTGAGTTTAGGCAAATTACCAAAACTATATTTTTTTTCTTTGAAATAATAGTTTTACATTCTAAAATGAGAATGTTGGATAGATAAGCTCTCAGTTTTTTTATCTAAAATTTTTTGACAGGGTTATCATAACTACTGTTTCAGAACATGTGACTTTAATCATGTTTATTAAAATAACCACTGCAAAATGAAAACAAATCTGGATTTAGATAAGGAAATTTTAATTAGAAATACTATTGCGATAAGGAGAATAATTCAAAGTTAAGAAATGCAAGCATTTCAAATCGAACAGAAAGATTCATTCAATTTATAGAAGGAGCAGGAAGTAAATAAGGAGAAATTAAGAAAACGGGGAGAAATTACCAGCAGGGTAAGTCAGGAAAAGTGTCTCCCTGTGGCCAGCCTATTCTCAAGATCGGCTGATATGAGAGCCCATTATACTTTTTAGTGCTTGCTGAGGCTTCAGAAAAGCAGAGTCAAGAAGCCTTAAGGAAAGAGAGAAGACTGACCAAGGCTTTGTCAATACAGAGTATAAGAAATGGGCAATTGTGAACACTTGGTAGCAATTATGTCCCATGGAGATGGGTCTCCTTCTCTGAGTATCTTAGCATCCTAAACCAATCCTTCCAGTTACTATTGAATCTTCAGGTCCTTTTTTCTCTTAGCTTTTTATCTCAGACTTTACTTTTACAAGCAGTTATAGATTCATAGGAAAACTAAGCAGAAGTACAGAGAATTCCCATATACTTCCTGCCCCCCCCAACACACACACGCACAGCTTCTTTCACTATAAACATCGCCCATTAGAGTTGTACGGTTTTACAATTTATGAACTGTATTTGAAACTGACTCAACTCTCCCATACAACGGATATTTACTGATTTTTGGTACATAGAAATTTACCCTACCACTCTTAAAGATTGAAACTTACATTTGTCTTATCTGAGTTCCTTCCTCGGGAAACCAACTTTCAGGCCTCCCAGATAGTATTAAGGAGCTAAAACTTACCAGATCACCATATTTAGACAATGAGACCCCAGTCCCCTCACTCATGATGATTACCTAACCAACAACCTGCTTGTTGACCAACTCATCAGCTTTACCCCTCCTTATTCCTGTTTTCAAACTCATAGTTGCATTTCTTCTTTGGTATATAAACCCCTAAATTTATCCAGTTGAGGAGATGGATTTGAGACTCATATCCCAACACTTCAGCTATAGCACCTTATTAATGCCTTCTTCCATGGCAGTACTTGTTTTCTCTGTCATTGGATTTCTTGTGTGGTGGGCAATGAGACCTAGACCAAACCCCTGGCATTTTGGTAACACATTGACAAATTATTATTACTCAAATTTCATAGTTTACAGTAAATACTTCTAGACAATGGAATTCTTCGGCACTAAAAAAGAAATGAGTGGCCAGGCACAGTGGCTCATTCCTGTAATCCCAGCACTTTGGGAGGCTGAGGTGGGCAGATCACTTTTAGCAACAAAAAACAGACAAACTCCTAAGCAGACAGGGATGGGTCCCCAGTGAAACCTGATCTTCAAGCCAAAGACAGCCTGAAGCCTGAAAACCAAGCTGCATCTGCTTCCAGATGCAGTTTGTGGCCCAAGTGAGAACTTCCTCGATGCCTCTTAAACAATTGAATGGTGCTTTTTCCAAGACCACCCATGGGCCAATCAGCACACACTCCCTCATTCTGAGCCCATAAAAACCCCAGACTGAGTCACACAGGCAGCTACCCACTTTCAGTTCCCCTCTCTGCTGAGAGCTTCACTTCACTCAATAAAATTATTCTCTGCCCTACTTAATCTCCTGTGTCCACATCCTTTATTCCTTTGGTACAAGAACCCAGAACTCACTGAGCTGCATGTGGCAGAAACAAATGAGCTTTGACCTGCCCCTGTTCACTGAGCTGTGGGCAGCAAAAATAAGAGAGAGAGCTGTAACATTTCCTGGGGACTGAGACCTTGGGACTCCCCAGGCAAAAGCTGTAACACCCCTTGGGGCCCCACAGTTGTTGACATCTCTAAGTTTTCAGGCACCACTGCATGCACCTCATCTAGATGCCAGCACACAAAGTGGAAGCTGCTTGTGGCACACCCAGTCCAGCTGCAGGCTAAATGTGCAGCTGTGGCAGGCACAAGATCTGTCCCAGCAGTGCAAGCTAAGTGCAGCCTGGCAGGCTGAGTTGTTGGAGCAAGCCTGGTAGGCCTGAGCAAGGTCCTGGGTAGAGGTCAGGGTGGCTGCAGAGATTTCCAGCTGTGGAAGCAGCACTGAAAGAATCCTGAAACACTGTAACTCTCCCTCCTGCTCATCCAGCAATAGGGGAGAAAAAGTCACTGGGAGCTATTTCTTCCAGCTCACTGAACTACAAAAGCTGCAACATTTTGGGGTCATTCATCAAGAATTGTCAGAAGGGTAAGTAAGTGCTGACCCAAGACTTGGATAGCATGACTGCAGAGAACATAATTGCTGAGGAGGACTTTGTCAATTCCCCATCACACTCACTTGTTGAGAATGTTGGCTTTTTTCCAATCCAGTTTATTTTCATGAAGGTCTAACCATAACATGGGATTGGAAGGAGGTCCTGGGGCAGTTGAGGGTCTCTGGCTGAGGCTGCACATTGGTCTTATCCAAAGGCCACTTGACTGACGCCAGTCCCCAACAGCCCATTAGGGTGTCAGCACTAGGACCTCCAGCATTTTCTGTCTCATTTACTTTTTTCTTTCGTGGCTGTCATGGCTCATATATGCCAAGGCCAGCTCTGTCATGGAGACCCTAACCCAGCGACACTAGAGGAATTAAAGACACACACACAGAAATATAGAGTGTAGAGTGGGAAATCAGGGGTCTCACAGCCTTCAGATCTGAGAGCCTTGAACAGAGATTTACCCACATATTTATTCACAGCAAGCCAGTCTTAAGATTTACTAAAAGTATTCCTTACGAGAAATAAAGGGATGGGCCCTGGCTAGTTATCTGCAGCATGAACATGTCCTTAAGGCACAGATCACTCATGCTATTGTTTGTGGTTTAAGAATGCCTTAAGTGGTTTTCCGCCCTGGGTGGGTCAGGTGTTCCTTGCCCTCATTCCGGTAAACCGACAACCTTCCAGCTGGACATCAAGGCCATCATGAGCATGTCAGAGTACTACAGAGATTTTGTTTATGGCCAGATTTTGGGGCCTATTCCCAACACACACACACACACACACACACACACACACACACACACACACATATATATGAGATGTTAAGGGTGTTGTTGCAAACCACAGAGATAATATAACTGGGTAGAAAGTGCACTTGGCTCAGTCATCAGGAGTGTAATTCAGAACAATGTGGTTTCTGTCTATTCTTAGAAGCAAGGAGGATATTATGATTGTGAGTCTTCATTCCCCTGTTGAAGAAGTTCATTAGCATAGGGCAAGAGGCTACTTCCCCCAAGCACCTTTCCTCCCTTGCATTTAGGTTTGTTGCCCACCCCCCACCATGAAAAGAGTCAACATACTCCCATGAATACAGGGAACTTTTCTAAGCAAGGGATTATTTTTTGCCTCTTGGAAGACATCTTATTAGGCCAGGTCCCCAGTTTCTGAGACTTCCTTTCTTTCTCTTGTTTGAGGAGAATCTGTTTCCATACTTTCACTTTACTCCAATGTATCTTCCAAATACTCCAATGTATTTTCCAAACTTCAGTTTGAAGCTCTAAAAGAATGCTAGATCTGAGGGACCCAGAGACAGTTGACAGCAAAGGGCTAGGCCACAGCACCGGTAAGCAAGAATCTCCCTGCTGACTAGACCTTTCTGCTTCATGGATGAATAACTTGCTTACATCCATGGCATGGATAAGGTCTAGGGAACCCAAAGCTTACTGATGGTGAAAGACCAGTGCATAGCATAGGTAAGTGCTATTATTTCTACTGAAAAGGCCTTTCTGTTTCATGGGTGGAGGTTGCACTCACATCCATGGATGGTACCTATAGTAGCCATTAGGACTTAGGAAGGAAAGGAGGAAAGAAAGAATGGGACACATTTCTTTCTTTCTCTAACATATCCTGGGTTTTAGCTGGAAGAGAGAAAGAAACTAAGGGATGCATTTCTTTTTCTCTTTCATGTAGGTAACAAATCCTCTTCAGCCTGCATTCCTTTTGAGTGTATCCTGAATCACTGGGCCTCCTTTGACTCTCAGACGCTGTAGAAAAAAAAGTGCCTCATATTTATTTGCACAGGGATTTGTCTGGATTATAAATTGCAGGTAGGACAAGCTTGGCCTCAGGAGGAAACCATTGATTTTGAAACTATACTGCAGCTGGAACTCTTCTGTAAATGCAAGGGCAAATTGTTTGAGGTCCTATATGTGCAGGCTTTCTTTGCCTTGTAGGATAATCTGGACCTCTGCCAATGTTGTAGTATGAATTCTGTCCTCCTAGTGGCCATCTCAGGAGAGGCTGCAAAGAGCACTCCCAAGGGACTAGGGAAGCAAACCCCAGAGTTGCCTCAAGTGGGGGAGTCAGCTCCCTCCAGTCTTGCTCCTCTTGGTGCACCCCATACTCTCTATTCAGATTTCCTCTCAAGCCTGTCCCACCCTAGAAATCCTCATTTTAAGCAGGTTGCAGCCTCAGTCTTGCCTCTATAAGAGATTCCTTGTGAATATGGCCCCACGAAGGTCCAGGTACCCTTTTTTCTACAGGACTTAATACAGGCTTCCCAGAATTTAATCCAAGTATTTGAACTATCCTGGAAGAATGTTATGTTAGTTTTGAATCAAACCCTATCACTGAGTAGAATGAGCCTTATCCAGTCAGAAGAATAGCAGAACCTTGGAGAACCCTAAATGGGACCTCAATGATAAAATGGGAGAATAGAGGAGGAAGTACTTTCAGCTGTGCATTTTGGAGGGCTTACAAAGTACTAGAACGAAGCCTCTCAATTACTCTGAGCTATTTATAATAGACCAAAAATCAGATGAGAATCACACTTCCTTCCTAGAAAGGCTAAGATAGGCCCTGGTGAAGCACACGTCTCTATCTCCTGATTCAGTCAAAGGACAACTAATGCTAAAGGATAAGTTTGTTACTCAGGCAGCCCCTGATATCAAGAAGAAGCTGCAGAAACAGCCCATGGTACCAGACAGTACTTTGGAGAACCTCCTGAAAGTGGCCACCTTGGTCTTTTACAATAGGGATCATGAGGAAGCCTGAGAGAGAGAGAAAGGAGACACAAGAAAAAGGCAGAGGCTGTAATGGCTGCTTTGCAGACTCTCAAACCCTAGAATACCCAAGATACACCTGTTAACTGTTAAAAATATGGCAAGCCAGAACACTTTAAGAAGGACTGCTCAGGCAGCATGAGGAAGCCACCTCTACCCTGTCCAATCTGCCATGGGGACCACCAGAGGATGGACTGTCCCTGGAGACACAGGTCACTAGGTCCAGAGCCAGTATCCCAAGTGGTCTAGCAGGACTGACAGGTCCTAGGGTTCCTCTCCTTAGCTTTGATGGTTCAGACCACCATTACAATCCAGGAGCCCTGGGTGATTCTGAAATTTAAAGGAGGAAAGTGGACCTCTTCCTGGACACTGGAGCAGCAATTTCTGTTCTCCTTTTCATTCGAGGCCTCCCCTGCTGTCTTACCATGACCATAAGAGACATCTCAGAAAAGCCTTTAACCCAGTATCTTCTCCAACTCCTTAGTTGTAGTTGAGGAGACCTCTTGTTTATCCATGCCTTTTTAATCTTGCCTGAAAGCCCAACTACTCTGTTGAACATGGATCTCTCAGCTCATATGGTGAACCACTATCCTTTTGACTCCAAGACAGACTCTGTCTCCCACTGGTGAAGACAGATATCAATCAAGAAGTTTGGGCCGGGCGCGGTGGCTCACGCCTGTAATCCCAGCACTTTGGGAGGCCGAGGCGGGTGGATCACGAGGTCAGGAGATCGAGACCATCCTGGCTAACAAGGTGAAACCCCGTCTCTACTAAAAATACAAAAAATTAGCCGGGCGCGGTGGCGGGCGCCTGTAGTCCCAGCTACTCGGGAGGCTGAGGCAGGAGAATGGCGTGAACCCAGGAAGCGGAGCTTGCAGTGAGCCGAGATTGCGCCATTGCAGTCCGCAGTCCGGCCTGGGCAACAGAGCGAGACTCCGTCTCAAAAAAAAAAAAAAAAAAAAAAAAAAAAAAAAAAAAAAAAAAGAAGTTTGGGCAACTCAAAGGAAAATTGGCTCAGCTACAACCACCATACTGCTCCAGATCCATCTTAGAGATCCCACCTTCTTCCCTTACCAGAGACAATATCCTCTAAAGATAGAAGTTAGAAAGGGCCTAGAAGCCATCTTTAAGATAACTTGAAAATCCAGGGCATCCTCAAACCCTGCAACAGCATTTGTAATATCGTGGTATTGGGAGTATAAAAACCCAATGGGTAATGGAGTCTAGTACAGAACTTCTGCCTCACTAATGAAGCTGTGGTTCCAATTCATCTGGTGGTTCCCAATTCTTATACCCTGCTAATTCAAATACCTGAGGAACTAAATGGTTCACAGTCCTGGACTTAAAGGATGCCTTTTTCTGCATATCACTGTACCCGAACTCCCAATATTTGTTTGTGTTCAAGGATCCTTCCAACCAGACCACCTGGCTAACCTGCATGGTGTTACTTCAGGGATTCCAAGACAGCCCCCACCTGTTTGGGCAGGCATTATTGAAAGATCTCTCTGAGTTTCTCTATCCTCAGGTTAAAGTTTTAAGATGTGTATATGACATTCTCCTCTGTGCCCCAACTGAGGAAATCTCCCCTGAGGAAGACAGTAAGGCTCTTCTTAATTTTCTGGCTAACAGATGATATAAGGTCTTAAAATCTAAGACTCGGCTCTGTCAGAATTCATTGAAGTGCCTATGTCTAGTCTTTACAGAGAGGACCAGGGTACTAGGTGAAGAAAGGATTAAGCCTATCTCCTCCTTTTGTCTCTCAAAACCCTCAAACAGCTGAGAGCATTCTTGGGCATTACAGGATTCTGCAGATTATGGATACCTGGGTACAGTGAGATAGCTTGTCCCTTATATCACCTAATAAAGAAAACTCAGGCAGCTAAGACTCACTTCCTAATTTGGAAATCAGAGGCTAAATGGGTCTTTGACTAATTGAAACAAGCCATGTTTGAGGCACCAACCCTTAGTCTTCCCATAGAGAAGACATTCAATGTTTAGGTGTCAGAAAGAAAGGGAATGGCCCTGGGAGTTCTAACCCAGGCTCAAGGCCCAGCTCAGCATCCTGTAGGCTATCTAAGCAAGGAGTCTGATTTGGTAGCTAATAGATGGCTGGCCTATCTCCAGGCAGTTGCAGCAGTAGCCTTGTTGGTAACAGATTACTAAATTAGCCATGAGGAATAACTTAACCGTTTATACCCCACATAAGGTAGTAGGACTGCCATCTTTTAAAGGGAGTCTCTGGCTAACGAATAACTACCTGCTCAAATATCAAGCTTTGCTATTGGAGAGATCTACAGTCCAGTGAAGAACTTGTCTCTCCCTAAACCCAGCCACCTTTCACCCAGAGAAAGCTGGAGAGCTTGAACATGATTGCAAACAGAGAGTAGTGCAAACCAGTGTGGCCAGAGAAGACCTAAAAGAAACCCACTTAGAGAACCCAGACTAGACTCCCTTTATGAATGGAAGTTCATTTGTATTAGTTTGGTGCAAAAGTAATTGTGTTTTTTGCCATACTTTCAAGAGAACAAGGGGTCCATAAAGCAGGGTTTCCAGTAATGCTCCTGAATGACACTACTAAAGGCATGCCTCTCTTCTTGAGCACAAGTGCTCAACTATCTGAGCTAACTGCCCTCATGAGGGCACTTGAATTAAGTAAAGGGGAAGCAGTTAACATTTATACTGATTCTAAGTATGCTTTCCTATTCCTCCATGTCCATGCCAATATCTGGAGAGTAACTTCCTCACAGCTAATGGGTCTCCCATTAAATACCTTCAGGAAATTAACAGACTATTATCCTTGGTTTTCCTTCCCCTGGAGGTGGCAGTAATGCATTGTAAGGGCCACCAAAAGGGGACAGATAAAATAGCTGAGGGAAATAAGTTAGCAAAACAAGCAGCTAAATAGGCTGTGATAGGATCCCAGATTTCTGATCCACGTGAGGCCCCTCTAATCTTGTAGTGCTCTGTAAAAGAAATAAAACCCCAATATTCTCCTGTGGAAATAGAATTGGCTGCCTCTCAGGGATACACCTTTCAACTCTCAGGATGGCTGCAATCAAAGGATGGCAAACTTCATCTAACAGCTTCCAGCCAATGGAAAGTTCTTAAAATCCTTCACCAAACTTCCACCTAGGTAATTATATAACCTATCAATTGGTTCAATGTTTGCTCTAAGGTAAAAATCCGCTAAATATGGTCAAACAGGTCATTAAATAATCCCCTCAAGTGACAGCTTCTCCTCCCTGGAACACAATGAATGGGAGGCTACTTGGGGGAAGACTATGAGATGAATTTCACCCATATGCCAAAGACAAGGGACGTCCATTACCTCCTACTATGGATAAATACCTTCACTAACTGGATAGAATCATTTCCATCTTGGGCAGAGGGAGCCTCTGAGAAGATAAAGCACTATTTAATGGGATAATTCCTTGCTTTGGACTCCCTAAGTACCTCCCAAGTAGTAATGGCCCCTCATTCAAGGTAGCTGTCACTCAGAGGGTCTCAAAAGCACTGGGCATACCATACCATCTTCATTGAACTTGGAGGCCACAATCCTCAGGAAAGGTAGAAAAGACAGGATATTATCAAAATGCACCTCAAAAAACTCTCAAAAGACTCATCTCCATAGATTACTCTTCTTTCCATAGCCTTATGACGTGATAGAAACACCCCTTCAAAGCTGGGTTTAAGCAAGCCCCTTTGAAATAATGGATTGATTGCCTTTTCTCACCAATGATTTATTGCTATACCAAGAAACCTCAGATTTGATTAAACATGTAACTTATTTGACCCATTTCCAACAAGAACTGGAGCAACTGTCAGAGGCCCAACCCTTTGAACTAGGACACCTCTATTCAAACCATGAAACTTAGTACTGGTAAAGGCAGTACTACTTTTTTTTGTTGTTTTTTTTTCTTCTTTTTTTTTTCTTTCTCCCTCTCTAGACTCAGATTGGGAGGGACATTACACCGTACATCTTTCTACTCCTTAGGCAGTGAAGATCACTAGAATAGATTCTTTGATTAATTATACTCAAGTAAAGTACTAGGAAACTAACGGAATTACCTCTGTTGACCCAGAGAAGCACCCAAATTACCGGTGTGAAAACATTGGAGACTTCAAGCTAAAAATGACAAAAGAGTCAATTATCAACCTTCCCTGGATATCCTATTTATAGTCTCATCTTTGCTTGCTGTTTTCACCTTTGTTCTGTTTCTCCCCATATGGAGACTTTGCAAAGGACCCCTTATTCTGGAATGTCCATGGGATTGTCTATTCCCTAAACAGCTATATCTTTCTTAAAGGTTAACTGCCTTCCCACATACAAGATTTAATTTATTTTACCAGGGTGAAACAACTCTGGCTACAACATTGTTTTCAGAATGATTAGTTTATTTTACTTCTTATTTCTCTTATCTTTGAAACTAGATTTTGTCCTTTTAACTCCTTTATATATAATAATCATATTTGGTCCAGGCATACATAACCTCTGTATTAGTCAACGTTCTTTAGTTGGACAGAACTAATAAGATAGATGTATATATAAAGGGGAGTTGATTAAGGAGCATTCACTCACACAATCACAAGCTGAAGTCCCAATAGGTAAACTGTAAGCTGAAGAGAAAGACAGCCAGTTTATACCAAAAACCTCCAAAGAAGGGAAGCCCACAGTACAGTCTTCAGTCTGTGGCTGAAGGCCTGGAAGCCCTGACAAACCACTGGTGTAAGTCCAAGAGTCCAAAAGCTGAAGAACTTAGAGTCCAATGTTTGAGGGCAGGAAGCATCCAGCACACAAGAAAAATGAATGGAAGACTGAGCAAGTCTGCTCTTTCCATTTTCTTCTCCCTGCTTTATTTTAGTAGGGATTGTTGGCAGCTGATTAGATGGTTCCTACCCAGATTGAGAGTGGGTCTGCCTCTCCCAGGCCACTGACTCAAATGTTAATTTATTTTGCCAACACCCTCACAGACACACCCAGAAACAATAATTTGCATCCTTCAGTCCAATCAAGTTGACTCTCAGTATTAGCAATCACAAGTCCACACATTGTCAACTTGAACCCATACACATCTCCTGAAATTATACATAATCTTCAAAAAAAGAAAATGATAAGGTAATAAATACACCTAATCTAAAACACTTATCCTTTACACTGTTGGAAGCACACTCATTCTTAACGTAAATGCTATTACATAAAGTTGACAACACACAAAATTGATAGACCGCTAGCAAGACTAATAAAGAAGAAAAGAGAGAAGAATCAAATACACACAATAAAAAATGATGAAATGGATATCACCACCGATCCCACAGAAATACAAAGTACCATCAGAGAATACTATAAACACCTCTATGCAAATAAACTAGAAAATCTAGAAGAAATAGATAAATTCCTCGACACATACATCCTCCCAATACTAAACCAGGAAGAAGTTGAATCTCTGAATAGACCAATAACAGGCTCTGAAATTGAGGCAATAATCAATAGCTTACCAACCAAAAAAAGTCCAGGACCAGACGGATTCACAGCCGAATTCTACCAGAGGTACAAAGAGGAGCTGGTACCAATCCTTCAGAAAAACTATTCCAATCAATAGAAAAAGAGGGAATCCTCCCTAACTCATTTTATGAGGCCAGCATCATCCTGACACCAAGCCTGGCAGAGACACAACCAAAAAAGAGAATTTTAGACCAATATCCTTGATGAACATTGATGCAAAAATCCTCAATAAAATACTGGCAAACCGAATCCAGCAGCACATCAAAAAGCTTATCCACCATGATCAAGTGGGCTTTATCCCTGGGATGCAAGGCTGGTTCAACATACACAAATCAATAAATGTAATCCAGCATATAAACAGAACCAAAGACAAAAACCACATGATTATCTCAATAGATGCAGAAAAGGCATTTGAAAAAAATTCAACAACCCTTCATGCTAAAAACTCTTAATAAATTAGGTATTGATGGGACGTATCTCAAAATAATAAGAGCTATTTATGACAAACCCACAGCCAATATCATACTGAATGGGCAAAAACTGGAAGCATTCCCTTTGAAAATGGGCACAAGACAGGGATGCCCTCTCTCACCACTCCTATTCAACATAGTGTTGGAAGTTCTGGCCAGGGCAATCAGGCAGGAGAAGGAAATAAAGGGTATTCAATTAGGAAAAGAGGAAGTGAAATTGTCCCTGTTTGCAGATGACATGATTGTATATCTAGAAAACCCCATCATCTCAGCCCAAAATCTCCTCAAGCTGATAAGCAACTTCAGCAAAGTCTCAGGATACAAAATCAATGTACAAAAATCACAGGCATTCTTATACACCAATGACAGACAAACAGAGAGCCAAATCATGAGTGAACTACCATTCACAATTGCTTCAAAGAGAATAAAATACCTAGGAATCCAACTTACAAGGGATGTGAAGGACCTGTTCAAGGAGAACTACAAACCACTGCTCAATGAAATAAAAGAGGATACAAACAAATGGAAGAACATTCCATGCTCATGGATAGGAAGAATCAATATCGTGAAAACGGCCATACTGCCCAAGGTCATTTATAGATTCAATGTCATCCCCATCAAGCTACCAATGACTTTCTTCACAGAATTGGAAAAAACTACTTTAAAGTTCATATGGAACCAAAAAAAGCCCGCATCACCAAGTCAATCCTAAGTCAAAAGAACAAAGCTGGAGGCCTCATGCTACCTGACTTCAAACTATACTACAAGGCTACAGAAACCAAAACAACATGGTACTGGTACCAAAACAGACATATAGACCAATGGAACAGAACAGAGCCCTCAGAAATAATGCC
Source organism: Homo sapiens (assembly GCF_000001405.40). Taxonomy (NCBI): domain Eukaryota; kingdom Metazoa; phylum Chordata; class Mammalia; order Primates; family Hominidae; genus Homo; species Homo sapiens. The sequence goes on along the minus strand of NC_000004.12, from coordinate 63,570,982 downwards.
ACATATCTACAACCATCTGATCTTTGACAAACCTGACAAAAACAAGCAATGGGGAAATTTAATAAATGGTGCTGGGAAAACTGGCTAGCCATAGGTAGAAAGCTGAAGCTGGATCCCTTCCTTACACCTTATACAAAAATTAATTCAAGATGGATTAAAGACTTAAATGTTAGACCTAAAACCATAAAAACCCTAGAAGAAAACCTAGGAAATACCATTCAGGACATAGGCATGGGTAAGGACTTCATGTCTAAAACACCAAAAGCAATGGCAACAAAAGCCAAAATGGACAAATGGGATCTAAGTAAACTAAAGAGCTTCTGCACAGCAAAAGAAACTACCATCAGAGTGAACAGGCAACCTACAGAATGGGAGAAAATTTTTGCAACCTACTCATCTGACAAAACATGCAAGTTTGTTACACGTTGTGCACATATGCCCTAAATCTTAAAGTATAATAATAAAAAAAAAATTAACAACACTTAAATGCTGATATGAAGTCAATAACTCGTGTGTCATGTGATAGAGAAAAAATAAAGGAAATAAAATGAAGATATTTTTAATACAAGTGTGTACATGCACAAACATGTTCTTAACAAAATAAGGAGAAAATACTAATGAATAATTACAGTTCTTCATTTCAGCAACTGGTCACATGGTCGTAGCTGGTATTGATGGCTACCTTCTTTTATTACCCATTCTGTATTCCCTTTGCTTCAGCAAGCACCTTAGCAGGTCATGGGTTTTTTTACCAGGTGGAGTAACCCAAACCTTCATTGCTGAATGGTCTTGGTCATTTGTAGTCCTACGTGGATTAGGTTGTTGTAGTTTCTCATTGACCTTAATCACAGGGCATGGTAATACTAAGGGACACCCTAATGAATCTTCTGTATTCCATACATATTTTTCCTTACCTCGGTTGCGGAGTAGTAGACTGATTTCATCTTGATAGTCCAGGTCAATCACCCCAGCCAACACTGTAATTCCCTTCTTTGTCTGTTCACTTGAGGTAGGAGAAGCCAAAAGTGGCCACGTGGTGGTCTTAACTTCCAGTTTAACAGAATTATGTTTTGCCTTCTAGTGGCAGCATTCCTCCCTCTGGAACTAAGAAGTCTAGGCCAACAGGATATAATGTCATGGGGACAGGAAGCAAAAATTTTGTAAGTTGGTCACTAGGGGTGATAGTGGTGCTACTTCCACTTCCACCCCTTAGTTTCTGGACCAGTGAATCCTGGCAGTGGGAGAAACAGTAACATATATTGGATGCTGATTCAGAGCATACATAGCCTTCTGGAGAACTTTGTCCTAGCCCTACAAAGTATTGTCACCTAGTTGGCATTGTAATTGTGACTTCAAAAGGCTATTCCACCATTCTATCAATGAAGCTTCTTCAGAATGATGGGAAACATGGTAAGACCAGTGAATTCCATGAGGGTGAGCACATTGCTACACTCCTATAGCCGTAAAATGAGTGCCTTGGTCAGAGGCAATGCTATGTGGTTTACTGTGATGGTGGATGAGGAATTCCATGAGTCCGTGGATGGTAGTCTTGGCAGAAGCATTGCATGCCAGATAGGCAAACTCATATCCGGAGTAAATGTCTATTCCAGTGAAGAAAAACCACTGCCCTTTCCATGATGGAAGAGGTCTGATATAATCAACCTACCATCAAGTAGTTGGTTGATCATCCCAAGGAATGGTGCCATATCAAGTGTTCAGTCTGGGTCTCTGCTACTTGCAGATTGGTCCCTCAGCAGTGGCTGTAGCCTGGTCAGCCTTGGTGAGTGGAAGTCCACGTTTCTGAGCCCATGCATAACCTCCATCCCTGCCACCATGTCCACTTTGTTCATGGGCCCATTGGACAATGACAGGGGTTGCTGTGGAAAGAGGCTGAGTGGTGTCTACAGAACGAGTCATTCTATCCACTTAATTATTAAAATCATGCTCTGCTGATGTCACCCTTTGGTGAGCACTCACATGAGATACAAATATCTTCACAGTTTTTGACCACTCAGAGAGGTCCATCCACATACCTCTTTCCCAAATCTTTTTGTCACCAATTTTGCAATCATGTTTCTTCCAAGTCCCTAACCATCTGGCCAAACAATTGGCTACAGTCCATGAATTAGTACATAATCACACATCTAGCAATATCTCCTTCCAAGCAAAGTTCACAGTGAGGTGCACTGATTGAAGTTCTGCCCACCGGGGAGATTTCCCTTTGCCACTGTCCTTCAGAGATGTCCGAGAAAAGGGCTGTAGTGCTGCAGTTGTCTGCTTTTGGGTGGTACCTGCATGTCAGGCAGAGCCATCTGTAAACCAGGCCCCAGTCTTCTCTTCCCTTGTCAACTGATCATAAGGAACTCCCCATGAGGTTATCGGTGCAGGCTGGGGGAGAGAAGGCAGGGTGGTAGGAGTGGAGACCATGGCATTGGAGCCACTTTGTCACATAAACTACTTGTGCCCAGGAACTGCTTGAGCCCTATCATGTATATACCACTTCTATTTGATTACGGAATACTGCTGTACATGCCCCTCTTTTGGGCTAGATGGGTCAGAAGACACCCAGTTAATGATAAAGAGTTCAGTTCAATTGGTGACTTGATGACCCATAGTCAAACATTCAGTTTCTACCAAAGCCCAGGCACAGGCAACAGCTCTCTCACAAAAGGAGAGTAGTTATCTCCAGAAGATGGCAGGTTCTTGCTCCAAAATCCTAGAGGCCTCTGCTGTGATTCATCTATGGGCCCTGCCAAAGGCTCCAAACATCAGCCCTATCTGCCAGTGCCACTTCAAGCACCATTGGATCTGCTGGGTCATATGGTCCAAGCGGAAGAGCAGTTTGCACAACAGCTTGGAACTATGGCAGAGCCTTCTCCTCTTGTGGACCCCACTCAAAACTGGCAGCATTTCAGGTCACTCAATAAGTGGGCTGGAGGAACACACCCAAATGTGGAATGTGTTGCCCCCAAAATCTAAGTAGGCACACTAGGCATTATACCTCTTTCTTGGTTGTAGGAAGGGACAAATGCAGCAACTTATCCTTCACCTTAGAAGAAATACCTCGACAGGCTTCACACCATTGGACCCCTAGAAATTTTATTGAGGTAGAAGGTCACCGTATTTTAGTCAGATTTATTTCCCATCCCCTGGCACATAAATGTCTCAGCAGTAAGTACAGTGTGTTAGCTACTTCTCACTCACTGGATCCAATCAGCATAATGTCATCAATGTAATGAATCAGTGGGATATCTTGTGGAAGGGAAAAGCAATCAAGATCCCTTTGAAAAAGATTATGACACAAAGCCAGATAATTGATATATCCCTGAGGTGGGACAGTGAAGGTATATTGCTGGCCTTGAAGGCTAAAGGCGAATTGCTTCTGGTGGGACATATGGACATGAATTTTTTTTTAAAAAAAAGATGTTTGCAAAATCAATGGCTGCATACCAGGTACCAGAAGATATTTTAATTTTTTCAAGGAATAAAACCACATCTGGTACAGTAGCTGCAATTGGAGTTGCCACTTGGTTAAGCTTATGATAATCCACTGTCATTCTCCAAGATTCATCTGTCTTCTGAACAGGCCAAATAGGATAGTTGAACAGGGTATAGTGAGACACGCCACCCCTGCCTTGATAGTGGCACTAATCTCTGCAATACTCCCAGGGCTGCAATATTGTTTTGATTTACTATTTTTCTAGATAGAGGCATCTTTAATGGCTTCCATTTGGCCTTTCCCACAATAGAGGCCCTCACCCTACCAGCCAGGGAGCCAATGTGGAGGTTCTTCCAGGTGCTAAGTAGGTCTTTGCCAATTATGCAGTCTGGGACTGGGGAAATGACCACAGGCAACCCACTGGACCCACTCTAAGTAAAACCTAAGCTAAAACTCCATTAATTACCTGACCTTCATAAGCCCCTACTTTAACTGGAGGACGACAATGATGTTTTGGGTCCCCTGGAATCAACATCAGCTTATAGCCAGTGTCCAGTTGTCCCCAAAAGGTCTAATCATTCACATTTCTCTAATGCATAGATACTCTGGCAAAAGACCAGTGGTGTCCTTGGGAAAGGATGGGAGAAGGATTAACAGCATAAATTGTTGGTAGTGTAGTGGGTTCCTTCCTCAAGGGGGCACAGCCTCTCTTTCATTCAAACGGGTTCTGGGTCTGTAAACTGGTTCAAGCCTGGAAAATGATTGAGGCACTGTGGTTCTCAATTTTTATAATTCAGTTTAGTTTTTTTCCACTTGATCAGGAAGTTTTCTTCTTCTACAAATTAAGTAAGGAAATATTAGTCTTTCTATTAATTCCACTTCTAGGAACACTGTGATATATTTGCCAATGCCAGAGCTTGACACAGTTCAGACTTTTCTGATTGCTGCTTTGCTTTTGCTGTCCTTTACAGTAACTACACCCACCTTGCCTTTGATGGTTGAAAGCTGCCACTTGACCCCTGCCACCTTGAGATCCAATTATTCCCATTGAATTTAAGTTTTCCAATTGAGTGACTACAGTTTCCACTGTAAGATCCAGCATATAGAGAAGAGCAATCACAGAGCTCTTCAAGAATGCTGCTGCTCCCCTCACAAATCTGTTTAATGAGGTATTGGTAAAGGGTATATCTTTATATCTTTTGGATCCTCCCAGTTGGATGAGTAGGTTTAAAGTGACTAATCCACTCTAGCATTCTCATCTCCCTAAGCCTTTGGATCCCTTCCTCTACATTAAACCAAGGGAGACCAGGCATTTCCAGCTCACTCATAGTGGGCCATCTTTTGATCCATGTTTAGCTAAAAAATGTTTTAGAACATTTTTTTCACTCCCTGAGTTGCAACATTAAATGAAGAATCCCTGCTTAGTGAACCCAAATCAATAAACTCAGCCTGATACAACTTTATGTTCCCTCTACCATCATCCCATACCTTTAATATTCATTCCCATGCCTGTTCTCCAGATTTCTGCTTATATAAATTAGAAAACTCAAGCAGTTATTTTGGAGAATAAGGCACCTCCTCGTGGGGTACACTCTGAACCTCACCTCTAGGGGCCTGCCAGGAATTGAGTCTAGTTATAGATCTAGAGGCAAAAGGGGTGTTGAGGGTGGGTCCAGAGGAGAATCAACATTGTCTTGCCTGGCAACTGCCTCAGAGCAGCCCATCACTGTTGCCTCATGCAGTGGATGTTTAATCTCCCCAGGCAAAGGTGGAAAGCTTATAAAAGTATGGGTGGGGAAGGGGATGTTGCCACCACTAGGGATAGAAAGACTGTTTTCTGTGGTTAAAAAAAAAAAAGGCTTATCAGAGTTTAAAAACTCAATGTCCCCAGCATCATCAGAGTCCTCCCACATATCCCCCCATTCCAAGTTGCAGGTCCCATTCTTTTCCAATCAATGCTCTCACTTTTACAGTATACACCTTGCCAGGCTAAGTGTGCACCTTTTATTGGAGGTCAGCCACTCACATGTTATGAGTTTGTGTCTGATTTTCCACAATTTCAGCCCTTTGTCTACAGGAAATAAAATACATATTCAGGGCAATCTTAGAAGATTTGAGACTCACTATGCACTTCTGGATCCAGGAGTTAGAATCCCTGAGCTCATCATTTTCTTTCAACACTTTGTCCAGCGAACTTAGGAACAACCAACCAACCTCATTATATTCCTTGGTTCTCCATGTATGGTTGAAGGTATTATGTATAGAGTCACTAAACTTCTTGCCTCTGAAGAGTAGTGAATCAGGAGTATCAAATGCATTTATTTTGCATATGTTCATGCCAAGGACTATCAGTGTTTTCCATAGTATTAGAAGTAAAGTCCTTAGCATTTTTGTGTCTAATCAGATTAATCAGCCAACTCCAGAAACCCCAAAACCAACTAAAGAAATCCATTGTTAAAATTCTATTACTCTAGAACCACTCCCAGTACCAAAATCTGTATTAATCAGTGTTCCTTATAGGAATAGAAATGACAGTATATATATATATATATATATATATATATATATATATATATATATATATATATACATATATATGAGTTTATTAAGGAGCATTGATTCACGCAATCACAATCTGAAGTCCCACAATAGGCCATCTACAAGCTGAGGGGAAAGGAAGACCGTGTGAATCCCAAAACCTCAAAAGTAGGGAAGCTTACATTACAGTGCAGTCTTCAGTCTTTGACTGAAGGCCCAAGAGCCCCTGACAAACCACTGGTGTAAGTCCAAGAGTCCAAAAGCTGAAGAACTTGGATTCTGATGTTTGAGGGCAGGAAACATCCAGTGTGTGAGAAAGATGAAGAATGGAAGACTCAGCAAGTCTGCTCTTTCTATCTTATTCTGCCTGCTTTATTCTATTCATACTGGCAGGTAATTAGATAGTGCCCATCCAAAATGAGGGTGGGACTATCTCTCCCAGTCCATTAACTCAAATGTTAATCTACTTTGGCAACACCCTCACAGACACACCTAGGAACTTTGCAAACACTAGGAATACTTTGCATCCTTCAATCCAATTAAGTTGACACTCAATATTAACCGTCACAACTTCCTTGTATAATTGTTTCTTCTCACTTAAAGACCATCAAACTGGAAATGGTCATGTAAATGGAACCTCAGATGATGGCTTCTTTTTACTGGGGACCATTAGATAGCCCTCTGAGAGAGATCTCACTCCCATTTTCCCAAAACTATGCCCCCTGTCTGCATGAACCACTTATAGCAGTCACCATTCCTATTTTAATGACAGTTTAGATGTAACTCTTCAGAGAGGAAATTGATGACAGGAGAAAGACAAATTCCTAGGTAGACAGGGACAGATCCCCAGTGAATCCCAACCTTCAAGCTAAAACTGTCTGAAGCCTGAAAACCAAGCTGCTGGTTCTGGATAAAGCCTATGACCCAGAGTGAGAACTTCCTTGATGTCTTTTAAATGGTGCTTTTTCTGTGAGCAGTCATGGATCAATCAGCACACACTCCACCATTCTGAGCCCATAAAAACCCTAGACTCACATATACTTGCTCTTGGGTCTCCTCTCCAATGACAGCTTTATTCTGTTACTCAATAAAATTCTTTTCCACCCTATTTACTCTCTGGTGTCCATGTACCTTATTCTTCTTGGTCGAAGGAAAAGAAACCAGAGCTCACAGAGCTGCAGGTGGCAGCAAAGAACAAGCTATAACATGCCACCATTCACCAAGCTGTGGGCAGCAGGAACAAATGAGCTATAACACCCTTGTTCAACGAGCTGCAGGTGGTGGGAACAAGAGAGATTTGTAACATTCCCTGGGGGATCAGATCTTGGGACTCCCTGAGCAAAAGCTGTAACACCCCTTGAGACTTCAAAGTTTCTGGCATTTCTGAATTTTAGAGTGCGACTCTGTCCCCTTCATCTACATGCCAGCACCCAACATGGAAGCTGCTGAGGTACACCTGCTCCAGCTGCGGGTTGAGCACAGAGCTGCAGCAGGCACAGGTTTCTGGCCAGTAGCATGAGCAAAGTGCAGCCTGCCAGGTTGAGTGGGTGGAGTGAGCCCTGCAGGACCATGTGAGGCCCCAGGCAGAGGACATGGTAGCTGCAGAGATTTCCAGCTGGTGAGGCAGCACAAGATAATTCTGTAACACTGTAACCCTACCTTCCACTCACTGAGCAACAGGGGAGAAAAAGCTGCTGAAAAGCATTTTCTCCCACTTGCCAAACTACAAAAGCCACAAAAACTTGAGGTCGGGAGTTTGAGAATAGCCTGTCCAAAAGGGCAAAGCCCTGTCTCTACTAAAAATGTAATAATTAGCAAGACATGGTTGCAGGTGCCTGTAATTCCAGCTACTTGGAAGGATGAAGCATTAGAATTGCTTGAAACTGGAAGGTGGTGGTTGCAGTGAGCTGAGATTATGCCACTGAACTCCAGCCTTGGTGACAGAGTGAGACTCTATCTCAAAAAGAAAAAAAAAGAAATGAGCTATCAATTCATGAAAAGATATGGAGGAATCTTAAAAGCTCTAGAATATTTTGATGACAGATGTTGACATAAGCAGGGAAAAGAAATGAAATTTCTTGTGTTTAACACAATCATGATTGTTCTTGCCATTAATACTGTTGGATAGTTTATTGGCAGGTTATTAAAAGTAAAAATGAAATTGTGGTAGGCTGTGGATGCAGGTAGAGGGACATTGTAATTACCTGAAAACTAAATGTTCATGGGGATAACTCAGTCCCAACAGTAGGTCCTGTCATTTGACAAATACCTATGCTGTACAATGTCATGAGTTTTCAGAATCATACATTGGAATAATCTATAAGTTTAAGCATAAATTAGAATTTTAGTTGTATAATTTTAATATGCCAAATTAGATATTATTGTATACAATTAGTTTAAACTTATGTTTTCTTAAAGATATCTTTGGTACTTCAGACTCTCCTTTGTTCCATCATTTTTTTTCCTTCCTAAAGTGAATTTCTCAGTAAGTACTTCTAAATAAACTCCTTAGAAGAAATTAAAAAAAAAAATCTCTGGATAATTTTAGGGGATAAGTTCTTACATTTTTATTTAACTGAATACAGTTTTATTTTACTGAATACAGTTTTATTTTATTTTTATTCTGAAATAACAAGTCATTCATTAAGTGTGCAATAGCATTATGTCTGAAAAAATAATGTACATACCTTAATTTAAAATAAGTCATTGCTAAAATATTGTAATGATCATCTGAGCCTTCCATAAATCATAATCTTAGACCTCATGAAAAACCCTCTGCTATTTTCAAACTTTTCTTCTGCAGCTCCTTCAAATCTCTCAGCCTTCATAGAGAGTTGCAGCAATTTAGAGCCTCACTCTGGGTTAAGGGAAACTTTAGTTTGAGGAAATATTATGGCTGGTTTGCTTTTCTATTCAGACCACTAAAACATTGTCCACATCAGCAGTAAAGCTCTTTTGCTTTCACATTTATGTGTTCACTTGTGTAGCACTTTTAATTTTCTTCAAGAAATTTTCCATTATATCCACAACTTTACTAACTCTTTGGTGCAAGAGGCCTAGTTTTCAGTGTATCTCAGCTTTTAACATGCCTTCCTCGATAAGCTTAATTATTTCTAGTTTTTTATTTTAAGTGAGAGATATACGTGCAATTCTTCCTTTCACACTTAGAGTGCAGCCTCTATAATGGCCTAATTTCAATATTGTTGTGCCTTAGGAAGTAGAGAGGCCTAATTGGCCTAATTTAGTGAGTGTGTTTCAGGGAGTAAGGAGGCCTGAGGAGGAGAGAGATAAGGTAGTGGTAGTCAGTGGAACACTCAGAAAACACACAGGCAACATTTAGCTAGTTTGCTGTGTTATTTGGGCATGGTTTGTAGAGCATCAGAAAAATTGCACTTGTAATATCAAAAGTCACTAATGATAAATCACCATATTAGATAGGATAATAATAAAACAAAGTTTGAAATATTGAGGGAACTACCAAAATGTGACAGAGGCATGAAGAGAACACATGCTGTTGGGAAAAATGGCACCAAGAGACTTGCTTGATGCAGGGTTGACACAAACCCTCAATTATTAAAAACAAAGAACAAACAAAAAAAACCCTCAAAAAAACAGTATCTTAGGCATGCAATAAACTGAAAGCACAATAAAATGAGGTGTGCCTATATACTCATATTAGAAGAAGATAAAAAATTAGTAACATGTAGAATTATTACTGTAGGCATTTACAATGAAGAAGTTAAAATGGACTTTGTATGAAAACTTAGTCTTAGATGTTTAGAAACTAGTAGTTTAATTGTTGCTTGTTTGTTTTTTGAGTTTTTAGTAGAAATTTTTCACATTTAATTAAAACAATAATTCAAATGTTCTTAAGTATGAAGAGTGAACTCCTTTAAAAAAGTTACTGTCTTGCAGCCGGGTGCGGTGGCTCACACCCATAATCCCAGCACTTTGGGAAGCCCAGGGAGGTGAATCATCTGAGGTCAGGAGTTTGAGACCAGCCTGGTCAACATGGTGAAACCCCGTCTCTACTAAAAATACAAAAATTAGCCTGGTGTGGTGGCACATGCCTGTAATCCCAGATACTAGGGAGGCTGAGGCAGGAGAATCCCTTGAACCTGGGAGGTGGAGGTTGCGGTGAGCCAAGATCATGCCACTGCACTCTAGTCTAGACAACAGAGTGAGACTCTGTCTCAAAATAAAAAAATAAATAAAATTACTGCCTTACTTTCTCCTTGTGTTATGTTTCACTTATGCAAGTTTTTATTTTAATCTTTAGCATTTTCTTATTAAATTGTATTAAATGTTTTAAATGTGTACTGCCCACTGATTTTTTTCTGATCTTTGGTATAAACTATATTTTATATCTTTTTATTTATCTAAAGTAGGGCCAATATAAAATCTGTAAAGTATAATTTATACTTTGCTTCCATAGTAATATTTATAATTTAGTTTGAAATTCTTTTCAAACCTTCATTAGTTAAGTTACTTAAAATAAATATATTATTACTTCAAGATACTTCAAAACATAAAAAAAAAACTAGCATTCTATTTTTCTGAATATTCCCCTGAATATTTTATCTCAGTGTTCAACAAGAATCTAAAATAAATCTTTCTCAATGTATGGTGATAAATATATATTAATATAACTTTTAACATTATTATTCACTAAAATTTGTTTTATCTTGTATAAAGTAATGTGCTTTATAGTTACTGGAAATGTTCTCTAGATTGGATCTCTGTATTTACAAGTATTGAGATGGATAGAAGGATTTTATTACATTTTGTTTTACAGTATCTTGATCTAAGAAGTATCTGGGAATAATGGAAATAGTAAGTGTCCTTTGTTAGGATCTTAATTGGTCCCAGATACTATGGTGAAAAATTTACTTATATTACATTATACATTCATAATATCACCTCCACAAATAAAATTTTATGCATCACATTTAAAATTCAAATTTATATAGATTACACAATTTTGGAAAAGTTAGATGGCTACTAAACAAAAGAGTATAGTAATTCAGGTGTTTCGCAAATGCAAAGCCAACTGTTTTCAGTTTTAAGTGATAGTATATTCATAATGCTATTAGTATGAGATAATTCAGAAAAGCAATTCAATATGCAGAAAACTATATTTATAAAGTTGATAGTAGTGTTCTTTATTTAAGTTTTAAAGCCTTCCACTGAGAGATTCTTAAAAAGATAAATATTGATATATTCTAACATATATACTGTTTTACTATCTTGAAATTATTTCATACTGGGCAGCTCATGCTCTTTTCTAATATTTCACTACAAATTCACCACGTGACTACCAGTTTTGTTTAAGTAAAAAAAATCCAGTGATGTGTAAACTTATTCTGGTTTACATTCACTTCAGGCAAAACTGTTTTGTTCTTGGTTGACTATCAAAAGAAAAATTATAAAGTACATATATCTATGTAAATAATATATTTGTGAAAATATAAAAATATTACATAAACATGTGGTTAATTTGGCACATTATGATTTTATTTATTGACATAATCACATTCAAAAATACATATAGTACCCTTAATTCACATAACAATAAACAGAAAGTCTCAACTCACTCATAAGTAAACTTTTGCATTAATCTGCTTAGGATAATAGTCTCCAGCTGCATCCATATTACTACAAAAGACATGATATGATTTGTATTTATGTCCCCACCCAAATCTCAGGTCCAGTTGTAATCCCCAATGTTAGAGGAGTGACCAGATTGAATCATGGGGTGGACTTTCCCCTTGCTGTTCTTGTGATAGTGAGTGAGTTCTCATGAGACCTGGTTGCTTGAAAGTGTGTAGCACTTCCCCCTCTTTGCTCTCTTCTTCCTTCTCTGGCTGTGTAAACTGTTACTGCTTCCCCTTCATCTTCTGCCATGATTGTAAGTGTCCTGAGGCCTTCCCAGCCATGCTTCCTGTACAGCCTGTGGAACTGTGAGTCAACTAAACCTGTTTTCTTTATAAATTACTCAGTCAGGTAGTTCTTTATAGCAATGTGAAAAAAAGACTAATGCAGGACATGATTTCATTACTTTTCATGACTGCATAGTATTCCATGATGTATATGTACCACATTTTCTATATTTAATCCATTGTTGATAAGCATTTAGGTTGACTTCTTGTCTTTGCTATTGTGACTAGTGCTCTGATGAACATACAGGTGCATGTGTTCTTTCAGTAGAATGATTAATTTTCTTGTGGATATACATCCAGTAATGGGATTGCAGGGTTGAATGGCAGTTCTAAGTTTTTTTAGATCAATCTCCAACTCCTTTTCACAGTGGTTGAAATAACTTACATTACTACCAGCAATGTACAAACATGCCCTTTTTTTCTGCAGCCTCACTAGCATCTGTTGTTTTTTACTTGTTACTAATAGCCATTCTGACTGGTATGAGATGGTATTTCATTGTGGTTTTGATTTGTATTTCTCTGATGATAAGCGATACTGAGAATTTTTTCATTTGTTTGTTGGTTGCTTGTATGTCTTCTTTTCAGAAGTGTCTGCTCATGTCCTTTACCCAATTTTTAATGGTGTCATTTGTGTTTTACTTGTTGAATTATTTAAGTTTTTATAGGTGCTAGACATTAGACTTTTACTGGACCCGTAACTTGTAAAAACATTCTTCCATTCTGTAGGTTATCTCTTTACTCTGTAGACAATTTCTTTTGCTATGGTTTTTGTTCTTTGGTTTAATGAGAGCCCATTTGTCCATTATTTTTAGTTGCAATTGCTTTTGAGGAGTTAGTTGTAAATTCTTTCCCAAGAAGGATGTCCAGAGGGTATTTGCTAATGCAGGAACAGAAAACTAAATACCTCATGTTCTCACTTATATGTGGGAGCTAAACATTGGGTACTCGTGGACGTATTTTTGGCAACAATAGACACTGGGCACTCGTAGATAGGGGAGGAAGGATGAGGAGCAAGGATTGAAAAACCATTGGGTATTATTCTCACTACTTCGGTAACAGGGTCATTTGCATCCTAGACCTCAGTATCACACAATATATCCATGAAGAACGCATGTACATGCACCCCCTGAATCTGAAGTAGAAGCTGAAAGTATAAGAATAATAAATAAACTTTTGATTTATATATAGTTAATTATTCAATTGTAGAAACTTTTATTTATGAAGATTAAATGAATTGTATAACGTTTCTAATTTAAAAGACTAGCTCATGTATTAAAACTGACATATTATGAGATTTTCAACTATTCACTTGCACACTCATGCTGAGTAAATTATGGATTGAAGATCATTATGTGATGGCTTCAGGTTTTGTTATCTTTAATTTTTCTACTGGTACATAATCTATTTTAACACTATCCAATTTAAATATAAATACTTTTCTTTTTAGTCCAATTATATGCAGATATTTTACCTGTAGACTTATGCTATATAAGTAATATTTTGTGCGCATTTTGGTTTGGATATTCTCAAAATCAAAATAGCCAAAACTGCATTCAAAACAACTTGGTTTCTCTTCCTAGTATACTATAATTCTTTCTGTTATATGAAACATAGAATTATTATTTGGATTTTTAACTTTTATTTTTATTAAATTAAGTAGTATTAACGTTTTAATCCTTAAATTCAAATAAGAAATTTTCTGTAGGAAAAAGCAGTCCCTAAAATGTCTTTATAATAGAAGATGTCAAAAATATAGAAATCTTCTAAGTTTGTTCATAATAATAACATTAAACATTATTGAAACCTTTAATGTTTGTATGTTATTAAGCATCTTATACATTTTAATTTTCTTTCCTGAATAAATTTTTTAAATTCAGGCCGCTAAAAATCCTGAGGTATTTGAGAAGGAAAGAAGAATTGTGACAGTATTTAAGACTATTGTTTATGTAAGTAGAAAAAAATGAAAAGAAGTAGAGATAAAAAATAAAAATAAATGGACAGAAAATAAAACAAAGTACAACACTAACTTTAGAAAAGGTAAATAAAGTAAAAATAAACTTATAGAAGTGAACATGCAGAATCACCAAAAAACTAACAACAGTTAAAAAGAAACAAAAATGTAAGGTTTAAAGGAAAGGAAACCCCAGAAAAAAAGTAAATATTATTGATATGAAATTATACTGAGTATACTAAAGCTAATTTGAAGGATGACTCACATGTATTAACATAGTTACTTAAAGACTTTTATATTTATGTTTTTCTTCATTTGCTTCTGACTTAGCATATAAGGCCTGATCTCTTCATTCTCTCTGATAAATCTAGAGAATAAGCTTAGATGAAAAAGTGAATAAATTTAGAACATTTCTGAGTTTTTGTTTTTTTGTTTGTTTGTTTTTTGCTACAGAGCCTTGCTGTATTGCACAGGCAGGAGTGCAGTGGTGTGATCTCAGCTCATTACAGCCTCTGCCTCCCAGGTTCAAGTGGATTCTCCTGCCTCAGTCTTCTAGGTAGCTGGGATTACAGGCATGCAGCGCCACACCTGGCTAATTTTGGTATCTTTTAGTAGAGATGGAGTTTCACCATGTTCGCTATGCTGTTCTTGAACTCCTGACCTTAGATGATCCACCCGCCTCAGCCTACCAAAGTGCTGGGATTACAGTTGTGAACCACCTTGCCTGGCCCGTTTCTGTTTTTAAATAACTAAATTATAATTAAAAGAACAAGACTCAGTTTAAACTCTTAAGGAGAAAGGGAAAGGGTAAGATTGCAGAAAACATGTTGGCTGTTATATTTCATGTTCTTCTTATCATATATAATAAATTCTCTAAAAACCCTCCTAAACCCTGGCCCAAGAAAGTGGGGGAGTGCAAGAGGTCATAAACCGTTGTTATATAATAATCTATTTCCAAAAAGCTTTATAAAAGATTGAATAGAAATCCCGCATCCAAAGTAGATAAGCCAACCATGCCCAGGGCTTACTTATACTGCCTATGTAGTTAAATGAGAAGATAAAATGTCTAGGAAGAACTAATTATTAAAATATGATACGAAATTATAGTCAAAATACCAAGTACATGGACATTTGTAAGCAAAAATGAGAAATTAATCTAAAAGGTAAAAGAATTTGAGAAAAAAGAAGTAAACATGTCAGGCATTAAGCTTAGGTAAAGAGTAACATCAAAAAAAAAGCTTCCTTGTTCTTGTTTAAGCAGAAAACACTTTTAGCATAGGTAACCAAGCTCCAACAGCTTATGTTGAGCACTGGACTGAGGTAGAAGGTTGTGAGAAAATTATTCCTGGCATGCAATTCTTCTCATTTCAGTGATTGGTATGGTTTGGTTCTGTGTTCCCACCTAAATCTCATCTTGGATTGTAATTCCCATAATCCTTATGTGTAGAGAGGGAGGTACCAGATGGGAGGTGATTAGATCTTGGGGGCATTTTTCCCCATGCTGTTCTTGTGATAGTGAGTGAGTTCTCACAAGATCTGATAGTTTTATAAGGCAATTTTTTCTGCTCTTGCTCTCTTCTCTCTCTTGCTGCCATGTGACAAAAGTCCTTGCTTCATCTTCATCTTCCACCAAAATTGTAAATGTCCTGAGGCTTTGCCAGCCATGCAGAACTATGAGTCAATAAAATCTCTTTCCTATATATGAGGTTGGTGAAAAAGTAATTGCGAAAACCATAATTACTGTTACACCAACCTAAAACATTACCCAGTCTTGGGTAGTATCTTTATAGCAATGTGAGAATAAACTAATAACAGTGATCCATGAAGCCCTTTTTAGAAGAAAATAATCATGACATTTTCAGGGCTGAAATTATAATTTCTCTATATTTTTTGGAGTACCTGACTTATATGTCTGTGCTAAGCCTACTCAATATTTCAGAAAAGAAAAAACAAGGTGATTCACATTTCAGGTATTAAAATATCATATGGCACTGTAGTAGGCAGAATTCTAAAATGGCCACAAGGTTTCTTCCCCCAGTTGCACATTTCTTTCATAATCCCAGATCCTGCATAGTAGAAGTGGCCCATCAAAATTACTGGATGGGATTACCATAGGTGCTTTATTTTATATAGCAAGATAAATTTTGAAGATGCAATTAAGATTTCTAATTAGCTGATTTGAGTAAATCAAAAGGGGCATGAACCTGGGTGGGACTAACCTAATCAGCTGAGCTCTTAAAAGATATTTAAAAAAACAGCAGATACTCTTCACAAGGGCCTTGAACAAACAAGCTACCATATTCTAAGAGGAGAAAGCCACATGGTAAAAACCTGAGTGTGGTTACTAGCAGCTGAGAGGGATCTTCAGCTGACAGATAGCAAGAAAATGGAGACTTTATTCAAACAACCTCACAGAAGTGAGTTTCTTCAGAAACCTGAATGAGCATAGAAACCAAATCTTCCCTATTCAAGCCTTCAGATAAGACTACATTTGGGCAGCCAACTTGATCTTGGCCCACTGAGACACCAAATTGTACCTGGACTTCTAAATGTACAGAAACTATGAGATAATAAATATTGTTTTAAGCTGCTATGTGGATAATCTTTAAAGCAGCAATCAATAATTAATGAGGCACATATCAAATATCTCACAAATATAACTGATTTAGTACTAAACAATATTTTTAAAATGTCATCATGGCCTCTCTTTTTAAAGAAATTCAATAGAAAATTTGGAAATTTAATTTATACATCTATTGTGCAGAGGCCATAAAATTGGTTTCTACAGTGATATGGTTTGGCTGTGTCTCAACCCAAATCTCAACCTAATTGTAACTCCCACAATTCCTACATGTTGTGGGAGAAACCCAGTAGGAGGTGTTTGAATTATGGGGGCAGGCCTCTTCTGCACTCTTCTCATGATAGCGAATGAATCTCATGAGATCTGCTGGTTTGAAAAAGGAGAGTTCTCCTGCACAAGCTCTCTTCTCTGGTCTGCTGCCATGTGAGATGTGCCTTTCATCTTCCATGATTGTGAGGCCTCCTGAATCATGTCTAACCGTAAATCCAATAAAACTCTTTCTTTTGTAAATTGCCCAGTTTTGGGTATGTCTTTCTCAGCAGTATGAAAATGGACTAGTACAGTCAATTGGTACCATTAGAGTGGGGCATTGCTGAAAAGATACCCAAAAATGTGGATGCAACTTTGAAACTGGGAAACAGGCAGAGGTTGGAACAGTTGGGAGGACTCAGAAAAGGATAGGAAAATGCAGGAAAGTTTGGAACTTCCTAGAGACTTGTTGAATGGCTTGGGGCAAAATGCTGACAGTGATATGAACAATAAGGTCCAGGCTGGGGTTGTCTCAGATGGAGATGAGGAACTTTTTGGGAACTGAAGCAAAGGTTACTCCTGTTATGTTTTAGCAAAGAGACTGGTGGCATTTTGCCCCTGTCATAGAGAATTGCAAAACTTTGAACTTGAGAGAAATGATTTAGGGTATGTGGTGAAAGGAATTTCTAAGCAGCAAAACATTCAAGAGTTGATTTGTGTGCTGTTAAAGGCACGCGGTTTTAGAAGGAAAACCGCTTAAAAGTTTGAAAAAATTGCAGCCTGACAATGTGATATAAAATAAAATCCTATTTTCTGAGGTGAATTTCAAGCCAGCTGCAGAAATTTGCATAAATAATGAGGAGCTAAATGTTAATTCCCAAGACAATGGGGACAGTGTCTCCAGGGTATGTCAGAGGTCTTCACAGCAGCCCCTCCCATGACAGCCCTGGAGGTTTAGGAGGAAAATGCAGACTTGAGGGCTGGGCCTAGGTTCCTTAGTTGTGTGCAGCCTAGGGATTTGGTGTCCTGCCTCTCAGCTGCTCCAGGTATGGCTGAAAGGGGCCAACATACCACTTGGGCCATGGCTTCAGAGGGTGCAAACCCCAAACCTTGGCAGTTTCCACATGGTGTTGAGCCTGCAAAAGCATGGAAGTGAAAAACTGGGGTTTGGGAACCTCCGCCTAGATTTCAGAAGATGTATGAAAACAGCCTGGCTGCCCGGGCAGAAGTTTGCTGCAGGGGCAGGGATCTCATGGAGAACCTCTGTTAGGGGATTGTGGAAGGAAAATCTAGGGTCAGAGCCCTCAAACAGAATTGTTTCTGGGACACCACCTTGTGGAGCCTTGAGAAGAGGGACACTGTCCTCCAGACACCAGAATGGTAGATCCACTGACAGCTTGCACTGTATGCTTGGAAAAGCTGCAGACACTGAACACCAGCCCATGAAAGCAGCCAGGAGGGAGGCTATAACCTGCAGACCCACAAGGGCAGAGCTGCCGAAGACAATGGGAACCCCACCTCTTGCATCAGTGTGACCCAGAGGCGAGACATGAAGTAAAAGGAGATCATTTTGGGGCTTAAGATTTGACTGCCCTGCTGGATTTTAAACTTGCATGGGGCCTGTAGGCCCTTTGTTTTGGCCAATTTCTCCCATTTGGAATTTCTGTATTTACCTGACGCACATATCCCCTTTATATCTAGGAAGTAACTAACTTGCTTTTGATTTTACAGGCTCATAGGTGGAAGGGACTTGCCTTGTCTCAGATGAGACGTTGGACTGTGGACTTTTGAGTTAATGCTGAAATGAGTTAAGTAAGACTTTGGGGGTCTGTTGGGAAGGCATGATTGGATTTGAAATATGAAAACATGAGGTTTGGGAGGAGCCAGGAGTGGAATGATATGGTTTGACTTTGTCCCCACCCAAGTCTCATCTTGAATTGTAACTCCCACAATTCCCATGTATTGTGGGAGGAACTCGGTGAGAAGTGATTAAATTATGGGGGTAGGTCTCTCTTGCACTGTTTTCATGATAGTGAATGAGTCTCATGAGATCTGAGGGTTTTAAAAAGGGGAGTTCTCTGCACAAGCTCTCTTCTCTTGTCTGCCAAATGAGAAGTGGCTTTCACCTTCTGCCATGATTGTGAGGTCTCCCCAGCCATGTGGAACTGTAAGTCCAATAAACCTCTTTCATAAATTTCCCAGCCTCAGGTGTGTCTTAATCAGCAGCATGAAAATAGACTAATACACACAGTATCAAAAAAATTCACAACTTTGTAAATGTTGTAGCATATTAGATGTAGATATGAAAATTAAAGATTCATCACAACAAAGTAAGCCAGGAGACAGTTTTGAAAATGATAAATGCTGTTCTTATTTGAGAAGTACATTTATTAAATTGAATATCAATGAGCCATAATTGCTAGATGCTTTCACATTTCAGCCTAGCAAAATAAAACTATGTAATTTTTTAAATGTTGAAAATGTCAATGTATGCAAATTTGAGAAATAATTGAAAATCATAGAGTGTTAGAAGGTAGGAAAGAAAGGAGATCAAATTCTACAATTAGATTTTTCTGATATAGTTATGAAATGTAAAACATACAAAAGTAGTAACAATTGCTCAATTGCCAATGTCACCATGTTATATAAAATAAATGAAGGTTCTATGTTAAGATGAATAACTTCAAACTTTATTATCTGTAAATAGAATTCAAAATTAATAAATGTGATTTTTTTAAGACATCATTGCCAATGCAAAAAATATAAAGTGCATTCTTTAGAAAATATTAGAGGTCTTTTGTAAACCTATTACCAGTATGGATATTCTTAGTGACAGATCAAGTTATGAGCTCTCTGTATTATAAATATCCAGAAATTAATAACTCATTAAATATAGATATTACACATACTTTCTTTTTTTTATCTCTGAATTAAATATTTTGTTAAATCTATTTTGACAACTACTATACTCCAGAGATAGTTAAAACATAGTTGATTACAGCTTGGTAGACTCAATTTTTTAAAATTATATTTTGGTTATTTCTTAATCGATGATTTAATCACAAGCGAAGAAAACAAAAGGAAAAAATGACATTCAATGAAAGAGAAGCCTTCTTCTTACACACTGCCCCTGCTCTCCTCTTTCCACAACCAGTTTTGGTTGCAGTTGCCCATTTCTTATATATTCTCACAGAGGTATTTTATGTATATTTAAGCAAGTGTGTGTATATACATATTCATACATATCTTGTGTCTGTGTGTTCTTATTAAAAGTAACTTCCACTTGCCCATTGCTAGCATTACTATTAAAAGAAAAAAACTTTGTAACTCTGAAAGTTTATTACTGTTGTTTAACTCAATTTTTATATAACATGTTTATATTTCAGACCGTTTTTAAATTTAATGGAGTATCTATTAACTTTTTGAAGTAGTTGATAAAAATCTAGCTACCTTTACAAATTCACTCCTTCTCTTGGCCTTAACTTATTTATGCTTGGTAACATTAGAAAATGTACCTAATTGTGTTTCTTATTCTACTAACTATTGAAACCTAGTAATTAAGAGTTGAAGCTCCTAAATGCAATTAAGCTCCTAAATGCAATTGAAGCTCCTAAATGCAATTAAAATATGAAACATTAATTAATGAAAGAAATAAAAATAAATGTTCAATGAGATAAATGTTAATGATGTGATCTCATTTAGCTCTTATACATAACCCTTTGTACAACTACAATAGAAAAGATTTTGAATATATCCAGCAAAGCTTATGATGCACATAGTCAGAAATTTCTTGCTGAAAAACTGACAAAAGCACATAAAAATCCTTTAAAGAATGCTTTTTGCAGCAATTAACCAAAAAGGCCTAAACCAGAATAAAATCCACTAGTAAAAGGAAAGATAAATTCTGCTAAATTTTTGCAGATGATACTTTACTACAATGACAATAATTGCAGTGAGATTCCAGTATTTACATTGATGAATTCCACAAAAATCTTTTGACCAAATAAAAATATTGCAAAAATATACATAAATAATGATACAATTTGTATAAAATTCAAAGTAGACAATGCATCCTATATATTTTTGGGAATATATACATATATTGTCTAAGTATAAAGTAATACTTTTATATATACATTTGCATACTTCACATAATGCTCAGTGTTCTTGTCTTTCCCATTTAACACTAGAAAAATCCACATGGGTATATAGATCTACCTGTTTTAGCAGCTCTATTATATTCCTGTGTTTTGGTGTAATATAATATATTAATGTACATACAATCTTTGTCTCTCCTCTTTTCTTAATCTGACTCACACTAACACAGTCATCACTAAAGCCGCATATTGATGGTAAACAGAACTACATGATTAAAGAAATTTGGGCTTTTGGATCAATATTTGAAAGCCATCTGTAAGGAAGATAAACCATTTTGAACTTTGTAAACAAATTCAGAGTATAATGCCACTTGTGGGAAGTTTAAACTAGGTCATTAATCTAATATACCACTTGTATATTGTATGTACACTTGTAATGATAGTATGAAGCTATGCATGGGAATGATAAACATCTAATTTAAGATAGTGGTGATCTCCAAATGTGAAGGAGCATGGAGAGATTCAGCAATATGACACTATATGTGAATTACACAGGACTGGACCACATTGTCTCTGTGTTACTTCTTAAATTATGTATGCATTTATTATATTCTTCATACTTTTTGTATGTTTGATAAATTTCCCTAATTTTTGGGCAGAAGTCAATTCTTTCCCTCATTTATCTCATTACATTAGGGGCACCCAAGTCAGAAAAAAAAGCAACATTTGGGACGATTTTCCATTTTTAAGTTAAATCTTCTAGTTTTTTCAGTGGTTAGCACAATAATTAGCATGTAGTATTAATTTAATATATTTATTTATATAGTTATTTTCATCATGTTTAGTCATGGAATAGTACTCATAATCATATATTTGTAATAACCTAGAAAATAATTGACTACCTTAGTAATTTATATAAATAAATTATTAATTTGTCGGGTTAAAAACAAATAATGTTTAAAAAGTGATTACCTATAACTTCCCATGATACAGGCAGTTTTGATATTAAAAGATGCTGTGGCAAATTCAATTATAAAATGTTATGTCTATTTTTAAGTAAGGAGTAAATATCAAGCCACATTTAGAGAAGAAGTGAAATAATGAAGAAAACAATAGCAAGAAATAAAAAGAGGAAAAAAGTTTTCCTACATGCCTTGAAATCTATAGACTGATTTGACAAAAATAATGGGACTCAGTAATTCTCACAGCAATAATCATTTCCAGCTTTTAATCTCATATTCATAAAAAAATCTCATTGGCTTGAAGGCTTGTTTAAATTAATTGTGTTATGTGCTCAGAAGCTGTGAAAATTAAGCAACACACATTATTGAAGAGTGATTTAAGAAGTAAGATTAGAATTGTTTAAGAAGCTTTTAATTCAAGAGAAGCAATTACACCAATACACAGAACATCAGCTATTTTTCTACATAAACTAACCAGGTCAAACAACTGAAAGAGAGTAAAATTCATTCACTGAGCAATTTAATCCGTTGCAAAGTTTATTAGTGTTTCATTTTGCTGGCATTGTTGGTTATGTGTTTTTATTCTTAAAACTTTGCACTCAAATTTTATACAGTTACTAGGAATTGAGGTCTAACTAGTTTGAAATAGTAAACCCATATATACTAGGAAGAAGCTTACAAATAAACTGTGAAAGGTTGGCATGACTATGTTTTACCATGTGGTACCTATGGATAGCCCACTCTTTACTAGGCAGATGTGATAGCATTGAAAGAGATTCAACCGTTTCTAACTGATATAATTTGTGGTACTAATAGTTGTTCTCCTACAAGCAGTACATGTGAAAACAGAAAAATATATCCAAACATATCATCATTACTATATGGAAAATATCTATATTAAAACCACTATTTTTAAGCTTCAAACCTACACTTAGCACCTCTTTTTTTTAGCTGATTTTTACTTTCCATTACATTATCTATAGTAAGTGGATACAAACATTTTCACACATGTTGTAGTAACTCTTCAGAGGTGGAGTGGACCCGCCACAACAGTGTTGACACTGATGTGCCACACAAGTACCAAGGACTGGCTTGACTTTTATCATGATTAGACAAATGGAGCTGGAGTGAGGCTTCACTCTAGTAAGGACTTGCATGGTTTGATTTCTCCACCAGTGGAAAGACAGGAAGCACCTGGCTGGCTTTCTTATTAGCTTGGCCGTTTATGGGGCAGAAGAGGCAGAGGCAATGGTGGGGCTTGAAAGTTATCTGCAGTCAAATATTAAAAATGGATTCAAATTCATTATTATATCTGAATATGTCAAAAATTGCTAAATAATGACCTTAACTATTTTTCTTTCTGGAAATATTGTCATGTGACATACTTCAGAGTTCCAGGCATTCAGGTATAGTGATGGAATAGATTTATGGCTCTTGCACTTTTAGTGTATCAATAAAATTTTATGAGGCCTCTTCTGCCTCACAACTGGCCAAGCTAATAAGAAAGCCAGCCGGGTGCTCCTTGTCTTGCCACTGGTAAAGAAGTCAAACCATGCATGTCCTTACTAGAGCAGAAGCCTCATTCCCGCTCCATTGTCTAAGGTGTACATTTTAAAATGTAACATGTATTATTCATTATATTTATTGATGTCTTGATTAACAGGAACACAGTCACATTTATCAAGTCTTATTACACGTTAAATCTGTAAGGATTCTACAAGTCATTCATTTCCCAACCAGAACAGCAACCTCAGACTTATTTGACTTCAAAAAAATTTATTTCTGCTTCAAATTATAAGCCTCCTCTGACATGGAATCTGATAGTTTTCATGATCTGCCTTACTCTGGTAGAATTTCTACTCTTAACTAAACCAAGGAGGGCATATGAGAGAAGCCATGAGCTCTAGTGCCACAGACTGCTTCATACCCAAGTGAAATCATTTTCATGAGAAAAAGCTTCAAATTCGTTGTATTCCTTTAATCAATTTACAGATTGCTACAATTTGTGTTTTTCACAATTTTGTCCAGTTTTGTAGTTGCTTTCATAATGTGGTTTTGCCAAATGCCTCAATCACTCATGTCATAATTTCCTTCTTATTTTGGTTTAATTCCATTTTTTCTTTTCTACTTTACATCTTCTATTTTATTTATTACACATTCCTCATTATCCATTCATATATTTGTATGTTGGTGTCTATTTTAATTTTAATCTTTATTTTTGAGTTAATTTTTAATTCCTTTTTTTCTGAGTGTACCTATCCATTTTAAAATTTTTCTTGTCACCTTTCTAATTTAAGCTTATTCTGACTTATTCTCTTATCGCTGCAATTATTTTCATAATTTTATTTTTAGTTGGTGATATAGTTTGTATGTTTGTCCCCTTAATCTCATGTTGAAATGTGATCTCCAATGTTGGAATTCAGGCCTGGTGGAAGGTATTTGAATCATGGAGGTGGATCCCTAATGAATGGCTTGGTGCCTTCCCCCCGAGGTAATAAGTGAGTTCTCATTTTGTTGGTTTACATGAGATTTGAATGTTAAAAAGAGCCTGACACCACCTCCTCTCTTTTTCTTGCTCCTAATCTCACTATGTGACACACTACTGTCCTTCACCTTATGCCATAATTGTAGGCTTCCTGAGGCCCTCACATTAAGCAGATGCCAACACTTTGCTTCTTGTACTGTCTGCAGAACCATGAGCCAAAAATTAATCTCTTTTCTTTATAAATTACTCAGTCTCAGGTACTACTTTATAGAAAGCAAAATGTACTAATACAAGTGGTTTTAATATAGTGAGTTAAATATTTCATCTGTTTGTTGGCATGTAGGTACAACAAGCTTTCATTAATTTTTCACTTTCTTTCTCTTCCTCCATACTATGATGTGTATCCTGCCTTTACCTTGTTGACCATGTCCTACTTCAATTAGATATTTCCAGTAACATCTATTAATTTTAGAGATTTTTCTGGTAGAATGTTTTGGCCAGCTAGTTTAGTAATTTTAGGGTGCAGTATGTACAAATACTCATAACTTTTTATACTTACTAGAACTAAAATATATTTCATTCAGCCCAAGTTGAAAATCAAAAACCCCTTTTGACTTTGACTATTTTTCTAAGGCCTGGCAAACTATTATCCCAAGTGAAGACTCACTAATTAAAGGAAGATTCATTAGAGATTTCTTTTTTTTCTTTTTTTTTTTTTGCTAAAACATTTTAATCAAATTGATTCATCCTGTCATTTCATCCCTAAATATTTCATTATCTTAAAACAAAATTAAAAATGTTTTCTTAAGTAACTACAGTGCATCATTATCACATTTAACAGAATTAACAATAATTCCTTAATATCCTCTAATATTCAGTCCATATGCAAATTTACCTACTTACTAAAATAATTTTTTGTGTTTTTACAGTTAATTTGATCCAGATCTAAAATAGACCCACTTACTATATTTGGTTTTGTTTGTTTGTTTGTTTTGTTTTTATTTTTTTATTATACTTTAAGTTTTAGGGTACATGTGCACAACGTGCAGGTTAGTTACATATGTATATATGTGCCATGTTGGTGTGCTGCACCCATTAACTCATCATTTAACATTAGGTATATCTCCTAATGCTCCCTCCCCACTCCCCCCACCCCACAACAGGCCCCGGTGTGTGATGTTCCCCTTCCTGTGTCCATGTGTTCTCATATAAGTCCCTGTTTAAAAGGAAGCAAGTGGATAATCAAGGAACATGAAATAATCCTGAAAACCACAGAATACAGACACACGACACAGAGATTTCTGTATTCTGTGGTTTTCAGGATTATCTCATGTTCCTTGATTATCCATTTGCTTCCTTTTAAACAGGGACTTATATTGATATTGGATTATTGAATATTTTATTGGATATTTGATATTAAATATATTATTATATGAATATGGATACATTTGGTGATCTCTTCCAGTTTATGGTTTATGAAAATACCTTATTACCTAGTTACTGTTGATCAGTTTGAATAGTGTTGCAATGAACATGCAAGTGTATGTATAATTTTGGTAGAATGATTTGTTTTCTTTTGGATATATACCCAGCAATGAGATTGCTTGGTTTAATGGTAATTCTAAGTTATTTGAGAAATCTTCAAACCGCTTTTCACAGTACCTGAACTAATTTATTTTCCTACCAACAGTGTATAAGCATTCCCTTTTCTCCACAGCCTCACCAGCATCTATTGTTTCGACTCTTTAATAATAACCATTCTGACTAGTGTGAGATGGTGTCTCATTGCGGTTTTGATTGGCATTTCTCTGATGATTAGTGATGTTGAGCATTTTTTTATTTCTTTGTTGGTCAGTTTTATGTCTTCTTTTCAGAAATGTCTGTTCATGCATTTTGCTCATTTTTTCATGGGATTGTTCATAGTTTTGCTTGTTAAGTTGTATTAGTTCCTTATAGATTCCTTATATTAAACCCTTGTTAGATGTATAGTTTGTGAATATTTTCTCCAATTCTGTAGGTTGTGTGTTTACTCTGTTGATAGTTTCTTTTGCTGTACAGAAGCTTCTTAGTTTAATTAGGTCCCACTTGCCAATTTTTGTTGCAGTTACTTTTGAGGATTTAGTCATAATTTTTTTGCCAAGACTGATGTTCAGAAAAGTGTTGGCTAGATTTTCGTCTAGGATTCTTATAGTCTGAGGTCTTACTTTAAATATTTAATTTATCTTAAGTTAATTTTTATATATGGTGAAAGTTGGGGGTCCAGTTTCATTTTTCTGTACATAACTAGCCAGCTATACTAGCACCAATTATTTAATAGGGAGTCCTTTCCTCATTGCTTATTTTTTCAACTTTATTAAAAACCTGATATCCATGGACTTATTTCTGTGATCTCTATTCTGTACCATTGGTCTATGTGTCTGTTTTCATACCAATACCAAGCTGTTTTGTTTACTGTAGCTTTATAGTATAGCTTGAAGTCAGGTAATGTGATTCCTCCAGCTTTGTTCTTTTTGCTTGGCTTTTTTTTTTTTTTTTTTTTTTTGGCTATTCAGGCTCTTTTTCTGTTCCATGTACATCTTAAAACAGTTCTGTAAAAAATGTCATTGGTACTTTGATAAGAAAAACACTTTATCTGTAGATTGTTTTTGTAATGTGGCTATTTTAGTGTTCTGATTCTTCCAATCCATGAGCTATAGAATGTTTTGTTTTGTTTTTCCATTAGTTTGTGTCATCTGTTTTACTTTAGCATGGTTTTGTAGTTCTCTTTATAGAGATGATTCACCTCTTTGGTTAAAGGTATCCCTAGTCAGAGTGTGTGTGTGTGTGTGTGTGTGTGTGTGTGTGTGTGTGTGCGCGTCTATTTTAAATGGGATTCGGTTCTTAATTTGGCTTTCAGCTTGAATGTTATCAGAGCATAGCAATGCTGTTGATTTTTGTATATTGTTTTTGTATTCTGAAACTTAACTGAAGTTATGTCTCAGTTCTAGAAGCCTTTTGGCAGGGTCTCTAGGGTTTTCCAGGTATGTAATTATATTGTCAGTGAAGAGAGATAAGTTGATTTCCTCTTTTCCTTTTTGAATGCTGTGTATTTCTTGCTCTTGCCTGATTGCACTGGCTAGCACGTCCAGTACTCTGTTAAATAAGAATGATGAGAGTGGGCATTTTGTCTTCTTCCAGTTCTTAAGTGGAATGCTTCCAGTTTTTGTCCATTCAGTATAATGTTGATTGTGGATTTGTCATAGATGGCTCTTATTATTTTGAGGTATGTTCCTTCAATGCCTATTATCTTGGATGTTTTTATTATGAATGAATGTTGAATTTCATTGAAAGCTTTTACTACATCTATTAAGATGATTTTATATATATATATATATATATATATACTACATCTATTAAGATGATTATATATATATGATATATATATTATCTATATATAAATATATATATATATTTAAATTCTATTTATGTAGTGAATCACAATTATTGATTTGCATATGTTGAACCAACCTTGAATCCCAGGTATAAAGCCTAGATGATTATGGTGAATTTACTTTTTGATGTGCTGTTGAATTTGTTTTGCTAGTATTTTGTTGAAAATTTTGCATCTACGTTCATTAATGATATTGGCCTATAGTCTCCTCTTTTTGTTGTGTTTGCCTGGTTTTCATATCTGAGTGTTTCTGGCTTTATAGAATGAGTTAGGAAGGAGTCCTTTCTCCAAATAGTTTCCCGATAAGTGATCCTAGCTCTTCTTTGCATTTCCTGTAGAATTTGGGTATGAATTTATCTGGCCTAGGGCTTTTTTGATTGGTAGATTTTTAGTTACTGATTCTTTTTGAATTTATTGAGACTTGCTTTATGGTCAAGAACGTGCTGAATCCTAGAGTATGTTCCATGTGCAGATGAGAAGAATATGTATTCAGTAGTTGCCGGGTGGAGTATTCTGTAAATTTCAATTAGGTCCAATTGGTCAGGTGTCAAGTTTAAGTTCAGAATTTCTGTTAGTTTTCTGACTCAATGACTTTTTTAATGTTGTCAGTGGGATGTTTTAGTTCTCCACTATTATTATGTGGCTGTATACATCTTTTCATAGGTCAAGAAAGATTTCATTGAGCTTCCTTGTAATTAATGATTTGAATTCTTTATCTGTCATTTCTGAATGTGTGTTTTATTTAGGGACCATGGCAGAATAGCTAGTGTGGTTCTTTGGTTGTGTCGCTACATCCAGATTTTTCATGGTGCCAGAATTCTCTCATTCTTCTCATCTGGAAATGCTGGTACTTCTAATTTTTACAATCATTTTCATGCAGGTAGAATTTTATTTTTCTTTATTTTCCTTGAATATTATTTTTTATTTCCCTCTTTTTTTCTCACCCTCCTGAGGGTGTATGGCTATAGAGAGTGCTTGATAGGGTCTTTTAGCTTTGCTTCTATAGTCCTATGCACTTCTTTGGCAGGTTTTATATTTGGCTATGAAGCTTGACCTATAAGCCAGTAAATGGCACTTACAGATAAGGGCTGGCTGTGGTCAACATGGCTATATACTTGATACTTGTTTACTGGCAGAAGCTCTTTGTTGTCTCAGGCAATGGGCTGATTCATGAAATTCACAGTGGCCTTAGCTACTTACTCAGCCCTGAGCAGGCAGGGGCCACAAAAGGCAGGGGAAGACCTGGCAGGCCCTGAGCAGGCCCATGCCCTAATGACAGGAACAAGCACAGTGCCAAGGGAGAATCCGGTGGGCAGCCACAAAGCACCCAGTCATATGCCTAGGCATGGCATGGAGCTGGGAAACATCCTCAGCTCCGTGTTCTCTGCAAGGGGCTGGGGGTCAGTCAAAACTCCTAATCCAGGAGAGCAGGTGTTTCAGATGCCTAGATAGCTGTCTAGGCATGAATTGGAGAGGATTCTTCTGCACATGAGAAATGGGGTGACTCAGGCTGCTAAACCAGGCAGGCAGGTGCTCTGAATACATGAACATCTGCCTGAATGTGTAGCAGATAGCCCTCTCAATCCCCTGTACCCAAATGTCTGCACTGGAGTGTCAGGCAGCTCAGACTCTGTACCACGTGGGTGCTTTGAATGCCTGATGATATGCCTGTGCATAAAGCAGAGAAGGCATCCCTGTACCAGGATCTCTGCACAGAAAGGGTGGGACAGGTCAGGTTGCTGATCCAGGTGAGAGGGTGCCCCAAACACCTGGAGATATGCCTGATCCTGTAGTGCAGAGGATCCCCCTGCACCAGGATGTCTGCATAGGAAAGGCAGGACAGCTCAGGCTTCAAATTTAGGCAAGCTGATGTTCCAAATGCCTGCAAATCCATCTGAGCTTGGAACAGAGAGAGGCTCACTGCAACATGATCTATGTCCTGGAAGGACAAGGCTCACGGTGCTGAACCTAGGTAAGCTGGTGCTCCAAATGCCTGCCTGGAGTTCTGCTTGGGTGTGGAGCAGAGAAGGCCCCTGTGCAGCACAATCTGTGACCATTAAGAGGAGGGCAGCTCTGATGGCTGGTCCCAGCAAGCAGATGCTCCAAATGCCTGTGTTTCTGCTTGGACGTGAAGCACAGTAGGACCTGCTGCACTACAATTTCAGAGGAACAGGCTGGGGCACCCAGAAATGGTATATGCAGATCAGTTCCAGGTTGCCAAGCTGGCCCTAGCTGTGTCTTACCACCCAGAAGAAACTGCCGCTGTAGCAACTCTCTTCCCACCCCAGGCTTGCAGTTGGGGAGAGCACAATTCCAGCACCTACTACTGAAGTTCCTTCCACAGTTCTGGCTTAGGAGGTTCCTATGTGACTTATCAGCAGGTGCCTTACACTCTGGCCTGGGAATAAAATGCCTCATGGCCATGCTGCCGGTTCACTAGAGAATGGCTACATTTTTATGTATGGATTAAAAGTATGTATTAAAAATGATACCCTGCTCTTGGTCCTAGGTCTGAGACTATGTCTGCAGATTTTCCTACTGTCTTTCCCTTACAAGATCTCCAAGCCTCTTCCCAGGTTAGCTTCAGGGCTTGGGAGAAACATAGTGCTCCCCATTGGCCTGAGTTGCTCAGTTCCTCTGTGAAAATGTAAGTCACCAAGGGAGACTCTCTGCCCTTCTCATATACTGAGGCTATCCTCACTTCTGCCACTCAGACACCATCATGGAGCCTGTTTGTTTGTGTTCTCCTCCCTGGAATATGG
The DNA here is from genome assembly GCF_000001405.40 of Homo sapiens. NCBI lineage: Eukaryota > Metazoa > Chordata > Mammalia > Primates > Hominidae > Homo > Homo sapiens. The sequence goes on along the minus strand of NC_000004.12, from coordinate 63,540,549 downwards.
GATGTCCTTCACAATTCTGGAGGATTCCCATTTTCTGTCTTAAAGCTCACAGAGTTGATCTTTATATGCTATCTTGGTATTTTCAAGTGGCTGAGGCATGCTAAAAGCCTTTGCTATGTCATTTTGGAAAAATGTGTGCATGCTTATTTATAGATGATCTATATAATATCGAATTGACCTATAAACAAATGAGTACTAATAAATAACTATCTCAAATGTTTTCCAAGTTCATATATTTTAGTAATCTATGATTAATAAGCATAATTTTAAGCTTGATGGTAAATTAAAAGAAAAATGTCTTCAAAATTGAATGTGGACATTTTTGCCTAGGTGCATTGGTCAGATACTTTTATACTGTCAGGAAAATAATTTTTAAGATTATAAAACTCTTGCTTTTATGATTTCATTTTTGATAATTACTTAATTTGTCTGTGAGCTTATATATTTGGAGTTGAGCATTCAGATTATGAGGTTTAGAGAAGTAATCAAAGTGAGGCGTAAGGACAACACTTGAGTCTTGTTTCCTGGACCAGCTGTGACTTTTGGCCATACTAAGAGAAATTGGATTTTCCAGGCACTGTCTTCACAGCTGTCATTTGGCCGGGCTCTGCATTTGGTACATAGTACAATTTCTTACTATAAGAAAAGTAGGATGTGTTTCTTGTTAAAAAAAAAAAAAAGGTAATGTGTAATGTGACTTTTGTTCAACGAAAAGTAATTTTGTCCAGTTTAGAGGTTTTTAAGAGTTGTTTAAAATTGAAAAACTAAAGATAATAGATATAAACATTTTATAAAAGAAAGAGGGTAGAAAATATGTAAGAGGCCATAAAAGGTTTAGGGAAAACATACTTTGTGGTCCGATTTTTTTATAAGATTTTATTAAAACTACCTTTAGCATTAATAGCACATGGATGCAAAGGTTGGATTTGGTTTTCTTGTTTTAATAAGATTTTTGTGTATATTAATACAATATAGTAAAATATTTTTGTTTACCTTTGGAATGAACAGCAAAAATAATAATAGCAATGAAAGAGAAGGAGAGATATTCAGACTCATCATGGTGTCTTTGTTAGATCTTATGTTTGCTTGGGAAACTAAATCTCTTCTCTAACAAAAGGTAAAAGTTTTAGCTTTCTGAAATTTTTATCACTTTGGCTAAATAAATGAGTGATTTTGCAGTGATCTGTGATCCTATTTAGAACAAGTGTTTTCAACCTATAACATCTGACAATCTTCTCAAAATCAAAATCTCAAATTTTAAATTCAGTCTTTTTTACCTCAAACTAACCTTTTAGATATTAGGACTTTTAAAAGTTTAAGAGAGACACCTCATAAATATTTGGTATGTTAAAATCTTACAGCAAGTAGTGATAAATAAGAAACTGTGTTTAACTTTCTTTGGATTATATTCACATAAATTCATTATTAATATGTGTTCCAAAATTGTAGAAGAGTACTAAAACTCTGATATCAGTAAGAATTAAGATTATTAAGTTAAATTGTTTTATGACAGAAATAATCATTCACAGAGAATTATTGTTTTATTTGGTTCTCCTCAAAAAGCAGTTTATAAACACCTACGGTTCAAAATTTGCTGTTTCTTTAAGAAAATTATGAAAAAGACTGACAAGTACTCTTGAATACAGGATACTAATAACTTTGAAAATCATGCCATTGGAATAAGTAGCACACAATTCAAGACACTGGTTATTTTACCAAGGCTTTGACTGGAATGGCAAACATTTTACATATGAGCAGACTGCTATGAGGAATTAAAATTGACTTTATAGAACTGATAAAAAAAACCCTTGAAATATTGGCCTGGTATCTTGTCTATGTGGTTCCTTTACAAGGTTCCTGACCTGTGGTAAGTAAATAATGCAACTTTCCAACGGGTCCACAAACCTCAACTTGTTTTGGGACCTTTGAAAAATAGAAACCCACCCAATTCAAACAGGTATTGCAAGCACAATCTGATGGCAAACTTTTGCTTGGCTTCTTTTTTTTTTATTATACTTTAAGTTTTAGGGTACATGTGCACATTGTGCAGGTTAGTTACATATGTATACATGTGCCATGCTGGTGCACTGCACCCACTAACTCGTCATCTAGCATTAGGTATATCTCCCAATGCTATCCCTCCCCCCTCCCCCCACCCCACAACAGTCCCCAGAGTGTGATATTCCCCTTCCTGTGTCCATTTGTTCTCATTGTTCAATTCCCACCTATGAGTGAGAATATGCGGTGTTTGGTTTTTTGTTCTTGCGATAGTTTACTGAGAATGATGACTTTCAGTTTCATCCATGTCCCCACAAAGGACATGAACTCATCATTTTTTATGGCTGCATAGTATTCCATGGTGTATATGTGCCACAATTTCTTAATCCAGTCTATCATTGTTGGACATTTGGGTTGGTTCCAAGTCTCTACTATTGTGAATAATGCCGCAATAAACATACGTGTGCATGTGTCTTTATAGCAGCATGATTTATAGTCCTTTGGGTATATACCCAGTAATGGGATGGCTGGGTCAAATGGTATTTCCAGTTCTAGATCCCTGAGGAATCGCCACACTGACTTCCACAATGGTTGAACTAGTTTACAGTCCCATCAACAGTGTAAAAGTGTTCCTATTTCTCCACATCCTCTCCAGCAGCTGTTGTTTCCTGACTTTTTAATGATTGCCATTCTAACTGGTGTGAGATGGTATCTCATTGTGGTTTTGATTTGCATTTCTCTGATGGCCAGTGATGATGAGCATTTTTTCATGTGTTTTTTGGCTGCATAAATGTCTTCTTTTGAGAAGTGTCTGTTCATGTCCTTCACCCACTTTTTGATGGGGTTGTTTGTTTTTTTCTTGTAAATTTGTTTGAGTTCATTGTAGCTTCTGGATATTAGCCCTTTGTCAGATGAGTAGGTTGTGAAAATTTTCTCCCATTCTGTAGGTTGCCTGTTCACTCTGATGGTAGTTTCTTTTGCTGTGCAGAAGCTCTTTAGTTTAATTAGATCCCATTTGTCAATTTTGGCTTTTGTTGCCATTGCTTTTGGTGTTTTAGACATGAAGTCCTTGCCCGTGACTATGTCCTGAATGGTAATGCCTAGGGTTTCTTCTAGGGTTTTTATGGTTTTAGATCTAACGTTTAAGTCTTTAATCCATCTTGAATTGATTTTTGTATAATGTGTAAGGAAGGGATCCAGTTTCAGCTTTCTACATATGGCTAGCCAGTTTTCCCAGCACCATTTATTAAATAGGGAATCCTTTCCCCATTGCTTGTTTTTCTCAGGTTTGTCAAAGATCAGATAGTTGTAGATATGCGGCGTTATTTCTGAGGGCTCTGTTCTGTTCCATTGATCTATATCTCTGTTTTGGTACCAGTACCATGCTGTTTTGGTTACTGTAGCCTTGTAGTATAGTTTGAAGTCAGGTAGTGTGATGCCTCCTGCTTTGTTCTTTTGGCTTAGGATTGACTTGGCGATGCGTGCTCTTTTTTGGTTCCATATGAACTTTAAAGTAGTTTTTTCCAATTCTGTGAAGAAAGTCATTGGTAGCCTGATGGGGATGGCATTGAATCTGTAAATTACCTTGGGCAGTTGGCCATTTTCACGATATTGATTCTTCCTACCCATGAGCATGGAATGTTCTTCCATTTGTTTGTATCCTCTTTTCTTTCCTTGAGCAGTGGTTTGTAGTTCTCCTTGAAGAGGTCCTTCACATCCCTTGTAAGTTGGATTCCTAGGTATTTTATTCTCTTTGAAGCAATTGTGAATGGGAGTTCACTCATGATTTGGCTCTCTGTTTGTCTGTTATTGGTGTATAAGAATGCTTGTGATTTTTGTACATTGATTTTGTATCCTGAGACTTTGCTGAAGTTGCTTATCAGCTTAAGGAGATTTTGGGCTGAGACAGTGGGGTTTTCTAGATATACAATCATGTCGTCTGCAAACAGGGACAATTTGACTTCCTCTTTTCCTAATTGAATACCCTTTATTTCCTTCTCCTGCCTGATTGCCCTGGCCAGAACTTCCAACACTATGTTGAATAGGAGTGGTGAGAGAGGGCATCCCTGTCTTGTGCCAGTTTTCAAAGGGAATGCTTCCAGTTTTTGCCCATTCAGTATGATATCGGCTGTGGGTTTGTCATAGATAGCCCTTATTATTTTGAAATACGTCCCATCAATACCTGATTTATTGAGAGTTCTTAGCATGAAGGGTTGTTGAAATTTGTCAAAGGCTTTTTCTGCATCTATTGAGATAATCACGTGGTTTTTGTCTTTGGCTCTGTTTATATGCTGGATTACATTTATTGATTTGCGTGTATTGAACCAACCTTGCATCCCAGGGATGAAGCCCACTTGATCATGGTGGATAAGCTTTTTGATGTGCTGCTGGATTCGTTTTGCCAGTATTTTATTGAGGATTTTTGCATCGATGTTCATCAAGGATATTGATCTAAAATTCTCTTTTTTTGTTGTGTCTCTGCCTGGCTTTGGTATCAGAATGTTGCTGGCCTCATAAAATGAGTTAGGGAGGATTCTCTCTTTTTCTATTGATTGGAATAGTTTCAGAAGGAATGGTACCAGTTCTTCCTTGTACCTCTGGTAGAATTCGGCTGTGAATCCATCTGGTCCTGGACTCTTTTTGGTTGGTAAGCTATGGATTTTTGCCACAATTTCAGCTCCTGTTATTGGTCTATTCAGAGATTCAACTTCTTCCTGGTTTAGTCTTGGGAGAGTGTATGTGTCCAGGAATTTATCCATTTCTTCTCGATTTTCTAGTTTATTTGCGTAGAGGTGTTTGTAGTATTCTCTGATGGTAGTTTGTATTTCTGTGGGATCAGTGGTGATATCCCCTTTATCATTTTTTATTGCGTCTATTTGATTCTTCTCTCTTTTTTTCTTTATTAGTCTTGCTAGCGGTCTATCAATTTCGTTGATCCTTTCAAAAAACCAGCTCCTGGATTCATTAATTTTTTGAAGGGTTTTTTGTGTCTCTATTTCCTTCAGTTCTGCTCTGATTTTAGTTATTTCTTGCCTTATGCTAGCTTTTGAATGTGTTTGCTCTTGCTTTTCTAGTTCTTTTAATTGTGATGTCAGGGTGTCAATTTTGGATCTTTCCTGCTTTCTCTTGTGGGCATTTAGTGCTATAAATTTCCCTCTAGACACTGCTTTGAATGCATCCCAGAGATTCTGGTATGTTGTGTCTTTGTTCTCATTGGTTTCAAAGAACATCTTTATTTCTGCCTTCATTTCGTTATGTACCCAGTAGTCATTCAGGAGCAGGTTGTTCAGTTTCCATGTAGTTGAGCGGTTTTAAGTGAGATTCTTAATCCTGAGTTCTAGTTTGATTGCACTGTGGTCTGAGAGATAGTTTGTTATAATTTCTGTTCTTTTACATTTGCTGAGGAGAGCTTTACTTCCCAGTATGTGGTCAATTTTGGAATAGGTGTGGTGTGGTGCTGAAAAAAATGTATTTTCTGTTGATTTGGGGTGGAGAGTTCTGTAGATGTCTATTAGGTCTGCTTGGTGCAGAGCTGAGTTCAATTCCTGGGTATCCTTGTTGACTTTCTGTCTCCTTGATCTGTCTAATGTTGACAGTGGGGTGTTAAAGTCTCCCATTATTAATATGTGGGAGTCTAAGTCTCTTTGTAGGTCACTCAGGACTTGCTTTATGAATCTGGGTGCTCCTGTATTGGGTGCATATATATTTAGGATAGTTACCTCTTCTTGTTGAATTGATCCCTTTACCATTATGTAATGGCCTTCTTTGTCTCTTTTGATCTTTGTTGGTTTAAAGTCTGTTTTATCAGAGACTAGGATTGCAACCCCTGCCTTTTTTTGTTTTCCATTTGCTTGGTAGATCTTCCTCCATCCTTTTATTTTGAGCCTATGTGTGTCTCTGCACGTGAGATGGGTTTCCTGAATACAGCACACTGATGGGTCTTGACTCTTTATCCGATTTGCCAGTCTGTGTCTTTTAATTGGAGCATTTAGTCCATTTACATTTAAAGTTAATATTGTTATGTGTGAATTTGATCCTGTCATGATGATGTTAGCTGGTTATTTTGCTCGTTAGTTGGTGCAGTTTATTCCTAGTCTCGATGGTCTTTACATTTTGGCATGATTTTGCAGCTGCTGGTACCAGTTGTTCCTTTCCATGTTTAGTGCTTCCTTCAGGAGGTCTTGTAAGGCAGGCCTGGTGGTGACAAAATCTCTCAGCATTTGCTTGTCTGTAAAGGATTTTATTTCTCCTTCACTTATGAAGCTTAGTTTGGCTGGATATGAAATTCTGGGTTGAAAATTCTTTTCTTTAAGAATGTTGAATATTTGCCCCCACTCTCTTCTGGCTTGTAGGGTTTCTGCCGAGAGATCCACTGTTAGTCTGATGGGCTTCCCTTTGTGGGTAACCCGACCTTTCTCTCTGGCTGCCCTTAACATTTTTTCCTTCATTTCAACTTCGGTGAATCTGACAATTATGTGTCTTGGAGTTGCTCTTCTCGAGGAGTATCTTTGTGGCGTTCTCTGTATTTCCTGAATCTGAACGTTGGCCTGCCTTGCTAGATTGGGGAAGTTCTCCTGGATAATATCCTGCAGCGTGTTTTCCAACTTGGTTCCATTCTCCCCATCACTTTCAGGTACACCAGTCAGACGTAGATTTGGTCTTTTCACATAGTCCCATATTTCTTGGAGGCTTTGCTCATTTCTTTTTATTCATTTTTCTCTAAACTTCCCTTCTCGTTTCATTTCATTCATTTCATCTTCCATTGCTGATACCCTTTCTTCCAGTTGATTGCATCGGCTCCTGAGGCTTCTGCATTCTTCACGTAGTTCTCAAGCCTTGGTTTTCAGCTCCATCAGCTCCTTTAAGCACTGCTCTGTATTGGTTATTCTAGTTATACATTCTTCTAAATTTTTTTCAAAGTTTTCAACTTCTTTGCCTTTGGTTTGAATGTCCTCCCGTAGCTCAGAGTAATTTGATCGTCTGAAGCCTTCTTCTCTCAGCTCGTCAAAGTCATTCTCCATCCTGCTTTGTTCCCTTGCTGTTGAGGAACTGCGTTCCTTTGGAGGAGGAGAGGCACTCTGCTTTTTAGAGTTTCCAGTTTTTCTGTTCTGTTTTTTCCCCATCTTTGTGGTTTTATCTACTTTTGGTCTTTGATGATGGTGATGTACAGATGGGTTTTTGGTGTGGATGTCCTTTCTGTTTGTTAGTTTTCCTTCTAACAGACAGGACCCTCAGCTGCAGGTCTGTTGGAATACACTGCCGTGTGAGGTGTCAGTGTGCCCCTGCTGGGGGATGCCTCCCAGTTAGGCTGCTCGGGGGTCAGGGGTCAGGGACCCACTTGAGGAGGCAGTCTGCCTGTTCTCAGATCTCCAGCTGCGTGCTGGGAGAACCACTGCTCTCTTCAAAGCTGTCAGACAGGGACATTTAAGTCTTCAGAGGTTACTGCTGTCTTTTTGTTTGTCTGTGCCCTGCCCCCAGAGGTGGAGCCTACAGAGGCAGGCAGGCCTCCTTGAGCTGTGGTGGGCTCCACCCAGTTCGAGATTCCCGGCTGCTTTTTTTACCTAATCAAGCCTGGGCAATGGCGGGCGCCCCTCCCCCAGCCTCACTGCTGCCTTGCAGTTTGATCTCAGACTGCTGTGCTAGCAATCAGCGAGACTCCGTGGGCATAGGACCCTCTGAGCCAGGTGCGGGATATAATCTCGTGGTGCGCCGTTTTTTAAGCCAGTCAGAAAAGCGCAGTATTCAGGTGGGAGTGACCCGATTTTCCAGGTGCTGTCCGTCACCCCTTTCTTTGACTCAGAAAGGGAATTCCCTGACCACTTGTGCTTCCCAAGTGAGGCAATCCCTCGCCCTGCTTCGGCTGGCGCACGGTGCACACACCCACTGACCTGCGCCCACTGTCTGGCACTCCCTAGGGAGATGAACCCAGTACCTCAGATGGAAATGCAGAAATCACCCGTCTTCTGCGTTGCTCACGCTGGGAGCTGTAGACTGGAGCTGTTCCTATTCGGCCATCTTGGCTCCTCCCCCTTGCTTGGCTTCTTATCCTTGAGGATTTTAAAAGTCTAATATTAGTCTCCCTATAAAAAAGTTATAGTAAAGATAATTTAAAGAGAAACTGCATAGACAACTACTATTCTTTCTGAACTTTATGCAAATAATCAGGTTACTTCTTTTGTAGAACTCATTTTGCTAATACATTGGTCCTATTATGGTTGTATTATTTTCATACAATTTAAATTGTATTTTGAATTTTTTCTGAGCTACAAGTCCAAAAACTAACATTTTCAACTTTTTTATTCCATTTTTCTGACTTGAAAGCACTAGAAATAGAAACTATGCTTTTTGTAAAGCCCTGCAAACTGAAGTTACACAAATTAAATAAACTTCGGAAGAAATCACAGCAACTTCTACATAAACAGTCTTCATGTCTGCTGATGTATGGTCTAGTCAGAATGTTCATGTGTACTCCTAATACTAATTGTAATACAGAAAAATCTATCAGATTGCCACTGCAATCCGAAGATGCTTCAGAGACTCCAGAAAAGCTAGTTTATAGACCACTACAGACTTTAACCTTTGTTTTACTTCTGTTTCCATAGAAATGACTTTTATTAATGATCTGTTTGCCTATATCATTTATGGAGGTCTACCCCGTTGGAAGTGTCATCTCTTGAAATGAGATACAGCTGTTTAACTGAACTGATCTATTCTTTGGGCTAAGAGACTGGCTCAAAAAGATATGGGGTGAAATCTTTAAATTTATTCTTTCACCTATTCCAACTTGTTTTTTCACTCCTTTGTCTGTCTCTATCTTACAACATTTAGCCTTCTCCAAATCTATTAACTTGGTTTTTAATATGTGAAACTTTTTATAGTTTCAGAGTGGGTTTCTTAAAATATAAAAATATTTTACCCCAATATATATTTTTTTGACATATTTTGAGATGGCTCTTAGAGAGGCAACAAACAGGAGTAGCCTGACAAAGCTACCTTTCATGGGAGAAATTTTCATCTATAGAGAATGTGCACTGATGTAGCCAGGGCTTCCCTCACCTAGATCTAGGAAAGATTAAAGGAGATGAAAGAAACATATATTATATATTATTTCTGAAGGTTGCCACCTGTGAGATTTCATTTATATAACAAGACCCCTTTTGCTAGCCAGGCCTAATACCCCCTGTCTGCCATTACCTGTTTTGCTGCCATAACATATTATGCCATAATCCAAGTCCCTAATTATTTTTGTTATCCCAAGATGGTATATAAGGTTCTGCACCTTACTGAGGGTTAAGTAATCTCACGTTGAGGTTACCTGTGTACATGTTAATAAATTTTATATTGTTTTTCTTTAATTAATTTGCCTTGTGTGAATTGATTTTTCAACAAACCTTTAGAGAACAAAGAGGTGTTTTTTTTTCTTTTTTTTGACTCCTACAGTTTCTATGTGTCTTTTAGTAGAATACAAAAAAAAGTAAACAAATATTCATTTTTTATAAATATATTTTACTTCACTGTTCTTTACATAGCAGTTAGTTGCATTTTAAAAGAAATTGTGAGTATTGCTATTTATTTAATAATACAGTTAACAGAGCTAAGGAGGAAATTAGAGCAATAATAAATGTGTTATCAGTGAAATAATTGCTCCATTGTGGCTTCCTCATTAAAGACCATAAGTCAATGAGCTGTGAAAAAAAAAAAAAAAAAAAAAAAAAAGAATCACTATGCATTCTTTTTTGTTTTCAGTTACCTGAAGCACCTTTTTTAAAAAAACACTTTCTATGTACCTTTTCTTTTTTCTTTGTTTTTAGTGAGTCTTTTATATGCCATATAATTATGTCTTCTTTGTGAGTCAAAATAAAAATCTTTTTTTTTAAACAGGTGAGTTAAGCTCATTCTAACTTATTATTATGAATCATAAGTTTTTTTCTCAACTCTGTAATAATATGTTATCATTTTAAAACTTTTATTTGCTACATTTAATTTTCTAAAAATGTGTATTTTTTCTTTATTTGTGTATTTGCTTGTTGTATTTAGAAAGTTTTGTATTTCTTCAAGTTCTTTACTTTTTACTTATGTTTTAATGTCTTTAAATGTTTAATGACTTACTTTATCAGTTTATTGTGATATCCTATAATACACATTTGCTTATATAAAAATAAACTTTTCCATTTTCTTTTTTCTATTGCCAAAATATATTTATTTTAAAATGCTTACCAGCTTTTTAAGTCATTACTTAGTTGAATAATACTTATCCTGTAACAGATTCTTCAAGAAAGCCAAAGGGGAAAGACTTTCCTAAGTCTGAAATGTGCTGAAAACATTTTTTTCTCAAAGATTAATATTTAAAAGACAGATGAGGTACATGTAACATCTGTGGTTCACATTTTCTTTCATTTATTCATACTCTTTTAATACTGCCTCATTGCTACCTCCGTTTGCCTCCTGGTTTTAAAAAGTCTCATGCGTGTCGGCTACTTTTGCTTTTGTAAGTTATTTTATTTTCTTTGTTCCCTGGATGTCATCATACATTTTTTCTATTTGAAATGTAATATTTTTACTATAATATGATTTGAAGTTAATTTTTCTTGGTTAATTTTTTCAGGTATCTAGTAACCACTTTCAAATCAACAGAATTATGTGATTGTTGCTGTTGTTTCTATTTCTGGAAAGTTTCTTGGAATATACTCACATAGTTTCACTCTGTGCCTCCACCCAAATCTCATCTGCAATTGTAATGCCCACGTGTCAGGGGAGGGACCTGGTGGAAGGTCATTGAATCATAGGGACAGTTTTATCCCATGCGGTTTCTCCATAGTGAGTGTGTTCTCATGAGATATGACAGTTTAAAAGTGTGTGGCAGTTCCCCCATCTTGCTCTCTCTCCCGTCACCAGGTAAGATATGTCTTGCTTCCCTTTGCCTTCCACCATTATTTTAAGTTTCTTGAGGTCTCCGTAGCCATGCAGAATTTCAAGTCAATCAAACCTCTTTTCTCAGGTAGTTCTTTAGAGCAGTGTGAAAATGGACTAATTATATATATATATATATAAATATATTCCGTAACCATGCAGAATTTCAAGTCAATCAAACCTCTTTTCTCAGGTAGTTCTTTAGAGCAGTGTGAAAATGGACTAATTATATATATATATATATTTATATATACATATATGTATATATATATATATATACACACACACACATACTGTAATTTGTTTATATTTTTGCATTTAAAAAATCTTTATCTTTAGTAACTGATAATTTAGACACTTTTGCGTCTTTGCCAATTTTCCATTTATACTAAACCTAACCACTTAAAAAAATTTTGGGGGGGGTCCTTTTTCTTCTCTTGGTTGCTTTTCTGCATTTTAATGTCCCTTATTTAATTTTATATGAATCTATTCCTTTTGGGGACTTATACAATTTACTATGATTTCTAACTTTATGTTTTCTTTTACTTTTCTGATGTCAATAAATTATCTTCAATACTCATTTTTGTCTACTTTTTATTTTTAGTTTTTGAATTTCGAATTCAACATGTTTTTACATCCTCGAAAATTGATTATGTATAACTGTTCTGTTGACTTACATTTTCTTCTTCTTTAGGGTTGTTTTTAGTGAATACTTTTTCTCCCTTTATATGTTTGGGATGTTATTTCCTGATGTTCTGCAATTGCTGTGTAAGGACTTTACTTTTTTCTTACTGATTTTTATAATGATAGAATTTTTCAAAAATTATTAGTTTAATGGTGCCCTCTTGTGTCAGAAGCACAAAGCCCAATTACTTTAACACATATATTGTTTAAGTTTGTTTGGGGGATATGGGAGGTTTTGTGAGAATGCCCAATTTATGGCTTTCTTTTGTCTCTCAATATCTTATTTTTTTTTCTTCCACAATTGCTAAATGGTGTTTTTTTTGTTTTATTTTTGTCTATTTTTCCCGCACACATAATTTATGTGTTTCAACAACTAACCTTTAAATCATAAAACTCTTTACAATTGAGCTGACTTCTTTAAATAGCACTTGTAGCTTTAAAGTGTGCTTTTTCAAGTGGCTAATTTGAAATCTCTGTCCTGTCGACCATACTCTAATTTGCCTAGACAGTTTTCCCGTGTTTTTGGGTTTAGAGTGAATTTAATCTTCTCGGTGGTTATTAAATATCCTGCTCAGATTCCTTTAGTAGTCTACTCTTCTACAGATTTTCTGTCTACATTTGCTTTTCATGAATTCCTGAAGCTGTGCTGCTGTGGAGTGGTAGCCCAAGATGCTGCAAACAGTAATTTGTTGGTATTTCAGTTTTACTCACTGTTATTTTGTAGTTTAATATGCTCTGTCTTTCAGTTATGCCAAGTGTACACCTTAATATTGAAACTCTTTTTCCTATCTTGTTCTTTCCTATTAAGTGGCAAAAATATTGGGAGACATGTTTTGTTATGCATCCAACTTTGTCCTTCCATACATATCTTATAATCTTTTAAGAGTGACACTTCAAAAAGGAATTAGCCTTAAAAAAAATTTGTCCCTAGAGCAAAAAATAAGATTAGAAAATCAAACAATGTGGCCTTAGGAAAGTTATTCATCATTTTAGTGCACCGGTGTCCTCATCTATAAAATGTAAATAATAATAGTGCCTAACTCATAGGGATTATTACAAAAACTACATAAAATAACAAGTCTTTATAATATTACCAAATACATTTGTTGGTAACACATTAAATTTTATCTTCTCATAATCTTTAGTATTATGTTAATTTTTACTTCAGTGAAAAGAACTGCAGTTATTAAAATTAATTAATATTATGATACATGTATATATATATACATTAAAATAGTATGCCATCAAATAATATTGAAATACATCAAACTAGGATTTTTTAACATAGGTTTTTAAAAATTAATATAATACTATGTCTTTTAATTTACAATTGAAAGTGCATAAAATTCATTACACTACTTGCATCTTTAAGAAAATACATTAGAAATGTTCAAAAAATATATGTGTATATATATATAAAGGCAAAGCTCAATGAATTTTTTTGGCAAAATATTCCTATTTATTTTATTTTTTGAAAATAAATAAAAGTGTTTAAATTGCAATAAGTTCACAAAATATTCTTTTGAAACAACAGCTTCAAATATCATATTCTAAAAGAAAATTATGAATAGCTCTGTTTTTACAGTGGTTTCTTCTTAGATATTTGGTTTTATTCATGTGTTTTATTCACTGATTTGTTTCCATGCTTTAGGTATTCAAATTTCGATCAGTATATATAGTTAAACATTAAAAGTAAATAAATAAACAACTGACTTTGACTCCCATTCACCTTCCATTTGCTATTTTTAAGAAATCAAAGTCTATTTTTACTATCTTAAATAAAAATATATATTTTTACATATTTATATATCATACTGTAAAATATTCATAAATATATAAGATTTTATAAGATACAGATAATAGATTTATATGTGTATAGTTCCTGCTTAATAAATAACAGAAATAACATTTGAAAAACATAAATATTCAGTGACAGATTATATTCATAACATGAATGAAATTAATCTCTGCTAAAGATTTTAGTGTACCAAATGTTAACATATTAGTTTGACAAAATTAAGTTGAATAAATAATGTGAACTTTCTTCTTTTTTCAATCGAATAAATTTTTTAGACACTACTTTGTAGATAACTATTTATTTACTTTAGATTCTATTAAAAGAATTTATTATGAATGTCTGTTATAATTGCAAGTTTAAAATTGTATATATTTATGGTAGAAAATGGTATATGTATACATATGTTTTAAGTATATATTGTAAAATGACTACCACGGTTAGCTAATAAACATGTCTGTCACCTCACATATTTATGTTTGTGTGTGTTAAGAACATTTAAGATCTGCTCTTTAACTATTTTCAACTATACAATACAGTATTATCAATTATAGCCATCATGCTTAACAATAGATCTCAAGAATTTATTCACCCTATCTAACTGAAACTTGTATGCTTTGGCTAACAACTTCTCATCCCCCTTTCTTTCCAAGGCCCTGGTGCCCACAATTATATTGTCAGCCTCTGTAAGCTTCACTATTTTATATTTCGCAAATGAGATTGTGCAATAATTTTCTTTCTGTGTCTGACCCATTTCACTTATCATAATGCTCTCCAGGTTAATCCATATTGTCACAAATGGCAAGATTTAATTCTTTTTTTAAGGCTAAATATAATTTGATTGTGTATATACACCAAATTTTTAAACCATTCATCTGTTGATGAACACTTAGATTTGTCTCAAATCTTAACTTTTGTGAATAATGGTACAAAAAGCATGAGAGTGCCAATATCTTTCTAACATATAGATTTCAGTTTTTTAATCTATACCCAGAGGTAAGATTGCTGAATCATAAGGTCGATCAATTTTTAATTTTTTGAGGAGACTTACACTGTTTTCCTTAAAGGCTATACTAATTACATTCCAACCCATCATGTACCAGGGTTGCTTTTTCTCCACAACTTCACGATTTGTTCTTTTATATTTTATACATATTTTAAAGTACACAGAATTCAATTTCAAAATTGTAATAACATATACCACAAGACTGAATAAAATCAACAGGAAACACGATTTGTATAAAACATATTTTCTGAATGTGCAATAAAACAAAAGTCTCTTCAATTGTGAAATTAGTCCCTGCATCATTTTTGTTGTGCTTCACTGATAAAGGAATAATTTCCAAAATTATGTATTTTGCCAAAACCATTGTAATATTTTTATATAAATTAACAAAAACCACAGAGCTATGCACATAACAATCTTAATATTGTACTTCTGAGCCCATCTCAGAGATGACTAACAGTGAAAGAAACAACAATTCTTACAATCTTAACCATATTATTCTACTTACTTTATAAAAACGGTCTAATGATTACAACTTACAAACTTTCACTCAATTGACAACTTGCTAATAAATGGTAAAACTGCAACCAGTACACATAATATTTTTATTATAAAACTGTCAGACTGTAAACAATATTCTATACACATTTTTGAGCAAAAATCCAATTCAAGTTTTATTTTGTTTTCTGAAAATGACCTTAGTTTTCTTCCTTCTAATCAAATGCATAAGTATAAATTACTTTTGTAAAGAAATATAGATATGCAAACCTAATATTGGAAAAATGTCAACCTTAATAGTTTTGTTCATTGTTTTAATATGTATTTGTAAAGCATTATTTGTTGCGTATGTTTTTAGATAATGTAAATTGATATTTACTTTGGAAATTCTTTTAAAGCATGCATGATAACATAAGTAATTTCACTAGTGGTTTATTTATAAATGCATTATGTATATATGTATAAATGTGGACTATCTCCTGATTCATTAAAGAGAGAGCTGATGTTCTATATTTTTGCTCAAACTATCTTTTAGCAGGGAACTTGTAATACATAATGCATTTTAAAATTTCAGAAGGAGTATGAATATTAAAAAGTACTCATTCCACTGAGGAAATAATGACCTTGAATTTGATGGCTGGTTATTACAATTTTGTTCTGTTTATGGTATCATATAATTTTATAGATTTTGAAATATGCACTGTAAGCATTACTCTATACTATTTGAATTATTTCTTATAAATGTCCTGTTAACTTCATATAAATTCAAATGTATTCTCAGTTATAATTTTTTTCTTGTAAAGTAAGACCAGTCAACTCACTTTTCCCATAGACGTTAAGAGGAAAAAGAAATTAATTTCCTAAACAACAAGACATAATTTTCTTTGTGATATAGAGTTAGCCATAATTATTTTTTCTATTTATATTATCTAAACATTAACAAAATACTATTTTTCTTTGATATACAATAAGCTAACAAAATTGCAATTAAATTTCCCTTTGAGTAGGAGTTGTTCAATAAAAATTAGTTATTAATTTGGGGTTTTTAAACATGCCATATAATGTATGAAATAATGTATAGAACCATTAGCTGATGGGCTTATAAGAAACCTTCCAATATAGCTGTCTTCTAGGGGAAAGTGATTATTTCAGATTGCTCCTAAAGAAATGGAACTCAATTGTTCACTTAACATCAGTCAAGTTAAGAGAAGCTCATTCTTTCCTAAGGAAGATTACACCCAATAAAAGACACTCGTTCTCTGGAGAGCTGTTCTCTGTGTTTAAACATTTTAAAATTTCCATTCATTCGTTTATCCTGAATCATTTGGCACCATGACTTTTTTTATGGAGCTACGTGGTAAATAGCTGAAGAGAGCCCTCAACACTGTTTTATTTCCAAAGTAAGCTTGCCCAGCAACTTATATTTTTTCATAATGATGGTGATGTTTTCATTGTTCTTATGAGGAATATTACTAAATCAATGTCCCTATTAACGTTTGGAATTAATAACCCAAAGCAAATGATGCTGGAATTTGATGTCCTATGTAGTTCTGCAGCTTAAAATTGCTTCTTTTTTTTTTTTTTTTAAAAAAAAGCCAAACTACCTTTTTAAGTATAAAACAGTCAATATTTAACATTTTAATTTTCATTTGGTTATTTATATTTTCAAATTATATACAATTCTTCCTTATGTGCTTTATAGAATTGGTTCTTTCAGCTTCAATGTATAATTTGATTCTATAGAGAATATAAACCATAAACAAGATTCATACCTAAAAATTTCAACATATTCATTTGAACAAAGAGAATCCAAAGGTAAACAATGATAATTACAATATATATTTTACCAAAGCAGCAAATAAAATACCATGAAAATGCTGAGAAAATAACAACTAATCTGGTATTATTTACACTATCAGCCTTGAAAATTCACACTAATATGGCAATCTTCTTCATGTAGTGATAATTTGCACACCTGGTTCATTGTGTTACTCAACATCTATATTTTTAAAAATTATTCAGAGTGACTTCAGTGTCCATATGGATGACTCTTCCTTAATCCTGTTTTTACACTTATTTAATAATTCATTTCTCATGACTGATTTCACCTCATCTCTAACAGCAAAAGAAAAGTCATAGCTTTTTATTAGCATTGTCTGATATTGCTTAATCTCTCAATAAAATACAAACTCATTTCTCTGCAAATATAAACTCATATTTTACTTGTTCAATTATCCCCATTACAACTATTATTCAATTAATAAATAAGTTAATATTCTTCTTAACTTTACCTGCAATTTGTTTTGCAGTGTTCTTATTTATTCTAGGTATCTTTTGTTGTTGAGTAAAGTATACAATTTTTAAATGTAGCCTCATAAATAGAAAAAAATTTGAAACCTAAATAATTAAAAATTTTGGTAGATGTGAAGATGAAATACTGAAGCTTCAGAGGTTATTGTCTTCAATTCTCTCTCATTACCATTATAGAAAGAGATTTTCTAATGCAATAATAACAAATAAAAGTTATTTTATTCAACTGAGTATCTTGTTAATATACAAGATGACGATCATGCTAAAATGGATAAGGACAAAGTTGGAAATATTTAAAATGTAAAAATTACCTATTTCATTATTCTTGTTTTCTTACTCAAAATGCTTAACCAAAAATGAGACTTTAATTTTCATCACTATTCTGATAAATTTTAAGTTATAAATTTGGCCACAACAGTCAAACTGTCTTTCAAAAGTATAGGAACCAAGTTGCTAGTATATTATTGTTCCCAAAGAACACCACTGTATTAGAAACTAGAGTCAAATGTGCTTTACTTCTTAGTTCTAAGTTTACTTTCAAATATTATATATATATATATAATTATATATATGAACACTGTCAAGAGATATGATTCCAGCATATTACCTTCTATATCTTCCTGGAAATAGTGGTGGTAGTGTGAAAAGAAATCAATGTTGTGTAGAGATTTGGAAGCAGACACAGTTTAGCTGAGGGGTCCTTTGACTCTTCACAATTATGTCCACTACATTTTACCCAAATTTCTATAAGTTGTTTTTAATTTTGCATACCCAAATATTTATTTATTATTTTCTGCCCTATATCTTGGAAATCTTTTTTAATCCTTGCAAATATTATTTTTTCCTAAAATTTGCTTTGCTATTAATACAGCTATAACAGCCTTCCTTTGTATAATGTTAACATTGTATATAACTTTTTCTATCTATGCATTTAAAGGTTTGCTTTTTTATGGATTTCCAAGTTTTCTTTTATTGTTTTTTTGTTTTGTTTTGTTGTATTTATTTGTAGGCAGGATATAAGTAGGTGCTGCTTTTTAAATACAATCTCACAAGCCCTATTTTTATTTGCAATATTTAAACAAAGTACATAGAAACAGATTTTATTGAAACAGATTTCAGTATATCATTCTGCTATTTTCTTTTCCTCTTTTTCTGTGTTGTTTTGTAGTAATTGAGCATTATTTTACTAAAGACAGTTTTCTGGACTTGAAAGGTCAATGTCTGGATTATTTTTATTTTTTGCATTTGGATGCCTAGTTGTTTCAGCATCATTTGTTGAAAATACTATATTACTTCCATTATATTACCTTTGCTTCTTTTTCAAAGATCAGCTAACTGTATTTATGTGGGTCAATTTCTTGGCTCTCTATTCTGTTCCATTAATCTATATGTGTATTATTTTGCCTGTATTACACAGTCCTCCTTAGTGTAGCTCTATAGGGAGTATTAACATCAAGAGTGTTAGCCCTCAAATTTTTTCTTCTCCTTCAGTATCGTGTTAGCTATTTTGCATCTTTCCCTCTGCAACATACACTTTAGAATCAGTTTGTCAATGTCCACAAAAAAAACTGGAATTTTAATTGGGATTGCATTGAAACAATAGGTCAAATTGGGAAGAATTGACAGACATCTTGACAATATTGAGTCTTTGTTGGGTTGATCAGACCTAACACCAGGCTGTGGGGGCTGGTGGAGTCAAAGGAATGAGACGACAAGAGTGCATAAAGTGGGACCAGGGGGCCAACGCTAGCATGGAGGCTGCAAAGTCCCCTGACTCTGGAAGCCCAAACTATTTATTAGTGATCAAACAAAGAATCAGGTGGTGAGGATGTGAAGGTTGAAAGAAAGCAGTGTATCAAGTGCATGATCTACAGCTGTGATGGTTTAGCATTTTCTCTGAAGCATATGGAACATGTTCTGCTACTTGAGGTAATGGGAAACATGTTCTAGTTTAAGATACAATTGATCTATGAACCTGGGAGTGCTAGGAGCAAGGAGCCAGCAAGTCTAGACACATTCCAGAGGCCACAGGGGGTTTTATGCCCTGAGCCCTGGATTCCATCCAAGCCATGAGGCTTTTTATGCCCTGGGCTTAGATTGTGGTGTGGCGGGGCACCCTTCCACCCTTTTGCACAGAGCTTGGTGTTCCAAAGGCCACAAGGGGTTTTAGACCCTGGACCCCAGACATGTTCCAAGACTCTTTTACATTATGTCAGACATGCAAGCCCTACCTCAGCATTTTTCCCAACACTCAGCTTTTCCCCAACAAGTCTTCCTATTTATAAACATAAAATGTATTTCCACTTGTATAGTTATTTGATTTTATTAATCAGTTTTATATTTTTTCATATAGATCTTGTATACCATTTTTACATTTATACCTAAGTATTTCATTATTTAGGATGTTAATATAAATGTTTTATTAGTTTATTTTTAAATTATTTTTTAAATTTCAAACTGCACTTGTTTGTTTCTTATATTTACAAAGAAACTTTTTACAGAAAGCTATGAATTTTTTGTACTGACTTTGTATGCTAAATCCTTGCTATAATCACTTATTAGTTCCTAGAGTATTTTGTCAATTCTTTCAAACTTTCTAAAGGGATGATCATGTCATCTGTGAATTAAAAAATATATTTATTCCTTCCCAATCTGTGCTCCTTTTACTTCCCTTTCTCATCTTATTTCATTAGCTTGAACTTACAGTATGAGATTGAAGAAGTGGTAAGAGGGGATAGTCTTGCCTTAACTTAATGAGAAATCTTCTACTTTCTCATCATTAAGTATGAAGTTACTTATAATATTGTTTTGTACATACACTTTATTAAGTTGTGGACATTTTCCCATATTTCTAGTTTACTGAGAGATTTTTTTTAACATGAATGGTTGTTAAATTTTGTTAAAAGCTTTTTTGCATATATTGACATGATCATGTGATTTTTTTTAGCTTATTGATATAGTAAATTACATCAATGAATTTTCAAATGTTCAAATTGCTTTGCCTAAATGAGATAAATCCCTCTTGGTTGTTGTGTGTAATTCTTATACACTATTGAATTTGTCTTCATAGTATTTTTTTGAGGATTTTTGCATCTATGTTCATGAGAGACATTGGTTATAGTTTAGTTTTTTTGAAATTTCCTTGTCTTATTTTGTTATCAAAGTAATGCTGGTCTCATAGAATGAGTCAGAAAGTCTGCTTCTGTCCTCTGAAAGAAATTGTAAAAACAATTGGAGTAACTTCTTTCTTAAATGTTTCGTAGAATTCTTCAGGGAATCCATCTGGGCCTCATGCTTCCCATTCAGAAAGATTATTAGTTATTTTTTCAGTTTCTTCAATTAAATTGTCTATTTCTTCTTGTGTGAGTTTGGTAGATTGTGTCTTTCAAGGAATTAGTCCAGTTCCTACATGTTATCAAGTTTGTGACCATGAAGTTTTCTGTAGTATTCCTTTATTCTCCTTTTATTGTCCATGGGATCTGAAGTGATGTTTACTTTTATGATTTCTGAAAGTAATTTGTCTCTTCTCTTTTTTTATTTAGATAACAAGATAAGAGTTTTATCAATTTTATTGGTATTATCAAAGCATCTGCTTTTGGTTTTGTTGATATTCTCTATTGATTTCCTGTTCTCAATGTCAATAATTTCTCCTATGATATTTATTATTTATTTTCTTTTGCTTACTTTTGATTTAGTTTGCACTTCTTTTCTGGTTCGGACAGGTGGAAACTTATATTATTGGTTTTAGATTTTTGTTTTTTTCTAATATATGCATTCAATTATAAAATGTTCCTTCTAAGCCCTACTGTTACTGTACCTTACAATTTTTATGTTGTTTTGTCTTGTATTTTTATTTTTCTTTAACTTGATATATTTTAAAATGTTTCTTGCTATTTCTTCTTTAGTCTGTGTGTTATTTAGAAGTGTGTTGTTGAATGTCTACATATTTGGAGATTTTAAAATTTATCATTCTGTCATTTATTTCTTGTTTAAATCCAATGTTTTCTGAGATTAAATATTGTGTAATTTTTATTATTTTAAAATTTTAAGTGTGTTTTATGGCCCAGAATATGATCTATCTTAGTGAAACGTTCCACATGAGCTTGATAAGAATGTGTATTCTGCTGTTGTTGGGTAAAGTACAAGCCTACCTCATCAATATTTCTCATATCATTCCAGACGACTGTGATAAAGTGAGTATCACCATAAAATGAGTCAAACAAATTTTTGGTTTTTCAGTATACATAATAGTTATGTTTGTACTATATTGTAGCCTATATGCACAATAGTATTATTTTGAAAAAGGACATATTTTAATTTAAAAATATTTTGTTTTTAAAAAATGCTGACAATAATCTAAGCCTTCAGTGAGTCTTAATCTTTTTGCTGATGAAGGGTCTTGCATAAATGTTGACTGATGACTAGTCAGGGTTGTGGTTGCTGAAGTTTGGGGTCATTGTGGAAATTTAAAACAATAAGATAACAATAAATTTTGCCACAATGACGGACTCGTTCGTGAAGGATTTCTGTGTTGCGGGAAATGCTGTTTGATAGCATTTTACTAACAGAACTTGGATTCAGTCCTCTGAAACCTTATCATTGCTTTACAAACTAAGTTTATGAAATATTCCAAAATTTTTATTGTCATTTCAACCATGTTCACAGTAACTCCATGAAGACTAAATGCCATCCCAAGAAACCACTTTCTTTGCTCATCATCATAAGCCACTCCCTATTCATTTAAGTTTGATAGTGTGATTAGAGCAATTCAGTTACATCCTCAAGCTCCACTTCTCATTCTAGCCCTCTTGCAATTTCCACCACTTTGCAATTACCTCTTCCACTCAAATCTTATATCCCTCAAAGTCATTGACTTTGGGGGTTGAAACTGACTTTTTTCAATCTCATGCTAACATTGACATTTTGACGTACTCCCATAAATCATAAATGGTCTTCATTACATCTAGAATGGTGATTCTTTTTCACAAAGTTGTTAATTTACATTGCCTAAATTTATCAGAAGAATGACTATGGTTGGTATAGCCTTACAAAATATACTGCTTAAATAATAAGACTTGAAATTAGAAATTATTTTTTGATCCATAGATTGTAGAATAGATGTTGTACTGGCAGACATAAAACCAACATTAATCTCCTTGTAAATCTCCATCAGAGATCTTGGGTGACTAGTGTCACTGAACAATAATATTTTATAATAATTGTTTTTTTCTGAGCAGTTGGTCCAAGAATGGGCTTGAAATAGTCAGTAATCTATGCTGTGCATAGAAACGCTGTCATCCAGACTTTGGCAGTTCCATTTATAGAATATAGGCAGATTAGATTTAGCATAATTCTTAAGGTCCTAAGATTTTCGAAATAGCAAATGAGCATTGGCTTCAGTGTAAAGTCACCAGCTGCCTTATTCCCTAACAAGAAAGTCCAACTCTGAAGTTTTAAAGCCAGACATTAACTTTTTCTCTCTAGCTGTAAAAATCCTCAATGCCATTTTCTCCTGTATAAAACTATTTTATCTACACTGAAAATCTGTTCTTTAGTGTAGTCATTTCATCAATTATCTTAGCTTGATTTTTCTGGATCACCTGCTGAAGCTTCTATATTAGCATTTTCTGCATCACCTTGTACTTTTATTTTATGAGGCAGCTTGCTTTCTTAAATCTTAGGAAACAACCTCTGCTTTCAAACTTTTCTTCTGCAGCTTTATTGCCTCTCCTACCCTTCATAGAACTGAAGACAGAGCCTTGCTCTGGATTGGGCTTTAGTATATGTGAATGATGTGGCTGGTTTCATCTATCCAGGCCACTACAACTTTCTTCATATTAGCAATCAAGCTGTTTTGCTTTCTTATCATGGGTGTGTTCATTAGAGTGTCATTTTAATTTCCTTCAAAAACTTTATTTTGCCTTCACAACTTGGCTAATGTTTTCCTGCAAAAATACTAGCTTTGGCCTACTTGGCTTTTGACATGCCAAGCCTAACCATTTCTAGCTTTCGATTTAAGGTGAGAGAAGTATGACTCTTCCTTTCACTTGAACACTTAGAGCCCATTGCAAGGTTATTAATTGGCCTAATTTCAGTATTGTTGTGTCTTCAGGAATAGGGAGGCACAAGAAGAGGGAGAGAGATGAAGAAAAATCTGGTCAATGGAGCATTCTGAACACTAATAACATTTATTTTGCCTTATACAGGTCTACTTCATGGTACTCCCAAATAATTACAAGGGTTATTAAGGTCTCCAATTACAATAGTGAATTCATCTGTTTCTCCTTGCAGATCTGTAAGTTTTTGCCTCATGTTGTTTGATGCTGTATTACGCATACATGTCAAGTATTGCTGTGTGTTCTTGTAGCCTTGTCGCCTTTATTGTTAGTTAATGCCCTTTATCCCTAAAAATGTTTCTTGAAGTCTGCTCTGTCTGAAATTGATATAGCTACTCCCACTTTCTTTGGATTAGTGTTAGCATTATATGTTTTTCTTCCATTGATTTATAATCTTTCTCTAATATAAAACTGTTTTATCTACACTGAAAATCTGTTCTTTAGTGTAATCATTTTCATCAATTATCTTATCTTGATCTTCTAGATTACTTGCTGCAGCTTCTATATTAGCACTTGCTGCATCACCTTGCACTTTTATTTATGGAGGTAGCTTCCTTTCTTAAATCTCATGAACTAGCCTCTATATTTTTATTTAAAGTATGTTTCTTGTCAACAGCATATAACTGGGTCTTGAGTTTTGGTCTGCTGTGACAATTACTGTCTTTTAATTGATGCATTTATACCATTGCTATTCAAAGTGATTATTAGTATATTCTGGTTAATATCTACTATATTTATTATTGCTTTTTATTTTTTTCCTTTGTCTCTTTGTCATCTACCCTTTTTCTTTTGTGGTTTTAATTGAGCACTTTGTATATTTTTTTTCTCTTTCCTTGTCATATAAGTTATATTTCTTTTTATGTATTTTTTAGTGATTGCCTGAGAGTTTGAATATACCTTGAAAACCGGTAAAAGCCCACTTTCAAATAACACTATACCACTACATGGGTAGTATGAGTATATTCTGATAACAAAATAATTCTAATTCCTCCCTCTCATCTTTTATGCCATTACTGTCATTCATTTTACTTATATATAAGGATATATAACATATGTTTATATTTTTTATATATGATACATACATAAGTATATATAATTGAATACATATTGCTATTTTTATTTTGAATAAACCATTATATGTTAGATCAAGGATAAAAGGTTTTTATTTGTTATTCACTTATTCTTTATTTGATGCTCTTCTTTTTTCAATGTAGATTCAATGTCCCACATTAATAGATCCTGTCTAAAGAAATTCTTTTAACCTTTTTTGCAAGGCAAATTTGTCAATAAGTGACTTCAGTTTTTATTTTGTTTAAAAAAGTATTTAGTTCATTTTCTGTTTTCAAGGGTAATTTTTTAGGACACATAATTCTAGGTTAGATGTTTGCTCTCTCACTACTTTTAAATACTTCAGTCTACAGCCTTGGTTACCAGATAGTGCAACTGACTCTGAGGGAAGTTAAATATAATTTTCATTTTTATTTTATAAAAGGTATTTTTTCTCCCTCTAGTTTCATTCAGGATTTTTTCTCTTATCTTTGATTTTCTGTCATTTGAAAATGATATGTCTATATATATATATATTTTGTGTTTATCTTGCTTGATATTCTCTGAACTTCTTGGATTTGTGCTTTGGCGTCTGAAACAAATTGGAAGAAATTACCTGTCACATGTTTTCAAATATTTCTTCTGTTTTTTTCTCTCTTTTTTTTCCTCTAGTATTTCAATTGCACATATATTAAATGTTTTGTAGTTATTCCAAAGCCCTTAGATATTCTCTCTTTTTTTTTCAATCTTCACTCTCTTTGGTTTACAGTTTTGAAAGTTTCTATTCTAAGCTCAGAGATTCTTTTCTGAGCCACACCATAAGTATAAATAAGGCCATTAAAGGCATTATTTATTAATATTTCTGTTACAAAATTTTTTATCTGTAACATTTCTTTTTGGTTCTTTTTTTTAGTATATCCACTTCTTTACTGATTTTCCACATGTATTCTTTCATGCGGTCTACTTTATCCATTTGACCCCTAAGCATATTATTCAGAAATATTTAGAAATATTTTCAATTCCAGGTCTGATAATTCCAGCATTCCTACCTTGTTTGGTTTTGCTGCTTGCTCTGCCTTTTCAAATTGTTCTTACCTTCTAGTATGCCTTGTTTTGTTTTGTTTTGTTTTGTTTTGCATGGCTGAGCATGATGTAGCAGCTAAAATAAACTGCTGTAAATAGGCTTTTAATAACATGACAGTAAAGTATGGAAGGGAGCAGAAAGCCTTCTGTAATCCTATGATCTTCTGATTACATCTCAGTCATTTAGTGGGCCTAAACGTCTGTACTAGAAAATTCACAAGTGTTTCTTATTTTTTCCTTTTATCCTGAGGTGGGGATTGATAGCTAGAGTGGGGTAGAGTTCAGTATTTTCCTTCCTCCACAGGAAAGGCTAGAGCCAACTGGAATTGGGTATTTCCCTTCTCCCAGGTTAGTCTGGCTTTTATAATATCCCGCCAAGATAGGTTCTGGTCAAATAGTCTTTCCTAAGACAGACTTTCCTAGTAAGAACAGAGTGTTCTGGCGTATCTTAAAATGCTTGCTTTTCTCCTCTCCTTGCCGGAAGCGTAAAGAGATCCCCCCACCCCAATACATACCATGATAAGCTGGTCAAGTTCCTGGAGGTAAAACTCACAAAACTGTGGGGCCCCTTGGGGTATATAACTCTACGGCTTGTCCTAAGTGAGCCTCCAAAAATTTGTCAATTGCAGTTTAAGTTTTCCCATCCCAGTGCTGATTTCCTTGGTGATTTCCATTTTTTAGTCTCTGCCCCAGTAAGCCATGATTTCCTATGTTTTTCTGTCTGACTCTCCAGTCTTGGTTGCAGCCATTCTTCCTGTATCCATATCTCTCTTAAAGATCCCAGAAGAGTTGTTGATACTTCAGTCTGTTCATATATTTACTTGTTTTAGTATGGATGGTGACTTGGGTGCTCCTTACATGCAGAGCCAGAAACCCTAATGACTACCATTACTTTTTATAAACTTTCACTTTTTAAAAAATTTCCT
The DNA here is from genome assembly GCF_000001405.40 of Homo sapiens. NCBI lineage: Eukaryota > Metazoa > Chordata > Mammalia > Primates > Hominidae > Homo > Homo sapiens. The sequence continues at coordinate 63,514,176 of NC_000004.12, read as the reverse complement.
TATTAGCCTGAGCACTATAGTGTAATAGGATAAAGCCACAAGTCTAAGGATCTCTTCTTTATTTAAAAAAAAAAATATATATATATATATATTTCATTTGCGGTCTGTTTTATCTTTACTGGTTTTATTTTATAAAGTTTGTTAAACATTTTATTGTCAAACTATAATAGTATCAAATTTTCTGGAAGAGCTATGTGCACTGCAGATGAAAGCATATTCTATATTCTCAGGAAGTAAGGGTTTTGGGGCTTGAGTATCCTTTGCTTTATTTCAAGGTGGCAGTCTCCACTTTTTTATTGTTTGGACTTGTATAATAAACCTTTGTCATTTTCTATTATCATTGCTTATTTAATTTTATTTATCACTTTGCTTTATAGATTTTTCTATCTACAGGACATATCTAGAATTTGTATATCAGAGTTCAGTTAACAAAGTAAAACCGCTAGGACTGATATGAAACAAAGTATTTATTATAGAAATTAGATCTTATGGATTTATGAGATCCAGTGACAATATCTATAGAAAGCTCTTTTATCTTTTTATTATGGTGAGCCTGAAGTCACTGAAGGTCAAGAGTAGCAGTAATTACAAAGAGAAACTATACAGAAAGTAAGAGAGTGTGTGAACCAATTAGATCCAACAAAGAAAACTAGAACTAATGAGGTCAGAGTAGAACTCAGTTATGATTCTCATGAACTCTAATTGTAGCAACACGACCAACTTACATCACAGCCTTTTGCCCTTTGTCATGAAGTTGTACATATAAATGGTTCAAAATCAGAGAAGAAGAATGGAGACATTAAAAGGTCTCTAGAGAAGTTCAGACTCAGCTTCTGCCTTATGCCAACAAAGTAAGTCAGATTCTGGTACTCCACATCAATCTTCAGAGCTTAGGACTAGGGCTCAACTTCCCCTTTCAAAGATAATGAAAATTTCTCTGATAGTAAATCATAATATTTGTAGCTACATGGACATGTACTTTCAGTTTAGCTAAGTATATAAAAAGAAAAAGAAAATAATTAAGTATTTATTTGACTAGATATACATACACACACATTGTGCTGCATGGCAGACATACTGATGTATAAATTATTTTGGCCATTTTAATATATAAAAATCCAAAAATATATTAATGTTATATATATTTAAAATGAAACCGGCTGAGAATCTTAAAAGTCTAGAATCTATTAAAACCAATTTTACATTACTCACATTTATTAACGGAAGCCTAGGATGGAGAGAAAACAGCTATAATCAATATATAAGGCATAATTTAATAATAATGTAAATATTGTTTTTCAGAAAATTATTTACATAAATGTTGACTACAAAGTTAGCACAGATTAAAGTATGTAAATTTGAATCCGTGTGTTTTAAATTAGATAATACCTATCATACAATATATATGGGATGTGAAAAACAAAATATATTATTTTTAATATTTCAATGATTTTGATAGAATTATCAGTATTCCTTTTTATATATTAGTATACTGAATCTCAGAGAGGTTAAGTGTCTTGACCAAGTTTACAGAATAATTGGATGCGCCATGATGCAAATTCAAGACATCTTGGATTCAAAACCATGCCCTTTCCTCTATGCTTCCATGATTAGGTATAAAATAGATGAAGAAATATCATACATAATATTTACCATTTGTTTTGGAAGCTTAACATAATAAATTTTCAGTAAGTAAATGTATCAATAAATTATAAGGAATAGATACATGAAGTAACTCAGGAAATTGAAAATTGAAAAATATTATGAATAATTGTACATAAGCATAGGGATTCTTTTTTCTTCTTTTTTTCTTTTTGGTTTTACTTTAAGTTATGGGATACATGTGCAGAATGTGCAGGTTTGTTACACTGATATACATGTGTCATGGTGGTTTGCTGCAACTATCAACCCATAAGCCTCTAATGAATTAGGTATTTGTCCTAATGCTCTCCTTGCCTTTGGCCTCCACCCACCGACAGGCCAGGTGTGTGATGTTTCCCTCCATGTGTCCATGTGTTCTCATTGTCAACTCCCACTTATTAGTGAGAACATGTGATATTTGCTTTTCTCTTCCTGTGTCAGTTTGCTAAGAATGGTGGTTTCCAGCTTCATCTATGTCCCTGCAAAGGACACAAACTCATTATTTTTTATGGCTCCATAGTATTCCATGGTGTGTATGTGCCACATTTTCTTTATCCAGTCTATCATTGATGGACATTTGGGTTGGTTTGAAGTCTTTGCTATTGTAAATAGTGCTGCAGTAAACATATGTGTGCATATATCTTTATAGTAGAATGCTTTATAAACCTTTGGGTATATATCCAGTAATAGGATTGCTGGGTCAAATGGTATTTCTGGTTCTAAATCCTTGAGGAATCACTACACTGTCTTCCACAATGGTTGAACTAATTTACCTTCCCACCAACAGTGTAAAAACGTTTCTATTTCTCCACAGCCTTGCCACCATATGTTTCCTCCTACTTCATAATAATCACCATTCTAACTGGCATGAGATCATGAGCTTTTTTCATATGTTTGTTGGCCACATAAATGTCCTCTTTTAAGATGTGTCTGTTCACATCCTTAGCCCACTTTTTGATGGGTTGTTTTTTTTCTTGTAAATTTGTTTAAGTTCCTTGTAGATTCTGGATATTGCATCTTTGTCAGATGGGTAGACTGCAAACATTTTCTCCCATTCTGTAGGTTGCCTGTTAACTCTAATGATAGTTCTTTTTTTTTTTTTTTTTTTTTTTTTTTGCTGTGTGGAAGCTCTTTAGTTTAATGAGATTCCATTTGTCAATTTTGGCTTTTGCTGCAATTGCTTTTGGTGTTTTAGTCATGAAGTCTTTGCCCATGCCTATCTCCTGAATGGTATAGCCTAGGTTTTCTTTTAGGGTTTTTATGGTTTTGAGCTTTACATTTAAGTCTGTAATCCATCTTGAGTTAATTTCTCTATAAGGTATAAAGAAGGGTTCCAGTTTCTGTTTTCTGCATATGGCTAACTAGTTTTCCCAGTAGCATTTATTAGATAGCAAATCCTTTCCCCATTACTTTTTTTTGTCAGGTTTGTCAAAGATCAGATGGTTGTAGATGTGTGGTATTATTTCTAATGTCTCTGTTCTGTTCCACTGGTCTATATATATATTGTGGTACCATTACCATGCTGTTGTAGTTACTATAGCCTTGTAGTATATTTTGAAGTCAGTTAGTGTGACGCTTCCAGCTTTGTTCTTTTTGTTTAGGATTTTCTTGCCTATATGGGATATTTTTTGGCTTCATATAATTTTTTTTTTCTTGAGATGGAGTCTCACTCTGTCACCAGGCTGGAGTGCAGTGGCATGATCTCGGCTCACTGCAACCTCCACCTCCCAGGTTCAAGCGATTCTCCTGCCTCAGCCTCCTGAGTAGCTGGGATTACAGGTGTGCTCCACCATGCCTGGTTAATTTTTTTATTTTTATTTTTAGTAGAGACAGGGTTTCACAGTGTTAGTCAGGCTGGTCTTGAACTCCTGACCTTAGGTGATCCACCTGCCTTGGCCTCCCAAAGTGCCAGGATTACAGGCGTGAGCCACTGAGCCTGGCAAAAATTTAAAGTAGTTTTTTTGTTTTTTTGTTTTTCTTATTCTGCAAAGAAAGTCAATGGTAGCTTCATGGGAATAGCATTGAATCTACAAGTTACTTTGGGTAGTAGGGCCATTTTCATGATACTGATTCTTTCTATCCATGAGCATGGAACTTTTTTTTCCATTTATTTGTGTCCTTATTTCCTTGAGCAGTGCTTTGTAGTTCTCCTTGAAGAGGTCCTTCACATCCCTTGTTAGCTGTATTCCTAGGTATTTTATTGTCTTTGTAGCAAATGCAAATGAAAATTCACTCATGATTTGGCTCTCTGCTTGTCTTTTGCTGGCATATAGGAATGCTTGTGATTTTTGCACATTGATTTTGTATCCTGAGACTTTGCTGAAGTTGCTTATCAGCTTAAGGAGTTTTTGGGCTGAGACCATGGGATTTCCTGAATATACAATCATGTCATCTGCAAACAGAGACAATTTGACATCCTCTCTTCCTATTTTAATACCCTTTATTTCTTTCTTTTGCCTGATTGCCCTGGCCAGAAATTCCAATACTATGTTGAATAAGAGTGGTGAGAGAGGGCATCCTTGTCTTGTGCCAGTTTTCAAAGGGAATACTTCCAGCTTTTGCCCATTCCGTATGATATTAGCTATGGGTTTGTCATAAGTAGCTTTTATTATTTTGAGATATGTTCCATGAATACCTAATTTATTGAGAGTTTTTAATGTGAAGGGATGTGGAATTTTATCAAAGGCCTTTTCTGCATCTATTGAGATAATCATGTGGTTTTTGTCATTGTTTCTGTTTATGTGATGGATTATGTTTATTGATTTGTGTATGTTGATCCAGCCTTGCATCCCAGGGATGAAGTCGACTTGATCATGGTGGATAAGCTTTTTGATGTGCTGCTGGATTCAATTTGCCAATATTTTATTGAGGATGTTTACATAGATGTTCAACAGGGATATTGGCCTGAAATTGTCTTTTTTTGTTGTGTCTCTGCCAGGTTTGGGAATCAGGATGATGCTGACCCCCAAAAAAGAGTTTGAGAGGAGTCCCTCTTTTTTTATTGTTTGGTATAGTTTCAGAAGGAATGGTACCAGCTCCTCTTTGTACCTCTGGTAGAATTCAGCTATGAATCTATCTGATCCTGCACTTCTTTTTGTTGGTAGGCTATTACTGCCTCAATTTCAGAACTTCTTATTGGTCTATTCAGGAATTCAACTTCTTCATGGTTTAGTCTTGGGAAGGTGTCTGTGTCCAGGAATTTTTCCTATCTTCTAGATTTTCTAGTTTATTTACGTAGAGGTGTTCATAGTATTCTCTAATGGTAGTTTGTATTTCTGTGGGAACAGTGGTGATATTCTCTTTATCATTTTTTATTGTGTCTATTTGATTCTTCTCTCTTTTCTTCTTTATTAGTCTAGCTAGCAATATATCTATTTTGTTAAGTTTTTCAAAAAAACAGCTCTTGGATTCATTGCTTTTTTGAAGGGTTTTTCATGTGTCTATCTTCCTCAGTTCTTCTCTGATCTTAGTTATTTCTTGTCTTCTGCTAGCTTTTGAATTTGTTTACTCTTACTTCTCTAGTTCTTTTAATTGTGACGTTGGGGTGTCAATTTCAGATCTTTCCCACTTTCTGATGTGGGCATTTAGTGCTATAAATTTCCCTCTTAAACTAGTTAAGCTGTGTCCCAGAGATTCTGGTACGTTGCCTCTTTGTTCTCATTGGTTTCAAAGAACTTTGTTATTTCTGCCTTAATTTTTGTTATTTACCCAGTAGTCTTTCAGGAGCAGGTTGTTCAATGTCTATGTGTTTGTGCAGTTTTGAGTGAATTTCTTAATCCTGCATTCTAATTTGATTGCACTGTGGTCTGAGAGACTGTTTGTTATGATTTCCATTTTATTATTTTTTTTGCATTTGCTGAGGAGTGTTTTACTTCCAATTATGTGGTTGATTTTAGAATAAGTGCCATGTGGCACTGAGAAGACTTAATTTGGGATGTAGAGCTCTGCAGATGTCTATTAGGTCCACTTGATCCAGAGGTGAGTTCAAATCCTGAATATCCTTGTTAATTTTCTGTCTTGTTGACTTGTCTAATACTGACAGGGGTTTTAAAGTCTCCCACTATTATTTTATGGGAGTCTATGTCTCTTTGTAGGTCTCTGATAACTTGTTTTATGAATCTGGGTTCTGCCTCAGCCTCCTGAGTAGCTGGGATTACAGGTGTGTGCCACTATGCCTTCCCTGTCTGTTTTGATCTATGTTGGTTTAAAGTCTGTTTTATCAGAGACTAGGATTGCAACCCCTGCTTTTATTTTCTTTCCATTTTCTTGGTAAATATTCCCCCATTCCTTTATTTTGAGCCTATGTGTGTCCTTGCAAGTGAGATGGGCCTCTTCAATACAGCACAACGTTTGTTCTTGACTCTTTATCCAATTACCAGTCTGTGTCTTTTAATTGGGGTATTTAGCCCATTTACATTGAGTTTAACATTGTTATGTGTGAATTTGATTCTGTCATCATGATGCTAGCTGGTTATTTTGCACATTAGTTGATGAAGTTTCTTCATAGTGTCATTGATCTTTATATTTTGGTGTGTTTTTGCAGTTGCTGGTACCAGTTTTTCCTTTCCATAATTAGTGCCTCCTTCAGGAGCTCTTGTAAGGCTGCCCTGATGGAGACAAGATCCCTCAGCAGTTGCTTGTCTGTAAAAAAATTTTATTTCTCCTTTGCTTATGAAGTTTACTTTGGCTACACATGAAATTCTGGGTTGAAAATTATTTTATTTAAGAATGCTGAATATCGGCCCCACTCTCTTCTGGTTTGTAGGGTTTCTGCAGAGAGATCCACTGTTAGTCTGATGGGCTTCCCTTTGAGGTGACCTGACCTTTCTCTCTGGCTGCCTTTAACATTTTTTCCTTCATTTCAACCTTGGATAATCTGATGATTTTGTGTCTTGGGGTTGATCTTCTCGAGGAGCATCTTTTTGGTATTCTCTGTATTTCCTGAATTGAATGTTGGCCTGTCTTGCTAGGTTGGGGAAGTTCTCCTGATAATATCCGGAAGTGTGTTTTCCAACTTGGTTCCATTCTCCCCGTCACTTTCAGGTACATCAATCAATTGTAGGTATGGTCTTTTCATATAGTCTCATACTTCTTGGAGGCGTTGTTCAATCCTTTTCATTCTTTTATCTCTAATCTTGTCTCACGCCTTCTTTAAGCAAGTGTGATCTTCAAACTCTGATATCCTTTCTTCCACTTGCTTGATTCGGCTCCTGATACTTGTGTATGCTTCACGAAGTTATCATGCTGTGTTTTTCAGCTCCATCAGGTCATATATGTTCCTCTCTAAACTGGTTATTCTAGTTAGCAATTTCTGTAACATTTTATCAAGGTTCTTAGCTCCCTTGCATTGGGTTAAAACATGCTCCTTTAGCTCAGAGGAGTTTGTCATTTCTGACCTTCTGAAGCCTACTTCTGTCAATTCATCAATCTCATTCTCCATTCAGTTTTGTGCTCTGGCTGGAGAGGAGTTGAAATGATTTGGAGGAGAAGAGGCATTCAGGTTTTTTGAATTTTCAGCATTTTTTCACTTTTTTTTTTTTTTTAATCTTCGTGGATTTATCTACCTTTGATCTTTGAGGCTTATGACCTTTGGATGGGGTTTTTGTGTGGGGTCTTTGTTGTTGATGTTGTTGTTGTTGTTTCTGTTTGTTATTTTTTCTTCTAAAAGTCAAGCCCCTCTTCTGCAGGTCTGCTGCAAGTTGCTGGAGGTTCACTCCAGACCCTGTTTTCCTGGATATCACCAGCGGAGGCTGCAGAACAGCAAAGATTACTGCCTGTTCCTTCCTCTGGAAGCTTCATCCCAGGGGGCACTGGGCTGATGCCAGCCAGAGCTCTCCTGTTTGAGGTGTCTGTTGACCCCTGTTGGGAAATCTCTCTCAGTCAGGAGACACGGGGGTCAGGGAAACACTTGAGGAGGCTGTCTGTGCCTTAGCAGAGCTGGTGTGCTGTACTGGGAGAATCCCTCTTGTCAGGATCAGCTGCCCTCTTCAGAGCTGACATTCAGGAAAAATTAAGTCCACTGAAGCTTGACCTACAGCTGCCCCTTCCCCGAAGTGCTCTGTCTCAGGAAGATGAGGGTTTTATCTGTAAGGCCCTGACTGGGGCTGCTGCATTTCCTTCAGAGATGCTGTGCCCAGTGAGGAGGAATTTAGAGAAGCAGTCTGGCCACAGGTGCTTTGTTCTGCTGTGGTGAATTCCGCCCAGTCCAAATGTCTCAGTCTCCTTAGCACTGTCAGGGGAAAACTGCTTGCTACAACCTCAGTAATGCTGGATGCCCCTCCCCCACTGAGCCCTATCATCCCAGTCTGGAGACTGCTGTGCTGGCAGTGAGAATTTCAAGCCAGTGGTTTTCAGCTTGCTGGGCTCCATGGGAGTGAAACCCACTGAGTGAGACCACTTGGTTCCCTGGTTTCAGCCCCCTTTCCAGGGGAGTGAATGGTTCTGTCTTACTGGGGTTTCAGACACCACTGGGGTATGAAAAAAACTCCTTCAGTTAACTCAGTGCCTGCCTAAACAGCTGCCCAGTTTTGTGCTTGAAACCCAGGACCCTGGTGGTGTAAGCTCACAAGGGAATCTCCTGATCTGTGGATTGCGAAAGCCATGAGAAAAATATAGTACTCTGGCTTGGTAGCACAGTCTCTCATGGCTTCCCTTGGGTGGAGGAAGGAGGTCCCCTGGCTTCTTGCACTTCCTGGGTGTAGCAATGCCCCACTCTGCTTCTGCTCACTCTCCTTGGGTTGCACCCACTGACTAACTAGTCCCAGTGAGATGAACTGGAAATCTCAGTTGAAAATGCAGAAATCACCCACCTTCTGCATTGGGAGCTGCAGACTGGAGCTGTTTCTATTTGACCATCTTGGCCCCTCCCTCCCATAGGGATTCTTATTTCAGGCACTGAAGATCATATATTTATATTGATGAAATAATGTTGCTTTGTCTAAGGTAATGATATTTGATTTCCAAAAATCCAGAAAACTCAACAGCCACCAAATAACAGGGATTCATTATGATATATGGAACATTTTATCACAACTTTTAGAAAGACAGAAAATATGAGTAAAATTGAAGAAAAATACTGCATTAAAGAGAGATACAGTAAATTTAAAATTTTAAGAAAGGTAATACTTAAAATCTTTTTTCAATCAAACTTTTCTTAGTATAGTTTGAAGTTGGGTAATGTGATGCCTCCTGTTTTGTTCATTTTGCTTAGTCTTAGCTATTTGGGCTCTCCTTTGGTTTTATATGAGTTTCAGAATAACGCTTCTAATTCTGTGAGGAATGACATTGGTAGTTTGATAGAAATAGCATTGAATCTGTAAATTGAGTTGAGCACTATGGCCATTTTTATGATATTGATTCTTCCAATCCATAAGCATAAAATATTTTTCCATTTATTTGTGTCATCTTTGATTTCCTTCAGCAGTGTTTTGCAGTTCTCCTTGTAGAGACTGTCCACCTCCTTCATTAGCTATATTCATAGATATTTGATTTTCTTTGTGGCTATTGTAAGTGGAATGTGTTCTTGATTTTACTCTCAGCCTGTATCTTGTTGAGTGTATAAAATGCTGCTGATTTTTGTACATTGATTTTATATCCTAAAATTTTACTAAACTAGTTTATCAGTTTTAGAAGCCTTTTGAAAGATTAAGATATTCTAGGTATAGGGTCTTACTGTCAGTGAACAGAGATAGTTTGACTTATTTTCTTATTTGGATACCTTTTATTTATTTCTTTTGCCTGATTGTTTTTGCTAGGTCTTCTAGTGCTATGTTGAATAGGAGTGGTAAGAGTGAGCTTCCTTGTTTCTTTCCAGTTCTTAAGGCAAATGGTTTCTAGCTTTTGCCCATTCAGTATGATATTGGCTGTGGGTTTGACATAGATGGCTTTATTATTTGAGGTATGTTTTTTGATGCCTAATCTGTTGAGAGGTTTTTATGAAGATGTTGGATTTTACTGAAAGCTTTTACTGCATCTATTGAGATGATCATATGGCTTTCACTTTTGATTCTGTTTATGTGGTGAATTACATTTATTGCTTCACATCCCAGGAATAAAGCCACAGTAAGCAAAACACCTTGGGACTGGTTCCAAAACAGACACATAGACAAATAGAACAAAATGGAGAACCCAGAAACAAAGTTGCACATCTACAGCTATCTGATCTTTGACAAGGCTGATAAAAACAAGAAATGGGGAATGGATTCTCTATTTGATAAATTGTGATGGGATAATCGATTAACCATATGCAGAAGATTGAAGTTGGACACCTGATTTTTACCATGTACAAAAATTAACTCAAAGTGAATCAAAGATTTAAATATAAGTCATCAGACTATAAAAATCCTAGAACACAATCTAAGAAATATTCTTCTCAACATCAGTCATGGCAAATAATTTTTGGCTATGTCTCCAAAAGCAATTTCAATAAAAATAAAAATAGACAAATAGGACCTAATTAAACTACAGAGCTTCTGCTCAGGGAAAGGGAAAACAAAAAACAACAAAAACCAAAAATCTATCAACAGAGCAACCGATGACTACAGAATGGAAGAAGATATTCACAAATTATGCATCTGACAAAGGCAACAAATTAAGCAAAAAACAACCCTATTTAAAATAGGCAAAGGATATGAATAGACACTTCTCAAAAGAAGACATACAAGTGGCCAAAAAACATGAAAAAATGCTCAGTGTCACTAATCATCAGAGAAATGCAAATTAAAACCACAATAAGATACCATGTCACACACCAGAATGGCTGTTATTAAAAAGTCAAAAAACATCAGTTGCTGGCAAGGCTGCAGAGAAAAGGGAATGCTCATACGCTGTTAGTGGGAATGTAAATTAGTCTAGCAGTTGTGGAAAGCAGTCTGGAGATTCCTCAAAGAACTTAAAACAGAGCTACCATTTTACTCAACAGATCTCTTATTGGGTAAATACCCCCTTCAAAAAAGTAAATTATTCTATCAAAAAGACTTATGCACTTGTGTGTTAATTGCTGTGCCATTCGCAATAACAGAGACATGGAATCAACCCAGGTGATCATCAGTGGCAGAGTGGATAAAGAAAATGTGGCATATATACATCATGGAGTACTACACAGCCATAAAAAGAATGAAATCATGTCCTTTGCAGCAACATGGATTGAGCTGGAGACCATAATCTTAAACAAATTAATGCAGAAACAGAAATTTAAATGCCACATGTCCTTATTTAGAAGTGGCAGCTAAACATTGATCACACATGGACATAAATGTGGGAACAACAGACACTTGGAATAACAAAGAGCGGAGGGTGAATGGGTTAAAAAACTACCTATTGGGTACTATGATTACTACCTGGATCATGGGATTGTGTAGACTCCAAACCTCAGCATAATGCTATATTCCAATGTAACAAATCTTCACATGTCCCCCCATATGTGAAATAAGCAGTGAAATCATAAAAAGAAAGAAAGATCTGTGCACAGACAGAATAGGTCATTTTCTAAGCTAACAGATTCAAATAATAAAAATTAATAACAACATACAAAAGGCAATAAATATTTTTGCTGAGATTGTATATTTTATAATTTCTACTGTGAAAGGCCTCACCTTACACAAACAAAAACTATTTTAATTATTCTTTAATCTCTCACTTTTATTGAGGTTCATAACTTGCTGAGGATATTGTATTAATGCATAAATGAGTTTTATGGACAAAGTCACTATCTTGAGAGTTTATGAATTAAGTTGCTGGTATGTTATGGTTGCAGAAGCTGGAAAGTAATTTATTAGAAAACTGTGTTAAATGTATTCCTCCTTGGATTATTTTTATATAGAGACATGCCAAATCCTCTTTCAAATACAAAATATATTGGAGAATGGTGCCAAGAAATACAAAGTCAGAGTATTCCCTTCTATTCCTTCCTGGAAATAAGTGGTGTGTCGGGATTTAGAACCAGATACAGTGTTTTCAAGTGGTAGTTTGACCCTTCACAATTAGTGAAATAATTATACCAAACTTCTCTGTCTTTCTCTGTAGATAGGGATGTTAATAAATATATCATGATAATTATTTCAGTCTAACTTAGTAATATTTAATAGTAAATAATACATTCCTAGAACCTTATTTTTCCTGAATTATAATTAAAGAAATGCTCACTATTACTGATTGAAGCAAATTATGGGGAAAGGTTTTACTTAAACTGAAGTTGGATTTTGTTTTTCTTTAATTTGCATAATTGTATTCCCAGCCCTGACAAGTGTCCTTATTAGGAAGATCAGTTCCAAAATCTGCTTTTGGAATTGCCAAATACTGGTTTTCCCTAAGAGTATTTTTCCCTGGAGATTTACATATGGCTACAACTCATCACTGAAATAGCAGATTTAATGCAATCTCTATAGAGGTGGTAGACAAAACTAGTTGTCCCTGGAGTTTTGTTTCATTTTTCGTATGGGTAGTTAATTAGAACTCATCAGTTGGATGGAGTCAGCTGTTGGTGGTAAAAGGCCTTTGCATGAGGTCAGCATTCTTGGTATACATCATGTTCCCAGGATTCTTGGAGTGCAGTTAGTTCTTAGCCCTTGGTATGCATGTTCCTTATTGTTTTCTCTGGGTCTGTATATATGTCTATCCTAGGGAAGCTAGGTAATCCTTAAACCTTGTTATGATAACCTGTAAATATTTATTGCAGTGTGGCAGTAGAGTGCATTCTTTCTTATGAGGCATCCTCTTCCCTTTGTCTAGCCTGCCATTTTAGGAAAAGCCATTTCTGCTGGAAATGTGCCCAAGATGCATATCTATGAATATTTATGGAATAATGTCCCATCAGTTAACTGCATGTGTTCTACAATTTCTCTTCCTGTTAATTTTCCCCTAACTAATCCTATGTCATATCTGAACAATGTGAAAATAATTTTGTGTTTCTGTGTTCGGCTTGAATTAGAGAGGCTTTACCTCAGTATCTTAGCTAAAGTGATCCCAGACACTCTCATATGTTTATTTTTATCGATATAAATAACTACAATTGAAAATATCTGATGTAGCTGTTTTTATGTTTATAGTGACACAATTCTTGTCTCTTTTGCTTGCTTCCATATCTGGACGACCTTGAACTGTTCCCAGAACACACTAAACCTTGAGCAAAGATCATCCAGATTTTGTATTAACAAAAGAATACATGAGATAAACATGGAAAAGTGCTCTGAAAACCCCAAAGCTCTAAACAATTATCTTGGCATCCCTAAAAAATGACTATTAATATATTTAATATCATGATTTATATCATTAGTTCCTGAGACTATGGATTTAATACCATACTAATCAGAACACTATAATGATGCAATATAAAATGAGCTTTTTTTTCTTAGTCCAATACATTAACAGATACAGTTAGTTATCCTCCAACACCATTTTTCCCTTTGAGATTTAGAACCTCTTGAGTTTTAGCTGGATACAGGGCTGCTTTGCTAAAGACAATTATTTTGTGGCATACTTGGAGATATTTGAGGCTATGTGACCACATGTTTGCCAATGCAATATTAAAGAAAGCTATGCATACTTTTATTTTTTAACTTTAACAAAACTGGGAGCACCCTCATTTTCTTCTTTCACTTTGAAACATGGATTTGGGTGTAGATTTAATGACGATAAATGGGGTAGCTATCTTGTATTTAGATATGAATTATAAAGTCATGTGCTGAGAATGATAGAGTAATAAGATAAAACAAAATTAAGCTTCTAACATTGTAAAGATTCTCTTTCAGAATTGAAATTCTTTTATTCAAATCAGAAAATCAAAGAGGAATAAACATCGATATTTTTAGTCATTTTGTTACAGGTTACACCTATGTTTTAACTAAATGTATATGCACTCATATCACTTTAGCCACCAAAAATGTAGTTATGTCCTATACAAGTGATGTTCAACAAAAATTAATGCAGTGGAAAAAAAGTTTTGTATCTGCATTGTCCAGAATAATATCCACTAGCTTCAAATGACTATACAGCATTTGAAATGTGGCTAGTGCAATTGAAAAAATAAATTTTTATTTTATTTTATTTTACTAACTTAAATCTAAATTTAACTACTTATATATGAATAGTTGATACCATATTGAATAGCTTAGTTCTAAACCTTGCCCTTCTTAAGAAATATGTGCCTTAATAACCTCAATTTCAGAAATGCTATTATTCAGACAACAATTTTAATGTTTCCTGTACCCTTTAAAAATATTAATATCATGAAAGAAACAATATAAGAAGGGAAATTATTTCAAAATTATAAATTATTGATAAACTTTTGATTGGCTCTTGAATTAAAAAACAAAATTGTTATAAGGAATATTAAAAATCACACATTCTTTAAATAATTGGAGAAACTTGAATAGAAAGTCTATATTTGATATTAACATTTTATCACTATTATTTTTTAATTTCTAATTCTTATGGGTACATAGTAAGTGCAAGTAAATTTTTTTTTAAGACAGTCTTACTCTGTTGCCCAGGCTGGAGTGCAGTGGCATGATCTCAACTCATTGCAACCTCCACCTCCTGGGTTCAAGTGATTATCATACCTCAGGCTCCTGAGTAGCTGAGATTACAAGCGCACGCCCGGATAATTTTTTGTATTTTTAGTAAAGACGGGATTTCGCCATGTTGGCCAGGCTGCTCTTGACTCCTGGCCTCAAGTGATCTGCCAGCCTTAGCCTCCCAAAATGCTGGGATTACAGGCCTGAGCCACCAAGCCAGGCCAGGTGTATGTATTTAAAGGACGTATGAGATATATTGACACAAGGATACAATGATTAATAAGCACATCAGGGTAAATGCTGTGTCCATTACCTCAAGCATTTATCATTTCTTTCTTAAAAATATTCCAATTTCACCCTTTTAGTTATTTTTAAATGTACAATCAATTATTATTGACTGTAAGTTACTTCATCATGCTATAAAATACTGGATCTTATTCATTCTACCTGACTATATTTTTGTATCCATTAACTTCCTCATTTCCCCTTACCCTCCCCAATGCTCTTCTCAGTCTCTGGTAACCATCATTCTACTCTCTATTTCCATTAGTTCAATTGTTTTAATGTTTAACTCCCACACATGAGTGAGAATATGCAAACTTTGTCTTTTGGCACCTGGTTTATTTCATTTAATATAATATCAACCATTTCTATCCATATTGTTTCAAATGACAGGATCTCATTTCTTATGGCTGAATAGTACTCCATTGCAAATATATATCACATTTTAATTATCCATTCATCTGTTGATAGACGCTTAGGTTGCTTCTAAATATTGGCTATTGTGAATAGTGCTGCAATAAACATTGGAATGCAAATATCTCTTTGATATACTGATTTCCTTTCTTTGGGGTAGATAGCTAGCAGTGGGCTTGCAGCTCTCTTTGTAATTTTTTTGAGAATAGGGTCTCACTCCATTACCCAGGCTGGAGTGCAGTGGTGCAATCACAGCTCACTGAAGCCTTGACCTCTTGTCTCACCCTCCCAAATAGCTGGGACTAAAGGTGTCTGCCACAATTCTTGACTAATTTTTTTTTTTTTTTTTCAGACGGAGTCTTGCTCTGTCACCTGGGCTGGAGTTCAGTAGCGCGATCTGGGCTCACTGCAAGCTCTGCCTCCTGGATTCACACCATTCTCCTGCCTCAGCCTCCCAAGTAGCTGGGACTACAGGTGCCTACCGCCACGCCTGGCTAATTTTTTGTATTTTTTTTTAATAGAGACAGGGTTTCACCGTGTTAGCCAGGATGATCTTGATCTCCTGACCTCGTGATCTGCTGGCCGACTAATTTTTTGTATTTTTTGTAGAGATAAAGTCTCCCCATGTTGCCCAGGCTGGTCTCCTACTCCTGGACTCTAATGATCCACGTGCCACTGCCTCTCAAAGTTCTGGGGTTAAAGGCAAGAGCCACCACACTTGACCTATTGGACATTTTTTGAAAAGCCTCCAAACTGTTCTTCATAATGGTTGTGCTAATTTACATCTCCTTTAACAGTGTATGAGGGTTCCCTTTTGCTCACATCATCATTTGCATTTATTACTGCCTGTCTTTTGGATAAAAGCCATTTTAACTGGGGTGAGATGATATCTCATTGTAGTTTTGGTTTGCATTTATTTAATGATCAATGATGTTGATCACCATTCAATATAACTGTTTGTCATTTTTATGTCTTCTCTTGAGAAATGTCTGTTTAGATATTTTGCCTATGTAATTGAATTCTTATATTTTTTGAGTTATTTGAGCTCTTTATATATTCTGGTTATTAATCTCTTGTTGGATAGTTGGCAAATATTTCTCATTCTGTGGGTTGTCTCTTTGTTTTTTGTTTGTTTGTTTATTTGTTTTGCTGTGCAGAAGCTTTTAAACCTGATGTGATCCCATTTGTCCATTTTTGCTTTGCTTGCCTGTGCTTCTGAGGTATTACTCAAGAAACTTAAGTTCAGATCAATGTCTTAGGGAGCTTCCCCAAGTTTTCTTCTACTAGTTTCATGTTTTGAGGTCTTAGATTTAAGCCTTTAATTCATTTTGATTGATCTTTGTGTATTTAAACTTTTACCAAACATTTAGCAGTAAAGCCTTCAGGTCCTTGGCTTGTCTTTGCTGGATGACTTTTAATCATGGGTTTGATATCATTACTTGTTATTGGTCTATTTAGGTTTTGGATTTCTTCATGATTCAATATTTCTAGGTTGTACGTGTCTAAGAATGTATCCATTTCTTCTAGGTTTTCCAATTTATTGGTATATAGCTATTTATAGTATTCTCCAGCAATCCTTTGAATTTTAACAGTATCAGTTGTTATGTCTCCTTTTCCATCTCTAATTTTATTTGAATATTTTCTTTTTCCTTTTTTATTTTTTGAGACGGAGTCTCACTGTGTCACCCAGGCTGGAGTGCAGTGGGGTGATTTTATTTTAAACTGATGACAACACTGATTGGAAAAACAAACAAATAAACTAACAGACAAACAAAGATAAGAATAAAAACTCTACATTTTAAGTACATTTCTCTACTTTTTAACTTTTTATTTCTATTTATATCATATTATACTATCTGTCTGGAAAAAATATTGCGGTTATTATTTTTGATAGGTTCATCATTTACTTTTTTCTACTCAAGATATGAACAATTTACATGCCACAATTGTAGTGTAATAACATACTGTTTTTCTGTGTATTTACTATTACCAGAGAGTTTTGTACCTTCAAATGTTTTCTTATTTCTTCTTAGTATCTTTTCTTTTAGAATGAAGAACTTCCTTTATCATTTTCTGTAGGATAGGTCTGGTGTTAATAAAATTCCTCAGGTTTTGTTTTTCTGGAAACATCTTCATTTCTTCATGTTTGAAGGATATTTTCACTGGATAGACTATTCTGGGGTAAAAGTATTTTTTTTTTCTATCAGCACTTTAAACATGTGATGTCACTGTCTCCTAGCCTGCAAGGTTTCCACTAAGTCTTCTGCCTGAAGAATTGGAGCTGCATTGTATGTTATCTGTTCCTTTTCTGTTGCTGCTATTAGGATCCTGTCTTTATTATTGATATTCTGGAGTTTGATTATCAAATCCCTTGAGATAGTCCTTTTTTAATAAAATCTGCTTGGTGTTCTATAACTTTCTTATACTTGAATGTTGATATCTTTCTCCAGGTTTGGAAAACACTGTGCTATTATCCTTTTGGATAAACTTTCTACTCCAAGTTCTCTCTCTAGCTCCTCTTTAAGGCCAATATCTCTTAAATTTGCCCTTAGGGGCTGTTTCCTCAATCTTGTGAGTATGCTTAATTAGTTTTTGCACATTTTCTTTTGTCTTCTCTGACTGTATTTTCAAGTAGCGTGTCATCAATCTCATAATTATTTCTTCTGCTTGATCAATTCTGTGGTTGATTCGGATGCATTCTTCATGTCATTTAAATTTTTTTATCTCAGCATTTTTGCTCAATTGTTTTAACTTATTGCAATCGCTTTGTTAAATATGATAAGATTCTGAATTCTTTCTCTGTGTTATATTGAATTTTGTTGAGTTACCTCACAGCAACTATTTTAAATTCTCTGTCTAAAGAGATGATTTTCCTGTCCCTCCAGGATTGGTAGCTGGTGCCTTATATAATTTGTTTAGTGAGGTCATGTTTTCCTAGATGGTAATGATGCTTCCTAGGTAGTACTGATGTTTATCAATGTCTGGGCATTGAAGAGTTCAGTATTTATTGTAGCCTTCACAGTCTAGGCTTGTTTTTATTGGTCCTTCTTGGGAAGTCTTTCCAGTTATTCAAAGAGAATTGAGTGTTGTGATCTAAGTCTTTGGTCATTGTACCCATATGTACATTAGGGTGCACCCAAAGCCCATGATTGCTGTGACTTTATAAGATTTGTAAGTTTATAACTTTATAAGATGGTGATCTAGGGTAAGACTCAAAATAATTCCCTAGATTACCAGGCAAAGACTCCTGCTTTCTTCCCTTACTCCCCTCCAAACAAATGGAGTCTCTCTCTCTGTGCTGAGCAGCCTGGTTGTGGGAAGGGTTAAAACAATCAGTCTTCACTGTGGCCACCACCACTGGGACTGTGCTGGTTCATATGCAAAGCCAAGACCGTACTGCAACTTGCCCAATACCTGCAGTATCACTGCCTGGCTACTACCAATGTTCACTCAAGGCCCAAGGACTCTTCACTAAGCAGGTTGCAAATCATACTAGGCTTTTGTCCTTCCCTTAAGGGCAGTGAACTCTCCCTCTCAGCCCAGGGTGAGTTCAGAAATGCTGCCCAGGAGCCAGGGTCTGGAATCAGGAATCTTAGTAATCTACATGGTGCTCTATTCTACTGTGTCTGAGTCAGCACCCAAGCTGCAAAACAAAGACCTCGCTCTTTCCTCTCCTTTCTTCAAGCAGACAGAAGCTCTCGCCAAGGCCAACACAGCTAAGAATGAGCTGGGTATGACCTGAAGCCAGAACAGCCCTGGGTCCTACCCGATGCTGGTGGCTAATACTGTCTGGGTAACACAAATATTATTCATGGCCTGAGGGCCCCTTAGTTAGTAGGTGATGAATCTTGCAAGGACGTGGTTCTTCCCTTTAAAGCAGCAAGTTCCCTTCTGACCCAGAGTGTGTCCAGCAATATTGTCCAGGAGCTAAGGCCTTGCATGTAGTGCTCAGGACATTGCTGGTAGTCTATCCTACTGTGGCTGAGCTTGTATCTAAGTTGCAAAGTCCTCTTTACTCTTCCCTCTCTTATCCTCCAGCAGAAGGAAGGAGTCTGTCCTGGAGCTGTGAGCTACACTGCCTTGGGTTGGGGGAGGGGTGACACAAACACTTTTTTGGCTGCCCCACTGGTATCTCATAGGTAATATATACCCCAAATCTACTGGCTCTGAATCCAGCACAGCACCCGGACTTCCCTAGAAATTGTAGTCCTCACAGCCACCATTCAAATTCATTTAGGACCCCAGAATACTTTAGCCTGTGGTGGTGGGGCTAGCTAGAACTCAGGTTTCAACCACTAGGATGGAAACTTTCCCTCCTGCTAGGGCTGGTCTAAATGTTGTCCCTATGGGCTCTGGCTGAATTCTGTTCTGCATTTCATTCTGCGGTGACAGGGCAACATTAAGCACTAGTTCCAATGCAAAATCCCACCATTACTGAGATTTCTACCCATCAAGCACACAGATTCTGTCTCTGAGTCACTCGTTTTTGCTGGGAGATGGGAGAGCTGTCTTATCTGCAATTCAAGACTGTCCTTTCTACGCTCTTCAGTTTCTCTTTCCTTGATATGACGTTAAAACCAGATACTGTGATTGCTCACCTGATTTTAGGCTCTTATGAAGGTGCTTCCTTGTATGGATGGCTATTCAATGTGGTGTTCAGGGGGTCACAGGGAGAAGGTGGGTCATTTTGTTCTGCCCTTTAAGGCTCTATTAAATTTCTTAAGTGTGATAATCTGATTGAGATTAGGTAGAAGCACATACTTTTTCTTAGTATATAAAAAAAATGTAAGGCCAATAGTCAAAGGACTGACATTTTTAATGTGCTCGGAGAAGACAAACTATATGTAGAGTTTTATGTGTAACAAAAGATAGTATTCTTCAGACACAAAGATAATTATTTTCTACCCTAGGATCTGGAGAGAAGGAGTAGCTTCTCTCCAATCCTTAGAAGAAATCCACAGTTAATTGTTGACATTTCTTTCAAATTTTTCATAGATTTGAAAAACCTATGGAAAGAGAGAAAACAACTGGCCCAAAATCTAAGGATAGAAAGTATCTCCAGGGAGAAAGGAGATTTGCACCCATGATCATCTGAAGGTAGATACAGGTAAAAAGTGATACTAGTAAAAAAAAATTCATTTAAGACCGGTAACAAATTGGAAAAGGCTGTGTTTGGGCTTATAAGACAGTGGGAAAATCCTTGAAGGTCCAGAAAGAGGGGAGTCTGCACTCCCCCCTTATAGGCCCATTGCCATGGACTCAGCAGGTAGACAGAGAAGAGTTCTCAAAAAGTGAACACAGCTGCAGTGTGGGCAATGAACTCTGTATTAGTTCTGTTCAACAGAAATTTCTGCAGTGAAGAAATTTTTTTCTCTCTCCATTATGGAATAAAAGCCTTAATTGGTGACAAAATGGAACACTGCTGACCTTAAGATATTGATGAATACTTATTACAGTTGGGAGAAGGGAAGAAGAGGGAGAGTGAGCACAATTCAGGAAGGAATTGTGAGTTTAAGTGCTGACCCCAAGTAGGACAGGCAGGGGAGAGACAGGAAAAGGAAGTCTCCACTGTCTAGACTATAGAAGTGGTGATACCATGGGAAGGATAACTTTATTACAACCACAAAGATTCAAACCAAGCCACATACAGGGGCCCCATTAAGCCCCTCAGCCAAAGTAATGAATTTCAAATAACAAGTGCTAAGAGAGGGACAGGAGAGCAATAAGAACTTGCAAAGGTACACATTCTGAGACACAACACAAAGATAAACATAAATATATTTCATAAATATGTTTTTTAAATCATGCTCTGGTAAACCACCTTTCACCCTAGACACAAGCTGTTTCTACAGGATGTGAAAGCCAAGGAGCACTAAAAATAGGTATAGACTTAACAGCAAATCACAAACTAATTCACATGCTAAGTTGATTAGTACAAATGTCTGTATAAAAATCCTAGCAGAAGGAAAGGTGTGACCATTTTCAGTCATAAAAAATGTGTACCTCAGATGCTACTGCCTACATAAATTGCACACATTGCAATGGATGATTTCCTGATGATCAGCAATGTTAACAGACCATTAATATCAGAAAAGAGCACATATACTAAATATAAAATAAGACATACAACAAAGAAGATATATTTTGAAGGTTTTAATTTTTGTGGTCTAGAAAATAGTAATGTCTTTGGGAGTAAAAATGAATAATCCAGTCATTGATACAAATTTAAGGGAGGAAAATACCTTATTTCCATATGTTGAAATTGAGGCTGGATACCTATGTGTGAGTGGCTTTTAAAGAGATGGGAATAAAAGACTAAGTTTAGATGACAAGGCTTTTGTGTGTAAAACTATGAATTCTGAAAGTCTAGGTATTTGATTTGGTTTCATCCTATTTCATTCTTTTTCAATCTTAGCACATCAAAACTGCAGATGTTTTAATTTACACAAATATAACCTCCAAAAATTGCCCTGAGTTTGGAAAAAATCTGAGAGTTTTTTTTATTAATTCCATATGCTTTGGGTTGCATACACTATGTGCCTCTTTCAACTTGTGGGTGATGAAATGCATCATACAAAGTTCTTCCCTGCTGGGGGAAGGAGAGAGGGGGTTGGGCTTCCTTCACTGCTGTCTTTCAGAGGTATCTCTAAGGAAGTGGTAATGCAACTGCAGTCTTTTGTGAGAGGCAGGGCTTGTAGGCATATTTCAGTGGGTCCACTTATTAAAGAAGCCTACATTTTTCTCCATATATTCTAAGAAACACCTGTTTCATCATAGGTCTGAGCAGACAGACAGAAGCCAGCACAACTGCAGGAGAAATGAAATGAGGTTCTAAGCCACCTTACAGCTTATATTGGCCCCACCAGTCTTTTTGTTCATTGGTTACGTGAGTCAAATTTATATCCCTAAATCCGGAATATGCTGCCTCCAGAATCCAAAGAAGCCTGAGAAGCATGGTGATTCCTTCTTAGTGGTGGAAAGAATGAGGTACAACCATTTGTCTTTTACACTTTTGGGCCTATCTGTGTAACCTCAGATTACCAGGACTGCTAACATTCTCATGATGTGATAGATTCCTGAAACTTGATAGGAATTATTTTCTAATTTTGCACAGCATTTGCATTACCAAGACCTCTAAATTATAGTCATTTTTAAAATTATCTGATCTGATTAACACGAAAACAGAGATATCATACAAAAAAGTGATGTTCCACAGAGTTCCCAAATGACATTTTGTTTTATAATATACTGTAACAGAAGCCAGTGGCAAGTTAATATAGCACTGAAATGAGATATAAATATTCATGGCTGTTCACAGTGTCCATTGTGAACTGTTTTTAATTTATTTCCTTGATAGAGGTCGTTAATAATGAATTTTTCAGGGTAATAAATGCATTATGTGTACTTGAGGCTGTAGTTACATGCTTTAGCAAAGAGAGCACATCTGGTACAGCAGCTGCAATTTGGGAACAAATGAATTGTATTTGTGATAATCTACTGTCATACCCAATGATCTCTCAGGTTTTTCATAAAAAACAGACTGGTGAGTTAAGTGTGATATAATAGTATCTCACCATCCCTGTATCCTTTAGGTTGTTAAGAATGGTACAAATCTTTGCTATTCTCCTCGGAAAACAAGAACAATTTTGATTTTCTGCCTTCGTTATGGAGAAGGAGGCACCTTCAAAGCCATTTTCTTGCCATTTCTACAGGAGATATTTCGAAGCTATAGATAAAGGAGGCACTGTGGCAAATATGTTCATTTGTGTGTGTGTGTGTGTTTGTAGTGAAACGTTCAAATTCCTACTTGATTTCCTGTTGTATATGTTACTTACCTATTTTCTTTGTGGTTACAACAGGAATTATATTTAGCATACTGAAGTTAATACACTCATTTAAATTTTTCAAATTTAATTCCAATACTTCCTTTAGTTGCTGATGTCATAAAATTACGTCTTCATACATTGTGTGTCCAAAAATATAAACTAATGATTATTTTAAAGACATTAGTTTCTTAATTTACATAAAAGACAAAATGTGGTGTTACAACAAACCATAGCTACAATAATACTAGCTCTCAGATTGTTTTAAACATGTATTAGTCTCTCAAATTATATAGAAAACAGAAAGTAGAGTTACAAACTATTGTTTCAATAATACTAATCTTTATAATAGCCTGTGTATTTACTTACCTATATTCAAATCTTTATTTATTCACAAAGATTCAAATTACTTTCTGGTGCTATTTATTTTACCATGCATGACTCCCTGGAACATTTATTGAAAGACAGGACTACTGGTAGCATGCTTCCTCTGTTTTCGATTATTCAGAATGTCTTAATCTCTACCTCACTTTTGAGAGAAAGTTTTGTTGAAGATAAGATTTTTGGTTAACAGATTTGTTTAGACCTTTTTTATATGTTAGCTCCCTGCCTTCTGGTCTCTTAAGTTTCTGATCAGAAATCTGTTCATCTTATTGAGGGTCACTTTGATGTAATGATTTGCTTCTCTCTTGCTGCTTTCAAAATTCCCTTTGTTTTTTGAAAGTTTGCTTATAATGTGTCTGGGTGTGGTTTCCTTTGAAGTCATCCTACCTGCGGTTCTTTAAGATTCTTCAGTGTTTATATTCCTGTCTTTTATGAAATTTGGAAGTTTTCAGCCATTAATTATTCAAATTTTTTCTTTGTCCTTGTCTCTGTGTCTTCTCCTTCCAAGAATTCC
This sequence comes from Homo sapiens, assembly GCF_000001405.40. NCBI lineage: Eukaryota > Metazoa > Chordata > Mammalia > Primates > Hominidae > Homo > Homo sapiens. The sequence continues at coordinate 63,490,606 of NC_000004.12, read as the reverse complement.
AGAGTGTGTATTTTGGACCACTCGATTGTGTTCCACAACTTTGTTTAATTTTCTTCAATTTTTTTTCTTCTGCTCATCAGATTAATTATTTCTATTGTTTTATCTTTAAGAATGCTGATTTTTTTTTCTTCTGATTCTTAAATCTGCCATTGAATCCCTTTAGTGATTTCTTAAAATTGTATTTGTACCTTTTATCTTTACAGTTTCTTTTTAATTTTATTGATGTTTATTTTTTGATTGAACAATATTTTCTTAACTTTCTTTAATTATTTGAACATCTTTAAATAGTTATTTTAAATCTTTGTTTAGTAGATCTGCCATCAGGTGTTTTAAAGGGACAGACTTGTTGGTTTATTATTTTTTTTGTTGAATGGGTCATACTTTCCTGCTTATTTGTATGCCTTGTAATTTTGTTGTTGTTGAAAACTATACTTTAATCTAATAATGTGGTAACTTTGGAAATCTAATTCTCCCCATTTCTCAGGATTTGCTATACTCTCTTTGCCCCTGCTGGTGCATGTTGAATGTTTTGTGGCTCTTTCAAAGTTTTGACCTTTTTTAATCATAGAAGATATCAAACTTTCCTGGCTGTATTACATCTTGAAACAGCTCTAGTTTTTAATCTGTTGACCAAGAAAATAAAACAAGTGCCTTTTAAGGTAAATATGTGTTGTTTTGCAAGGTAGAGGTGTCCATATTTTTCTTAGGCAAGGTACTAGCACTATCTTTATCGGGGAGAAATTGACTGATTCAATGGGGTAAAATGATTCAAAGGAATATGTTTGAGTTAATATTTTCATCTGCATTGATCCAGTTATACCGTCTCCAATCTTAGGCTTTCATCTTTTTAACAGGGGCTTGATCAGACATACATGATGGCCTAATTGAGAATAAAACAACACCTTTATAACTGCTTGTCTTATAATTTCTTTCTTTGCCTTCTCCTCATCTATTTCTGCTTTCTGGTGCAGGATACTGGAGTCTCTCTGTATGTGGCCAGAGATATCTTCTGGCTTTCAAACTTAACTTTTAATGGATGACTAATTTTCCTAAGTGTTTCTCTTTCCTGCAAAGCATGGATTTCCCAAGATTTAAGTGTCATATAATTATTATATCTCACTATTTCTCAAGTACATAATATATTTTATACTCAAGATAATTCTCTTGCACTGATAAACTATTGCAGGTCACCATTAATGAAAATTTTAACAAACATATTACTGTTGCATGCTCCACCTATCACAACTCATGAGGACCACATTGCCAGTGAGGCATTGGGTAAACAAGCTACAAAATCACATGTAAAAGTCCACTTTCTAACTACTTTATCCTGACTAAACTTTGGACCAGAAATCATAGGTCTGGTTTCTCTTGAAGCAGCCTCTGGGGTGAAAATTGATATTCAAATAATTGTAAAAGTTAAAGACCAAAAACTTTCAGGAAGTATAGTAAGTGAAGTCAAGCAGAGCAAGAGCTTGAACTACAAGGCAGTTGCCTAAAAGTTCTCAGTTCACCTGATGAGAAAATATGGAGATGGGTTAGAGTTTTAGCCACGTCTGTAATTGGGATGAAGAGCCAGGCTATTTACATGCCCATCAAGAAATCACTGAACTCTTTCACACGGAGACATAAACTTAGGTGAAGTAGCCTCTTCAATCCAGTAAATTTCCCAGCAAGGAACTCCGCTAACAGCTGTCAATATTGCCAATATCGCACCAGCATCTGGGCAAATGAGTGCCTCAGCCCTGGAGGCATGGGATCTGGGTACCTCACCTTGTATTTACTAAACAGTGTGTAGTTGTTCTTACTTTTTATTGTTGCAGAATTTCTTGATAATTATGATGAAAAGTAAAGATTTATTAAGACAGGAAACACAAGGGTTTTGGGGGACATTTAATCTAACACATGTATCATTCAAATATTTGCAAAAAAGTGATGAAATTTGATGGTGAATATATGATAATTGAAAGGATAATTGATCTTGTAGGGTTTAATTGCAAGGTCAGATATAGTATAGAGGTTTGTGTTTTATTATATTATTTCCCTATGATGTTTTTACGTCAGTAATTTATATAACATAAGTCAGCATAGAGTACACACACACACACAGACACAAACACTTTTAATGATTTATCTAACAATTAGCATCAGTCACAACTTGTTACAATTAACTATTTGCCCTTCTTAAACTGCATTATCCATTGTTTTAGTCACTCCCTGGAAAATATAATTCTTTAAGCCCTAGCATTCACTTTTCTCCTGTTCACCTGGATAAATTCAACTATTGACCTTTATTTTGCATGCAATTAAGCATTTGAACACTATTGAGTAAAGTAAAATGAGAAAAGATTGGTTTTACTTACATCTTATTATCATAAACTTAAATACTAATTATTATTGCCATGGAATTCTCATATTTAGCTCTTTTTCCTCTCAGGAATAATTTTTTTCATCTGATCTTTCTTCAGATATCTCTAATCTATTAAGAAAATAGAAGCTATCAGGTATTACACCCAATATTTCTACCACTAAGTATATCACATCTGCTTCTTCACTTTTCTTAAAGTATGAGCATCTGCCTGTTTTGAGATCCACCAACTAAATTAGCATTCCAGTATGAGAGTACCAAGCCCTAATGGAAAATAAAGGGGAGCTGAATGTGACTTTTTACAGTATACCTTTTATGGGATATTTCTTTCAACTAGTGGATGTCTTAATGCCTAGTTGCCCATGACCAGGACATCCCTCACATGAAAAGTTTATTTATCCTGGCAGACACTTTTGCCTGACTCGTGTCCAGTTTATGCCTGCCTGACTATTTCTCTGGAGCTAAGAGTCTGACCTTGTGTTTTCCCCAGCATCCTGGGGAAAAACTGGCCTGGAGCAACCCCTAGTATTTTGATAGAAGGTACAAATTTAATACATTATCACATTTTCTTTTTAAACTTACAGATCCTGGGCAGGGAAGTTGCAATGAGTGGGGAAGACAGCTCTCCATTCTCAAGTAATGCAAGGCAGAAATGAAGAATCAGGCAGCAAGAGAGGGAACATGGCAACTTGCAGTATATATAAAAAAATAGGGTGTGGTCACTTCAAGTTCAAGGACAAATGGGTGAATGATCCCTTTAAAGGAAGCACAGGAAAGGGAGGAGCTCAGTCTACTAGGTGGAAATGCCTCTAAGTCCTTATCTCTGGCCATTTTCTCGAGCTCTTTGGATGTGGTATAGAACTGAAAACTGTCAAAGGTGACTGAGCCCTGCTTCTAGTATGAGAAAGTTAAATCTATATTCAAAATGGATGCCAAGACACATAAAATTATACAAATTTACTACACTGACTTCCCGTAACAGGGCATTTCTTGAATATTTGCTTTCAATTCCAACACTTTTCATCTGTTCAAATATATTTTCCCTTGTGATACTGCCTTTCTGTTCTATATTATTAACTTTAACTTTCCTATTAGATCCTTTCTACTAGAATAAAAATTCTTTATAGATTTTTACTGTCATTAGTAATGAATGAGGATAGAGAGAGTGGGCAGAGAGGAAAAGAAATAAAAATATCACTTTAATTTCATAGGACTTTTTTTTTTAATTTTACCAGTTTTTTTCTTTCTTTACCTGCTCCTTACACTTCAACCAGCCTGATCTAGTTTCCGCCTCCATGCCTGCAATAAAATTGTTCTTGCTAAGGTTAACAACTACTTTCACATTAGCAAAATTGGTATCTCTCTCTTTACTTCTTTAAAGTCTTGGCAGCATTTATGAAAGTTGAGTGTGTGTATATATATATATATATATATATGTATTTGAAACAATCTATTATCATTCTTTGAAAATTGTAAATTAGTATTTAAGTAGATAGTTCAAGTACAAACTATTTAGTTTGAAGCATTGTATAGTTGGTTGCATGCTTTGTTAGTAAAGAGTTGTTGAGATTCAATCATGGAAAGGATTAGGTTAAGAAACGAAGAGGTAAACATAGTGGAGGCAAATCTGTGTTTTTTACTATCTTAATATTCTAGACAAAATGAAGTATCTTAGACATATTAACGGAAATGGTATGGCCCACGGATGTATCTTTACTATGTGAGGTCTCTGGGAAGGAATGATCTTGTAGGCTGACTACATAATAACCTGAAAAGTTGCTGATTATATGAATAATTGACAGCCATGTTTAGTTTTTCTAAGTATCCTTTGATTCTCATGTGGTAAGAACAAAATCAAGAATTTTGTACACTACCCAAATTAGTGCCACAAAGCACTTTACCTGAAAAACAATTGATATTACATGGGGCTGGGCTTGATGAAGGCTAGGATGTATATTTTAGATTGGGAGACAGATGGAGGACATATTCAAGAATTAATGCCCTACTAAAAGAAAAAACAAGCTGGGGACTTGGTATTCAAAAATAATTACTATGACCTGAATATCTGTAAGACCTCCAAAAATTTAAGATATTAAGCAAAATAATGGTGATTTTTAAGTATTTTTGCTTTTCCTATCCTTAAGAAGTTATAGTGTTAACGTTATACTAGTCTTAAATGTTAATCAACATTTAATCAACTTATCAACATTTATTTGTCTCTTCATTACAAGGGTTATTTTTTAAAAGATGATTTGCTTTTTTCTTTAATCTTCTTAATGCCTATATGAAAGTTCTTATTCAGTATTGTGATATTTGTCTCATAAATTTTGCCTTTTCCATTTTGTTATCAGTAATACTTAAACTTTGTTAATAGTGGTATTTTTGGTGTAGCAGCTTTTTTTTAAATGTAATGTTTTCTACATGCCCAGTCATTTACTTTCCATTTCACCGTTTATTTGTTTGTGTTGTTTTACAAGCAACTTTGCTCACAGAGGTACCAGTAATAAACATATACTTCAATATGTTTTATAATATTGGGACTTTTTAATGTCTTTAAAAAATCTAAACGAAGGTGTTTTTTGCATGTTTGTGTTGGTGTGGGAGCTGGATTCTGGATAAATAATGAACCTTCCAAGTTTTAAAATGTTCACTATTTCTAATCCATAAATGACTCTTCAATTACAATTTTTTATAAGATATGGTAATATATTTTATTACTCAATTCATTATTCAATTAGATCCAGTTTTACTACTGTAAATTTAATTAACTTCGTTAAATTACAGACTTTTCTTATGTGTTTAACTCAGAGGAACACTTCTAATCTGAACTTTATTTGGCAGTTATTATGCAAAATAGCTTATGATAGCATTTTGTAAATTGTATCTACATTCAGTACTGTTCCATTGATAATGCTCAGATATGAAGATTGATTAAAATTCTCAGAGACATTTTTGGTTGTGTTGCTACTATGTATTTATATCTTATATTTAAACATACATATATGTATTGAGTGAAAAACTGTCATATACCTTAGCCATGTATCAGTCAGCATTTTATCAGAGAAATGGAAGCAACATAAATTATAAAATAAGTGATTCACTGATGTAGATATTGACATAAAATAAGTTTTTTATTGTAAAGTTTAGACCTTATGCAACTGCAGAAGCTAATGCAGAAATATATGTAAGGCTGTTCTATTAGCAAATGGTAGTAGACCAATGTCTGTTTCATTGACAGTAATATTTAAGCTTTGTTTATAGTGGAATTTTTTCTATAGTGAGCAGCAGTCAGGAAGGAAAGCTAAACATGAAGTGGGGTAGAGCTAGGATGAAGTAGACTATATACTTGAAATTAATAAGCTGTCTGACTTCAGTCAGGAACTGGGATGAAGTGTCATTTATTTGCTTATTGATTTTACTTTGGGTTTACTTGTCTTTCAAGTCTATTATTTTGAAATTATATAATCTTAAACCTTGTTATCCAATATGAAAATAAAGCATACTTTATTAAATTGTAAGTAAATCACATGTAGATTTTGTTTTTGGAGTACTTCAGGCAAGAGTAAACATGAAAATAAAACAAATTAAAATTGATATACTTGTTATCTTAAATTAGGTAATATTGCTTTTTTTGAAAAAATAAAGTGCACCAGTTAAAATGAAAGATGGGTGGGTAACACTCAAAATAATCAATAGTGAAAATTGTTTCTTAATTTGCCTAATTTAATGGTAGCTATAGAACATAGTAAAGTATAATTGCAGTTATTTTACAAAGAGTTGAAAGAAAAATATGACCCATTTCAAAAAACAAATTAGTGAAAATAAAGTAAAAACACAGCATGACACTTATCTTCTTAGCTTGACTAATTTTTTCATCTATAATGAAATCTTTGACCTCACTTTCCAACTGTTTATTTTCTCTTTTAATTTTAGTGAGAAAGTAAAATAAGAACTTTATACAACACATTGCTAAACTGGAAACCAGTAACATTTATTGACTAGATTATAATTAAGATATTATAGAGAGTATCACTTGAAGATACATTGTTATGATCAGTTTCTCTTTTGAATCATACCATAGAGACTTAGAAATTATATTGGCACTAATTTTTCTTTTATAATTTTCACTTACAAATGAGATGCTTAGAGTCTGATAAAAGTTGCAGAAAATTGCTACCATTAGATTACTAGAGAGATGTGAGACATAAGATATTAGAACATATGCTGCAATACAGAGGCTCACAAACAGGAGACAGTAACTGACAGGAATAACTAACAGGAGACAATAATGGCAATATATGACAACAATGAACAGCATACTTGACTTTTAAGCATTTATTTGACAAGAATGTACTGAGTTCTTACTGTGAACCATGCTATGTGAAAGACATCATTTATGTTTTCAAAGAAACTTTGTTCTAGAATAAAATTTAAAAGGTAAACAATTATAAAACTGATTAATAAATACTATGAAACATTAAACAACCTATGCTTTTAATGTAAATAATGGGACCAAATAACGATATTTTGTGTGCATTTGTAACAAAGACTAGAAGTTTGTTAGGAGGTGTGGCTTCTAAACTGTGACATGAATAACGTGTAATTAAATGAAAGCACAAACTGATCATATTAGTTTTAAAACTTTTTTGTGCTTAACACCTTTTCTTTGCTACATGGCTGCTCTTAGAATGAAGAAAAAAACACGTTTACTTAGACTACAAAGTACTTCAAATTTGGTTATTTATTTACATCCCCAGTCAAATCACATCTGATATTACTTCTCCCTTTCTTCTCTGCTTTCTTTGATTAAATATCCCCAGTTTTCTGTTGTTTCCTTTGTGCCTATTTTCTTCCTATAAATGTTCAGTTCTTCGGTTATAGTTGTCTATGCTCAGCTCTATGTTCTTCGAGTCAGAACTCTGAAACATTTCTTGGTTCCCTTGTTACTTTACTTCCTCTTAGGGAAAGCTATTAGAAAGTGTCAAATTCCTTCAGTATTATATATCGTTGAAGTTCAGTATGCAGGTTGTTCAGACCATTAAATACATGAGTATATAATACAAGTATTGTTTCAAATTTAAGCTGTTATTGCAGACTTGCTTTTCAATTGGTTGTCCATACCATCAAATACTTGAAATAAACATTCGTTGTGATTTTTAATAAATCTTGATTTATTTTCTAAGTTATCTATATCAGAAAAAGGATGAAATGAAATTTGAAGTGTGATAATGAATGTTAAGAAGTTTAATTAAGTATTTCAAATTTAAGCTGTTATGGCAGACTTGGTCCTTAATTGGAATAAATCAGTATAGATGCTGCATTAAGGAATGCTTTTACTCAATTTTTTGAAGAGAAAATATTTAAAGGGTGCTTTTATCTAGAAAACATAACAGTGTACTCTTGCTAAAGTATCTTTATCAATATTGATTCTCTTGTTCAGTGCCTCAACTTAATCATATCAACATTGAGAAATTCAGGCTCTCACAAGATGTCATGCTGATACACTATATTAATGAAATTCCTTTGTTAAAACATGCAGGCACCCTGTATTCCTTGCAAATAAACAGATTTAATAAAGAATGGTAGATTATTATGATTAATATGCATGGGCAATCCAGTGTTGTGGAATATGTGTTAAAAGAGCACTGAAAGTGAAGAAAGAAGTGCCACCCTTGATGGCTCATGTGTATGCAGGTAAAGCATGAAAACTTTCACAGACAGCCATTGAGACATCTCCATCCCATTTTCATATGTAAGAACCTCCCCGTCTAGTCTTTACTAGATGAAAAGCAGACAGTATTTTATTGGTGTTATAGTCTCAAGTGAAAGTGGTCCTAAAGGGCACTGGAAAAGTAAAACCCTCTCAGTGGGTAGACTTGAAAGATCCAGTTTGTCTAAGTTTGGTATCTGTTCAGACTTATAGGCACTGACCAGGAACCATAAGGAAGCACATTTGGTATATGGGTGACAGGGAATTTTTGAAAAGCAGTAAGCAAAATAGCCGCACAGAAAGGGCCCAGAGTAAGAGAAAGTTTCACCCAGTACAAATATTACAGAAAAAGTCTTCCTACTCTGAAGATGAGGAAGGCCCATTCACTGGATACCAATTGAACACCTTTCTTAGCCACCATAGAGTTTTCGAATTGGAATTGTAAGCGGTGTCCACAGAGTTACAGATGTCTAGTATCAAAAATGAAAGGAAAATAAACATACACACACACAAAAAAAAAAACTTTATCAAAGATGCTGAGTACTTAATTTGTGAATAAATACAACCACATTTGAGCCCCTGATATCATATCTCCGGGGAACTGGCTAACTCCTAAAGACATTTTGTCTACATTAGAACCCATGCATAGTGGAGTTCATTCATTCATTCTGGAGGTGGTTACCCCAGGATGCTGTTGAGGAGTTTCTATCACTCAATGCCCTAAAATTGATCTATTTTCTTACCATTCCTAAGGCTGATTTCAGACCCTCCTGCCAATTTGAAATATATGCAATATTTAGTGAACAAATATTAATTCCTATTGTCTGCAACCTAATGGTGCTAACATTATACAATTTAAAGAAGAGAACACATTTCAGATATATTAAGAAGAAAATATAAACAATATTTAAAGATTGATTACATGCCACAATAGAACATAAAAAGATTAATGTTCAAGATTTACTTGGCCACTAAATGAAGGATCATTAAACACCCTGACTTCAGAAATAATGAAAGTAAAGTACAGGGAGAAAACGGGGACATAATAAATAATTATATAGCTACTTCTCTTAATAATGATAACAATAAAATGTCAAAAATAATTCACATTGATATAGCATTATGTGCCAGGCACTTAGTGCTTAACATATATTGTCAACTCCCACAAAATTCCTGTATAATAGTAGTAATTTTTCACCTCTTTTACACATAAAGAAATTGTGATATTTAGATTTAAAAAAATAACATATATAAACTTACACAACTAGTAATTGATAGAGCAGGGATACAAACCCAGTATGATATTACAGTCCACTCTGATATTCTGATGAGTCCAGCTTTAACATCTAAGATTTTGGTAGCTACTTTATATTCATTATGAAGCTGTTTTATGGATCTGAAACTCAATAAATAGTTCAGAGTAGATATATATTTTGTAAGTTTGTCAAAATATGAATGATGATTGAGTGAAGGAATAAACCATATAGTTAAGAGTTTGAGCTTTAGGGTAAAACTATCTGACTTCAAATAGTGCTAAATACTGGTTCTTCTTTACTAAATCTGAAGGCACAGGTTAAACAAAATATTCCATATTCGTTGTCTGCTGAACAAGTAAGTAACTCTTTTTAGTAAATATTTTTCTTCAAGTATACTGCAAAAACTCAACATAGATAACTCTTTTTATAACAGAAAGCAAAAAACAGAGAGAGAAAAAATATTTTTATTGTATATATTCTGAAATCAATGAAAAGCAGAAGCAGATATTCACATTAGCATTTGAACAATGGTCAACGTGTGTATCTCTTTTTTCATTTCATACATTTTCATATATATGTATATATGAAATACATATATATTTAGAAATAAATACATATATATACATATATATAGATGGATAGAAGAGAGAAAGAAAGAGAGAGAGATTAACTTGCAGTTGTGAGAAATAATATGGAGAGATTCTATGTATCTTTAACCAGTTTTTCCAGTGGTAACATCTTATAAAACTATAGTACAACATCACAACCTGATAGTGAGGTTGATATGGTCAAATACGGAAAATTTTCATTATCATAAGAATCTCTCATCTTGCCCTTTAAACTACACCCTCTTCTCTCTCACCCACACCACCTTCTAAATCTTTGGTAATCACTATTCTGTAATTCATATCCATAATTTTGCTATTTCAAGAATGGTATATAATTGGAATTATATAGTATATAAACTTTTAGCATTTTTTTTTCCATGGGCATGATTATCTGGAGATAGTTATTGTGCATGTCAATTTTTTTTTTTTTTTGCAGAGTAGTATTTCATGTTATGGATACAATACGGTTTGATCAATCATTCACCTGTTGAAGGACAAACTGGTTGCTTCTAGTTTTGGGCTACTTCAAATAAAGCTGCTACAAAAACGCATGTACAGGTTTTTCTGTGAACTTACATCTTAATTTCTATAGGATAAAGACCCAAGAGTGCAGTAGCTACGCTGTATGGTAATTTCATGGTTTTTGTTGGTTTATATGTTTATTTTTAAGAAACTGCTCAACTTCTTTCCAGAGTGGCTGCACCATTTTACATTCCCATCAGCAATGTCTGAATAATCCAGTTTCTCTGCATTCTTGCTAGCATTTGGTGGTGTCACTATTTTTTATTTTAGCAATTCTAACAGGTTTTAAATTTGGATGTTCCTTATAGCTAACAATTCTGAATACCTTTCATGTACTTATTTGCCATCTACGGATGTACCAAGCATCTTTGGTAAAATGTTTCCTCATGTCTTTTGCTCATTTCCTAATTGTCCTAATTAGTTTTTTTTACTACTGTTTTTTGAGAGTTTTTAAAAATATTTTCCAGATATTTGTCCATTACCAGGTAAGTAACTTGCAATATTTTACTCCAATCTGTAGCTTGTCTTTTCATTATCATGTCAGGGACTTTCAGAGAGAAAAAGTTAGAATGTTAGATTCTTATTGTTATCCTACAGATCTTGAGTCTCTGTTATTATTTATTTCAGTCTAGTTTAAATCTGTTGTTAAGATTAGGTAATTTATATTGTCTTATTTTCCTGTTCATGGATCCTTTCCTCTATCTTCTCCATTCTGCTCTGGATCCCATTCAAAAAGGTTTCTATTTTGTTTATTGCTTTACTCAGTACCAATATTCTTCTTTTAGTTCTTCTTTGTAGCTTCAATTTCTTTGATGTGATTTTCCATTTTATTATTGGGGCTTTTCATTTGTTTCAAGCACGTTATAAAGTGTTTCTTGGAGCTTTCTTATTATAGCTGTCTTAAAATTTCGGTTATATAAAACCAAAATCGGTCATCTTTTGTTGGCACCTATTGATTTTTTCAGTTTGAGGTTTTCTTATTTCTTTATATAAATGATTTTTGATTGAAAATTGACATTTCATATTTTGTTATAAGATTTTATTTTATTTAAGCCTTTACAAACGGGCTTTTTTCTAACACTGTTAACAGCAAGAGAAAGGGGAACTCTACCTTAATACCATCAAACAGATGTAGATTTTTCACTCAGCTTTTATCAGCACCCCGGTGAGGAGGTCCTTGTTGCCACATTGCAGGAGTGGGAGTTTTTAGTCCCCACACGGATTTCTTCCTTTTTCCTTTTTTTTTTTTTTTTTTTTTGACAGAGTCTCGCTCTATTGCCCAGGGTGGAGTGCAGTGATGCGATCGCAGCTCACTGCAAGCTCCGCCTCCTAAGTTCACGCCATTCTCTTGTCTCAGCCTCCCGAGTAGCTGGGACTACAGGCGCCCGCCACCAAACCCGGCTATTTTTTTTTGTTTTTTGTTTGTTTGTTTGTTTGTTTGTTTGTTTAGTAAAGACGGGGTTTCACCATGTTAGCCAGGATGGTCACGATCTCCTGACCTCGTGATCCATCCTCCTTGGCCTCCTAAAGTGCTGGGATTACAGGCGTGAGCCACCGCGCCTGGCCCCCACATGGATTTCTTTGGCACTGCAGTTGAGAGTGGCCTCATTTCTGATGCGCAATTGTGAAAATCTTGACTCTCCACTAAGCAACCTCTTACACTACCCGAGAAGTGAGGGGTAGGAGCACACCTTACTGCCAGTGAAGGTGGGACCCCAGGTTCCTTTTGTGGTCTCCACTGATTTCCAGAAAGGAAGCACTATATTACCTGCAGTCAGGGTGGAAAATTCTGGCACCCTGATAGTCTTCTTTGATAGTAACAGCAGAGTATTGGGCCACCTCTCTACAGCATTGCCAGGGTAGAGATCTAGATCACCATTCAGTCTTTGATTGTTTCATTGGGTCTGACACCCAGTTTTCCATGCAGTATTGGACTAGACTAAAACAATTATCGTACAAAAGTTTACTGTCTTTTCCTGATTGCTTTCTTTGTCCTGGTAGGGCTTTTATTATCTGTGTCCATTGGCTATTCTGATTCACCAGCTGCTTCAACTACACGTTGTAGAAAAATGAAGCAAAAAGAAAACCCAGGAAACTCAGCGCCATAATGATTCCTCAGGTCCTGATTTCCTTAACTGGTCTGCATTTTTCTTTCCACTTTTCAGAGGCTTCTTACGTTTGTTTTACATGTAATGTACAATAATTTTAATTGAACTTAGTAGAAGGAATAGAATATGTGCATCTATTTCATTTTGTCAGAAGCAGAAATTGACAATGGTTGTTTGGAAATGTGACAAAGAGGGTGATCTAAACTTTCATGAGTTGATTAATTAATGGAAGAAGAAACATAATATGCAATATGAAGGGGACTTAAATTGGAAAACCCTGAAATAGAATTGAGATAACTTTTCCTGGGTGTGTCATTTAAAAGATATATTGTTTTAAAGTGAATCTTGGCCTTTTTTAAACTTTGCTTCCCTTGATTATATCATTTTATGACTGCTAATTTCAGCCGAGAAGAACTAATTTTTAAAAAATTATCTAAATCTTGAGAAATATATCTTTAAAAGCATTCAATGCATTTCAGCTTCAATTGCAATTATCTTATTGTCAAATAATAAAGTGATTATGTTTTCCCCTTTCTAGGAACAACTTACATCAGATAAGTGTATTTATTTTTAGATTAATAACAGATAAACGTTATAGAAGGTAATTTATGAACATGACTATGGTCTTGTCTCCAGAATATTGAAAACACTCATATATTTCTTTGTCATAGTATTTGCATATTTCTGGTATATTGGGGCAAATACCTCAAGAAAAATGTTAAGAATGCCAGATATAAACCTTGAGTGAAAACACACATTTTTCTCTCCTGCCTCTGTTGATAATATCCTTAAATGTTAGCATTGATTGTATATTGTACCTAGAACAGAGTTCAAATTAGTAGTAACAGAATACAGTAGTATGTCTATAAAATATTTATGAGGTTTTGTCTTTGACTTTTACTTGTGACATCTTACAGGTGGTCATCTTGTCAACTGTTTTCATAAAGATAAGATTTTCTAAAAGGTGAAGATTTATATTAGTATTTTCCTTCTATTTTTCTTCTTGTAGATAAAGAAGGCCATGCTTATATGGAGGTCCTTAGCATCAGTAGTATAAGATACAACAGGGACACCAATAATAGAAGAAGGGAATTCTCTAAGGAGAGCTCTCCTTAGGAAGTCCTGAGGGGTTTGCAAATGAGCAAAATTAAGTCATCTTACAACTCATCAACAAAGATAATGATATAAATATATAAATAATAACTAAAATAAATTAAAAACCAAATAGGCCTCATAGATGAGAAGTTTGTGGTTTTAATAACCTATTTTAATTCTAAAAAATTATTCAAAAAAGAAACTTTTTGCTGGGCATGGTGGGTCACACTTATAATCCCAGCACTTTGAGAGGCAGAAGCAGGGGGATTGGTTGAGCCCAGAAGTCTGAGACTCTGAGACCAGCTTGGGCAACATAGGGAGACTCTTGTGTCCTCAGCTAATAGGAAGGCTGAGGTGGGAGAAGTGCCTGAGCCATGGAGGTTGACACTATAGTGAGCCTTGATCACACAACTATACTCCAGTCTCGGTGACAGAGTGAAAACTTGTCTCAAAAGAAAAGAAAAAAAGAAAAATTTTTAAAATTTTAAAAGAAAAAAATACACAACTTTCAGAAGAATAATTTTAAGCACCACAATAAAAAGTAACACTAAAGCTTCTGAATTAACCACACACAATTTTTGTAATAAACTTTACAAACCAGAACTGAATTCTGTCAGATTCAAATGTTATGTTAATAACCAGCAGATGTTTCTCTGCTCCATGCAACAAGAACAGTAATTTATATTCTGTATTTTGGGGCCATGAATTAACTGCCAGCAGAGCAAGCTTTATAAATACTAGAAAAATGTACTATCCAGCAAAGAAAAAATGACCTACTTTCAATGAAACCCATTCATAAGAATTTTTTTTCTAAATTGTGCTTTATTACATTTAGGATGTATTTATAGTATATTGATTACAATTATTCAATTGATTCTTACTTGATAGAACCTGAGTACTACTAATGCTGATACAAAGTAAATACAGATAAGTAGAGCAGCAAAAAAAAAAAAAATGGGCAAATAAGAATAGAGACAGTTTGACATTTTAAATTTTTGTTTATGGTCACAGTATGAAACTTAAAAGCTTAACTGAACCATTTAAAATATTTTTTTCTAAAAGGAGAACATCTAAGTAGAAATTTCCATTTTCTGTAGGAAAAAAATTGTTTAGCCAAGATTTAAAAAGCACTGATCCCAATAAAGATAACTCATGGATTCTTTAAATCTATTTATCTCTGAATACCAGACGAATGATTTCAGACTGCATAATGAAATGTAATACTGAAATTTTTGAATTCACCACACAGACAATTTTTATCATAAACTTTACAAACCATGCTAAACTCATGTGACTAAAATGGAGTAATGGGAAACGCATCTCTCTTCCGCTCTAAAAGCAGTAAACAAAATCACAGACAAAGTATGTCAGCCATTTTCAAGATGTAGGCAATAAGGCAATGATCCCTGAGATATGGAAAACAAAACAACCAAATCCTACAATTAACTCATTTTATCTGCTAGAGAAAATTTCCAAGCAGTGATGCAGGAGGGAGAAAGGGGAGCCCAGATTTTTTCCTGAAATGAGCAAATAAAATTGACAGTCTGAAGTCTAAGAGGAAGCTGCATTTCACAGGGGGAAAATATAAAACAGAAAACAGGAGAGAGATGGGAGGGAGAAAAATAAAGAGAGAATAAAAAAGAGGAGGAGAAAATAGGAAAAGAGACAATGAGCCATCCAAAAGATCTGTGGGGAACAATGCACAAAAGAAAATAAATAATTGTTTTTCCCACAAGTAAGCATGAAAGCCCTTATAATTCTTAGGGGTATTGCACAAAGTGTTTAGAATAGGAGCTGAAAATTTAGCCCTAAAATAAATGTTGCTCTGGCCCTACATAATAAAACTCATGAAAAAGACTTCAACACAAGGAAACTTGCTTGCAAGTAATTTCACTGTGGCATAGATCAAAGTTCAAAATGTTTGTAGAATGCAAAAATATCCAGCACACAACAAAGTAAAATTTTCAATATCTGGCATCAAATGAAAAATTACCTGTCAAGCAACAAAGCGCATAAATATGGCATATACTGAGGTGAAAACAAGAAATGATAGTAGACAACACTAATTATCAGCATATATATATGTGTATATATATTATATATATAAAATGACAATATGTTTTATAAGTTAGAGGAGGATTATACATGTTAAATAAAAACTTCAAATATATAGAGACCCAAAATGAATTTCTGTATATAAAATTTACAGTGTTCACGATGAAAAATGTGCTCATATCATCAACAGCTTATTAAACATTGTCAAAGAACAGATATGTGATCTTGAAGTCACAGAATAGAAATTATCTCAAATGAAAGGAAAGAAGAGATCTAAAAGCATTTTAAAGTGACAGCTATAGAACAACATCAAGAGGGCTTGCATATATGTTATTTGTAGTCACACAAAATAGGGGGAACATAAGAAATATTTGAAGAAAGAAAATAATTTGGTGAAAATATGTGCCTTCAGATAGTAAAGGTCAGCCATCCCAAACACATAAAACCTGAAAAAAAAAACTATGCCAGGCACATTATAAACAAATTACATACATCAGTGATAAAGAAAAAAAAATCCTAAAAGCAGAGATGGGACAAAAAAAAAAAAAAGAGACACATTACCCACAGAAAAATAAAGTTAAACTGGAAAATTTCTTGCCTAAAAAAATCGTGAGACAGGAAACAGTACAGCAGTATATTTAGAATAATGAAAGGGTGGGTTAGTGGGTGGAGATGATCAAATTAGAGTTTTATACCCATCACAAGCATCTTTTAAAAATACAATTGAAATAAACATATTTTTTCAGTTATACACAAGATGAATGGATTAACCACTGGAAGACCTGCACTACTACAAATGTTAAAGAAAGTCCTTCCAAGAAAGAAAAAAGGCAACTTAATGGAAACTTGTGTCTACCAAATGGAAAGAAGAGCAATGGGAATCCTAACTACGTGAGTAAATATAACATTTAAAAATTATTTCAATTATTTTGAAAGTTTCCTATTAAAAGCAAAAATAAGGCCAGGCACAGTGGCTCATGCCTGTAATCCCAGCACTTTGGGAGGCTGAGGCAGGCGGATCAGCTGAGGCCAGGAGTTCGAGACTGGCCTGACCAACATGGAGAAACCCTGTCTCTATTAAAAATACAAAATTAGCTGGGCATGGTGGTGCATGCCTGTAATCCCAGCTACTCCGGAGACTGAGGCAGGAGAATTGCTTGAACCTGGGAGGTGGAGGTTGCGGTGAGCCGAGATCGCGCCATTGCACTCCAGCCTGGGCAACAAGAGCGAAACTCCGTCTCAAAAAAAAAAAAAAAAAAGCAAAAATAACAGTAAACTATTTGGTGGCTTATAAAATAAAATATAAGACTTAACTTGTATGACAACAATAAAGACAGGCCAGGTAAATAAAAAGGAAATATACTGTTGTAAGCTTTACAATACACAAACAGAAGGCATCGCAATATTGCTGAATTTAAGATCAGAAAAATTAATTTTTTTCAAAAAGTTTAAGAATTATATATTTTGATAGTCTTTTCTTGGTAAGCTGCATATAACTCATTAAATTATCATATAATTTTAGGATGGTTTAAAATATTTTGTTAAAATTCTAATGCATATATTTAAATATAAAATGCACAAAAATTATATTTAGTAACTCATTTATTCAGTATTTGTGATGACTAGTTTTATGTGTCAATTTAGATATAGCATCTTAAATACTAATCTAGGTATTGTTGTGGGGGTACTTCATAGATGTGGTTATATCTACGATCAATTGACTCCAATTAAAGATTATATAGATAATGTAAGCAAGCCTTATTCAATCAGTGGAAAGGCCTCAAGAGCAAAACTGAGGCTTCCCTAAGGAAGAAGAAATTCTACCCTAAGACTGCAGCAGCCTCTATTAGAGAGTTTACCACCTGCCAGCTTGTCCCACTGATTTAACACTTGCCAACCCCCACAATAGTCAATTATTTCAAATATATCTTATTATAAGTAATATTATAAGTAATATAAGATATATTTATAATATACCATATACCATGATGTATTTACACATATATTTGATAAATATAGTATAATGTAAAAACACAAACTTCATGTCTTAATAATTTTTTTCCAAATCTCCAGTTTTGTCCATAGCTAGATCAGCCTTTGTGACTGAAAGTCCATGTCGCTTAGTCCATAAAAACCTCCATTTCTGCCACTATAACCACTGTGTTCATGATCTCATTGGGCAATAAAAGAAGTGGCTGGGGAAAGAGGATGACCGGTATTGACTAAATGGGTAATTCTATCCACTTGATTATTAAAATATTCCTCTGTTGAGGTCACCTTTTGGTGGGCATTCACATAGGACAAAATTGTCTTCCCATTTTTGCCCATTCAGAGAGTTCTAATTTGCTTATTTGTTCCCATATTACTTTGGCATGAATTTTCTGATTGTATTCCTTCCTAAACTCTAGTTATCCAGCCAAACCATGGGTTACAGCCTATGAATAATATATAATCACACATCTGGCCATTTCTCCTTCCAAGCAAAGTGCACAACAGGTACACCTGTTGAACTTATGCCCACCAGGAGGATTTCTCTTCACCATGATCCTTTAGGGCCTGTCCCACAAAATTGATGTAGTGCTGCAGCTGTTCACTTTCAGGTGGTGTCTGCATATCCTACAGAACCATTTGTAAACCAAGCCCCATTATTCTCTTCATCTGTCAACTGATTGTAGGATAATCCTTGTTAAGGCCATAGGTTCAGACTGGGAGAGAAGGCAATGCAGCAAGAGTGGAAACCATGAATATTTGGGCCCTTTGTTCATGTAACTAACTTGTGCCTTCAGGGCTTGCTCTAGCCTGATCATATATATATATCACTTCTACTTGATAATGGCGTATTTATGCATATGTCCCCAACATGTATGGTTTTGTGGGTCAGATAACACTAAATTTTGATAGGCAGCTCAGATCACACATTGACTTGGTGTCTATGTATTCAATTTCTACTAAGGTCCAGTAGCAGACCAAGAGCTAACTCTCAAAAGGAGAGTCTTATTTACGGATGACGGCATGAGAAACTTGCTCCAAAATTCTAAAGTCCTCAGCAGTGATTTACTTACAGGGGCCTGCCGAAGGCTTCTTACAGCATGCTTATCTGCCACTGAACTTTAAGAAACATTGGATCTTTTGAATCATATGCCCTAGGTGGCAGAGCAGTTTGCACAGAAGCCTTGACATGTTACAGAGCCTTCTCTTACTCTGGGCCCCACTCAAAACTGGCAACTTTTGGGGTCATGTGAAAAATAGGCTAGAGTAACACACCCAAATGAAAAATATGTTGCCTCCACAAGCCATATAAGCTTACCAGGCACTGTGCTTCTTTGTTGGTTGTAGGAGGAGTGGGATGCAACAACTTATCCTTCACCCAAAAAGGCATATCTTGTCATGCCCCACGTCTCTGGAGCCCTAGAAATGTCACTGAGGTTGAAAGTCTCTGAATTTTAATTGGCTTTATTTCCCACCCTCTGACATGCAAATGTCTTACAAATAAGTCTAGAGTGTTTGCCACTTCTTGCTCAGTAGACTCTAGCAGTATAATGTTATCAGTGTAATGGACCATTGTACTGTCTTGTGGAAGAGAAAGGTAATCTCTGCAAACCAAATTATGACAGAGTTGAAGAGTTGATATAACCACTGAAGTAGGACAGTGAAGGTCTATTTCTGACCTTAATGGCTAAAAGCAAATTGCTTGTAAACAAGTATGAAGCCTTATAAACAAGTATGAAGAAAAAGGCATTTGCCAGATCAATAGCTGCATACCAGCTATCAGAGGATGCGCTAATTTGCTCAAGCAATGAAAACAGATCTGGTAGAGCAGCTACAAGTGGAGTCACCACTTAGTTAAACTTATGGTAATTTACTGTCTTTCTCTCTACAGGCCAAATAGGAGAGTAGATTGGGGATGTAGCGAGAATCACCCCGTTTACATCTTGGAAGTTTTTAATGGTGACACTAATCTCTGCAATCCTTCAAGGAATGCTGTATTTTTTTTATTTACTATATTCCTGAGTAGAGGCACTTCTAATTATTTCCATTTAGTCTTTATGAATAGACTATGATACTAGTCAATATAAAGTAGAAAGCAATCCAAGGCAAGTACAACACAAATGCTGCTGAGACAATTTAAGCACATAATTGCCAAAAATATTTTGCTATTTATTGAGCTTACTCATAAGAATGTGCCTTACTAGGCACTCTAAGAACATTATTTTAGCAAGGAATGGTGTTGCCTATCCTGTGTTATCAACTTGGAGGGTAATATAATTCCTTGGATTGATGAAGGTATTAAGAGAGTGTATGTTAATAAAGAAACAACTGTCAAAAGGTTTCTGCTAAATATATTATTATAAACTAATTTAATATGGAAAAGGATATGAAAATTTGAATTTTAAGCATCAAGAGAACAATTCATTTATATACTGAAAGCAGTAACCCCCAAACAGTCGAATGTTATTTAAAAATAATTTTAATCTAATGGTATTAGTGTCTAATATTTATAAGCCTAGAAATTAGATTAACTGACAATACCCAACAAATGGTATAGTTATAGTATTATTGACGTTAGTTTTCTAATTCACATAAAAAGCTATCAAATATAGGCAATTTTCCCATTTGGTTATGCATAAAATTTCTATACATAAAAGTTAAAATGAAGTTGACAATTTTATTATTCAGACCATGCTGATATTTCTTAGAATAACAATTATCAATACCCACCTAGCAATTTTTAGTCTATGTGTCATCTATACATACACAATCATATTCAGTTCTCACTCCTGAGAGGCAATTTTAGTTAGTTTTATAGATGAGGCACTTTGAGTGGCTGTGCAAATAACTATTCAATGGATTCCCTTGGAATTCAAAATATGTTGGCACTTTACATACATAAACTTATTTAATTCTTTCAACATTCAGATATTATATGTAATTCTTTCAACATTTAGATATTATAAATGCACATTTTGTAGAAGAAAAAATACAAAGTAAAAAAATTACAAAATTACATTTATCTACAAATCATGGAGTTAATATTAAATCCAGTTCCAATGACTCTGCTTATTTTCAGTCATGCTAAGATAATTAAGCAAAACAAAACTGCATTCACCCCAAGATTACGTGCAGTAGGTCAATGCTAGAAAAATGGTCCCTAGTCTAAAAAAATGTTCATAACTTATACATTTTAGGACCAGTGGGGGAATTATAGAAGCACTCCAGTGAAATGACATCTTAATTTAACACGGAAGAGGTGAAAACTATAACTTACAAAACAGATCTTTTCATTTGAGTTCAGTTGTTCATGGCAAGATCAGAGCTAACGTGAGACTGCTTTTAGGAGAAAAGAATGTAATAAATGGGAAAAAATGGTCATTTGCTTAATTTCTATTCATTACATATCAGGTATTAATTTCTCATTTTCAAAATAATTACTTCATTTTAGATGCTTTACATCCAATGAATGAATGAACAAACAAATGAATGAACAAACCATACATAAGTAAATAATTTTTAAAAACCAAATAGGGTAGAAGAGGAATCATGAGCTGACATTCAATGTATTGTACAAGGTACATAATTGTTTCAACCAATTTGAGTGTGACTTATAATACTTTATACATTTTAAAGAAAAAATATTTTTATATTCTGGTCACAGTATATGATCATTTTGGGAAAAATAAGTGTGAAAGCACTTTAAAAATACTACTGGATTAAATTTTGTAAAAGTTCACAAAAGGAGCACTGTGTGACATGGAAATTATATCTGCTCAAGGACTTAGAGTGCAAAAGCAACTTGGCTAATGCTGAAAGGAATGATGCTCTGGGGAAAAAAAGAATTCTAATAAAAATGGAAATGATGACCTACTGCATTCCTACGCTTCTTCAGGCTACTGATCATCCTGCCATTGTATGCACCATCACTTTGCCATTTATCATTGTAGGGTACACTGAAGAACACTTTTGCAGCTGACTAACAACTCTTGATATTGAGAAAGTTATCAGAATTATTTGCAAATCTCCTCTCAGATTTGCAAAGGATGCTGGCATTTCTCCATGAGGCAGGTATACAAGCAACATTTTGTGAAATTGTTTGTCTGACAAAATTGTGTGAAATTTTCCAGAATTAAAACAGCATGTAAAATTTAACTTCTATAACTTTCTTTAAAATAAAGGAAAACTGAATGTGATTAGAACAGTTATAATTGATTATTGGTGAATAATAATGGCTTTTGTTTGCAATCTCTTAAAAACTAATGTGAGCAATGAATTGTATCAATTAGGGAAAACAAAATGTAATTAGAAAATTACACAGTAACACTTCAGACCCTTTGTTTTCAGAAGTACAAATATAAGTGAGATTTTAAAATTCTGTCTCATTATTTTTTTCAACATAAAAAAATTTGAGGCTGGACGCAGTGGTTCATGCCTATAATCCAAGCACTTTGGGAGGCTGATACCAGTGGATCACCTGAGGCCAGGAGTTCAAGACCAGTCTGGCCTACATGGCGAAATCCTGTCTCTACCGAAAATACCAAAGAAAAAAAACAAAATTAGCCGGACATGGTGGCAGGTGCCTGTAATCCCAGCTACTCAGGAGGCTGAGGCAGGAGCATTGCTTGAACCTAGGAGGCGGAGGCTGCAGTGAGCTGAGATTGTGCCATTGCACTCCAGCCTGGGCAACAACAAGAGGAAAACTCCATCTCAAAAAATAATTGAGTATAAGTTGCTTAAACTTTTATATTTGGAATTAATTTGGATAAGGATAAGTTGCATATCAATTATTTTGTGCGACCATATAATCCTTTATTGTTTCTTTTAAAAAAAGTGATGTGGTATAAGCACAATTTTGTGACATGATTACATTTAAAAAAAAATTTGTCAATATTTTTGACACGTTTGCCTGGTTCATGTCTGATCTTATATAAGCTGATTTGTTAGTGACATACAGTGAGGAATTTAAGAGGACTCCACAGGGCTCTTCACTGGCCCCTAAATTTCTGTCAATCAATATTAATGTGATATTTCTAGAAACAGAGGACAAAGCAAATTTATAACAATCTTGTTTGGATAATGCTTTAAAATAACTTTTCTCAATGTCTGGAGATGTTTCGAAGTATACTGAAAGTTCCATGGTAGTTGAGAAGTTATAGAATGGATATCAGGTAAGGAAAAGGGGAAGAAGGGTTTGATGGGAGAGTTAAATGGTGGGGAAGTACAAGAAAGAGAAAAAATATGTAGAGTATATTCAACTGTGTGTGTGTGTGTGTGTGTGTGTGTGTGTGTGTGTGTGTGTGTAGATATATACAGTTGAATGTACAGTATATATCAGTTGACCCTTGAATAACTTGGGGTTTCAGGGCACTGACTTCCCTATACACTCAAAACTTTGTGTGTAACTTTTGACTCCCTAATAACATATAATTAAAATTTTCATAGAAAGATTACTAATTGAAAGACTTAAGAGTCTATATATCTTCCTCTGAGCTTCCATTTATTTTTGGGTTTTTTTTTCCCCTAGAGGTGTTTTAATTCCTTGGATAACCTAGTATATTTTGGAGTATGGTAATTAATCCCTTTGATTCAATGACTCAGGAAGGTTCTAAATTTGCATTTTATTATTGATATTAACTAGTCAAATCTATCATTGGAAAAAAGGTAAATTGTGCCAGAAGTTTAAAATTAACAAAATATAATTTGAAGTATACATTTTGTCGCCAAAGCTAAAATAGTTCTCATTGTTTTATTGTGAACATCATCTTTCTTTACTTAAAATGACACGTGCCACAATAAATAGTAAAGACTTGGAACCAAACCAAATGTCCAACAATGATAGACTGGATTAAGAAAATGTGGCACATATACACCATGGAATACTATGCAGCCATTAAAAAGGATGAGTTCATGTCCTTTGTAGGGACATGAGTGAAGCTGGAAACCATCACTCTTAACAAACTATCACAAGGACAAAAAACCAAACACCCCATGTTCTCACTCATAGGTGGGAATTGAACAATGAGAACACTTGGACACAGGAAGGGGAACATCACACACCGGGGCCTGTTGTGGGGTGGGGGGAGTGAGGAGGGATAGCATTAGGAGATATACCTAATGTAAATGACAAGTTAATGGGTGCAGCACACCAACATGGCACATGTATGCATATGTAACAAACCTGCACGTTGTGCACATGTACCCTAGAACTTAAAGTATAATAAAAAATATATATATAATAACAAAAATAAATAAATAAAATGACACGTGAAAAAACAGTGAAGGACAATATCAGACACTTTTTCTGTTGGTGAATTTACAGGTGTTATTTGAAATATGAACATCAGGTAAGTTTGTGTTTAAATATCACATTGCAATGTTTTCATTTTCTGTCTTTCATGGGTCCTCAATAATTTGATTTTGAATAGAACAATTACTTGCTTAAAAACAAATACTCAGAACATAGAAGTGTCCATTTATAGAATAATGAAATCACTAGGCAGAAGGGATGGAATGTGTTCTAAAGTCTGTGTATGTGACATGTTTTAGGAGTGTGAGAAAAAAAGTTGAATGTGGTGATGGGGAAAACACTGAAGTTCAAAAGAAGCGAAGACAAGAAGCTACTCATGGCAGCAGCTTTTCCCATAAATCAAGAAATGCTACAGATTATAAATGAGATGAGACTATCAAGAAGAGACCTAATAGGAGTGTGAAGACCAAAAATTTAAAAGACGTGGTTATATACTTTGAGTAAACTCTATATATAGGACAATGTTATTGTTTGGTTCTGTGTTCCTCACTCAAATCTCACCTCAAATTATAATCCCCATGTGTCAAGGGCAGGACCAGGTGGAAGTAACTGGATCATGGGGGAAGTTTTCCTCATGCTTTTCTCATAGTAAGTGAGTTCTCATAAGATCTGATTTTTTTATAAGCATATGGCATTTCCCCTCCTAGCATTTTGCCTCCTGCTGCCTTGCAAAGACGGCAGTTGCTTCCCCTTTGCCTTCCGCCATGACTGTAAGTTCCCTGAGTCCTCTCCAGCCATGTGGAACTGTGGGTTAATTAAATCTCTTTCCTTATAAATTACCCAGTCTTGGGCAGTTCTTTATAGCAGTGTGAAACTGGACTAAAATAGAAAATTGGTACCAGGAGAGTGAGGCACTGCTGTAAAGACATCACTATAAAGGCACCTGAAAATGGAAGCAACTTTGGAACTAGCTAATGGGCAGAGGTTGGAACCATTTGCAGGGTTCAGAAGAAGACATGAAGATGTGGGAAAGTTTGGAAATTCCTGGAGACTTGTTGAATGCTTTGACGAAAATGCTGATACTGATATGGACAATAAATTTCAGGCTGAGATGCTCTCAGATACAAATAAAGAACTTGTTGGGAACTGGAATAAAGGTGACTATTTGCTATATATGCTTTAGCAAAGAGACTGGTGGCATTTTGCCTCTGTCCTAGAGATCTGTGGAGCTTTGAACATGAGAAAGATGATTTAGAATATCTGGTGGAAGAAATTTATATGCAGCAAAGTGTTCAAGAAGTGACTCGGGTGCTCTTAAAACCATTCAGTTGTATGCATTCACAAAGATATGGTTTGGAATTGGAACTTATGTTTAAAAGGGAAGCAGAGAATAAGAGTTCAGAAAATTTGCAGCCTGATGATGCAATAGAAAAGAAAAATCTCATTTTCTGGGGAGAAATTCAAGCCTGCTGCAGAAATTTGCGTAAGTAACAAGGAGACAAATGTTAGTCACCAAGACAATGGAGAATATGGCCTCAGTCAATGTCGGATGTCTTCACTGCAAGCCCTCCAATCACAGGCCTGAAGGATTGGAGAGAAAAAATAATTTTGTGGGCAAGGCCCAGGGACTTGCTGCTTTGTGCAGTCTCTGAACTTGGTGCCCTGCATCCCAGCTGTGTCTAATAGTGGCCAACATACAGCTCAGGCCATTGCTTTAGAGGGTGAAAGCCCCAAGCCATGGTGTCTTACATGTGGTTTTGGGCCTGCAGATGCACAGATGTCAAGAATTGAGGTTTGAGAACCTCCACCTAGATTTCAGAGGATGTATGGAAACTCTTGGATGTCCAGGCAGAAGAGTACTACAGGGGCAGAGCTCTCCATGGAGAACATCTGCTAGGGCAGTGCAGAGTCCCCACTGGGGCGCTGACTAGTGGAGCTGTGAGAAGAAGGCCACCAACCTCCAGACCCCAGAATGGTAGATCCACCAACATCTTGCATCGTACACCTAGAAAAGTCACAGACGCTCAACAACACCTCATGAAAGTAGCCAGGAGAGGCGCTGTATCCTGCAAAGCCACAGAGGCAGAGCTGCCCAAGGCTGTGGTATCCCACCTCCTACATCAGTGTGATTGGATGTGAGACATGTAGTCAAATGAGGTCATTTTGGAACTTTTAAGACTTAATGACTGCTTTATTGTATTTTGGACTTGCATGAGGCTTGTAGCCCCTTTGTTTTAGCCAGTTTATCTCATTTGGAATGGGACTATTTATCCAAAGCCTGTACCCCATTGTATCTAGGAAGTAACTGACTTGCTTTGGATTTTACAAGCTCATAGGCAGAAGGGACTTCCCTTGTCTCAGATGAGACTTTGGACTGTGGCCTTTTGAGTTAATGTTAAAATGAGTTAAGACTTTGAGGAACTGTTGGGGAGGCATGATTAGTTTTGAAATGTAAAAAGACATGAGATTTGGGAGGGGCCAAGGACAGAATAATACGGTTTGGCTCTGTGTCCCCTTCCAAATTTCACCTTTAATTGTAATCGCCATAACCCCCACATGTCAATGGTGGAAACAGGTAGAGGTAATTGGATCGTGGAGGCAGTTTCTTCTATGCTGTTATTCATGATAGCGAATGAGTTTTCATGAGATCTGATGGTTTTATAAGCATCTGGCATTTCTTCTGCTTGCACTTCTCATTCCTGCCACCTTGTGAAGAAGGTGCTTTTCTTCCCATTTGCGTTCAACCATTATTATAAGTTTCCAGAGGCAAACCCAGCCACACAGAAGTGTGAGTCAATTAAACCTCTTTTTTAATAAATTACCACTCTCAAACAGTTCTTTATGGCAGTATGAAGACAGACTAACACAGAAAGATATAGCTGTTTTGGAAACATCAGAAGTACAGTTGTAGCAATAAATAAAATATGAATAGATTAACTTTCGTACACCTATTTGTGTTGAAAGCACCAGGAGTCATAGCCAACAATCACTTTAATATTTCTCCAGCTAATTCTTCTGATTTATTTTTATGTTTGGTTAGCCAGTGACTTCCCCACTAGCTAAAAAATATTTTTAAAAGTATGTATGTGTTAATATATCTTGACTACTTTTTAATTTTCCAATTAAAAAATAAATCACACTTTAATCTCTGTGTCTTGATTTTTCTCATTTAAGAAGAGCTCATTGACTTAGGGGCTACATACTATATGACAAGTTACATAAATCACAATTTTCTTAAATATTTCCCTATTGATGGTTACTCAGTTTTATTTTTTTTATTTTTGCCATTAGTAACAGTGAAGAAATTAATGATCTTGCATTTAAATTTTAAGTACAGGTGATTGGCTTCTTTTTACAACATTAAAGAGTTGTAATTGACATACAATAAACTGTAATTATATAGTAGGCAGCTTGCTAAGTATTGACATATGTATTTACACATCAAAACATTACCACTATTAAGATAGTCAAACATCCATTATCTCTAAAAGTTTTCACATGTTACTCTGTAATTATTCCTGTCTGACCCTCCCACTGTCCAAAGGTAATCAATAACCTGCTTTCTGTCCCTAAAACTCAGTTTGCTATTTCTAGAATTTTCTATAACCAGGATAAATTTTTTAAAGATCTTATTTTTTTCACTCAATAGTTATTTTGGGTGCATACATATTTTTTAGGATATCAATAGTTTGTTTTTATTGCTAAGGTATTATTTTATTTATGAATATCCCACAATTTATTTATTTATCCAAATGTTGATGGACATTTGGTTGTTTTGAGTTTGAAACTATTATAAATAAAGCTGCTATAATCATTGGTTTTCTATTCTTTGTATAACATATATTGTTGTGGTTGAGGGGTGCAGATATCTAGAAATGAAATAGCTCGATTGATGGTAAGTATATATTTAATATTTTAAGGTTCTGTTAAACTGTTTTCCAAAGTATTTGCGTTATTTTTCATTCCCACTAACAGTGCCTGAGGATTCCAGTTTTTCTACGTGCTTACAAACACTCGATGTGGTCAGTGTTTTTAAGTTTAGCCTCTCTGATAGGAGAGTGGCTTTAATTTGCATTTCACTCTTAACTATTGATGTCAAGCAGATTTCTGTGTGCCGATTTGCCATCTGTATGTCTTTGGAGAAGTGTCTGTTAACTATTTTACCATTTAATAAAAACTATGTTGCTTTCTTATTACTAAGATTTGGCAGTTATTTATATATTCTGGATCCAAGATCTTTATGAGATATATGATATACAAATATGTTCTCCAAGGCTATGATTTGCCTTTTATTTACGTAATAGTGCCTTGTGAATATCAGAAGTCACTTTTGATGAAGTCTAGTTTACCAATTTTGTACACTCTGAGAATTTCAATGTTTTGCTTTCATTTTGCTTCAATCCTAGATTCTAATTTCTATGTAATTTTCTTTTTTACTCATGAATGAAAGTGTGTTTTTTATGTCATTTAGAAGAGTTTTATTCAGTTCCTTTATATACTTCTATTTATTTTCCATATACTTGGGAATTTTCCAGAGATATTTCTGTTACTTTTTTCTAGTTTCTAATATCGTTTCTAATTTCATCACACTGTGATCAGAAAACACGTTTTATGATTTGAATCCTTTTATGTGTATTGATATTTATTTTATGGTTTGTATTATGGTAAATATTCTGTGCACGCATGGAAATAATTTATAGTCTGTTGTTGTTGTATGGTATCTTCTATAAAGTCAATTAGGACAAGTTGCTTGATAGTGTTTTTCAAGTCTTCTTGATTCCTGTTTACTTGTTCTATGTATAATTGAGAGAAGGTGATATGCTTTGGATTTGTGTTCCTGACCAAATCTCATGTCAAATTGGAGGAGGGGCCTGGTGGGAGGTGATTAGATCATGTGTGTGAATTTCCTCCTTGTTGTTCTCATGACAGTGAGTGAGTTCTCAATGAGATCTGATGGTTTAAAAGTGTGTGGCCTTCCCCCTTCTCCTTCTCTCTCCTGCTTTGCCATGATAAGATGTGCTTTCTTCCCCTTCTGCCATTATTATAAGTTTCCTGATGCCTCTCAGTCATGCTTCCTGTTAAGCCTGTGGAACTGAATCAATTAAGCCTCTTTTCTTTATAAATTACCCAGTCTCATGTAGCTCATTATAGCAGTGTGAGAATGGACTAATACAGAAAATTACCAGGAAAGTGGGGAATTGCTATCAAGATATCTGAAATGTGGAAGTGACTTTGGAACTGGCTAATGGGCAGAGATTGGAACAGTTTGGAGGGCTCAGAAGAAAACATAAAGATAAAGGAAAGTTTGTCACTTCCTAGAGACTTGTTGAATGGCTTTGGCCAAAATGTTGATAGTGATATGGACAATGAAGTCCTGGCTGAGGTGGTCTCAGATGGAGATGAGAAACTTACAGGAAATTGGAATAAAGGTGACTGTTGCTATGCTTTAGCAAAGATACTGGTGGCAGTTTGCCCTGCTCTGGAGATCTATGGAACTTTGAACTTGAGAAAGATGATTTAAGGCATCTGGCAGAAGAAATTTCTGAGCAGCAAGGCATTCAAGAGGTGAACTGGCTGTTCTGAGCATGTACACATACTCGTACGTTTGAACAAAGAGATAATCAGAAACTGGAACTTATATTTAAAAGGAAAGCAAAGCATAAAAGTTTGGAATATTTATAGCCCGGCTATATGGTAGAAAAGAAAAACCCATTTTTCTGAGGAAAAACTTAAGCCTGCTGCAGAAATTTTCATAAGTAAAGAGGAGGTAAATGTTAATAGACAAGACAATGGGGAAAATGTCTGCAGGGCATGTGAGAGACCTTCATGGCAGCACCTCTCATCACAGGCCAGGAGGTCTAGGAAGAAAAATGGTTTTGTGGGCCAGGTTCAGGGCCCCCACTACTCTGTGCAGCCTTTGGACATGGTGTCCTTCATTCCAGTCACTGCAGTTCCATCTGGGACTAAAAGGGTTCACGGTACAGCTCAGGCCATTGCTTCAAAGGGTACAGTCCCTAAGCCTTTGTAGCTTCCATGTGGTGTTGGAACTGCAAGTGTGCAGAAGGCAAGAGTTGAGGTTTGGGAGCCCCTGCCTGGATTTTAGAGGATGGAAATGCCTGGGTGTCCAGGCAGAAGTGTGCTGCAGGGGCAGAAGTCTCATGGAGAACCTCTACTGTGGAAGTACAGAAGGGAAATGTGCGGTTGTAGCACCCACACAAAGTCTCCATTGAAGCACTGCCTAGTGGAGCTGTGAGAAGAGGGCCATTATTCTTCAGACACCAGAATGATAGATTCACTTACAGCTTGCACTGGCACCTAGAAAAGCCACAGACACTCAACACCAGCTTATGAAAACAGCTGGGGGAGGAGAGCTGTACCCTGCAGAACCACAGGGGTGGAGCTGCCCAAGGCCTTGGTAGCACACCCCTTGCATCAGCCTGCCGTGGATGTGAGACATGGAGTAAAATGAGATTATTTTGGAGCTTTAAGATTTAATGACTGACCTGCTGTGTTGTGGCCTGGCATGAGGCCTGTGGCTTTGTTTGGCCAATTTCTCCTAACTGGAATGAGAACATTTACCCAATGCCTGTACACCCATTGTATCTTGAAAGTAATTACCTTTTTCCCCCTGCTTTTTTTCAGTGTCATAGGCAGAAAGGACTTTCCTTGTCTCAGATAAGACTTTGCACTCAGACTTTTGGGTTAATGCTGAAATGAGTTGAGACTTGGGGACTGCTGAGAAGTGGTCATTGTGTTTTGCAATGTGAGAAGGACATGAGATTTGGGAGGGGCCAATATAGAGAACATAGTCCATGAAAATATAGTCCATAAAAATTTCCTTAATCTCACTAGAGAGGTTGACATACAAATTCAAGAAATACAGAGAAGACTGGTGATATGATTTGGATTTGTTTCCCCACCCAAATCTCATGTTTAATTGAAGGAGGGGCGTGGTGGGAGGGGATTAGATCACAAGTGAGGATTTCTTCCTTGCTGTCCTTATGAGAGCAAGTGAATTCTCACAAGATCTGATGGTTTCAAAGTGTGTAGCACTTCCCTTTTCACTCTTTCTCTCCTGCTCTGCCATGGTAAGACCAGTTTCCTTCCACTTCCCCTTCTGCCATTATTGCATGTTTTGCATGTTTCCTGAGGCCTCCCAGTTGACCTGTGAGTCAATTAAATGTCTTTTCTTTGTAAGTTACCCAGTCTCAGGTAGTTCTTTATAGCAGTGTGAAAATGCTAATACGAAGGGTATTGAAATCTCTAACTCCAACTTTTACAGATTTACTGTTTCTCCTCATAGTTTTGTAGAGTTTTGCTTCATTTATTTTGAAGATTTGTTATTATGGGCATAAACATTTATGATGATTGCATCCTCTTAATGAGTTGACCCTTTTATAATTATGCAATGAACTTCTGTATTCCTAGTGATATTTCTCTCTAAAATCTACTGTATCTCATATTAATCTAGCAATTTCCAATTTTAGTTAACTTTATCATTGTAAATCTTTAACCAAGATTTTACTTCAAATTTATTTGTGTTTTTATATTTAAAGAGTGTTTTAATAGGCAACATATAGTTTGGATATTGCCAGTTGGGATTTTTGACTATGTACACTTTGTATATTATTCCTATTATGATTAAATCTATTTAATTTTAATTTTACTCATATGTGCTTTTTACAAATTTATTCTCTCCTTTTATGAGTCAATTGAATATGTTGTTAGTATTTTTAAACGTTTTCACAGTCTTATTTGTTATAATCCATGTTATATTAATTGTTAGTTTACAGTTGGAAAATATGCATCTTTAACTTTTCTCAGTCTAAAGTAAGTGATACTGTACCTTATAATTCTATGCTTTCATGCTTCCTCTCCCATGTGTGTAATAAATCCCACGCTATATAGTGACTATTTTTTAACTGATTAATTATATGTTAAACAGATTTGAATAATTGATAAAAAGCATATAAAGGTTTCTATGTACTTACTGTTTCCAATATTCTTTCTTTCTTTGTTCAGATTTATATTTCCATTTGTATCATTTTTCTTCTAAAAAATTTCTTAAAATATTTCTTGTACAGTAGGTCTGTTGGAATCAAAGTACAGGTGGTTTTGATGGAAACAATTGGAAATGATCCCTAGAGCTTGTATTGTTAATTTTAAAAACACATGCATTATTTTAATATTTCATTGTAACTATGTAACATACATAGATTAAAAGAAAACAATACATAGATGCAGAGATTGGTAAATTTTCACAAAGTAAACATTCCTGAGTAATTATCACACAGATCAAGAAAAAGAACATTTAAAGTAATTCAGAGGGCTCCCCATGTGTCTTAAATCATCAAATTCCACAAGTGTAACAATATCTAGACATCTAACATCATAGTTTAGTTATGCATATTTTAAAAACATTATAAATGTAGACTCATACAGTTAATGCACATCTGTGTTTGGTTATGTTTGTGAGATTTGTGTATGATTTCCGCTGAGGAGATTGACTCATATTTATTTTACCATTGTATCATGTTCATTTTCATTAATGTCTATTATTCAAGGATATAATTATGGCAAAGTTGATTTATCTGTAAACTATAGATAAGCATTTGGATGCTTACAGTTTTTCTGATATACAATAGTGCTAACATAAACTTTAGTTTTTATGTTGTTCAATTAACATAGTAACATGCTTTTAGTTTAGCACGTACCAAGGAGGGAAATTCCGGGGCCGTGTGTGCTTGTATGGCTAATTTTTATAGATACTGTATTGGCACTTCCTCAATCTAGTTGATCCAATTTACTCTTTCAAAAGTAAGTGTTCTAATTTCTGCAAATCTTCAAGAAGACTTACCATTGTATATTTATTTTTCTGTTAGCCAGTCTAATAAATGCATGCTAATATCTCAATGTTTTTTAGCTTGCATGAAATAAGAAATTGGATATCTTCTCCTTGTGAAGTGTCTGTTCAAGTATTCTGCTCATTCATTACTTATTTCATTATTAGTTTGTACATTATTTAGTATTTAAATTTTTTCAAATATTGTTATTACAAATATGATTAACTCATTATTTGGTTTTCATTTAGTCAAGTGTGGTTTGGTAAGTGGAAACTCATAATGCGTATGTACTAATGGTCATAATTTTTCTCTTTATTTAGTGTATCTTGGATACTTCCAAAGGACTACGTATGTATGCCAAGTTTTAGGGCTGTTTTTCAGGTTTACATCTAGAAACTTAAGTTTTTATTATTTATACTTCAATATTTAATCAATCAGAACTTTTGTGCAAAATGAAAGAATATCTATTATTTTATATATTAATATACAAATGACCATTTATTAAAAATAGAATCCCACACAATTTATTAAAAAATTAGCAATATCACACTGCAATGAGTTTTGCCATGTGATAAATCAGTTAGTAATTAATGAATGTATCTGTTGTTGGAATGTGATATCTACCATTGGACAATCCGTTGACAAACAGCACTTTGTAGTAATTATAACGTTATAATATGAATGTATGTATGTAGCTCAAATTTTACATACACCTGAGAGTAGAATGTTGGCTTTTTTGTTTGACACATATATCCTTCTAAGTATTGTCATATGGCAGAAACTTATATAAATTAACATATATAATTTAGTCTGTTGTCTAGACTGAATTTTTTAAGGGTTTTTTTTTCTTACTTTTCAGACTTATTTTTCTCTCTTCTTGCATCTATAAACATTGTTATTTGACTCATACAGTTAATGCACATCTGCTTTTGGTTATGTTTATGAGATGTGTGTGATTTCTGCTGAGGAGACTCACTCATACTTATTGTACCGTTATATCATATTCACTTTCATTGATGTATATTATTCAAAAATATGATTATGGCTAAGTTTATTTATATGTAAACTGTAGATAAGGATTTGGGTGCTTCCAGTTTTTCTGATATACAGTAGTGCTACCATAAACTTTTTCATTGTCTATATATTATATATATATAATTGTAGAGTCTAAATGGTAGTTTCTTCTTTTAGAGAGTGTTAACCTTTTTGTTTGTTAAGTAGCTAGACCCTTATTGCTTTATAAAAATCAGAAATAGAAATACGTCATTTGGATTATAGTTTGAAAAATACTCTCTTAATTCAGGTTTACATACATACATCATCTTTATGTTATCTTATGTATAAAATTGTATATTTAAAATGATATCCTCTTTTCTGGGCTCCGTTAGCAATTATTTTTCTGTCTGCATTGTCTTCTCATTCCCACAAGCTTGATAATACATTCAGTCTAGTTTCACTGGTTTTGCCTTAGCTTCTAACCTTCTTGTCTTCACAATTTAGCAGATTTATTCAGGAGAAAGCGATCATGGATTTAGCACCTATGCAATGATAATTCTTTTTTTACTGTGACACTACAATATAACCAAAAGTTTTGTCAGTTTGACTGTCCTTCAGTAGCGACCCTGTGGCAAAGGGTGAAGAACACAATTTTTAATCTCATGTGTTTTCTGAGATTTGAGAAATTCCCATGAAAATAAATGGCTGAAAAAAATTTAGAATACTTCTTTTTGATTCTCCCCTATGCAAACTCTTTGCCCTTCTACTTCTCACTGCTTCAATAGTTCTCTTATTTCTCTGAAAATAGGATAGATAAACATGTTATGCAACTTTCTTGTTGTTCTCAGCAGTAATATTAGAATACTACAAGCTATTATAGCCTAACACATTTTTTATTGCTGACAGATTTACTCACTGATGATAGCATTTGAAGTATATATATATATACTTATATATATATATAAAAGTTATATTTTCTCTAGCGCGATTTAATATTGTCAGTTTTACTGCATCACCATTAGCACAGGTGTTATTTTGTTTCTTCAATTTTTGCCAGTGACATGGTTGAGAATAAATATCATGTAGCCAGAATCTGTTTATATAATATTGGAATCAATTAATTCAAAACTTTATAATTGAGACTGGTTCTTAGCCAAGATTCATATGAGAATTTTCTAAAATAGCTCTAAATACACATATATTAGTCTAAAATAAAAGCCTAAGTTTAGTTTCCATAACATGTTTTTGATATCTCTAAGTAAATTTTACAAATTTACAGAGGAGAGATAAAAATAATTATTTCGGACACGTCATTTGCTTAGAGGTTTTGAGAAACTAGGTACAATTATAATTAATACCAACCTGACTTCAGAATATTGATGAGTCAAATATTATTTTCAAACACATTGGGTCAACAATGACTTTTAAAAATACTTCTTACCTCTGCATCAATTTTCTTAAACATATGTGTAAAACCTAAATAAGTAGGACTTTTCTTTCTAAATTTGTATTCATCTGTAGTTTCATTTCTACTGTAATAAAAATATAATTTTTTGTTCTTGGAGTTTAATCTAATGCGTAGCATTTCTGAATTATTGGAGTAGAATTTGGTTGGCACTGAGATATGCTTGGGAGCAATTGCGTACTCATAGTTTATGAAAATTTTCAGTTGACCAAAATGATAAATGTTCTGAAAATTATAATATCCCTGAGTCTTAAAACATTTTTGCTTCTTAGAATTTGAACACTGATATAGGCAATTTTTTCTGATCTTTCTTTGAGTTCTTTTAAAACTGTTTTCTGCTCAACGTGACTTTGCTTCAGGTTTAGGAATGATGTTTCTGTGTCATGCAGAGAGATTTTTACACCTTCTTATTAAGACTGACAAGTTACCAGAAAAGTTATGGCACCCAAACAAAAATATCACTCTGTTTACTTTAGAGAGAGCTTTTTCTTTGATCTTTTTGGATGATGCACCAGAATTTATTTCTGTTCAACATCTGAGAATTTGCTCATTTGATCTTATTTCTTTGGAAATCTTTTTTTTAAGGATATTTCATTGATTCATTTCCATTGCTGCCATCATAAATACACCATGACTTTCAGAAAGTTCCCATTCACTTTCAACCTTTCTGAAGAAATTTCTGTAACAAAAAACTTTATGAAATCCTAAGTATTAAGTTATGATATATCCTATTTTTACATTTTAAAAATCTTGAATATTATTTTATGTATTATATATTTTCAATCCTTTTGTCTAATCACATAGATTTTATTCAGACTGAGTTATTTAACTGTTATGTAAAATATTATATAATACCACTAAAATTACTCATTATTAAGATTAATTAATTTTGTTATTTTTTAATTAAAGAAGGTACAATCTTGCTCTTGTGTGGCCTAATTTAAAATATGGCACTGTCTCACAGACAATGCAATTTACATTAAAGTAGTACTATATGCTTTCCTTAAATGATTTTGAAAAATAGCTATCTCAACTCTATATATTCTTTCATAGATAAATATGCACTAATTCAGGATATAAATATAGTTTACCATAGAGGGCGCTAGATAAATATACTTCAGTGCTTTTAAGTTTTAAAGAATATAATCCACAAAAGCTTTGATTTTTCAACTAAATATATATTTATTAATGTAGAATATATAGGTACGTAAACCTGACCATTATTACTGTAAGAAAGTAGGCATGTGAATTCATTTTGCAAACAATTATTAAGCATTCATTATATTCTGGTGCCTTGTTATGTATTAAAATTCAACATTTATAAAAATAATATTAGCTACAATCAATGGGTTACTAACTAGAGGAGAATAAAAGTAAATTAACACATAAATATACTGTACTCTCAAAACTAGGTACATTCAAGTTACAAATGTGCACTTGATTCTACAGGACACACACTTAAAAACAAAAGCAGTAATTAAGATTTGTTTTTTACTCATTAGGTGATTTTCTATAGCATAAAGATATTTCAGTTAATTATCTGATGTACCTTCTTGAAATCTATACCATGAAATAAATTTTCATCTCAAGAATTTAAGGAATAAGAAACATAACTTTTGGCCGGGTGCAGTAGCTCACACCTGTAATCCCAGCACTTTGGGAGGGCAAGGCGGGCGGATCACCTGAGTTTAGGAGTTCGAGACCAGCCTGGCCAACGTGGCAAAACCCCATCTCTACTAAAAGTATAAAAATTCGCCGGGCATGGTAGTGGTGCCTGTAATCCCAGCCACTCAGGAGGCTGAGTGAGGCAGGAGAATTGCCTGAACTCGGGAGGTGGAGGTTGCAGTGAGCCAAGAGAGCACCACTGCACTCCAGCAAGATCTGTCAAAAATTGTGACAATAAATATATCATTTAAATAGTGTGTGTGTTTGTGTGTGTGTGTGTGTTTTTCCATCAAAATGCTGGAACAGTGAAACACTATTTTCATGCGTTTCTTAGTCCTTGGTTGTCATCCAAACTTACTTGGGAAAGAAAATTTTGTGGCATTTAAAAGTATACTTGTTTTATCTGCCTGGATTTGAACTTCAGCACCATAAATTACAAACTATGTAATCCTAATCAAGGAACTTTTTCACTTTAATCCTCAGTTTCATCATCTAGGAAACTAATGCTGATACCCACTCCTGCATTGATTGTGAGGATTAAACAAAGTTAAATAATATTCATTTAACCAAGAGTTTGAACACATAGTTAGTACTCAATAAATGTTATCTATCATCATATTGTCATTGGATTGTGGCAATTGAATATATAGCCACTTAAAGAAACAAACTTGCATAACTTCCAACATTTTAAAAGGTGAAAATTAATGAAAATATTGTGTATACTTTATGATGAAACAAAGTAGTTGGACATACTTATCTATATATTATTTCCGTCTAAGAGGTTACTATTACTGTTAATTAAAATGTACAAGCATGCACAATAAAGTTGCTTTTAAAGAGACCGTGAAAAAAATGGGTTGGAAATTATGTATTTCCAATAAAATTTATAGACATTTCAGCCAGTAACAAACTACAGAAATGAGATTCTCCCAGAGAGAGGGGTCTGGTGCCCTGAGCAGTTTCCACCCTGGCCTTCCACTGCAGATGTTGGAAAAAGATTTTCCTACTGAATAAAACACACCCAAAGCTCAGGAAAAGCACTTTCAGGAATCTTGGTGGTATAAGAGAAACAAAACAAAACATTACCCTCACTGCTTGGGTTTCCTACTGAATAAAACACACCCAAAGCCCAGGAAAAACACTTTCAGAATCTTGGTGGAATAATACAAAACAAACAAACAAACAAACAAACAAACAAACAAAAAATACTACCTTCACTGCTCTTACTGAAAACCCAGCCTAGAGCAGATACAACTTTTTTTTTCCTTCAAAATAAAGCTTTTTTAATTTTTTTGCTTTATGTCTAGTGTTAAAACCATTGACTTCTCTAGCAATTGAACCAACAAAGCACATTTTTACCACGAAAGAAGGCCTATTTTGATAAGCTTTCTGAATTATGCCATTTCTGAGGTTTTTTGACACTTTAAAAAAAGCTACAAGTTATTCAGTAGCATTTGTACAAAGAACAATATCTATTTTTGTTTTGAATAGTCCTGTTCCTGTTTTCTATTTGACTTCTTGGAGCAGTACACCTTATGATGGATTGCAAGAAAGTGCAGCACTCTGGGTATGTTTTCTATGTCCTTTTATTTGTTTTTAAGAATGACCCCAAACTGAGCCATGATAGAGCTGTGAGCGTGGAGGGCCCCCGATGGCATAAACTCAAAAAGCTATTGGCCATGGAAATCACCAGCCTACTTCAGCCTAAGTTGAATTAAAGAAATCCATATGTCATACTTTGGAAACATCTAGGACTCTCCCTTGGATCTGTAAGAAGCCCTTCCCCAAGAGAGAGCACAGCAAACTCTCTACCTGCCGTCAGTCAGTCAAGAATTTACACCTGCAGCCATTTGGCCTGTTAAGGAACAAACTTCCATGGACTTTTGCAAAGTTCTGCCTTTTCCATGAGCCGATAGAATTTCTAACAACCATATCATCTACAACGCTGACCTGTGTGAACTCAGGGAAGAGTTTCTGTATGCAAATGAGTGGAACGAGCAGTACTTACGAATATGAATGAGAATGTGGATTCCGTTAGAGAATGCACTGGACACATGGATCAACTGGAAATTTCATTTCTCTAAGAAAGGCACCCTACCAGCAGCACACAGACTGTCCCAGTTCCAGACTGTCTCCATTCTTTTTACCTGTGAAGATTCCTCCATATTGGAACTGTTTTATTGTGTCTTTTCTTTTGCATTGTAACTAGTCAAATCCTAAGTGACTGGCACTTTGAGGTAGCAATTATATCACTGAGTAATATACACCAATAAAGCAAGAATTGTACATTGTAATTAAGATCAACTGGTTTTCTTATTACTGATTTTGACAAATCTCACATCTAATGATATATATTCTTTGGAAGGTGTATTTATTGCTGGACCAGAGACCAAAATGGGAATTTTCCTTTTGGTCCTGTTTTGTAACTAGTTCCTTTTTTGAAGACAATGTCATGTTTTATATCTTTTGTTATGGGTCTGAGAATCACAATGGTAGCTGTTGTGGCAAAATGTAATCTTAAACACAATAACAATTTTAACTTAATTTTCCAAATAAAACCAGAAATGTCAAAAAAAAAAGTAATTTCAGCCAGAGGGAAAGAAATGTAGGAAGGAAAAGAGCCAAGAACTAGTAATTTCAGATATTTATATTTGATTTTAGAAATAGAAGTTTTAGTGCCTCCAACCGCCTGTCTGCAAAGAAAAAGTTCCATACATTAAAAGCATAGGTACAAAAAAGTAACTGTAGAAGAGAAAATCTCCATTGTAGAATTTTATACTTTTCTGTAATGTTTTTTATAATATTTTGAAGTTCATCTTTCTACAATAATAAATTGGCAATAAGATACAGGCTTTATTAAATTAAAACCAGTTTCAACAAATTGAAATTTTTTTTAAGCGTCATTCTAAATTAAGTAAATTAGTAACACCTCAAGTGTTTGCTTCATTGCTTGCTCATTTGTTTAGCACATTCCTAAATTTTGAATGAGTGTGTATGTTTCTAATTCAGCTTACTGATTCATGGATTTACACTGCCTCAATCTGAACAGATTTCAACCATAGGTGAATAGTTTCTATTTACTCAATAATAATTTATTTTATACATATGAGCAAAAATCAGCCATTCAATATATATTTTCTGTAATTTGTTTTACAAAAGTATTTGATATATATTCTTCACATATAATTAAAATATATGGATTATTCATATTCAATAAAACAGAGAATTCACATCAGATAATTGTAAATTTTACTTTGCGTTTTAGTTCATGTGTTTATTTATTCAAGGGATAGAGTGCCATTCAATTTCTAAAATTCAAATACAATTTTAACACTGAGAAAAATGGCCAAAAAATATGCTTTATAGCTAGATTCAATTTCAGTTTGTATGTAAAGAGAAAGAAGTTGTAGACTATATATACTACATATTTAGTGAAACTGGGAAAATTGATGTCGCCTTTGTCAATGTAAACAAACTAAAATACATTCCTTAATAATAAATGCCTTGTCAATATATGCAATTCCACTCTTGGCATTTTTAAAATATAAGTTTATCCTACTAACATGTTGAGTCTTTTGAACATCCATTTAGCTTCAAAAACCTGAGTACCATTTCATCATAGATACTTTTCCCCACTACCTCCAGCAGTCAGTAAAATATTAAACAACATTTCCTTGCATAATCAGTGAGTATGTAAAAAAATATATCTGCATTATTTCTATGTTAGCTGGACGTCTGCAGTGACACCAATAATAAAAACATTGTAAACATTCACAAAGATATAGTTAAAATTACAAAGATATACTTGAGATTTTTCTAGTTAAGATAATATAAACATGCATAAAGGCTCAACACCAAGTAATTTCAAGAGTAAGAACACATCACAAATACTTAGTAGGTCATATATATATATATATGTATACATACGTACATATATACGTATATATGTGTGTGTATATATGTGTGTGTGTGTGTGTGTGTGTGTGTGTGTGTGTGTGTATATATATATATCCACTTGGTCATATCATTGAGGAATTGGGAGCTGAAAGCATGCATTAGTGGTTTAGAAAAGTATAATAATAGGACAGATGACGATTCAGAGAGTAACTGTAGATTCATTTTCCCAATATCATAGCAGCAAAGCAATGAGAGTAAATAACAGATCCACAGTTATTTTAAAACTGTATTTACTGATTTTCTCTATAAGTTACTAAATTAACTGCTGATAAATTGGAGTATGTTTTTCCCTCACAATATCTCAGACTTAAACAAACATTAGATGACATTAATAAGGATGATAATCTAAAACAAGTAGAATTTTCTGACACTTGCAGTCACAATCTGTAATTTATAAGGATTCAAAAGTCCCTCTTACACATTCAATACTTTAGGGTGAACTCACATGCTACAAAACAAAAAAGCAAAAAGAAAATAAATTACATTCAGAATTACAGAACCATACAACAAATATGTCTGTCTACAGAAGGGCACTTATCCAGCATTTCTGAAAACAAAAGTATTCCTAGAAGCCCAGAACAATAAATAGGATTTGTAGACATTAGTAAGTTTGAGCGAGTGATTGATCGTAGTGACCTTTATTCTATCATCTGTCACCTGCATTTTCTGAGTCATGACTGAAGCCTGTGGATTCTCATCAAAACTCGACCAGCATCCATTTATAAGCACATCCAGGAAAAGCGTGGAGCATGTCTTGAAATACATTCATGTCATAGATAGGAAACTAAGAAACTTCAGTCTATATAAACTATTTTCATCTCTTATGATACTTAAAGGTAATCACTTTGAAAAAAAAATGCGACATTTAAGTAAGTAGTTATATGAAAGAGATTTATTTTCTAGCTTTAGATTCTGGTATATACAGTAGTCTGATTATAAGCTCTTCTCATTGAAATGATGAAGAGGAAGATGAAAAATGTCTTGACAGTTACTTTCCAGAAAACTTTTATATTTAATTGGAAATGTAGATTAGTTGATATCTAAATTTATTTTTAATATCAAAAGCCTGTTATATTAAATGTGATAGCTGCAATGTCGGAATATTTATCATGTATTTTAAAATATACCTTAAACACACACACAAAAAAAAACAAAAACTGAGGGCATAATGATTTATATCTTTTTCACTCTAAGAGCAAATCTTACTTTGGGAGGCCATGGTGGGAGGATCACTTGAAGCCAGGGGTTCAAGACCAGCAAGGACAACTAAGGAAGACCCTATCTCAAGAAAAGAAAGAAAGAAAGAGAAGAAAGAAAGAGAGAGAAAGAAAGAAGGAAAGAAAAAGGAAAGAAAGAAAGAAAGAAAGAAAGAAAGAAAGAAAGAAAGAAAGAAAGAAAGAAAAGAAAGAAAGAAAGAAAGAGAAAGAAAAGAAAGAGAAGGAAAGGAAGCAAATGAAGGAAAGGAAGGAAATGAAGGAAAGGAAGGAAAGGAAGGAAAAAGGGATAAGCATGGTGGCATGTGCCTATAGTTCCAGCTGAGAGAACTGAGCTTGAGGGTTGGGAGGCTGAGGTTGGAGGATTGCTTGAGCCCAGGAGTTCAAGACCACTGTGATCTATGATTGCCCACTCACTTCACTTCAATGTGGGCAACAGAGCAAAATATTATTTATAAAATAAAAATGAAAATAATTGTTTAAAAAGAGCACATTTTAAGCATAAAACAGAATTTTTGAAAACAGAGAAAAAAATCATATAACCACTAGCTTCCAAAGTATGGTAATTATTTTATTGTATTTTGTCTTTATAATCACTGAATACATAAATTGTATATAATGAAAATATTACTTTAATAATACATATGAGTATTATCACATATTCTTAATAGGTATAATTACTAGAATCTATATACTACTCTATGCGAAAAATAAAACAACACAAATTTGGGTCTTTTATAAGCATTTTTTTAATTATCAAAAATACCCTCGTGAATGTCTTAGTGTCTTTTAAGCATTTCAAGTTTTTTTTCCACAATTTATTTTCAACAGAATAATTAGGAGAAAAGTTTCTCATATTTGTACTGCTATTAATAATACAGTAAAGTTTATATTCTATAAAAGTTCAGATAGTACATATTTCAGACTTTGTGGTCCACACAGTCTATGACAAAAAAGTAGGCATAATGATATGGTTTGGCTGTGTACCCATCCAAATCTCATCTTGAATTCCCTCCTGTTGTGGGAGGAACCCAGTGGGCAGTAATTAAATCATGGGGGCAAGTTTTTCTCAAGCTCTTCTCATGAATAAGTCTCACAAGATATGATGGTTTTATAAAGAGGAATTCCCCTCCACGAGTTCTCTCTCTTTGCCTGCCACCATCTACATAAGATGTGATGTGCTCCTCCTTGCCTTCCACCATGACTGTGAGGCCTCCCCAGCCATGTGGAACTGTAAGTCCATTAAACCTCTTTCTTTTGTAAATTGCCCAGTCTCGGGTATGTCTTCATTAGCATAATACAATAAATTGGTACCAGTAGAGTGAGGTGCTGCTGAAAAGATACCTGAAAAGACAGAAGTGACTTTGGAATTGGGTAACAGAGAGAGGTCAGAACAGTTTGGAGGGCTCAGAAGAAGGCAGGAAAATGTGGGACAGTTTGGAACTCTCTAGATATTTGTTGAATGGCTTTGACCAAAATGCTGATAATGATATGGACAATGAAATCCAGGCAGAGATGGTCTCAGATAGAGATGAGGAACCTGTTGGGACTGGAGCAAAAATGACTCCTGTTATGTTTTAGCAAAGAGACTGGCAGCATTTTGCCACTGCCCTAGAGATCTGTGAAACTTTGAACAGATGATTTAGGGTATCTGGCAGAAGAAATTCTAAGAGATGATTTAGGTTATCTGGCAGATGAAATTTCTAAGCAGCAAAGCATTCAAGATGTGAGTTGGGTGTTGTTAAAGGCATTCAGTTTTATAAGGGAAACAGAACATAACAATTTGGAAAATTTGCAGAATTATGTATATTTGCACAAATTACCTATATATTTATATATTATATAATATATATAAATTTGCAGAATTGTATATATTCTCATACAAATTATCTATATATTTTATAGAATACAAAATTTGCAGCCTGACCATGCAATAGAAAAGAAAATCCCATTTTCTGAGGATAAATTCAAGCCAGCTGCAGAAATTTGCAAAAGTAATGAGGAACCAAATGCTAATCATCAAGACAATGGGGAAAATGTCTCTAGGGCATGCCAGAGACTTTTGTGGCAGCCCCTCTAATCAAAGGCCCAGAGGTTTAGGAGGAAAAAATGGTTTCATGGGCTGGGTCCAGGGTCCCTCTGTTGTGTGCAGTCTAGGGACTTGGTGCCCCACATCCCAGCTGCTCCAGTGTGACTAAAAGTGATCAAGGTACAGCTCAAGCTGTTGCTTCAGAGGGTGCAAGCCCCAGGCCTTGGCAGTTTCTATGTGGTGTTGAGCCTGTGGGTACACAGTAGTCAAAAATTGTTGTTCAGGAACCTCACCTAGATTTCAGAAGATGTATGGAAAGGCCTGGATGCCCAGGCAGAAGTTTGCTGCAGGGGCAAGACAAGGCCCTCATGGAGAACCTCTGCTAGGTCAGTGAGAAAGGGAAATGTGGCGTTGGAGCCCCCACACAGAGTCCCTGCTGGGGCACTGCCTAGTGGAGCTGTGAGAAGAGGGCCACCATTCTCCAGAGCCCAGCATGGTA
This sequence comes from Homo sapiens, assembly GCF_000001405.40. Classification (NCBI taxonomy): domain Eukaryota; kingdom Metazoa; phylum Chordata; class Mammalia; order Primates; family Hominidae; genus Homo; species Homo sapiens. The sequence goes on along the minus strand of NC_000004.12, from coordinate 63,445,977 downwards.
GATCCACTGACAGCTTACACCATGCTTCTTGAAAAGCTGCAGACAGGAGGGGGGCTGTCCCTGCAAAGCCACAGAGATGGAGCTGCCCAAGACCATGAGAACCCACCTCTTGCATCAACATGACCTGGATATGAGACATGGAGTTAAACGAGATCATTTCTGAACATTGAGCTTTGACTACCCCACTGGATTTTGGACTTGCATGAGCCTGTAGCCTCTCTATTTTGGCCATTGTCTCCCATTTGAAATGGCTGTATTTGCCTGTACTCCCTGTACCCCCATTGTATCTAGGAAGTAACTTACTTGCTTTTGATTTTACAGGCTCATAGGTGGAAGGAATTTGACTTGTCTTAGATGAGACTTTGGACTGTTGACTTTTTAGTTAATACAGAAATAAGACTTTGGGGGACTGTTGGGAAGGCATGATGGGTTTTGAAATGTGAGAACAAGGGATTTGGAAGGGGCCAGAGGTGGAATGATATGGTTTGGCTGTGTCCCCACCCAAATCTCATATTGAATTCTCATATGTTGTGGGAGGGACCTGGTGGGAGGTAATTTAATCATGAGGACAAGTCTTTCCTATGCTGTACTCGTGATAGTAAATAAGTCCCAGGAGTTCTGATGGTTTTATAAAGAGGAGTTCCCCTGCACATGCTCTCTCTCTTTGCCCACCACCATTCATGTAAGATGTGGCTTGCCCCTCTTTGCTTTGCACCATGACTGTTAGTCTTCCCCAGCCATGTGGAACTGTAAATCAAGTTAAACCTCTTTCTTTTGTAAATTGTCCAGTCTCAGGTATATCTTTATTAGCAGCATGATAACAGACTAATACACATGGACAAAACCTAAATGAGAAAATGTATTTTTGTTTCAATAAAACATTATTTACAAAATCAGTGGTGGTTTGAATTTGTCCTGTGAGCAGTAGTTTGCCCATCCCAGGACTAAATAATCAAGATATTAATATATAATCCAAGCATAAAATACTAATTGACAGTTTTATTATTCAAATTGCAAAATTTCATTAGAGTGAAAGTAAAACTCTGAAGTTATCTCACATGTATAGTAATTTTCCAGAGATCAAAATAATCCTTAATATGTTTCATTCCATCTACTTTATTTAGGGCCACAGGGCCCATTAACAGTAATTATAGTTTATATTTGTGAAAGCAACAGAATGATTTATCTGCTTTTTAGTATTCCATTTTGTTTTACAAATTAAAATTATTCTCACATACCAATGTCTTTACTAGCAGAAAAGACAATTTGTTTCTTATCTTATCAAGAAGTATGTCTTTTTCCTTGTATAAATATATCTGTTTACACTTTTCATTGAAAATTTGCACTTCTTGGAGGACTAATACTTAGAACATAAATGTAATTTAGAAAATTATTATACTTTTAAAATATTTGTTGAATAAAATAATAAATATCAATCCAAGTTTATATTGAAAACTGTTGTTTAACATCTATCATTATTTTCCAAATAGTTTTGAGGCAGGGGCCAGGACTTGACTCCAGAGACAGGGCTGGGACTCTGGATCAGGTGAAGGACTGGCAAAAAGAGGACCAGGGCTTAAGCAGCTTTCCATCAGACACACCCACCATCATGCCATGTCAAGTTACTGCTGCTGTAGTGACACTCAGAAGTTATTGCCTTTTCCATGGCAATGACCCAATGACTCAAATGTTACTACCCTTTCCCTACAGATTCAACGTAAGTACATGTGTCCTTATGTTGCCTAGAAATTTCTGCATAAACCACCTCTTTATCTATGTGCAATTAAAAGTGGGTATAAATATGACTGCAAAACTTCCCTGAGCTGCTACTCTCTGCCTACATCATATTCCTGTTCTGCAGAAGTAGTCACAAAGCTGTAACACTGTCTCTTCAATAAAGCTGTTTTCTTCTACCATTGGCTTGCCCTTGAATTCTTTCCTGGGCAAAGCCAAGAACCCAGTGTGCTAAGCTCCACTTTGAGGCTTACTTCCCCTGCATCAATTTATCAAAGGAACTCTACTTTTCACAACTTCAAAAGAACACTCTATGATTAAGAAATACATGGGAAAATATAATCTTTAGAAAATCTCCAAATCATGTAATTGTATTTAAAAGTACGTTATGTTAGAAACTATATTTAATAGTAAAGATCTTGGCCTATAATGCTTACATTAAAATACATATGATAACACTGTATTTTGAGAAAATAGGTATAATAACATAATTGCTAATTTTGATTTTATGACTACTACACTTTGGCAAAAGTATTTTTCTACTTCTAGCATTGCTGTACATTTAAACACTACATTTTGTTACATAAAATTCTTTTCAATATTTGCTATAACTTAAGTTTGAAAACAAATTCACAAGTGGATATTCTACTTATAACAATGGTAAAAGGCAGTGATAATTTCATTTTTCTAGTTAATATCAATAGAAAGATACAGCCAAGATGCAATCAGTTTGAAATTCTCTACTTTCTGGACAGTTCATTTTGCTATACTATCAAAAGATCAGATAAACTGATTTCATTATCATGATCAAGATATTTAATTTCCTAATAGGTGCTTAAATTCACTGAAAGGCTTATATTCAGGAAGAGAAACTGGACATCATAGGAAGCCACAACCTACAAACAACGAACTTTTACTGCAGAAGGAACAATTAGCATTCACTCTATGACATTAAGCTCACTCTGTAAAAATTGAAATGCTCCTGGTATAATTAATGCTATTTATTCTAGGGAGCATATGGTTCCTAGTATTTGTAGTACTATTAGATAAATCTGCTTTTATTTGTCTGTTATTTACCATTACCCCATGCAACACCTTTTGTGGCAATGGACAGATGTACTTATGTTGAAATTCAGGACACCTGTCACAAGGACAAATGTTAGCTTGTCAAAAACTTAGGCAGACTTCAGGTCTAAACATTCTGAAGTCTAATAGCTATTCCTTGATTTCTTTCAACAAAAACATCCTTGAAAACTTGCTGATATAAAAACAAATAATTTTTTTTCACAGCAATAACAAAAAGAATCTGAATCTGCTACACTATGAGAATAATTGCCACGTAATATAATGCTCATAGAATAGGCAAAACAGTAAAGATACTGCATCTAGTATCAGAAGGAAGGAAATACATGCTAAACAATTTCGGAGGAAGAAGACACACCTCACATCATTCTTCTCACCCTAGGCTTGGAAGTGCAAAGCCTACATTTACTTGATTTGGGACACTCATTTTTTGAGAATAGATTGCTAATCCACCAGAAAATACAAATTGTAATCTCTACCATGTTACTGAAGAAAAGAAAATGTATAATTGTACATTTTCCAACAAGAAATGGAGACTAAAATTCCCTGGGAGCTGTACATACTGAATCAAAGTTGTGCTCTCTGTACTTGGTCTATAGAAAGTAATTACTAGTAGCCTTTGATTCTTCAGGGCATTCATTTTCTTCATAAATTTTGATAAACAAGTAATGGGGCAGGAAATGCTACCACATTGTCCAAGTTTATCACTATCATAGATTAACCCCTGCTGGATTTCTACCATAGGCTACATACAGAAATCTGGGATCCAGCTTTAGATAAGAGAAGTCTCCCAGAAAAGGCATGCTCAGAAGCAGATTGAGGACAACGTAAATCACTGGATAAATTTATTCTAGTTCACATATAAATAAGGATAAAGAGAAAATTGTAAGCCAGAGAGCATTTTTGTGTCATCAAGCATTTTAAAAATTGGAAAATGAGACTAATTTTAAGACTTGTAAAGAAAGCTTTTCTCTAATTTTCTCAGAATCAGAAGCCAAGGTAAGGAATAGGAAGTTCTGTTTTCTGCTCTCTGTACAGTAGTAGTCTATGGTGTTTCTATAAATAAGAAAGATTCATTATAATGTAGGACAGATTAAAAAGACAAAATAAAAGCCTGAGAAGAAATGAGAACAAACAAGAATAATAAAAGCCAGCAAATTCTGTAAAATTTTAGTAGGAAGACTGAAATTCTACATTAAAAGTCAACAGAAAGCAAATTTGACACAAAAGAATGTGCAATCTGTATTTTTAAAGTCAAACCGAAGATGGATATTGATACAATAGAAAATGACAAAGTAATCAGAATTATGAGTGATAATAATTGATATGTATATACAAAGTAGAAGTGTAATTCTCAGTTATGAGGCATTAATGAATAATAATCTTAAAGAAATAGTAGGAAAGTAATAATCAAAATTTTAATTAGAGAAAAATAAATACCTGAGCTGAAAGGCAAACAACATGCCAAGGAAAATTTTTGAATACAAGTTACCAAAAATCAATATTAAAAAATTTTAATCTTGTCTAGTGTAGTGGCTCATGCTTGTAATCCCAGTGATTCTGGAAGCTGAGGTGGCAGGAGGATTACCTGAGCCCGGGAGTTCAAGGCTTCAGTGAGCCATAACCACGACACTGCACTCCAGCCAGGTAACAGAATGAGATCTTGGTTCTAAAAGAAAACAAAAACAACAAAAAACATGGAAAGGAAAAAATAATCTAAATTTCTTTTCTCCATATCTTAAAGGATTCAGCTAAATTATTTCTAAAATATAAATATTAAAGCAAGATAAAAAGTTCATAAAATAAAATTTCATTTTTCATTGGTAATATTGTAAACTACTAAAATACAATGATAACATATATTCAGTCCTTCAGGATCCTGTGAAGAAGGAAATAATTAACTGTACTCAGTTTCTATCAAAGATATTTTACACGATAGGGAGTAGATTTAGGGGAAGCACAGAGGAAATAATCTTGTAGTAAATAAGAGTAGGAGATGTTACTACTCACAGTTTTGAAAGGACAATATGAATGATGAGAGAGTGATTATTTGATTGGATATATATCCAATCAATAATATATACATATATACACAATAAAATAAAGCTGTACACCTCTGATATATATATATATATATATATATATATATATATATATATATATATATATATCAGAGTTAGAGCAATTTTGTAGTTTTGTGGATAAATTGGGCCACCTGAAAGAAGCTGTGCCTCTTGATCAAATTACAAAAGACACAGCAAATAGGCCAGGGCTTCCAGGAAGTATAAAGGGAAAATGATACCTCAAACTCACCATCCCCTTAATATCTACCCTACTCTAGATTTTGGCAGCACCTATTGATACTTTGTAGAGTGTTTCTGCAAATTCATTTACAAAGTAACACATATTTGGTTTGAGTTTCACAGGAGAGAAACAGATTCGGACTGTGGAACAAGGTGCTCTAATACTTGGGTCATATGATACAGCAGATCTGATTGTGGATGAAGTGTCTATGGTAAATAGAAATGTTTTAGGAAGACCACCACTAGTGAACTATAATGTATATACCCTAAGTAGTTTGTAGCAAATATAAGCCATTGAATATAGAGTGTGTTCTTTGGAAAAATATCCTTTGTTAACTTGGCAGATGGTAGAAATAGAGTGCTTTAGCATAAACCTTCAGGTTACTATGTAACTGGTCTATCTCAGTTAGACTCTAGAGATCTGAGCCATAAAGCCATAAATTTGAGTGCATTAGCAGCAGTCTATTGTCAAATGAAAATGTGCATGTGAGCATATAAGGTAACAGGTGTTGGAAAGGCATGTAAGTTGCCTAAGGAAGTAGATCAGATGTTTGTGGAACACATTTCCACATTGCCTTCTCACCTTAAACCCACAATGCCCCATGGAGTATTTCCTACAGTCGCTTAACTGAGGAAGAAAAATGAATGAGATCTAATTTAGGATAATGCTAATAAACATACTAGTGCCACTTGAAAGTGAACAACTGCAAAAGTGAAAATCCTCCAAGTGGGTAAACTTAACTCTTCACCTCCAGTTGCTGACTTCATCTGAAGAGAGAGGTAAGCATGAATTGACATGAACACATGGAACATAGCTGATAATTTGCTGAAAGGTCAAAACCTTAGGAGGAAAAAGAATGGACATTGGATAATAAGGAGGTCTGGAAAGAGCTACGTGAAGAGACCTCTCAATTTGACAAATATTTGAGAAGGTTTGTTTCCCAAAAGAGTGTACATCAAAAGTTAAGCACAGAAAAATAAGGCTCTCAGTAATCAGGTAATCAAGGTAAGTTATCTGGGTTCCAGTAAGCTTTTCCTCCAGTAGCTCTTGTCCTTGTTCTATGGACTCACTACAGAGTGTTGATCACAGCAGCGAGAAGGTTGTATATAAATTCAACAATAATAATTTCTATTTAATGAGGCTGATCTGGTCATAGCCAACAGCAGAAACTATCAGTGGTTCCTCCTACAGCATAGATGCACAAGGGAAATTGCAAGCCACTTGAAAACATGTTGATTACATCGAACCAATTCTACTGTGACATTTTTATCCTCATTAGAAGATGGACACCTTTCTTTTCTGTTATAATTAATTTTTAGCAGCCTCGTTAAGATGTAATTAAGATACCATATAATTTACCTATTTAAAGTACACAATTGAATGTTCTTAGTATATTCACACATGATTATGTAGACATGATCACATCTAATTTTAGAATATTTTTGTCAATACCAAAAATATCCTAATTGCATCTATTAGCAATCACTCTAAACTTCACCCACATGTCCCCTCTTCCCAGTAACCACTAGCTTGCATTTTGTTCTTATAATGTTGTCTATTTTGGACAATTTATATATTTGAACTCTTATGTAGTTTCTTGTGGCTGGATATTTCACAACATATTTCAAGTTCTATCTTTGTTGTAGCATGTAATAATATATTATTCATTTTTTGTTGATTGATATTCTATTGCATTGATATAAAATATTTATCCATTCATGACTTGATAGATATTTGGATCATTTCCACTTTTTGATACTAACAAAAATGTCAATATGTATATTCATGTATAAATTTTTGTTTGTATAAAGTTTCTTCAATTCTCTTGGTTATATCCCTAGGAGTAAAATTGGTGGGTTACATTTTAAGTCTATGTTTAACATTTTGATAATGTGTCAAGTTGTTTTGCAAAGTAGTTGTGTTATTTTCTATTCCCACCAGCAATGTTTGATGGTTTTAATTTCTGGACATCCTTACCAATACTTGTTATTATCTATCTTATTTTTTTAATTAAAGCCTTAAAGAAAATGTGAAATGTGACTTCACTGTGATTTTGATTTGCCTTTTCCTAATGATTAATAACATTAAATATCCTTTCATGTGCTGCTTATTGGCTACTTGTGTATCTTATTTGAAATAAAATATCTATTTAAATTTTTATATTAAAACATTGGGTTAAAGGGTTTTTTTATATTGTTGATATACTTCTCTTATTATATACATATAAGGTTGGACACAGTGGCTCATGCCTGAATTCACAGCACTTTTGGAGGCCAAAGTGGGAGTGTGCCTTGAGGCCAGGAGTTCAAGACCAGCAATGGCGTTAGCGAGATGGTGTCTCAAAAAAAAAAATGATGATTGATAGATGATAGATAGATGATAGATAGATAGATTATAGACATGTAATTTGAAAATATTTTCTCCCAATCTGTGCTTTTTTTCATTTTCTTGTTATTATATTTTTATGCACAAAAGTTTCTAATTTTAAAAACAGCCACATTATTGACTTTTCCTCCCTCCTTTAGTTGCTGTGCTCTAGATGTGAACAGATCAACAATGAATTCTGAAATTTAATCAGTAATAAAAAATCCCTGCCAACCAGAAAAAGCTGAGGACCAGATGGACTCACAGATGAACCATACCAGATATACAAAGAAGGGCTGGTACCAATCCTACTGAAACTATTTCAAAAAAATTAAGAAGGAGGGACTCCTGTCTAACTTATTATAAGAAACAAGATCCCACTTGATACCATAATCTGGCAAGAACACAGCAAAAAAAGAAAACCACAGGCCAATATGATAGATACAGAAATCCATAACAAAATACTAGCAAACTGAATACAGTGCCACATAAAAACTTTAAAAATTATTAAAATGGCCTGATTGCCCAAAGAAATCTAGAGTTTTGATACTATTCCCATCAAATTGCCATCATTTTTTTACACAACTAGAAAAAAAATTCTAAAATTCCAACCAAAAAAGATCCCAAATATCCCAAATATCCAAAACAATTCTAAGAAACAAAACAAAACAAACAACAACAACAAAAAGCACAAAGCCTGAGGCATCACATTACCCAACTTCAAACTAAACTACAAGGCTACAGTAACAAAAACAGTATGATACTGGTACAAAAACAGACACATAGGCCAATATAAGAGGATAGAGAACCTAGAAAATAAAGCTGTACACCTACAACAAACTGATCTTCAACAAAGTCAGCAAAAATAAGCAATGGGGGAAGGAATGCACTATTAAATAAATAATTCTGGGAAAACTGGTTATCCATATGCAGAAGAATAAAACTGGACCCCTGCTTCTCACCATATACAAAAATTAACTCAAGATGTATTAAAAACCTAAATGTAAGACCTCAAACTATAAAAAATCTTAGAAGAAAACCTAGAAAATACTATTCTGGACATCAACCTAGACAAAGAATTTATGACTAAGTCCTCAAAAGCAATTTGCAACAAAAACAAAAAATTGATAAATGGTACCTAGTTAAATTAAAGAGGTTCTGCATAGCAAAAGAAACTATCAAGAGTAGACAAACAACCTAAAGAATGAGGGAAGATATTTACTATGTATCCAACAAAGGACTAATATCCAGAACTTAAATGAATCAACAAGAAATAAAACAAATAATCCCATTGAAAGTGGGCAAGGGGCATGAAGAGATACTTCTTAAGAAAAAGACATACATGCAGCCAACAACATGAAAAAAATGCTCAACTTCATTAATCATCAGAGCAATGCAAATCAAAACCACAACGAAATACCATCTCACACAAGTCAGATGGTCATTATTAAAAAGTCAAAAAACAACAGATGCTGGTGAGATTGCAGAGTAAAGGGGATGCTTACATACTGTCGGTGGGAATGTAAATTAGCTCAGCCATTTTAGAAAGCAGTTTGGGGATTTCTCAAAGAACTAAAAATAGAACTACCTTCAACCCAGCAATTGAATTACTGTGTATATACCCAAAGGAAAATACATAATTCTGCCAAAAATACACGTGTACTCACATGTTTATTGCAGCACTATTCACAATACCAAAGATGTTTGACCAACCTAGGTGCCCATCAATGGTGAATTGGATAAAGGAAAGGTAGTACATACACACCATGAAATGCTATGCAACCATAAAGAGGAATGAAATTGTGTCCTTTGCAGGAACATGGATGCAGGTGGAGGCCATTACCCTAAGTGAATTAACATAGAGACAAAAAAAAAATATTGCATGTTCTCATTTATAAGTGAGAGCTAAACATTGTGTTCACATGGACATAAAGATGAAAACAATAGACACTGGGGACTCCAAAAGGAAGAGTGGAGAGTACAAGGGCTAAAAACCTTCCTTTTGGGTACTATGTTCACTATATGGGTGATGGGATCAGTAGAAGTCCAATTCTCAGCATCATACTATATATACCCTTTTAACAACCTGCACATGTACACCTTGAATCTAAAATAAAAATTTAAAAATGTCAAAGCTGAAAGAAAGTGCCAAAGCCAATGTCACCCATATTTGTGCTATGTTTTCTTTAGTTTTGTACCTTTAGCTTTTATATTAGCCTTAAAGCATTTTAATTTAACTTTGCATATGGTGTGAGGTAGGAGTCCAACTTCATTATTTTTCTTTTTAATTTGGCTATCTGGTCATGTCAGTGACATCCTTTCAGACCAATCTCTGAATCTCCTCATCCTCATGTTCCACCTTTCCATCATGTGGATTCCCTGCTCTACTGGACCAGAGCTTGGGGCAGAAACTTGCTTTTCCTAGAGTGACAGCCTTGCTGTATGAGAGGGCACTGGAGATTTGGGAGTAGCAAACCTGGGCTTTTGGCCTGTTATACCTGGGGTAGGACTTCTAGAGGACTTGGCTAGAGGAAGGGAGACCTGCTTGTCTCAGCCGTGTCTACCTGGAATACAGCCTCTCCAAAATGCACTTGAGTGAATGGGTGAAAAACAACACCTTGACTGTTTGGAGAATAGGGGAACCCTGTATGTTTGGCTGCACGTTACCAGTATAGAGTTTCCCTAAGAAAAATGAGTGGGAGGGGCTGAAGTAAGGTAATAGATAATACCACAAATGACACAGACATCCACTGTTCTTGTTAAGATTTAGTAGATTTTCATGAACAAAGATTTCTCTATTTACTGTATTCAGAAATTTTAATGATTATGTTTTTGTAATATTCTGTGGTTAAATTGCTGTCTTGGTTTTACAAGTTTTCACTAAGATCCTTACATGGCCATTCTGATAGTCACACATTAAGAAACTTACCTGGATATATTTATTTTCTTCCCTACCTACAGTGCTTCCGCCAAAACACTTATCTATATATTTATAAAATGTTATTTGCTCTCAGGGTAATCCACACAGCATTATGGAATAATAAGGTATCTTTCTAAATGTAACTCATTATAATTCAAAACACAGTATCTAGACCACAGAACTCATTGGTGTTACTTTGAGCTAAAGAAGATGGCCTAAAAGTGCAGTAGAATAACATTTTGAATACTTAGTTCTAGTTTCAGGTAGTAGAGTATCTGAACTAGAAACAAATAAATGTTAATATTATCTCCCACAGTCAGAATATGCTGGTCAGGAAACCAGGAAGTTTATGTAGGTGAGGCTCCTTTTACTCCAAATCGTCCATGAAAAAATTTGCAACACAAATGTAATCATTGTTTTATGTGTGCATGGTGTTTGTGTGTGTGTGTCTGTGCACATGTGCATGAGTGTACTAAGTATATACTTATAGTAATATTCCCTACATATTTTCTACATAGTAAGATAGTAAGATTTCCTACATATTTCTTATATAGTAAGATATTCTACATATTTCAGTATTTAATTCAGTATTACAAATCAGGAAAGCTCATTGAAATAGTGAATGAGCTATAAACAAATAAATATCAATAAATATAAAGTGGCATATGGGAGGTATGTCTCCATTTATGGTGGAGGTAAGCATGACTTTCGTGGTGTGAGAGATAGTTGCATCAAGTTAAGGTAAAGAGTGATGTTGTTATTGTTATGTATATATTCTAAGTCTATGAGGAGGTGGGCTGTACTGTATTAGCTGGTCTACTCAGTATTATCCCCACATTCCTCTGTGCAATGCAAAAGAGCCTGTTATAGGTTTTCCAGAATCTCATTACCTATGCATTTTGGGTTAGAGTTTGTCAATGAGAGGAATTTATAAAATATTTGGAAAATGAATGAGGAAAACAAAGAAAAAGCATTATTCATGGGGCATGTTGTAGTCAGATGAGATGGCCTGGCAGACTTTCTCATGATCCCTGACTCTCAAAAATGGTAACTAGTTATGTCAGAATAGTAATTTTCACTTCTGAGATTATGCTGTGATGTTTTGGGGTAGGCCAATGGCTTCACAGACCTCTCTGCTTGCTCCTCTTTCATAGTGGTAGCCAGACGCTATGCCCCTTAGATCTTTCAATAATGCCAGTTTCTCATATGCATCAGGGGCAGTATTGAAGATCTACTTTTCCTCCCATCTTCCATCTGCATACAAGTAAACTCTTATTTCTACATCTGTCTTTATTTTATAGCACATATACGGTCAGTTTTCTGACCAAACTGAGACTGTCATACCATGTGTGTTCATGTAATAGAAACATTGTCACGTATAAATATTCTCAGGTACAGCTAAATTCATTATTATTAAATTTGTTTGTATAATACATTCATAAGTTAGAAAATCAGTTACTTTATACATTTTTTAAAGAAAATTAACTATTATTATTTTATTTTATTTAAGGAAAAAGTGTACTATTTGCCCAGCTGATTACACTAGACTTTCCTTCCCATGTAACTGGGTGCTACCCTTAGTTCCACACTTGCACGTCTTTCTGTAGCCCTCACCAGTGAAAAAGAGTGGGGAACTGGGAATAATTTGGTGCTTAAAACTGCTTAATGTTATATACATATTTAACTTGACAGTAATGCTTAATGTTTAGGTTTTTTCTTTTGTGTTAGGGTATAAATTGTGTGCTACATGGATATTTGTGGGTCAATGGATAAGGATAGGGAGGTGCATGGGACTTTAATTATTCTTTTCCCAAATGTTCCATATTTAGTAACTGTCCATTTAAGGATATTCCAGTCCTTCAAAATGAAGACATAGTGTTGGGACAATGTCAATTCCCATTATTGAGGAGTGACTACAAAATGACATCAAGATGAGTTACATCATTTAAAGAGAAAAACATAGATCTTGACCAGTAGTTCATGGAGGGCATTATGTTATATAGCTTCCCTCCGATTAGTGTTTTGATCTTTCCCACATGCATTTTTCTTAGTTCTTTCTTATTTGCCACAACAGCGGGTTAATAAATTTATTTAATTGAAGCATGTTATATTGGTTCTTAAAAATATAATCCAGTGTATATCCTTTGCCAAGCATGTAGCAAGTATCATGAGAAAAAATGAGAGTACAATTTCGTACACTCCAGTGGCCAGTGGGGAACATTCTAGTTGTCTGACATATGTTTGCTTACCATAATTGGAGGAGATCAATGGTAACCGTATAGGCTGGGAGGCTGATCTAGCCGGAGTGATTTCCAAATAAATTAAAATATAAATTGTATTTTATGTCTGTATTCTTGGCTTATAAAAGGTGTGCCTTGAGACCAATTGTATTTAAGTGGGCAATAGTAAACATTTCTATAAAAGTCTTGGCTGACTTGACACAACTTATTATTAGATCAACAAAAGACACACACCCAGTTTTGCCAGTTGTATAAAAATAAATTGAAATAAAAACTTGTGGAGACCAAAGAGGACTGAGAAATTTCTATATCTGGTGTTATTGTTAAATGAACAATATTTACAAAATGTGATTTTTTCCAGGAATAACAAGTCATTCAAATAATGAGCTTCCTTGAAGCTTTCAATCAAATTAATAATGAGCTTCCAAGAGCAGGACTATTTTAAGAATTTTAACTACTACACTCTGATACTTATTTTAAACTCAGCCCCCTTAAAACTTCACTAAAGAACTCAAGTGGATGGAACATTCATTATCCTAGTTTGTAACCTGAGATAACTGGTAGCTCCATACCTTTCTGTACAATTATGAGCAAACTTCAAAATAATCATCTGTATGCTGGTGAAACATATTGTTATGAATTCTTACCAGGGTAATGAATAATATACATAACAGTTGGGTTTGGTCTTTTTGAGAGCTGCTTGTTTCCTGGAAAGGTGATTTTAGAGAAAACTATCAACTCCAAAAGTCTTTAGTTCAAGGCTTATTTATTTATTGGTTATTTTTCAGATCCCAGTATTAAATGATATACTTCTGCTCATTAGAGTTTGGTTAGAGTATGAATCATGTGTCCACTACATATGATATTTTTATTGATAGTAAATTTTCCTATTTCCAATCCAGCTCATTGGCCTGGACTGCTCCCTTCCACCTTTATATCAACAGAGTAGCATGACAAATGCTGTTAAATAAAATGTGATTCTGATTATCTCAACTAAATGTTTTCCTGTTTCACTCATGTTGTTACCTGGGTGGCAAATAAGCATCTCAAGTAACTTCACATGTTCAAAACTAAATATTTTTCATCCCCCTTTCCAGCCATGTGATATATGTCACTTCCACAGTTTTAGCTAACTCAATGAATATGTACCAGTAGTATAATCCCAAAGCCTTGTATATTGTTTTATTTTTCTCATGCTAAACATTTTCAATTCAATTTTCCACCAAATTTGGTGGAAAGCTGTAGCTTCAAAATACAGTCCTAGCTGACCACCCTAATATGCAGTGCATTTATCTGCTCCAAGTCACTATCATCTTTCCATTGCATTGCTTTAATGACTCCCTAACTTGTCTTCTTAATTTTAGCATTAGTCATCTTCATTCTACACTTAACACAGTTTTAATAATCATGTCAAAGTGCATGACCCTCTTTTGCACTAAATCCTGCAAATATTCTCATTTCACTTAGACAAAAGGTAAACTCCATATAAGTTCCATGCAATTTTACCCACTTCTCTCCAACATCTTGTTTTCTAGTTGACCTTATTTCTTGTTATTTCACCAACTTCACTACTCTGTGTGAGTCATCTTGGCCTCTTTGCTGTTCTTCAGGCATGCTAGATAATATATTTAGGGCCTTTGCTCTTCTTGGAATATTTTATCTAAAAATGTTTGATTTTAGTGAAATAAAATACAATTTTATTTGTAGTAAACTAAAAAATGTTTACTTTGGTGAAATGCTTCCTCACATCTGTCTAGTTTTACTCAAAATTTATAATTTTTCAGTAAAAAATTATCTACTATATTTTATATTAAATCCTTCCTACACCTGGTATATTCCTTATCAAACTTATCAAACTTATCAAACTTTCTACCTTAGTTTTCTCTAGGGAACTTATCACTACCTAACACTATACACATTTGCTATTGTTATCTCCCCAACTAAAATATAAGCTCCACAAGAAGATATCTGTTTCTTTTGTTCATTGCTTTATCTGTAGGGTCTAGAAGAGTGCTTGGAATAAAATGGTGAAAAACAAATATGTATCAATGAATCAATTAATAAAATACATTTTTCAAAGGTTTTTATTCAATGCAATTGAAATGTATTTCCCATTTAGCAAAGATGTGTAAAACTAAGAAATATTATAAATATGTCTAATATCACATCAGAACTTTGTATTGTAAAAATTATATATTTCTTTATTTTTAATTATTATATTAACAAAAATACATTATTAGGCAGCTCATTGCTGTGTAGAAAGCATTACAACAACACAGACCATATGAAAAAGCCTAGAGAGACTCTTGTGTTATTCACAGATTTATTCACTCAAGATTATCTTACAATGTTAGTGCCTGGAGTTTTAAAATCATTCAAAATACCCTTGCTTATCCTCTTGGCACAACTATGGCAATAACATTATTTTTAGCTATAAAATTGCCAGTAATTCATATTCAAATTAGTTTATAAATAATTTGCATAAAAACTAGGATTTCAAATGAATACTATGATCAGCTATTGAAATGTTGATCTTTAATTTAGGCCTTTATTATTAAGTAGAATGAAAGGGCATTCATTGAATGGACACAAAAATTAAGAAAAAAATTATGCTACATCTAAGCACCAGATTGGAAATATTCCTAAGGTTTATGAGCAAATAAAATACTTTCACTTACACACAACAGAAAAGCCTTCTGTAGAGCAAGCAACTAGCAGACATTGGGAATTACTAAAATAATTTTATTATTTAAAAAATAAAAATAGAAGTTTAATGTTTCCTAATTATAAACTTGACTCTGAATTACTTAGAGTTCTTGTTAATTTACAAATCTGCCTGAGAAGAATCACACTGCCAATAAAAATATAGCTTAAAATAGAGGAGGAAAGTAACAAGTTTTGTTGAATATATCGATTTATTTTACTTTGAAAAGCATATTCTGAAGCTGTCATTGGGGCTTTTAAATGATGTTTCTGACAACCACTTACTGCCTAACACTCTTGATGAGTGTCCTCACCAGCTTTTGCCAGTTCACATTCTATTTTTTTTTATTGGAATGAATCATGCATTCCTACTTTTTTCCCTGCCTCTCTTTCTTAACTTACCATGAGGCAGAAATCAGCAGATTTGAAGTTGGTATCAGGAGAAAATTACATCAAGATTTTGATTTTATTATGTATCACTTTGCATGCAAATGAATAATAAGAATATTCAATAATAGCTACTATCATTTTTTAGAGTATAAAATAGAGTTTCAAAGAACATTTAAGGATTTAATTTTTCAATGTAATTTCTTAATAATCATCACAACATTATTTGAAAGCAAAAAATTTAAATAGAAAATATTTTCCCTAATTTCATAAACTCTTAATAACAGTGCTAGATTTCTTTTAAGATATATTCATATTTTCATCTCTTTAGAGTGTTGACTCTTCATGGGTTCTAAAGCCCTTTTTAAATAGTAAAAATGTTTAGTAAGTTATTTTTCCAAAGACAGAGTCAATTTTTATTTCCAACTATTATAAGATATTCTGTTAAGATTCAACCAAAAAAGCTGAGTGTTACCTGAGGGCTTCTTTTCCATAACATAATAATTTAAATTAGGATTACTGAATTCACATCATAGAATTTAACTTTGTACAAATTACTCTTGTGGCATTGATATTTAAATGTTATCAACTATAGTATTGTAAAATTATATTCTGTAATTTTAAAGAAGCTCTTTGCAAAAAAATAATCTATACATGTAAAAGAAAACATTATTTACATGATTTTGGTGTATTCATTCTTTTTTATGTAAAGACATAGCTTTTCTTAATCAATAAGGTAGGAGTGGTTCTTATAAGTGCAAAGGATAGCTAAGTCTTAGGTGAAACAAGGAACTAGGAAACCATCAGTATGTGACAAAATACATTTATAATATCTCTTGTACCCTCATCTCTCTGAAAATACACATATTACAGATAGATTTTCTGCCCTTTTGTTCATATGATGAGATATTATTGCCCACTTTTCTTGAATTTATATAAAATAATCCTAGTCATATTCAGACTGGGTAAAAACTGTGAACTAAAATTCTGAATTTCAGGGAAACAAAATATTATTGCTCTACTTGAAAAATGTGTCCACTTGGCTCGAGGCAAGGAGGAAAATTTGTAAAATATACATACTCCCACCAAAGACCTAGCTGCATAGATCTGAGGTCATATCATATATAGTGGGAATGATAAATGAGCTTAGAAAACATGTAACTATTAATAAATTACAAATCAATTTCAGTATTTTGATATTAAAAATCAGTACTTCAGAAAAGATAACCTTAGAGATGAATTTGACATGTTAAATTTTATATACTTTTGTGTTCTGAACCATGAGGATGTAAAGTTAGTTATTCTTTTGATATTTCCAGGCTTATCAATCAGGAAGTTTTAAAACACTAACGTCAAAATTTACAACTTCAATAAGGAACAACCATTCAAAAGTACACAAATATCTTCATAGACAAGAGTTATGATTATGTCTCAGGCAATCTATCCCGGAAACTTGGCTCTATCCTCACTAGCTATGTTATCATAGACATGTTACAAAAGGATGAGTTCATGTCCTTTGTAGGGACATGGATGAAGCTGGAAACCATCATTCTGAGCAATCTCTCGCAAGGACAGAAAACCAAACATCACGTGTTCTCACTCATAGGTGGAAACTGAACAATGAAAACACTTGGACACAGGATGGGGAGCATCACACACCGGAGCCTGCCATGGGGTTTGGGGAGGGGGAGGGATAGCATTAGGAGATATACCTAATGTAAATGACGAGTTAATGGGTGCAGCACACCAACATGGCACATGTATACATATGTAACAAACCTGCACGTTGTGCACATGTACCCTAGAACTTAAAGTATAATAAAAAAAAATTTAAAAAAAAACTTTGGTTTTTGTCCCAGGTATTTTTTCTAAATGATAAAAGAGCTAGGAAAATGAAAAAAAAAAACTAGTTCTTAACTGCATAGGCATTTTAGAATCATTAACTCATCAAATTAATCATATAGGTAATCGGTAAATAGGGATAATGTTGACATAACAAGGAATTTGTGTTGGTCCATGCCAAATTTTCCCAGCTTTTTTTATTCACTTAACTTTGTTCCTCCAGATAAAATCAGCTATACAAAAAGTGACATACACAACAGGAAACAGCAAACCGTAACACCATGCACCATGCAGTGTTATATGTGATGCCCAATCGCTCTTCTCTGATGCTCAGTTTGGCACCATGCTCTTTCCTGAATATACTTATTTCATAGTTCTACCTGATTTGTACATGTTTCTCATATCTCCATAACTGAACAACCACAACACTTCCTTATACCATTTATATAAAATTCTTATATAAGAAATTTAATTTTAATGTAAAGTACTAGATTTATTGTAGTGTTTTTTCTATTACTTATTATAAACTTAACTTGTTTTTAATATGAACCAGTATAGTTACTAGAATCTATATTGTTATTGTTGGTTTTCTGATTACAAACCTGTATATGATTTGAATTTTCTGCTTCTATCTACCTTATATTTAATGCATGATTTTGTAAAATCTGAGGTTTTGCAGTAACTCATATATTATATTATATTATAGCAGAAATAGAACACAGAATAATGCTTAGCATATAGACAACACTCAAGAAATATTAGCCATTATTACTATTATTGTGCACTTTCTCTCAAAGTCTATTGCTAAATCAAACGAAGGAACAAACATATATTAATGTAGCCAGCAATGACTAAATAATGTCCTTTTAAGGTTAAGGCATTGTGTATGTGCTGTGGGTACAAAGATGAATAGAACACTGTCTCTGCCTACAGGAAACTCCCAAATGTAATCAGATATATCATGATATCAAATGCCATTAGAGACATAAGAGAAAACATCCACAGGACAAAAAGTTATGGATGCAATCATTCTAGTCAGGAGAGAGAGTCAGGTGAGGCTTTATTGAAAAGCAGGTAATATGTACCAAACTAGCAGAGGATGTGGAGTGAGAGGCTGTATACACTAGGTAGAGTTGCCAGAAAAAAATCCAGCACCCAGATAAATTTGAATTTTGTATAAACAACAAATAGAGTTTTGGTTTAAATATATAAAATGAAATATTTGGAAAATAATTATACTAAAATATATTTGTTGTTTATCATAAATTCAAATAGGTCTGGAGGCCTGGATTTTAATTTGCTAAATAAATCTGTAAACTCTGGAAGACATTCAGAAATATTAGATTGAATAGCAAGTATGCTTACAAAGAAAAGGAGCATTAAAAAATAGGAGCTTCAGGAGAAATATTTTATGCACAGTGATTAAATAATAACATACAATAAAGTTTGTATTTATCACACTGAGCATAATAGAGACTCAGGCAAGAAGGTGGATCAGGTATTACATTTTTCTCTACAAAACACACAGATATTAGATAAAGAGTGTGCCAAGAAGTACACATTTAAAGCATTATTATATTCCCAGGACAGCAAGGGAGGTTATCAAGGCTGTGTCTCCACAGTCCCCACAGAACAAATCAATGAACTAAAACTACAAAGCTCAAGAAGATCCAGATGCAAACACCATAAACCTAGAAATTTAGAGACTAAGATCCACAGATGAAAACTCTAGAACTACAACTTGCTTGAGCAAAGTTGTGCCGCTGACTGTGAGAATCTCTTAAAATAAAATAATTATCATTTTCATTCTTCTTATTATTGTTGTTATTATCAACAATATTACTACTAAAATTTCAACCCAGTAGCCACAGTTGCTTTTCTTATTCTTTTTCTTCATCTTCATCTTCATCTTCGTCTTCATCTTCATCTTGGTCTTCTTGTCAGGGAAAATGCTTTGTTTCTTCTGGTGGACCAGCAGAACTTATCTGACAAACTAAAACATCTGGTTTATGCAATTTATTCTTTGATTCTCAATTCTACAGTTTATCATCACATGAAAACATTAGCAGGGAAAACTTGAAGAATTAAAATGAAATTCAATAAAGTAATCTGGCAAAACATAATATTTTAAGAAATAGTAGATAAATGTTATTAAACTGAAGTCTGTTGGGAATAAGTATTTCGATACCAGTAACTATTATACACCCACATTTCTTGGAATATGAAATAATGGCATATAAGGTTAACATAAACATAAAAATCACTCCATGTGTTATAGATATTTCCCAATTCATTATTCTGCAAATCGACTCAATGAAACTACCATCAGAGTGAACAGGCAACCTACAAAATGGGAGAATATTTTCGCAACCTACTCATCTGACAAAACGTTAATATCCAGAATCTACAAAGAACTCAAACAAATTTTCAAGAAAACAAACAAACCCATCAAAAATTGGGCAAAGGATATGAACAGACACTTCTCAAAAGGAGATATTTATTCAGCCAAAACACACATGAAAAAATGCTCATCATCACTGGCCATCAGAGAAATGCAAATCAAAACCACAATGGGATACCATCTCACACTAGTTAGAATGGGGATCATTAAAAAGTCAGGAAACAACAGGTGCTGGAGAGGATGTGGAGAAATAGGAACACTTTTACACTGTTGGTGGGACTGTAAACTAGTTCAACCATTGTGGAAGACAGTGTGGCAATTCCTCAAGGATCTAGAACTAGAAATACCATTTGACCCAGCCATCCCATTACTGGGTATATACCCAGAGGATTATAAATCATGCTGCTATAAAGGCACATGCACACGTATGTTTATTGCGGCACTATTCACAATAGCAAAGACTTGGAACCAGCCCAAATGTCTATCAGTGATAGACTGGATTAAGAAAATGTGGCACATATACACCATGGAATACTACGCAGGCATAAAAATGATGAGTTCATGTCCTTTGTAGGGACATGGATGAAGCTGGAAACCATCATTCTCAGCAAACTATCACAAGAACAAAAAACCAAACACCACATGTTCTCACTCATAGGTGGGAATTGAACAATGAGAACCCTTGGACACAGGAAGGCAAACATCACACACCAGGGCGTGTTGTGGTGTGGGGGGAGTGGGGAGGGAAAGCATTAGGAGATATACCCAATGTAAATGACGAGTTAATGGGTGCAGCACACTAACATGGGACATGTACACATATGTAACAAACCTACACATCATGCACCTGTACCCTGGAACTTAAAGTATAATAATCATAAAAAAAAAACTGATGAGCAAAAATGGAGATTTCCCATAGAAGAAGGAATTCTGCCCCAATACTTTAACATGGAAATCACAACTGACTTTTCAGCCTACTGGCCCACCCTATATATTTCAGATTCAAGATAATAAGTATGAAGTATAAGCTGATGTCCCATGCTAAATTAAGAGAGAGAGTGCATAATTAATACAAAGCCAATAATTAAATAGAGTTAATTGGAAAATTGACACAGTAAAATCTTATACAACTTATACATTGATGAGGGACAGTTCTCTGGGACTGGTAAGCACAGAGATATACTATTCTTGATGGTTCGCTTTATGAATATATTGTTGTTTAGTTAGATTTAAGTATTTAATTTTAAAAATCTCAAAAATATGCATTTCTAAAAATAATAGATGCCATATTTTAAAATATGTAGGCTTATATGTGTACTTATCTGTATCTAACATGTATTTAATTTGTCCATATTCAGTGACAAATATTTTCAATGAATTACATTAATTTCAGTGAAGAACAACTTATAATTATTTTTTCAATTTTATTGATTTTTCTAAATTTTTTGAAAGTTTTTGTTTTTTTTAATTTTAAAAGAGAAGTTTTATTCTTAATACCAGTAATCTTTTTTTTTATTATACATAATAATTTTTAGGGTACATGTGCACATTGTGCAGGTTAGTTACATATGTATACATGTGCCATGCTGGTGTGCTGCACCCACTAACTCGTCATCTAGCATTAGGTATATCTCCCAATGCTATCCCTCCCCCATCCCCCCACCCCACAACAGTCCCCAGAGTGTGATGTTCCCCTTCCTGTGTCCATGTGTGCTCATTATTCAATTCCCACCTATGAGTGAGAACATGTGGTGTTTGGTTTTTTGTTCTTGGGATAGTTGACTGAGAATGATGATTTCCAATTTCATCCATGTCCCTACAAAGGACATGAACTCATCATTTTTTATGGCTGCATAGTATTCCATGGTGTATATGTGCCACATTTTCTTAATCCAGTCTATCATTGTTGGACATTTGGGTTGGTTCCAAGTCTTTGCTATTGGGAATAATGCCGCAATAAACATACGTGTGCATGTGTCTTTATAGCAGCATGATTTATAGTCCTTTGGGTATATACCCTGTAATGGGATGGCTGGGTCAAATGGTATTTCTAGTTCTAGATCCCTGAGGAATCACCACACTGATTTCCACAATGGTTGAACTAGTTTACAGTCTCACCAACAGTGTAAAAGTGTTCCTATTTCTCCACATCCTCTCCAGCACCTGTTGTTTCCTGACTTTTTAATGATTGCCATTCTAACTGGTGTGAGATGGTATCTCATTGTGGTTTTGATTTGCATTTCTCTGATGGCCAGTGATGATGAGCATTTTTTCATGTGTTTTTTGGCTGCATAAATGTCTTCTTTTGAGAAGTGTCTGTTCATGTCCTTCACCCACTTTTTGATAGGGTTGTTTGTTTTTTCTTGTAAATTTGTTTGAGTTCATTGTAGATTCTGGATATTAGCCATTTGTCAGATGAGTAGGTTGCGAAAATTTTCTCCCATTTTGTAGGTTGCCTGTTCACTCTGATGGTAGTTTCTTTTGCTGTGCAGAAGCTCTTTAGTTTAATTAGATCCCATTTGTCAATTTTGGCTTTTGTTGCCATTGCTTTTGGTGTTTTAGACATGAAGTCCTTGCCCGTGCCTATGTCCTGAATGGTAATGCCTAGGTTTTCTTCTAGGGTTTTTATGGTTTTAGATCTAACATTTAAGTCTTTAATCCATCTTGAATTGATTTTTGTATAAGGTGTAAGGAAGGGATCCAGTTTCAGCTTTCTACATATGGCTAGCCAGTTTTCCCAGCACCATTTATTAAATAGGGAATCCTTTCCCCATTGCTTGTTTTTCTCAGGTTTGTCAAAGATCAGATAGTTGTAGATAAGCAGCATTATTTCTGAGGGCTCTGTTCTGTTCCATTGATCTATATCTCTGTTTTGGTACCAGTACCATGCTGTTTTGGTTACTGTAGCCTTGTAGTATAGTTTGAAGTCAGGTAGTGTGATGCTTCAAAAAGTTTTAGACACATTGAAAATTTACTGACATATTTTTAAAAGAAAAAAAAGAATAGGCCAATATCTTTTCTTTGGCTTTTAGTATTCTTGAATTTCCTCCTTAGCTGATATGAACAAAAATACCCTGGAATTCCTACTGGAAATGGAGCATGTCAATTATATAGTCAGTATCAGATCCCATAGTTTCTAACAACAAATTGATTGTTCAGTATAAACAGTGTTATTAACACTATTATTATTATTTTTGCAAGCTTTAGTCTTTCAACAACTGCATCTGTACTTACTCAGAAAGGTATTCTTTATTTAGGCTGCAAATTAAGTTATTCTGTGTATAGGTATTTGAATATATTTGGTGAAAGAAAGCTAAGCCACCTAATTTTTACATATAAAAAATTACTCTGACAAATCATAGATTCAGTTAATTATAAAAAATTTATAATTAACTTTCAATGGAAAAGTATTGCTGTTCTTAAAAAAACTTCATGACAAAAATAAATATATAGCACATAATCTTAGACAAAATAATATGTATTTAAAATCTATCATACTTTTATCAGGTATTAATTTGGTCAGTCTGAAAATTTATATTTTCAGGAATAACTGTGTTTAAATTATACCAGGAAGTGTGTGAGAAACAGTTAAATAAATTATAGAATATAAAATCGGTCTTACATTGTTAACATTTCTGCTTATGAGTTTAATGTATACTGAGATAATTATATGAAATTCTATGAGCATATGGCTTCCTTAACACATTTTCAAACTATTTGAAATTAACATATAGCATACATAAATATGCACATACATATATATAAATATATATGTATGCATAAGTACAAAACATTTATAAAATTGTACAATATAGATAAGCGTTGACACTTAAAAAGTGTTTTTTAAATGCAGTAGATCTGTTGCCTTATCTTTCTTATGACGTTTATTGAGAACTTCGTATAAGTCAGGCACTGTGCTTGAATGAGGACACCAAATATAATACATAAAAACTACTTGATTTAAGATTGCTCACAATTAGCAAAAGAGATATAACATATTTGCTTATTATTGTCAAATGTGTTGAGCGTGATAATAAATTTATATATTCAAAGCTAGAGGCACAGGCTGGAAAAATTCATAATGAACTTACTCAAGAAACACTTGACAGAGAATTTTATCTTAAAACTTAGCCTTTAGGAAAATAAATTTCCAATATTATGAAAGAGGAAAGAAGGGCATTCTTACATTTTATTTCAATGTAATTTAAAAAATATTATATCCTATATTCTAGAAACTCTGCAAAATACGCATGTGTTTGTGTATGTGTGTGCTTCTATATCTATATATGTCTATATGCAATAATACATAAAACATTATTTGTATTTTTAATGATTTCAACATTAATATAGAGAAAAATATATTTTTATAAGTTGTAACAGTATTGTATTTATTATTTTTAATATTCAACATGATATATTGTTTCCCTATTTTACTTTTATTGAGAACTTATTGTGGGCCAAAGATTATGCAAAGAACCCTGTAAATTACATTTAATTAATTAGGCATAGAGCAACATAATAAATATTAGAGTAGCATGGAAGGTGATATTAATTATTCTGGCTTGTAGGAAATGGAAATATTTCAGTCTAGAGAAAAACTAAAAATGGGTGTTGAGGATGGAAAGAATTCCACATAATTGAGGAAAATCATTCCAGGCAAAGGAAATGTATTGAGCACAAGTGGAGATATTGAAAAATGCATTGTGGGTTGCAAATTCTTGATCAGCAGAGGGGACTGGGTCTGTGGTGTAATGTTTTAAAGGTAGGGTAGGTAGGAGGAAAGGAAATGGTAATAATAATACCGTTGATAATAGTAATGTTTGGAGACTGGCTAAGATTGAGGTGAAAAGGACATCCTTTGGGCATAAATTTCCTATGAATAGTGAAAAAAAATAATAATTTCGATGAGTAAATGCTACTGAATGCACAATGCTGGATGGAAATTTAAAAAGCAACAATACTTCAAGATAACTAAGAATATACATACCTTTTGACCTGTTACTTTTAAGATATGACTCTAACATTTTATTCTCATGTGAAAATTCATTATAGAAATATATATTTACCTAGATGATAGACATTTATAGCATTGCTACATATCTACAAAAGAAAAAAGGAAGACAGAAAAAGAAGAAATAACAAAAGGAAGGAAAGGGGAAATAATAGAATGAAAGGAGGAAAGAAGGAAGAAAAGAAGAAGGAAGGAACAAAGGAAGTGGCCAAAATTGAAACTGCCTTTCCAGAATTATAAATAATGAGAGAAATCTAACATGATTGACTCCATCTTGTTTCTAACCTTAAAGGCTTTTAAATAGGTTGTTTTGCTAACACAGAGGCCAAGATTACTATGAGAATAATTGAATTTGTAGTTAAAGTGTGAGGCAAGGAAAACTCCTTGTTAGAAAACTCTGCATTCATAAGGCAAGGATAAATGTGTGATAGGAGCTTAAACTTTGCTAAAGAATAGGCATAGTTTAACAATGACCTGGCATCACTTAGCTTGTTTTCCTATCAGTTGTTTACTACCACAGAGTCACATAACTGTGGGTCGCAAGATTTTTAATTCCCCCACCTACTTCAATAGATAACATCATCATTGTGAAACCTAAAGAACTGGTCTTTGAGATATTTCAGACTTAGCACTTTGGCAGACCAAGAGCCACCACCTGGTTTTGGGGGACTCTGCCAGGATCTGACTTAGTTAAGCAAAAACAGCTTTAGACACCCCTGTGATTTCAGCAATCGTTTCAGTTTCCCTGTACCCTGGCTGCCAAAGCACCCTTAAAAAGCCCTAGCTTACAAATTCTCAGATATAAATGGGTTTGGGAAGTTTCTCCTTGTTCTCTTTGCTTGGCTAACACTGTGATAATAAAACTCTCCTTGCTGCAATACCTATTGTTTTCAGTACAATTGGCTTTATTCATCAGGTGGTTACAAAATGACCAATATTAAACAAATGTTTATGCTCTGGCATATTTGCTAGTTCAAATAATATGAAGTAATGAAGATGGAATTTTGAATTTCATACACAAACATAAAAAATGAATTCAAGTTAGAATAAATTTCTAATGGATATATAGACTATGATTGCAACTTTGGAGTAAGTATATAAACAAAAGTCAATATACTATATTGAAAAGTATATTAAGTGGTAGTATTGTGAGTGATTTAGATTTAAATTTGTTTGCCATATTTTTAACATGAGAAAAGGAGTAATAGCAATAACACAGTGTTATGGTCTGAAAGTTTGTGTCCTCCAACCCCAATTCATATACTGAAGTCCTAACTCCTAAGATGATGATATTAGGAGGTAGGATCTTTGGGAGATGATTAAGTCATAAGAGTGAAGCTTTTATGAATGGGATTAATGACTTTGTAGAAGAGACCCCAGAGAGCTGCTAGCCCTTTTTTGGCTCCATGAAGATATAAAAAGATGGTTATCTGCCCTCACCATAACCTCACCATACTGGCATCCTTGTCTCAGACTTCTAATCTACGGTAATTTGTTATAACAGCCCAAACTTACGAAGCCATATGGAGAGAATTAGTGAAAGAAGCATTGTAGGGAGGAACTATTAAAGAAACAAATTTAGTGGTCCAGCAGAGCACAGGTGGTAAAACCTTGAATGAAATATTCACCTGCTGACATTTTTATAACTTTGTGAAATCATTAATTGTATTATATTTCAATTGCAGTATATTATAGTATTAAAATTGTGGTTTAACATTACAGTGAAATTTATATTCTATCAAAGTAAAAGAAAAAAAGGAAAAATTGAAGGCTTCCCACAATACTTTTTCTATACTACTTCTCAGAGGTAATCACAGTATTTGGATATATTATTATAGATAGAAGTATACACACATATATGTATATAATATATATGATAATTAGATTAATAATGCTAATATTTAATTCTACAACAAGACTTTTTAAGCACGTTATAGAAAACAGAACCTAAGTATATATAGTTCAAGAAATTTGCACAAATTACAAGGAGCAGTTATGAAATGAAAACCCCAATCATGAGAGAGATACTGCTAGCATACGGGTAGCCTTCCTGTGTTTCTTTCAAGCTGTGACTGAAACACCAGGGATTGGGTCTAGTTCCTACTGCTCACCACACAGAAAGACAATGACTGAGATGGCAAGTATTACCAAGGAAGAAGGCTTTATTTGGGTGCTGCAGCTGAGGAGATGGGACCTCAGTCTCAAATCCATCTTCGTGACTAAAACTAGAAATTGATGGGAAGCATTATAATGAATGAGAGGTCTGGCATCTCATTTTCTGGATGTGATATGGTGAGTTTCAGTTCTTTGATTTTTTTTTTTTTTTTGGTGGGGGGGAAGCCTGATGATCCCTTCCTGAGGAATGAACTCACATAAAATAAATATAAGTTTGAAGTTTTAAGACTAGAAGGATCAATTTCTATGTTTATCTTTAAAAAAAATGTAGTTATGGGACTACTGGGTCAGTTTCAAAGCTACTACCTCACCCCCTTCCTAGGGAACCACTATTTCTGACTTCTTATAGCAACGGTCCCCAAGCCCCAGGCCATGGACTGGTATGGGTCTGTGGGCTATAGGAACCAGGCCACACAGCAGGTGGTGAGCAGCAAGCAAGTTAGAAGCTTCATCTGTATTTACAGCTACTCCCGTCACTCACATCACTGCCTGAGCTCTGCCTCCTGTCAGATCAGTGGCAGCATTAGATTCTCATAGGAGTGCAAACCCTATTGTGAACTGCGCATGTGAGGGATCTAGGTTGTGAGTTCCTTATGAAAATCTAATGTCTGATGATCTGTTACTGTCTCCCATCACTCCCAGATGGGACCATCTAGTTGCATGTAAACAAGCTCAGGGCTCCCACTGATTTCTACATTACGGTGAGCTGTATAATTATTTCATTATATATAATAACATATTAATAATATAAATGAAGTACACAATAAATGTAATGTGCTTGAATCATCCTGATACCATCCCCACCATACCACCAGTCTGTGGGAAAACTGTCTTCTACAAAACCAGTCCCCGGTGTCAAAAATGTTGGAGACTACAGTCTTACTGACTATATTACCTGGAATTGCATTGTACTTTATATAAATGAAATTATAGAAAGTGTACTCTTTTTTGATGGGGCTGCTTTATCTCACCTGCATGTTTGTGATATATATACATAGCCAAATGTAGTTGTAGATCATTAACTCTCATTACCTCATAATATTCCAGTATGTGATTATACTATGATTTATGCATCCATATTTTCCATTTATTGTGTTGTTATATATATATATATATGCTATATATATATGTGTGTGTGTATATATATGTGTGTGTGTATGTGTGTGTGTGTGTGTGTGTGTGTATATATATATATATATATATATATATATACCTGTTCTGATGGCTCTATACCTACAAATGAAAATTCTGAGTCACAGTTTGTGTATGTTCAGCTTTAGTACATAATACCTAATATTCTCCCAAAATGATTCTACAAATTTCCTCTTTTCATCAACATATGAGAGTTCTGATATCAACACATCCTTGCTTTATAGGTTTTCTTTTATTTTTATGTCATTCTGATGGGTGTGTGGTGGAGTTGTATATTTTTCACTACATTTCTTTGTGCTTGTTGACCTTTTTTATACTCTATGTTATAAAGTTCCTGGTCACTTTTCTCTCTCATTATACCATTGAATTGTCCATATTTTGACAAAGAATTTGTAGAAATCCCTTACATATTTTTATTATCTGCCTCTTATTGATTACATGTGATGCAAATATCTTCTCCCATTCTAGTGATTTCATTTTTCATTTCCTAATGGTACCTCTTGCGTAGCAGTTTTAAATTTTAATACAGTTCAATGAATTGAATTTGATGTTAGGCATTTTCTGAGTGTACTGTTTAAGAATATTCTACTACAATGTCATAAAAGCTTCCTCTATGCTTACCTATAAAAAGCTTTTCTTTTTTTACCCTGTATGTTTATTTAAATATGTTGTAACTTGTATTTTGCAGCCACAAATAAACTGGAGACTTCTTTGCTTATCAAAGCATATCACATTACATGAACAAGAAACAAAAGAAAAACTAAATTAATTAAATTAAATACAAATGAAAAACATAAGTGCTTCTAAGTATGCTGTTAAAAAGTGAAAAGACAATCTACAAAATGGAAAGAAATATCTTCAATTATATTTAAATAGATAAATTGGACTCTATACAAATAAAAATATGAGTTTTTAATAACACAATTAAAAAGTGAAAAAACAAGCACAGAATGGGAGAAAATAACTGCAAATTATTTATCTAAAAAAAAGACTTGCATTAAAATATATAAACAACACTTAAACCTAAATAATTAAAAGACAATATACCAATTAAAATTGTGCAAATAATTACAATAAATATTTAAAGAAGATATACAAATAGCCAAAGTAAACATGAAAATATGCCCAACATTATTTGTGATTATGAAATTGCAAATGAAAACCAAAGGTGATACATTACATACTATGACGACTATAATCCAAAGGTAGAAAATGAAAAGTGTTAGTAAGTACATGGAGAGCTTAAAATAATTATACATTGTTGGTAGAAACATAAAATCATTCGAGTGGTTTGTGAAACAGTTTGAAAGTTCTTCCCTAAACAGAGTTATGACAGGACTCTGCAATTCCACTTCCTATTATGTATCCAAGAGAATTGAAACATCTATGCAGACAAAAATTTAGACATAAATGTCTATGGCATTGTTATTGATAATAAGCAAATTGTAGAAAAAAACACAAGTTTTCAGAAAATGATGAAAAGATAAAATTCAATATATCTATAGAATGCAATATTATTTGGCAATAAAAAGAATGAAGTATTTATTCATACTACAACATGAATGAATGTTGATTACATTAAGCTAAATGAAATAAGTCAACCACAAAGGCCACATATTGTATAATTCTATTTATACAAAATATACAGAATAGGAAAATTTATAGAGACATAAGGTAACTTATTGGTTGCCAGCACCTGGGGAGAGGGGGGAATAAGTGAGTGCAAAGTAGTATGGAGTTTCTTTTTTAAAGTGATGAAAATGTTCTAAAATTAGATAGTAATGATGGTTGCAAAACTCTGAATATACTAAATTCTACAGAATTTCACAGTTTACAAGATTGAATTTTATGGTACATGAAGTCTTTGTCAATAAAACTGTTTTTTTAAGTCCTCAAAATAATATATTGCATTGTCTCATATTTTATTGAAACAATTCCCTGACAATAAATATTTAGAGTACTTCCAATATTTTTATTAGACATATTGTTATTGTTCTCCTTTCTTTGGGTTCCTGTGTGTCTGTGTGTGTGTGCGTGTGTGTGTGTGTCTGTGAGACAGAGAGAGAGAGACAGAGACAGAGAGCCAGAGCCAGAGCCAGAGACAGGGAAAGGGTATATATAAGGTGGTGAAAGAGAGCGAACATGTGTGAGAGGCATGATCTTTGCTCAGTTTTGTCAGGATTTCAAAATAATACATTTCCCGTAGCAGAATTTTATAAAGTTTTTTTGAACATTTATTGGCCTTTTATATTTCTTTTTAAAGCAGTACATATCTTTGCCTTCAGACCTTTGCTATTTCTAGAGATTCAGCTCTTTCTTATTGACCTATATGATCTTTAGGATGGTAAAGAATATAAAAGTTTGTCATATATATGTATGTGTGTGTGTATACACATATATAGTATTTTTTCCATATATGTCATTTATCTTTGAATGGTTTGTAGAGATTTTCTATAGTAACTGACAAAACAAATTTTACCCATTATTTAAGTTAAGACATAAAGTGTTGCCAATATTTTAAATGATGCTAGTGTTTCTCATACCATCCTCTCTTCAAAAGATAACTCTTATTCTACATAATGTGTTTCTCAATTCCTTTTAAATATTAGTTTCATTCTATATCTAGGATATGTGTGCTTTATTTGTCTTGCCTCTAAACTTTGTATTTATATAATTATGCTGTATGTATCTTGTAAGACTTGCTCTTTTTTCAATGTAATAGTGATATTTGTGCACAGGTGAAGAGTTAATTGAGTGTACATAATTAACTGTAGAACTGTTGGATTCTATGTTATGTTTATATTTAAGGTATAAATAAATAACAGGAAATTTTGTTCAAGGTGTTTTTGTTTAATTTAGAATTCCACAATCAGTTTCTGAGAGTGTTATATTAGTTCACTGTTTTAAATATCTATTGATGGTATTCGTCATTCTTAGCATTGTAATAACATAAATTGGCACATTACATTATATTTAGCCTAACGATTTCTCTGTACTTTGAAACCATATGTAACAAATTGCAATTTAACATACTACGTAAACAAACTGCAATGTAATTTAGGAGTCTATTCTCCTAACAAGTAGCTGAGTCTCAGCCGATCATAGCAACCAAACTTCAGCCAATTAATGGCTACCAACTGATCAGACCATGTCATACAAAGCATATACAACATCACACCATGCCCAAATAAACCAAGGGCTGAGCTGTAATGAACCAAGTGGTTTCTCTATGTCACCACATTCCTTTTAAGTATATAAATACTGCCTGCCCATTGCTGGGTGGAGCTCTCTGAATCTGTTCTGGTTCGGAGTGATGCCTGTTTATGAATTTTTGTCATTAAATAAACTCTCCTAAATTTAGTTGTCTACAGTTTTTGTTTTAATAGTTTCGAATCAGAAGTGGGATCTAGAATAGACCTCCAGCCATCCCCAGGAGCAGCGAGTGACCAAGTCAAGGTACCTGCTGGAAATATAGTGTCCACTGCTCTCTCGCAGCACTTAGAGGTTGTGAATGAGATCTGTCTCAGATTCAAGCTGCACAAACCTGTATTATCAGCTCTCTGAGTTTATTTAAACATTTTTATACTTTTTAGGTTCATATATTGCAACAGAAATATAACTAGGTCTTTTAGGGAGGCCTTCAGTGTCTGAGTAGGTCCAAGAGAGACTGGACTGGGTTCAATAGGTAGTCAAGGCTACTAGAAGACAGGGAATTGTGGCTTCATCTGGGCCCAAAGAGTCTAGAACTTCTCTATGTAGAGCTTCAGCCAATTTCAAGTACAAGAGCTATTGATTCAAAACCCATGCTTTTCTAGAAAAATGGGGTAGCCTTCCCAAAGGTAACTTAAAAGCTACAGTGGTCATGGGAAGGGGGACTTCTTACAAAAAAACTACAATAGATACAGGGACCATGAGGACCTCCTCTTTAAACCCAAACCAAGGTAGCCCAAACTAATAAATCCAGTGTCCTGAAATGTCTGCCTTTTTTGGAAATAGCCCAGCCATTGGAAAAGAAATGATTCATTTTTAAACCTGCCATCTGATAGACCATCCCTTTGGCTTGGATTCTTTTCCTACTGGAGGAAATAGCCAAAGGCTTTACTTCTAAGACAATAATCGACTAATTTCTCAGAAAGAAAAAAAAGATTTTTTATGGGGTTTCAAATCAAGTCCAAAAAGTCTACATGTCTGAACTCAATTGACACTTGGCCCATTAAACAACAACAACAACAACAAAATATATATATATATATATTTTTTTTTTTTCTAATAATTAGTCCTTTCTCTTATCTCTATTTGATACTGTTTCTCCTATGGGAACCCTTCAGTCAACTAAAACCCCTTTTCTCAAACCACTTATGACTAAATCTTCTACCAACTCTGTCTACTTCTTTTTTGTTGTCATGATCTTTGCTATGCCCCAAAACTCTTTCAAAAACAAAAACAAACAAAAAAACATGATTGGTCTGTCATTCAATCCTGAAAACAAAAAAAGATTGAACCTGTTTCTGATGATAAAACCTCTCCTTTATATGCTGAGTACAAGCCTACAAAATGCTTGTATTACAGTATCTGGCACACGGCTAAACTTTTAGAATGAAAGCTGTAAGATTTGTTTCGGTGTAAATGTTTTTATATAACTGTATGTATGACATATTCGTGTGATTTTGTTTTTCTCTCTATGATATTGAAAATTGTAAACTGTAAAAAACACTCTATTTAATTGCCTTAAAATGTGCACTTACATAAGTTAAGTATTCTCTCAGAAAAATAAGGTATAAATCAAATTCTTTTCAAGTTTACATGACTTGGGTAATCTTTGGTAAATAGAGATACTATTGGTTTGATTAAAACAGGCATATCTTCAGATTGGTCAGCATTAAATATAATACAGACACATGATTTCCTATCTAGGCCTAGTGGTAAATTAAGCTTTTGTTATCTCTATATTGCAAAATTTGTCAGCAAGAAAAATAGCTTTTGTTACTGGCTAGCTGATAATGTCTCATTTTCATGAGCAACTCAAGCATATTTGTTGAAAAACAAGTGAGGTAAACAGATGTAAGATAGAATTTCTGTATGAATGATGTCCTCCCTATACGAGAAGGTTTTACTATTTTTATTGTAAAGAGGAAAGTTGAGAAAAATACATAAATAAATTATTTAATTATCATCTAGCTAAAGAAAACCCTAAAAAAAAGTTCCTCCTCTACAGGTTCTTATTACAGAGAGACTAAACATAGTAAACATGTTCTTTGCCACACTGACAAATTTTACTATGAGAAAGAGTATGCATCTAGAAATTATGGTTCATAGATAGATTTGTCAATCTGTGGATTTCTGGTGTGACAGACAGTTCATAATTGCTTGCTTCCAAGCATTGACTGGAAATTAAGGTCACTAAGGGTTAAAAATTCTATAACATATTTAACGAATATTACTAGAAATAATTTTAAAAATTATCTATATGCAAATATGCAAGAAAAGTATGATGTGTTTTTTGTTAAGAAAAAGGTAGAACGTGTGAAATTGTTCTGTTTTATGAGGGGAAAAAGAGAGTAACTTTTTCTTAAAATGAAATGACTGGTTGTTTCAAAATAAGAAAAAGGAAAAGTACAGAACATAAAATTGAATACATATGAGAAAGTTATAGAAAGTTTGTAGAAGAGGAATTCTTGCAAAGTTATTTTATTATTGTTATTTATTATTTATTCATTTATTTATTCTTATATTGAGATGGAGTCTCACTCTGTTATCCTCCTAACAGCCATCATAAGAGTCTCTTTGGTGCGATGTACCTTCTCAATGGATTTAAAAGTTTATATGAATTCATCTGTTTTATATCCGATGGTCTTACTATGGTTAGAATAATGAAAGTAATGTAGTTTTTCTGATTCTGTGAAGAAAGTCATTTGTAGCTTGATGGGGATGGCATTGAATCTTTAAATTATGTTGGGTAGTATGGCCATTTTCACGATATTGATTCTTCCTATCCATGAGCATGGAATATTCTTCCATTTGTTTGTGTCCTCTTTTATTTTGTTGAGCAGTAGTTTGTAGTTCTCCCTAAAAAGGTCCTTCACATCCCTTGTAAGGTGGATTCCTAGGTATTTCATTCTCTTTGTAGCAACAGCCCACATTTCCAAGACAATACTAAGCAAAAAGAACAAAGCTAGAGGCATCACACTACCTGACTTTAAATTATACTACAAGGCTACAGTAACCAAAACAGCATGGTACTAGACCCAAAACAGCATGGTACTAGTACCAAAACAGAGATATAGACCAATGGAACAGAGCAGAGGCCTCAGAAATAATGCCACACATCTACAACCATCTGATTGTTGAAAAACCTGACAAAAATAAGAAATTGGGAAAGGATTCCCTATTTAATAAATGGTGCTGGGAAAACTGGCTAGCCATATGTGGAAAGCTGAAACTGGATCCCTTCTTTACACCTTATACAAAAGTTAATTCAAGATGGATTAAAGATTTAAATGTTAGACCTAAAACCATAAAAACCCTAGAAGAAAACCTAGGCAATACCATTCGGGACATAGGCATGGGCAAGGACTTTATGACTAAAACACCAAAAGCAATGGCAACAAAAGCCAAAATAGACAAATAGGATCTAATTAAACTAAACAGCTCTGACATAGCAGCATGAAAAGAGATTTTGAAATGTGTCTTTAAAGTTTGAGCATGTTTCAATAACATTTCAGTTCTGAGACTTTTCATTTAACTTGCAGAAAATTCTGAAGGAAGGCCTATTCCATCACTGATTCCCAAAGGTTAAATCAAGCCTGTACTTTGAGCAATGAACCTTTAGCATGAGAGTATATTGAACTACAGTTTGTCATTTCTTAGGAAAAAGTGACTTATCTATTACAAGAAATTGATGACAACTGAATTGTCTCACTTCATGTGTGCTGGAGAGGACATAATGTTATTCTCCACAGAAACACAGAAAAAAAAAAAAAAACTTGTTTGGCAAATGCCAGGAATTTATTATCACTAGAGTCAATAGAGTAATGAACCATTAAATTTTTTTGTCAGAATATATTCAGCATATGTATGTTGCAAGGTCATTATTTATTTTTAGTAGAAAATTCCAGGTATTAAATAGGCAGCTAATCTATTAAGAATTAGTAAAGTAAAACCTGTTTAATGAATTGGGCATAATAATATTTTCTTGTTTTCTTTCTTCTTTTTTTTTTGAGTCGGAGTCTTGCTCTGTCGCCCAGGCTAGAGTGCAGTGGCGAGATCTCTGCTCACTGCAAGCTCCGCCTCCCGGGTTCACGCCATTCTCCTACCTCAGCCTCCCGATTAGCTGGGACCCCAGGCATCTGCCACCACGCCTGGCTAATTTTTTTTTTTTTTTGAATTTTTAGTAGAGACGGGGTTTCACCGTGTTAGCCAGGATGGTCTCTATCTCCTGACCTCATGATCCGTCCACCTCGGCCTCCAAAGTGCTTGGGATTTACAGGCATGAGCCACTGTGCCAGGCCTATTTTCTTTTTTTCTAATGTTCATGGGTAACCGTAACACTTTATTCTATACGAATCTCAAAAATGATATTTTATAGAAGCAGTAGTGCTTTTTGTGTGTGTGATAGTTTGCGTTGACACGGTACTCTGACACTCATTTTATTTTTCTCAGAAACCTTGACATATATCCTCCCAAATGCATTAATGCCCCTAACTTAACTTGCAAAAACAGCAAGTTTACTTGTAATAAAGTAGCTTCTGCTTCAAATAAAGTGTACTGTTAGCTTTGGAAACAAAATTCAATTCTTTCTGACAGTTTTTACCATTTCCTCAAAATCAAAAAACATGACATGAAATAAACACCGGCTAACATAAGTAAATGAAATAATAACATTAGATTTACAAAAAACGCAACACACAAACTGCGTAACATAATAATGATGTCTGCAAAAGTGAATGAGAGAGAAATTTTTGGTAAGCTCCATTCATGCAAAAGAGAAGTATAAGAAATGGTGGTACAGTTTGGTGGGGTGCCAGATTATACATGACCGAGTAGAAACTAAATTGAGTTGGTGAAAATTTTTACAAGTGGTTGATGTGCAAATGTTATGCAAGGGGAATAGGAAAATGCAATATGATTTCATATAGAAGTAAAATTATGAAAAAGTAGAAAAATATTTTATGTTCTGCAATATAGAAAATAATCTATAATGGAATTATTTATATTATTCGTATCATTTCCATAGCAACTATTCCAACTCTATTTTAGAAATAACTTATTTTCAAATTTAAAGAGAAGGTACAAAAAGTCTTTTATTATCTATTTTATAATAAATTATTTATTATATTTATTTATAGAAGTTTTATAATAAATCTAAAACCTTCATGCTTCTCATAATCTTTGTTTTATAACTCTATAGGGATATTATAAGAAATATTATAATTGTCAGGTAGAAAAATTCACCTAACTTTTAAAATTCTTTAATGCTACTTTAATTATTTCAATGTGCTAAATTCAAATACAAATAATAATGTTAATAAATTATTAAAGTAAGTTCATAATTGATCACATTTCATGAAAAAAAGCTTGTCTTTATCTCTCAATTTATTATCACCTCCCCCCAGTTTATGCCAATCTATTTATCCCTCTAGCTTTATCTCCACATGTATTAAAAAGCTTATACCTAATGGTAGAAATGTTATGTATAGAAATTGAGATTTAGTTAATAGTAACACATTTCTTTTTTTTCTTCACCTATTTTCTTATCCCATGTTCTCTATCAAACAGAATAACAAACAAATATTACGTGATTATGCCTTACTGAAAATTTGTAATTCAGGATGCCAAAATAACAGGAGGAAAGCAAAAGTAGCCAGAGAGATAGGAAAGTCAGATAAAGGTAGTGTCTTACTTGGCTGGCTAACACTACAAAAAGCACAGCTTGTTCTTGTACACTTGTGCCTTTTCCACAAGGTATGTGGAATTATGTGCAAGATAGAAATGTCTACTATTTGAAAAAGAAAAAGGAAGTTATCTTTTTATCCTTTAATTTTCCTATTTCTCATTGATCTCAGTTCTTCCCATGGGGCATTAATTACTCTGTAGTACCTAGTTTTGGTACCCAGCGTTTCTCGTCAAATTTCATGTATGCACTCAAACCTAAGTTGGCCATATGAAGAGGCAGAATAGATGAAGCTCTTCTGTATATCTTCTTTGAGCAAAATTTTGCATCCAATTTTAAGTTAGGAAAGATAAATATGGGAAGGCACATAAACAGCCTTTTAATTGGGCCCGTTTTAAAATATAATACCTAGACAATCATACAGTATACATTCTCCTGATTAAAGTGTACTTTGGTGCTCACATGTCAGCAGTCCTGTTAGATATACACTTAGCAGCAAATTGTTGAATTAAAGGTTCTATTGTGATCAGAATAGTGAGATAAGTGAATTATTCTTGCTACATACCTTAGTCAACACATGATATTGCCATGTTTTTATTTGTATTGTTAATTTTTTAGGCTTCTATTGCCAGTTCATTTTCTCGATCTGTCTTGATTTACATTTTCCTTATGATAATATGATTTTCAGAACAAGTTTAATAGTCTTCTACCCATTTAAATGTATTCTGTTGGGAAGTGCATTTTCAATCATTTGCCTATGAGAGGGCAGAGATTGCCTGTTTATTCTAAAGGAAGTGTGACAGTTATTTATAGATTATATGTCCCAGTCTATTGCCAAATAAATATTTTGAAAACTGTGTATCCCATACAATGACTTCACTTTCCTCTTTTTTTATTTCTTTTGAGATGTAGTCTCATTCTGTCCCCCAGGATGGAGTGCTGTGACATGATCATGGCTCACTGCAGCCTTGGTTTCCCGGGCTCCAGCCATCCTCTCACCTCAGCCTCCAGAGCATTAGGGATATAGGGGCGCACCACCACACCTAGTTCATTTTTATTTTTATTTTTTATTTGTAGAGATAAGGTATCACCATTTTGCCTAGGTTGACCTCAAACTACTGGACTCAAGTGATCTTTCTGCCACAGCCTCCCAAAATTCTGAGATTACAGGCTTGAGTGAGCCACTGCTTACAGCCTTTCCTATTTTGGAGTCATTTCTTTTAATATACAAAACTTGTGGACTTTAATGTAATCCAAATTGTCAATTTTTTTTTACAGTGGTGTTTTGTTTAAGAAATTTTCTAACATAAATCTCATGAAAACATTCTTCCTTATTTCTGGAATCTTCATTCTTTTGGTCTATGATTTATCTGGAACTAACAGCTGTGTTTAGTGAAATTTCTGGGTCAAAATTTATTTTCTTAATTATGGATATTTAATTAATACAGTGTTACCTATTAAATAGACAAACCTAACTAGAAATAGAAGAACATTTATCAATTTGATGTTTAAGAATCTACTGATCCCAGAGCTAAAATCAGATGTAATGTTGAGAAGCTAATTGCTTCCTCACTAAGGTCAGGAGCAAGGCAAGGATGTCTTCTTTCCTCATTCCTATTCAATATCATACTGAAAGTCCTAGATAATGTAATAAGACAATAAAAGGAAATGGGAGAAATACAGAATCAGAAGGAAGAAGTAAAACTATCTTTGTTTACACATTATATGATTGCCTATTTTAGAAATCCCAAATAATCAACAACAAAAAACCTACCTTATAGAGCTAATAAGCCATTGCATAAACTATATTCTCAAATATATTCTCACTTCATCAATATACTCTCAATGTTTGTATTCTCAGTGCTTTCTTGTCTTGGTGAGAGAGGAGAGACTGCCCATTCCTGGGCTAGCCAATTATTAAAGATAGGAAATAACTCCCCCTGGAGTTATAAACAATTCAGAGACCATACTCTGAAACACCTCTATCTATCTTACCTATACACCCCAGGAGGCAATATTTCTCTGCTCTAATCATCCTAGGGCCAGGTACAATACAACTAGAGATAGCCTGTCTACCTGAGAGCCTGCTGAAATTATTCAAACTCTCTAACTGTAAGTCTGTTCACTCTGCCTTGCCTTGTCTTTTCCATGGAAACCACAATAAAAGCTGTTACCCTCACACTTTCTACCTCCTGACAGATTCTGGTGCTTCTCCATGTGACCCTTTCTCTTCCTCTTGGCCTGCTCAACCCGAAGATGACTTCAGCTCAACCTGAAGATGAATGAGTGCTTTTATGATGATCCACTTCCACTTAATTAGTAGTAAATATATTTCCTCTTCTTTATGATTTTCTTAATAGCATTATCTTTCTATAGGTTACTTCATTGTAAGAACACAGTATATAATACATATAACATAGAAAATATGTGGTAACCAAATGTTTATGTTATTTGTAACACTTTTCTGGTCAGCAGTAGGCTATTAGTAGCTACATTTGGGGAGAGTCAATAGTTACATGTGGATTTTTAACTGTGGTTAAATTACTGTAATTTTTTTTTTTTTTTTTTTTTTTGAGACGGAGTCTCGCTCTGTCGCCCAGGCTGGAGTGCAGTGGCGCAATCTCCTCTCACTGCAAGTTCCGCCTCCCGGGTTCACGCCATTCTCCTGCCTCAGCCTCCAGAGATAGCTGGGACTACAGTTCCCGCCACCACGCCCAGCTAATTTTTTTCTATTTTTAGTAGAGACGAGGTTTCACCGTGTGAGCCAGGATGCTCTCCATCTCCTGACCTCGTGATCCTCCCGCCTCGGCTTTCCCAAAGTGTTGGGATTACAGGCGTGAGCCACCACGCCCAGCCAAATTACTGTAATTTTAAATGTGTTTTGCTATCCACTAGGTTACGCCTTTCCATTTTTGAAATTTGAAATCATTTTGTTTTTCTTGTCCATTTTCATTTTCATATAAATTCTTTCAGAAGTATGTCATTTTCCCCAATACGCTCTGTTCTAAGCTAGATATATGCTCTATTCATCTATCCATTTACTTTTTTTTTTTTTGCAAGAGACTTTCCATATCACTCTAAACAAAACATTTTCCGTGGACTGCAAGTCTTTACATGATCTGTCTCCATCATTCGAGTCTCTGCCTTATTTCTTACTGCTTTTCTCTCAGTTCAGTCACCTCAGCCTCCTCTCTTTTCCTCAGACTTCAAGCATGGTCCATTTTATGGCATTTGCATTTGCTGAGTTCTTATATAACTCTTTTTTTTTTTCCTTGAGGCAGAGTCTCACTCTGTTGCCCAGGCTGGAGTGCAGTGGTGCGATCTCGGCTCACTGCAACTGCCTCCTGGGCTCAAGCAATTCTTGTGCCTCAGCGTCAGGAGTAGCTGGGACCGCAGGTGCGTGCCACCACGCCCAGCTAATTTTTGTATTTTTAGGAGAGACTAGGGTTTCTCCATGTTGGCTAAGCTGGTCCTGAACTCCTAATCCGCCCACCTCGACCTCCAAAAATGCTGGGATTACAGGCGTGAGACACCGAGCCCAGCCAACACTCCAATTTTATTTAAGCCATGAGACTCACTCACTTCATTCCAGTAAAATTAACATTTTTATTAGAACATTACACAGTTATTAAAATAGTAGTAGTAAATATTTATAAACGGTCCTCAACGTACCATAATTTGACAAAATTTTTCAGTTTTACAATGGTGCAAAAGTGATATGCATTCAGTAGAAACCATACTTCAGGTACCTTTGAAATCATGCTAATATTCACTTTTAAAATAGTACAGCACTTCCTCTTTATCCATGGGATAAAATCTCCAATAACCCCCATGGAAGCTTGAAACCACAGATAGCTCCAAACCCTATGTGTATAACAGGTTTTCACCGGTACATACATAAATAACTATGATAAAGTTTAATTTACAAATTAGGCACACTAAGAGATTAACAATAGTTAATAATAAAATAGAAAAAATATAAAAATATCCTGTAATAAAAGTCATATTAATATGGCCTGTCTCACTTTCTCAAAATATCTTATTGTACTGTATTTACCTATTTTGAGTCCGTGGTTGACCATAGGTAACTGAAATCGTGGAATGCAAACAGTAGATAAGGGGAGGCTACTGTTACCTTAAAATTGCTTGAGATAGTCAACACTTTATTATAAAATTAGCTTTGTGTTAGATAACTTTGCCCACCTGTAGGTTAATGTATGTATTCTAAGCATGTTAAATGCAGGATAGGCTAAGCTATAACGTTCAGTAGGTTAGGCATATTAAATGCATTTTTTGACTTCAATATTTTCAACTTATTATGGTTTTATTGGGATGTTAGCCCCATCATAAATAAAGGACCATCTATATTTAGTGATGAATAAACATATAGGAAGTATATTGTTAAGTTAGTAATTCATGTTTCAGGATAATATATATATATATATATATATACACAAATATTATTTT
Source organism: Homo sapiens (assembly GCF_000001405.40). Classification (NCBI taxonomy): domain Eukaryota; kingdom Metazoa; phylum Chordata; class Mammalia; order Primates; family Hominidae; genus Homo; species Homo sapiens. The sequence goes on along the minus strand of NC_000004.12, from coordinate 63,404,304 downwards.
ATAAAAAATTACATTCACATATGCTTCTACAAAACATACAATAAACTTTTCACACTTAATAGTCTGGAAAACTGGTGTCTGATGAGAAAACGTCTTTTAATTTTAGTTTTCATATTTTTATAGATAGGTTATTTCACCATGCACCTAGTATAATTTTGTAATATGATTAACTATTACAAATAAATAAATAGAAATAATTTCTCATTACTCAGTTTAATATGCTGGGAGGCATTTTTGCACTGCAGGTTTGTGGAGCTCTTTATCAAGGTTGTTTTTCCATTATGAAAGTTTCTTTACCAGGGAAGATAATGTATTGATTTATTGTCATTATTATATAATATATTAATTATAAATATATATAATATTTATATTTATATGTATAAAGCATTTCCCAATGCTTTATATATTCCTTCATTTTCAAACGAATTGTTATAATATGGAGTTTTTTAAAAACAAAATGAATTCAATTATAGAAAAATAGCTAACCTAGCCCAATATTTGGAATATCATAAATGCTAAAATTTCAGTATGCCATCCGGAAATTGAAATTATAAGTACACCATCAGATTCATTGAACACTTGCTCTCTCAAGACAAAATTAATTTCAATAATGCTTGTGCTTTAAAAGTCATGAGTATGGTAAAATTAATCACATTTTAACAAGATATATTGTTTGAATGTCTAATGCATATTAATGTCCTGAAAGTTATGGTTATTTATCTTCATATTTAAAAGTTTTCACAATCTTAACATTAGTAATGTGCAAAGTCAGTGCTCTGCAAAGCCTTCTGTTATGCACAATGGAACATTTTTTTAATAAGGATAGGCATCTTAAGCTTACATTACTAACTCTTATATAATATCGTTAAATGCTTTCTAAAAACTGAACATTGTTAAAAATTTGATTTAAATCTTTCATAATAAGATTGCTTCAAAATTTTTTCATTAATGGCACTAATGAGACCACAAAATATCACAATTTATTTTGTTAATAAAGAATATATTAGTGTGCTGAATTTGTCAACTGAAGTTACCTTTAAAACATAAAATATACAATCATTGTTATATACATATATATAAGTAAAACCTTACTCCAATTTTTCACTGTTTTAATCTTTCATTCTTTTTATTTTACTTATCAATTGCCAAAGAAATACTTTCCTACCAGTTTGTCCATATCAATTCTTACCTATTTTTATCATTGTACTCAGAGCACCCTTTCAAAAAATACAAAATGGTCTTTCAACGTTCTTATTTAAAATCCTACAGGGACTTTAGATTGCTCTTAGAAGATATTCCAAAACTCTTAAACAGGATTTTAATTGGTCAGATATTAGTTTATCTTTCCAGCCATAACTACCATTCTTCTGCTTTATTATTTTTTGACATCCACATTTGCCTTTCTGTTATTAATCTTGACCTCAGTTAAATTACTTATTAGCAACTTCTCATATAACATTTTTTATTTAGGTGTCTCTTAAAAATGTAATCTAAAACATTCTATTTTGTATCCTTCTGATTTGCTTCTCTTTGAACTTCCCCTTCTCTTTCAATGTTGCAGCCATTTCTCATGTCACTGAAGCCATTTATATTTTGCCTCGTTTGTTCACTTTGGCGATAATATCAAATCAGTCACCAAGTTTTCTTTTTGTTTAATCATCTTACCTCAAAGCATTTGTTAATATTTTTAAAATGCATTTTTACTCTCAGTGCTACAACTTCATCTAATTTTCCATCACTTTGCTCTTTTAATCTAACAATCATGCAGTCATCTTTCTGTCATTTCTCAATACTCCATCGAAGCAACATATTGTACCAGGCACCGGAAATAAAATAGGGAATGAGATAGGTACATGTCTAATGAAATTTATATTTAAATCAAGGCGATGAACAAACAGATGAATAAATAAACAAGAAATAATAGACTGTTACAAGCAAGAAATAATGGACTATTACATACTGTTAGAAGACTAAACAATTGCAATGCATGAGAGCTTTATAAAGTTTCTCATTATTTTAAGTATTTGTATTTAATGTGTACAATATTGTGCAAATGGTTTACCTACAAAAACTTATTGGATCCTTTCCTAGAGCATTACTTGTTATTATTACCTTACTTTTGTAGATAACACAAACAAGTTACAAAGAAAATATAAAATTTACAAAAGTCCTACAGTAGGTGAGCTTGTGACATCCATAAGTATAGATCTAGATTATTTCTCTGTCCTGTAGAAGCATGAACCCCATTCACCCTCAGTTAATCTCATTGCCTTTCTGTATCTCTGTTATATATTTTTGAGTCAAGGCAACTTTAAAAATATGGACTATTTAAGTCTGTAATTGAATTATGTTCCCAAGAGTTTTCCTCTGTTGTTTCGATGTGTGTGTGTGTGTGTGTGTGATGTGAGTTTCCAGAGGTTCATGCACTAGTGTCTCTTTAACTTGTTGTTTCCTTCTATCCTTCTAACTGTGATGCAAGATGGAAGTGATAAGAAATATAGGACTTAATATTATATCTTAATGATATAAAATGTGTTAAAAAGAGCCCACAAATTATTTTTGACAACAATCTGCTGATGAGGGAATTTATTCTAAGGCAGTATAAACAATATGTTAAAAAATGAAACAATACAGTATGGAAAAAATACCAACTGGACCAAGGTGATATAATTTTTAAGATAAATAAAAGCATACCATGAAAATAAATTTAAATTTACAGAAACAATCATCACAACAAATTAGTAACTCACATAACAGCTTGAGTGACAAAGTAAAATCACAAGCCATCCAACACCATATGTTTTTTCCCCTCTATCTCCACTCAGGTATGATGGTCTCAGATTCACATTAACTCAGGTTATTGATGGGGGCAGGAATGCCAGCGGTGAGTGGTTGAAGCATGGGAAAGATACTGAGTACAAGGTTATTTCTTGTAGTTAGCATTGTTTTGAGCTAAATTTCCTGTCACTTTTTTTATATATCTATTGAAAATAGCACTCATGATACATGAGGAACCCTACTTAAACTACCAACACTATACCTGCGCAAAAATTCTTTCTGAAAAATGTTATATCAGTTTACATATCAAAAGATAGGCCATAGAAGATAAGGAAGATGTTTTAAAGAAAAAATACCTGAATAACCATAGTAATGGCTTATGTCATGATTTGCAAAAAATTTCTCAGATATTATCTTATTTTGTAACTACTTATTTGACTTAGAAGATAGTAAAATATAAGAAAACATAATCTGAACATTTAAAAACTACTAATGTGATAAATACATACTCTCATCTTTGAGGCAGATGAAGAGAAAGTTTAAAAATAAAATGTCATTTTGGTTACTAGATCTAATTATAATAATATATTTAAAAGCTATAGTCCTCCCATGATTTATTAGTGTTTTTCAAAAGGTCCACTTTTCGATTAGATATCTCATTATCTTTCTTTTAATTTACCCTTGTGCTATTAAGACACAAACAATAGCCAACTCAGTTAATCTCTTTCACTCTCTCTTCTCACTCTTGTATTCTTCCAAGTCTAATAGAATTGAACACTTGAAGTTGTTGTTGTTGCTGTTTCCTCCTCTGTCCCTTTCTGCTATCCTAACAATATGCATTTGACCTTAGGCCACTCTTGTCAGTCCCAAGAAATTTGCACCTATATTAGCTGACTTCCTTTTTCATGATTTTTTTTTTTTTTTGCAGGGGGGTAAATGAGCAGCTCTAAGTATGACAAAATGATTAAATAAAACTAAATTTTCTTTCTAGTTTATGCATTGCTTACTTGCTATATGTGTCACACCACAAAACATTCAATGCTCCAATTTATTTATCATTATCTTTTTTTAACCTGGATTTGGAAAATTTAATCCATCTCTTATATTTATTTTAGATACTTATCAAATTTTATTTCTAATGTTGCATTAGAAAAGTCTGAAAATGAGTATGTACAAGGAAAAGTACGTGAAATAGAAGGAGAAAGACAATAATTGGTGTTTTGGATTATAGGTCAATTTTCTTATTTTTCTGCATATTGCTAAAAGGAGATATTTGAACATATTTTAAAAATATTTCGCAATAAAAATACAATTTAATATATAAAAGAGAAATAAGAATGAATTAAGTCATTGTAGTTCTGCTGTAAATTACTAAAATTTAGTAGTTGACAAAACACTAATTCATTTTTGAAAATAAATGATAGATAAATTGAAAAAAGTAACTGCTCTGAGCTATATAGTATAGTATAAGGCTTTGAGTATACTTTCTGAAAATTTAGCCAAATACTTAGATTTAGATACAAATTTAATAGAAAAATATATTCTCTCCAGAATAATCTATCAAGTTTGAGTGCCTTGCTAATAATTATCCTTAATAATGGTAATAAATAATTTTTGAATGCTTCTTCTCTTCCAAGCACCAAGCTAAGTGCCTTACAGTTATTATTTAAACAAACTTCTTTACCAACCATGTTATTTGGATTTTATTATTATTTCCAATATTAAGATAACCAATGGGAAGCTCAAAAAATGAAATTACCATCCTTAAGCATGTAATTTATAGAGAATGAATTTGAAATCAAGTCTTTCTCATACAAAATTCTATGTCAAGAGGAACTGATGTTCAACACACTATTAAATTCTATGAAAGAAGTTGACTTTCAGGAAACTAGTTTAAGAACTATTAAAATTATATTATTAGTTGTTTTGGAGTAGATGGGTCATTAAGGAAAGTGATTAAGGATTATATAATGCAATTCTTTTAAATGTAATAATTTTTCTCTAAAGACATTACATAGTAAATATATCAGTATGTATTTGAACATTTTGGTACAGATTGTAAAATTCAGAAGTTTACTACCAAAACGGCGGAGAACTGTTCTTTAAAATTAAGTATAAAAATGTAATATTATCATTCTATGTCAAATTATTTTAGGCCAATATTAACTCTTGGAGAATCCCACTTTAAACACCACCGTTTTGTGACATTATATTGTTCAGATGTAATATGAACATTATCAATATTATTTCCTAATTGTGTAAGCCCACTCCCAACTAAAAAAGAAAGCAATTGCTTTGGATAGTTGAACTGGTGTTTTAAGTAGATAAATTACCATGGCCTAAATTTCTTAGGTATGCATTTAATATTTCAAATAAATCATCTTGGTTAGAAATATTGATGAATGAGAAGTCATGGTGATTTAAATGTCTGTACAAAATATATACTTAGTGCTTCTTCAGAAAGCATACTTTTATCAACTATTCAACCTATGAATTCAATAGCAATAAAAATGTTTATGACAAGTATTATTGTCAGATTCAGTCATATTTGAACTAGAAAATTTAAAGAACCTGCTTTATATAAGCGAAGCAGAGGAAAATTCTGAAAACATGTATTAATAAAAATTTGACTAATTTCCGGGTCAAAACATCCATGTTATTCAAGCAAAAATATAGTGTGCAAGATATATATTCTGAAAAAAGTGATAAAATTTATATATTGACCAATACACATGCCATATATGTATTAAATATTCCATTTTCCTTATTTATATTTTTGTAGCAGAATCTCAGAAAAAGTCATAGTCAAGATTTATTATACTAAAAAAGTTTATAAATATATATTTATAGAGTATACATTATATTTATGTAATAAATATATACACTATTTTAATGAATAGTACACATTTGCAAATATATACATATATTTGTGTCTACATGTATATCTTTATATATATTATCTACATATATATGTATATATACATATGTAAATATGTATAAATTTGCAACTTCGTCTTATAAATAAATAGGTAGGTATTACTTGCATTTTTAACTAGTAATGATGTCAATAACTTATTTAAAATATATGGGATATGAATATTAGTTCTGGGATTTAATGTCATTTTAGTTTCATGAGCCCTTCCTCTACTTCACAAAGATGAACTCAATAATACTTAAGATGTAATTGAAATCCTGCGTGTGTCCTGGGGGTGTTTTTCTATTGTAAACCAAGCTAAGGCAATTGAACAAAAAGATTTGGCTAGAAACAGAAAATCAAATACTGTATATTTCTACTTATAGGTAACAGCAAAACAGTAGGTACACATGGACATAAAGATGGAAACAACACTGGGGACTCCAAAAAGGGTGGAGAATGGGAGGGGGGTAAAGGTTGCAAAACTACCTGTTGGATACTATGTTCACCATTTGGATGACGGGTTCAATAGGGGCCCAAATCCCAACATTACACAATATACCCATGTAGCAGACCTGAAAATGTACCCTGTGGATCTAAAGATTTTAAAAAAAACGATTATATAAAACGAAAGATGTATGTTAACACGAAAGTATCCTAAAAGAAACTATTTGTATTAAAATATGTAAAGTCATAAAGATGGAAATATTAAAGAGAAGGTATTACGCATAGTTTTTATTTGTAACTAAATTTCCAAAAAGACAGGGTACAGAGGGTGGTATAAACCAATATTTGAGGAAATAATGGCTTAAAATTTGCTAAAAGATATAGAATACATCATGTTACAAATTCAAGAATATTAACAAATCTCAACATAATAAATAATAAAAATATTCTCCTCTAGGCATATTATAAAAAATATCTAAATATTAAAGCAAAAGGAAAAGGCAGAAACAGATTACCTTCTTAGGAGCCTTAAACTAACAGCTAACTTATTAACACAAACAATGGAAACAAATAGAATTTAAATTTATTTTTTAAATGCTAAAAGCATCACTAATGATCAGAAATGCACAAATCAAAACTGCTGTGAGATACCATCTCACATCAATCGGTATGGCTACTATTAAAAAGCCAAAAAACAACAGATGGGGGTGAGGTTGCAGAAAAAAGAGAATTCTTACACACTGTTGGTGGGAATGTAAATTATTCCAGCAATGGTGGAGAGCTGTCTGGAGATTTTTCAAAGTACTTAAAGCTGCCATTTTACCTAGCAATCCCACCACTGGGCATACACCCAAAAGAAAATAAATCATTTCACCAAAAAGATTGGATAAAAAGAAGGTGATACATATACACCTTGGAATACTATGCAGCCATAAAAAAGAATGAAATCATGTCCTTTGCAGCAACGTAGACAGAACTGGAGACAATAATCCTAAGCAAATTAATTCAGGAACAGAAAATGAAATATTACATGTTCTTGCAGAGAAGTGGAAGCTGAACATTGAGCACACATGGTCATAAATATGGGAACAATAGACACTGTGGACTATTGGAAAGTGGAGGGAAGGGAGGTGGGTTAAAAAACTATTAGACACTATTCTCACTCACCAGGGTAACAGGATCCATACTCCAAACCTCAGCATCATGCAATATTCCCATGGAACAAATATTCACATGCACCCTCTGTATCTAAAAGTTGAATTTTTAAAAAAATTTGCCACAAAAATAAGAAAAAACATAAAATTTAAAAGCTAGCAAAATATATTTTGAGAATGATGATGAAGTAATATGCCCAGTCTAAAAAATGATGAAAATAAAAATATAGAGAATTTGACATGAGAATACCAGCACTGAAGAGCAAATTAAAGGCTCTTCTTGCAATCAGAAGAAAACTAATTAGATAATATAGTAAAAATGTAAGACAGTAAGGAATGAAAAGGAAAGGAATGAACGTGTATGTCCATTTAAATATTTACAGTGTAAACCAAAATAATGTTTCCCAGTGTTGAAGAGGTGACACAGGATTCTCTTGGTGCACCTTCACCAACCAGAAATCTCCACAGCTGGTGGCACTTCTCCCGGACTTGGCTCAGGCCCACTGGGCTTGCTCTGCCCACTTGTCCCCATGGGCTGCACTCAGCTCATGCTACTGGCCCAGATCCCATGCCTGCCATGGCTCTGTGCTCAGCCCACAGCTGGTCCAGGAGTGATAAGACTGGCTTCCACCTTGGGTGCCAGTGTCTGGATGAGGAGAATGTAGTGGTGCCCACAAACTGGGAGGTGACAGCAACCGTAGAGCCCCAAGCGGTGTTATAGCTTTTGCTCAGGGCCTCCCAAGGTCTAAGCCTCCAGGAAGTGTTACAACTCTCATTCATTCCTGCCGCCCACAGCTTCAGTGAATGAGGACGTGTCACAGCTCATTTGGTTCTGCTGCCTACAGCTTGGCAAACAAAGGCATGTGGTGCCCAATGGCTTTTTCTCCCTTGTTGCTCAGCAAGTGGAAGGGAGGCTTTCAGTGTTGCAGCTCTTTTTGCACCTGTCATTTGGTGGGTTCCGGGTTCTTGTCCCACAACCAAGAGGAATGAGTTACACAGACACTGGAGAGTAAGCTAGGCAGAGAAGAGTTTTATTGAGTGACAGAAAAGCTCTCAACATGAGAGGGGACCTGAGTGGGTAGCCCTCTGTTTGAGACAGGGCCCAAAAGCAGGTGGCTGCCTGTGAGGCTGAGTCTGAGGTTTTTATGGGCTCAGAATGGGGGAGTGCATGCTGATTAGTCCACAAGCAGGCAGAAGCACAATTCGATTGGCTAAAACGCATCGAGGAAGTTCTCACTCTGGTTGTGGACCCATGCAGAACTGGCAGCTCAGTTTTCAGGCTTCAGGCTGTCCTTGGTTTAAAGGTTGGGTTTCACTGGGGACCTGTCCCTGCCTGACTAGGAATCTGTATGTTTCCTTTCACTATCAGAGACAAATAGAAAATGATTGATAATAGATAGATAGATAAGATAGATAATAGGTACACACATACATACATGCATAGATGATAGGTAGGTATATAGATGGAATGATAAAAGTCTAAATTATAAAGATAGTTATTAGTAGGGGCTAGCAGAAGCAAGCAAACAAGTTATTTAATGGATTTAATATTTAATTTTTTAATATTTTAACAATTGTTGAAAGCTATTTTTGTCTCTTAAATTGTGTTTATATGTACATATATATATATATATACACTATAGACCTTGCCATTTCAAATATTTTTAATTATATAATTCTTTGTCATTAAGTATATTTACATTGGTGTGCAACTATTATCACTATTTCCAGAACTTTTTTACCTTCTCCAAATGAAACTTTTACCAATTATACACTAACTCCCCATTGCCCCAACTACCAGCCCCTGGCAACCACCCCTCTATTTTCTGTCTCTATGAATCTGACTACTCTAGGAACTTCATGTAAGTGGAACTATACAATATTCGGCCTTCTGTCACTGGCTTATTTCACTTAGCATAATGTCTCCAAGTTTGAACTATGTTATAGCCTGTGTCAAAATTTCTTTCTATTTTAAGGCTGAATGATATTTGGGTTTATACATATTCCACATTTTATCTGTACATTCATCCATCATCAGACATGTGGTATGTTTCTACCTTTTGGCTATTGTAAATAACACTGAATAACATGAATATTTAAATATCTATTCGAGTTCTTACTTTCACTTCATAAAATGGTAGAAGTGTATTTTACTTTATGTGTATTTAAGAACAATTTAAAATGAAAAAAATTGCATATAATTTAACAGTTTCAGTATAATGCTGTATTAATTAGCCAAGAAAAACAATAGCAGTCAACATTAGCTTTAAGAATCCCATCTGCATATTCAATAATAAATAGGTTCAGAGACTTTCCTATAGTATTAACTTTTAATTTTTTTCTATAAAATAATTTTCACATTGCTTTGAAGCAATTTCTCATTTTTCTTTATGAACACACTTCATTAATATACACTTACATTACTTTATGTAATATTTAAGTAAAAAATATGTAATCCAAAAAATGTTCCTGATAACTCTCCAACATTAGCTTGTCTAGATTATTTAGATATTACCTTAAAATAATATCACATGCAAGAGCACATCTGCAATAATTGCTTCAGAGGTAGAAAAAAGGTGAATAGTTTTGAGATATTTTCTGCTCTACATTGTCTCAGATAGCTACAAAACTAAATAAAAATAATTTATTATACAGATTCTTCTGCTATTATGCCCCTTTATTTAAACATATTTTCTGTAGAGTCTCTAGTGGTCTACAGAAAATTCTTTGTCATCATTAACTTAAAAATATCAAGAAAATGCAGCTATTACATAAATTATTAAATAAAAACATTTCCTAGTTATTGCTGTGCTGTTCAATTCTTTCAAATACTTGCAGAAATGAGATATATTCATTTACAATTATTTCTATCACGTTTCTCAAAAAGTGTACATTGACACATTATATTTTTTATTTATCAAACTATATACTAATATTTCATAAATTTGCTTAGAGTAACATATACAAGGAATGCACAAATCACAAGAATACACATTAATTTTTACAAATTAGACATACTCACGCAACCAGCACTCAATCAACAACCATAACTTAACATCCTGGAAGCACTTCTTATAGTCCTTCTAGTCACCACTTGTCCTAAAAGGGTAGCTACTATCCTGACTTTTAACACAAATATTTATTTTATTTGTCTTTTGAATTTTATATTCCAAAAGAATATGGCTCTCATTGTATGCATCTAGTTTCTGTTTTTCACATTATGTTTGTGAGTTTCATCCAAGTTGTTCCATGTGGTTGCAATTTGTTCATTCTCATTGTCACACAGTGATTCATTGTACAAATATTAAAACATTTATTTATCCATTCTACCATTGATAAAGAGTTGAATTGTTTCCTGTTTGGGAGTCCTACAATGGAAGTTGCTATTCATATTTTTTGCACATGTATCCTGGTAAATATCCATAAGGAGTCTCTTAAGTGCAGTTGCTGGTTACATAATATAATATAATATACATGTTTAAGCTCAATAGATGATGCCAACAAGTTTTTCAAACAAAATTACATTTTTACCAAAGGTGCGGAAGAATTATTTTCCCTCCACACTCTGAACAATACTTAAATTTTGTATTTAAAAAATTTTTTGCCATTCTCATGATATGTAATTGTACACCATTTTGATTATAATTTGCATTTCCTAGATGTCTAATGATGTTGAGTGCTGTTTTATGAGTTTATTGGATATTTGTATAAACTTTTGTGAGGTCCCTATTTATTGAGTTGTCTTTTTCTTACTGATTGATATTCTAGATATGAATAATTTGTTGTATTTAAGTATTGAAAATATGTTGACCTACTCTGTTTGACGTTTCATTGTGTTTGTAAGCACAGTTTCAATATTTTGGTACAATAAAATATATTATTTGTAAGCTCTATGTACTTTTTAAAGAAATGTTTAGCTAACCCAAGGGCATAAAAATAGTCTATATTTTCTTCTATGGCGTGTCTTTCATTGCTAACGTCTGAAGTAGTGGACCTCACATCATTCAACCTTTTCTTATAGGAATTAAATTATCCAGGACCATTTTTCAGGAAAGATATACCTAATGCTAAATGATGAGTTAATGGGCGCAGCACACCAAAAAGGCACATGTATACATATGTAACAAACCTGCACATTGTGCACATGTACCCTAAAACTTAAAGCATAATAATAATAAAATTAAAAAAAAGAAAAGCCATCCTATTTTATTTGCAGAGTGTGTATCATCTTTGTCTTAAGTCAAATGATTACAAAACTGCATATCTGTCTGATCACCATGTACTAATCCCTTGGTCTATCTATCTTCCTTTTGACAAAATTATACTGCCTTAATCGCAATAACTATAGTATGCACTGATATTGGGTAGTGCAAGTGTCCAGTGTTGCTTACTTGTCTGTCAATCCTGCCTTGACTATTCTTGGTCCTTTATCTTGCCATATGAAATTTATAATCAAATTATGAATTTAAAAACATAAATAGGATTTTGACTGAGATTGCATTGAATCTATAAATTAAAGAAATGGAAACCTTTACAATAGCAGTTCTCAAATGAATGAGATTTTGACCCCAAAGAGATATCTGTCAATGTCCTGAGACGTACTTGGCTGTCATAGCTGGGGGATACCACTTGCATCCAGTAGGATGGAGGCCAAGAATCCTACTAAACGTCCTACAATATGCAACACAGCTACCACCCCCCCACCAAAAAATAAACCAAAGTTTCCATGTTGTCAAGGATCAGAAATCCTGCTTTACAATATTTAGTTTTCTGACTCATAATCATATATTTATACATTTATTTAGAACATTATTTATTTTCCAAAGCAGTGTTTTGAATATCTTATTATCGAGGTTTCACCCATCTTAAGTTATACCGCCAGGAATTTGATAAGTTTTAAGGTTACTGTAAAACTCACTCTTACTTCATTTTTCAATTGCTCATTGCCAGTATATAAAAATAAAATATTTGTCGATAGTATTGATTTGATATACACTATATTGATAAGTTTACTTATTGATCCTGTTGTTTTTCTTTATATTGTTTTGGATTTTCATCATTCACAACCATGTCATCTGTGGCAGGTGTTGGATTTATTTCCTCTTTGTGAAACTTATGCTTAATGTTTCTTGTAATGTTGTCTTATTTATGGTCACAATATAAATACAAATATAAGTGGTTCTCATGGCCTTTCTTGTTTCTGATTTGAGGCATAAAACTGTCAATAATGCATATGAGTAGGATGCCTGTTCTAGGTTTTCTCTTGATATGTTTAATCTACTAAATTTTTTATCCTACTTTTAAATATTTTATTATGATGACTTGGTGTTTTATTTTGTAAAATGCTTTCCTGCAGGTTTAAAAATTATTATATGATTTTTTTCATTTCTTATTATGTGATCAAACAGATTATCTTGAATGTCAAGGAAAAACAAAAACAAAAAATCTTCCACACCTGAAATAATCTTTATTTGATTGGTGTTTTATATTTTGTTCTATTTAATTCATGATATGTTGTTTAATATTTTTATCTAAGCTCATAAGAATAAATGATCCATAATTTGCCTCACTTTAAATGTCCCTGATATGTTTTTCTATCAAGATTATTTTGCTTAAATATCTTCAGAAATTTTCCCTTTTTCTACTTTGGAGGAGTTTATGTGGGATTGCTATTACTTTATTTCATTTTTATTAAGATTCTCTAATTCAGAAGAGGTAATATAAGTCATTTACTCAAGTAGTATATTAGATAAACTTTTAAATATCATATCTGGATTTAAAAACATCATTTTCTATACTTTTATTCGTATTTAACATTGACTAGCAACTGACTAGCTTATTATTTATCAATATATTTTCTTCTTAAAATCTGAAATCAGCTTCTTATAAAGGGAAAGCTTTAAGTGAAAGTACGTTTTAATCATTGTTATGTAAGTTACAACTTCATAGATATGATTATGTTTTATTTTCCTAAATATTGAATTGAGAAAGATGATAAAATAGGTTCTACTTAGTCAATATCCTGTCACAATTTAGAAAACATATTTACCCCATCTCTATTCCTACATTATCAAAATAATTTTATTTCAAAATATTGTTTCTACTTGTAGAGTAAAAGCGGAATTAGGTCACTTTGTCTCACCGCTGTGTTAGATTTTTTATTTACAGTTTTTTTCCAAATTATTATATATTTATTATTGTGCCATTAGGGGCAAAAATTCATAATGAATGATCAGTTTGCTTTGTAAGTCATGCCCTCATTGGTATATTTCTTGAAACCCAAAAGCAAAATTACATATAACTGCGTTTTTGTACTATCCAAAAGGAGAAGGAAAATGTTGGAAAGTCAGGACGAACATTAGGTACAGACAATTTTGTGATTGCATTTTTGTCCCAAATTATATTAAGATGTGCAGCATTCTAGTCTTCATGCAAATGGATTATTTTCTCACATAGAGTGGTATCATAGTATAAATTTATGGTTGCTATAAATAACAATTTACCTTGATTACTACATGCCTCTAAATATGGCACGACTTATCTTTACTGTTTTGAAGTGTAAGTTGTAACATTTTTATTGGTGTGGGTATGTTTCAGAAAAAAATACAGTGTAGTTTTGGTTTTTGGCATGACCTTGTCATTTGAGAAGGCATTACATTTTAATGACACATAATTTAAAATGCCTCTAGGAGTGAGTTGAATTTACTGAGATATTTTTAAGAGTCATTACTTACCAGAGGTTGTCAGAGCACTTGTAGAGTGTCAGCCTTCTTCAGGGCAGATATTTCAGACTACTTGAAATGAATTAACACTTCCACCATTAATGTTTGATGGGAGACCAGAGTGAAAAAGATGGATGCTCACATAATTGGCATCCTTAACATTTAGAGCTGAATACTTAAATGCCAGAAACATAATTTTGAATAAAATGTCAGGACCTAACTCAATAATATTTAATGATGTAATAGGATAGGAATGAACAGAAGTCATTTTACATTATTAATGAAATTATTTAAAATAGGCTTAATTGTCTCCATATATCAGTAAGGAGTTTTTATTTATATTATTATTTCTAAGAACAACTGGTCTCAAATTTTCAACTTCTACCAGTCTAGAGATGCCAAACATTCTTCTGATTCATATTATTGTAAAATACATTTATGAAAATGTAAACAGCAAATGTACTTCATAAGCTAAATGTTTTAATTTATTACAATTGGTAAAGTGCCATATTATGTTTATTATTGATATTTTTAGTCTTGGTAAACAGATCTTTTCCAAATAAATGATATGTTTAATAAAGTTAACTTACACTAGTAGAACGAGTAGGCATATACAAAAATAACAAACCACAACATTTATTGCCAAAACAATATCAGCTTAAAAATTATTAAGAACACAATTAATTAAAGAACATCGTTGAGAAATAACTGAATTATAGGTATCTATTTAATGTGTCAATATGGCTGAATGATTTTTACTAACAATTCTATGAAAAATGAGCACTAAAAGTTTCAAGAATACTTAACATCAACTTTAAAAAGAAAGTGGTACTTTTGAGGTTCTCCTACAAAACTCTTCTTAAAGAGGGTAAAGGATGCCTTTTACAAAATCTGTTTTCATTGTATACGCAGAGCTGTGAGAAACGGGACAGATTACGGTCCAGCTAGTCATATTGTAAAGCCTTGAATTCTGTTAATAGAACCTTAATCAGCTCTGTATGAAGAAAATAGGTTACAGTATTCTTTAAACTTATATTTAACTATCCCCATCCATGTACGGAAGGTTCTTGAAGAGGATTCACAGGCGAGGTAATGAATCATGCCCTTGCTTCAGACAATAGAGAAAAATCTTGTCAATATCAAACATGGAGGTTACAGAATATTATGATCAGCACCAAGGGGTAGTCCAATATATCAACTGACATTGACTCTTTCTAAGTATACTCATTGTTTCTGTCTCTATGTTAGCTATAAAACAGTTAAACTATCTACTGAACAGTTAAACTATCATAGTATCACTATTGCAGATTTTAACATACCAGCACTAACAGGATTTTCCAATAAACTTCTAGGGGCTCCAGAAATCAAACTACTGTCATGATGATACTTTTTCATTCACATTCCCCCATAAATGTAGACTTTTCTACAGGCTACCAGGTGGGTGATACTGCAATAGATTGAATACAAAAGGATGTGTATGGATCCAGATGGTCTCATTAAGCAAGCTATTTAAGAGATTTGCAGAACTATTATGTAAAACAATGTCACTGTTTTCACTATCTACTTTCTTTAGGTATTTTACATAATTAAAAGTAGTTATATAAAATACATATCTATTTTAATAAATAATGTTATTTATATAATGGTTTATTATTCTTTAAAGTGAATTAATTAGTAGTATTTAATATTTTTTCAGATTGAATTTCTAATATTATAAATTTTAATAGGTCTAACATGAATACAAATTTTTGGACTCTCAATACTTTCTAAGACTATAAATAATGCCTGATAGGAAACAATTTAAGAACTAAAGTCTTGTTGCATCTATAATGATTAAATCATGATTATTCTTGTTATTATTATTACTGTTGTTGTTATTTGAAGCACCTTCCCTCACTCCAGAATCTTTGAAGTGCTAACATTCTTTTCCCCCTTAGGATATGAAAATACTCCTCTCTTAAAGGATAGATGATAACTAAAGTTTCTAATTTCTTTATATTTCTAAGGAAAGTCTACTCTGTAAATAGCCTCTGTGACTCATGGCAAATTGTGGATTTTTAGCCCATCTTGTTATTCTCCACTTAATTAAATAAGAAAACTACTCAGGTATGGTGCTTATAGATAGCTAGTGCTATTGACTGAACTCTGTCCCTCACAAATTCATGTGTTAAAGCCCTAAAGTACAATATGAGGGTATTTGAAGGCTGGACCTATAAGGAGGTGATTTAGGTTAAATGATGTCATAAGGGCAAAGTTCTGATCTAACAGGATTTGTGTCCATTTAAGAAGAGTCACAAAAGAGCTCTGTTCCTTCCCTCTACCATATGAGGACACAGAGAGAAGGCAGCTATCTGCAAGCCAAGACGAGAAATCTCATTGGAAACCAAATGCAGATGGAGACTTGATCATGGATTTTTCAACCTCTGGAATTGTGAGAAAATGAACTTCTTTTGTTTGAGTCACCCAATCTGTGATACAGTGTTAGGGCAGCCTGAGCAGACTAATACATCTATTATCCCATAACATTTCTCAATGACAACACAATAGCAATCAGTACATTATTTTCCTCCTTTTCTGTAAGCAAATTTGAAGCAAGGGCAGTATTGCCCTCCTTATTGTATCTTTAACAAATAGTGCCTATTTTCTAAAACAAACTGCCTACTAAAGTGTTTGATGAAGTAATAAATTAAACTTGGTTCAAAAATGTATGCCCTATTGATTATTAGTTTTCTGTTATCCTAAATTTGTTAACCCAACCTATTCAGGTCTACCTTACTGCACTAAAAAGCATATGTGCCCATTTCTCTTACTGTTTCAATGTACTAGCCATCCTTCCATGGAAATATTTGTTCTAATTTTTAAATGAGTATTTCATGTTTAAAATAGTTCCATGAATCCTGATTGCCTTCAAAAGAAAGTAAAAATTTTTCTTGCATCACATTCAAAACCTTTTAATATCTGACTAAAATTAACTCTCAAAAATGTGATTTTCCATTGTCCTCTGAGTCATATTATGTTCCTTTGCCCTGAAAAGATTGATACTCTCCCAAACATATCAATAACTCTGACAATTCATATTTTTTCATATAAAATAGTAAAATAATTACTATTTTCAACATGATAGTTTTATTTTATTTGCCTAAGTTAAATTCCATAATATCCAGTTTGTTATGATTCCTTTTATTACAGTAATGCTATTTCCTAAAAGCTCTGGTAAAGTGATAGCACTTAATTTAAACTGATGTTAGCCATTACTCCTGGGTCTGAACATATAAACATTGATGAATTTTGTAATCATATGAACTTAATCAAATGTTGTTATATTTTTGCATAACTTTTTTGCATAATACTTTTTAATTTTATCTTTCCTGTGTCTTGTGTTTTAGCTGGCTTTTGTCATTTCAATAAAACTAGTAAAGAATGAAGAAGTAAAATCATACATTGTTATTACTGCTAATGACTTTTCCATTGAATGCAGTGCTCACTCTAATTGTGTTCCTGTCTTTTGCTTAAAATAACTAATGTTGTGTAGTTTCAAGTCCTTAAGTTCATTTTATGTAGTTTCTAGATATATATGTACATTCAATTTTTATTTTTTGATTAGAATAGTTATCTAAACTACATATCTACTTTATATTAATTTTGATAATTTGAAGAATAGTTAAATAATTTAATAGCTCATATTACTTTATCACATTTCCTGTAATCACATTTACCTATATGGTTTTGAAAACTCTCTCAGATTATTGAAAGGTAATATAATGCAATATTTTTATTAGGATACCTAGCCAGAAATGAAGTATTGTTGATTATATATGCACTAATTTTATTCGGTGATAATTTAAGTGTCTGACATTTTATTTTGTAGTGCCAGGGGTATATTTCTCACTTTGAAATTTAAACCTAAATTCCATCAAGTAAAATTTATGTTTTAATTCATTTACTTAATTGCCTTTGTTTCCTTGGCAACCATCTGTAATTAGGATTTTCCAGAAGTGTTAAAAATATTTGAAATGACACATGTTGCTACTTTTCATAGAAGTTAAGTTCTTATGATTTGGACAGTATCAACAAGTGCAATTTCAAGTGTACCTGATATGTTTAGTATATCTTAACTTTATCTTAGGAAAGCACTTTAAATTAGATTGGTCATTTAATTTTATATAAAGAACATGCTTTTCCATTTTGCCCAATTCTTCTTGAATCCATTTTAAAACATATAACTTGCAAGTATGATAGGGTTTTTTAAAATATACTTTTCTATATTCACAAAGATGTTGCTTGGTATTTATTTCCAAGCCATTTAGCAGATCCTTAATTAGAATATGTAATTTAACTCTGCAATTAATCTTTCAGGATAATAATGTATAATGTTCATCACATTAAGATACACGTTATTTATTGCTTTATTATAATTATTAAAAAGTTAAATGCCTCCTTTACCATATACTATTTACTATTTATTTTAGTCTCTGTTGAAGTGGGAGAATTGTTTCACAACTAATTGTCATGGAAATTAATTCACTGTGTGTTCTATTTAAAATTTTTGACACAAAAATATATATGATGTACACATAATATTTTCCTTCACTTATATGCATCTGTTATAGAAAATGCTAAAAGTAAACTAGTATGGCATACTTAAAATAAATTACTTATTCAAAAAATCTTTTGGATCTTATTTTTAATTCTACAAAATAATTTCATCTCAACATACCAGAGGCCTGGGGACCATCTTGAATTATGTTTGTAATAATATGTGGTAGCACAGGAGTCTCCACACTGTTCAAGAAAAGAAGATTATCTCAAAAGTCATAGGAAAAATATAAGAAGTAAATTCACAAAAATCCAATGAAATCTCAAATGAAATATGATAGTTAATAAATAATTTCTTAGTTTTTATGTTACATTTCAAAAAATGTTAATATCATGGAACAATTCTTTCATTTTTTATTTATTTTATTTTATTTTATTAATATACTTTAAGTTTTAGGGTACATGTGCACAACGAGCAGTTTTGTTACATATGTATACATGTGCCATGTTGGTGTGCTGCACTCATTAACTCGTCATTTAGCATAAGGTACATCTCCTAATGCTATCCCTCCCTGCTATACCCACCTCACAACAGTCCCCGGTGTGTGATGTTCCCCTTCCTGTGTCCATGTGTTCTCATTGTTCAGTTCCCACCTATGAGTGAGAACATGTGGTGTTTGGTTTTTTGTCTTTGCAACAGTTTGCTGAGAATGATTGTTTCCAGCTTCATCCATGTCCCTACAAAGGACATGAACTCATCCTTTTTTATGGCTGCATAGTATTCCACGGTGTATATGTGCCACATTTTCTTAATGCAGTCTATCATTGTTGGACATTTGGGTTGGTTCCAAGTCTTTGCTATTGTGAATAGTGCCCCAATAAACATATGTGTGCATGTGTCTTTACAGCAGCATGATTTATAATCCTTTGGGTATATACCCAGTAATGGGATTGCTGGGTCAAATGGTATTCCTAGCTCTAGATCCCTGAGGAATTGCCACACTGACTTCCACAATGGTTGAACTAGTTTACAGTCCCACCAACAGTGTAAAAGTGTTCCTATTTCTCCACATCCTCTCCAGCACTTGTTGTTTCCTGACTTTTTAGTGATCGCCATTCTAACTGGTGTGAGATGGTATCTCATTGTGGTTTTGATTTGCATTTATCTGATGGCCAGTGTTTTTGATATGTTAGAAATATATTAATTTGTAATTTCATAATTTCATATGGGCTAAAAACAGTTCTATCACTAAAAAAAATACTAATCTGGACAACCCTTCAAATTCTTCTTTGCAAATTTTTAGCTTGCTCAAAGTTAATATACCAACCTAAATTATTTTGGCACAAATTTTCAACATATGCCTCTTCTGTAAAAATTTGATTAAAAAAAATCAATTTAATCAACTCTGCCTAAATGCTGAAACAAAAAGACTCCTAATACTCAACAATTTCTTTTCCCTTTTAGGCAAATATCAACACTTCTAGTAAATTCTTATATAGAGAGAAGTCAAATGTGTAATTTTAAAGGATTGATAATAAAATTCTGTTTATTAATTTGATTTTGTTTTATGGTAAGCTTCAATAGATTACAAGGTTCTTTGCAGATAGCCAGGAAATATGTAATTGGATTACACAAAATATGATTATTTTGATGCTAGTTCTCTATTTTCCAGATTTCATTATATATTGTTACTTTCATTTATTTCCTTAATTCAAAAGCATATATACAAAAATAATATTTTAGTTATAATTTAGAAGAAAGTATGTTGTTCATTTGTAGATATCTTTCTGAAAAGTTCATTATAGCTCTAAAATCTAAAAATTTCAGAAGTATCACAAAAGCTAAGATATTTAATTTATATAATGAGAATCTTTGTGTCTTTAATTATTAAGTTTCTTCAATGTAATACAACTTTAAAATCTGTAGATAAAAAAAAACATAATAACATGTTATTATTTCCCTTAAATGGGGATGTGCTTCATGGAAAGAAGGTTAAACTACCATGTGAAAACATAGATGCTACCTTTCCCCTTGAATATTGGCAGTATAATAGTATTGTAAAAGTTGTCAGAATGCCTATGACAAAGAATCTTGTTATGTGCAATAACCAAATAAGTTTGCATTATTTTAACCAAGGAACACTTTTTTTTGTGTGTGCCAGCTAATTTTTTTTTATTATACTTTAAGTTCTAGGGTACATGTGCACAACGTGCAGGTTTGTTACATATGTATACATGCGCCATGTTGGTGTGCTGCACCCATTAACTTGTAATTTACATTAGGTATATTTCCTAATGCTATCCCTCCCCGCTCCCCCACCCTATGACAGTCCCCAGTGTGTGATGTTCCCCTTCCTGTGTCCAAGTGTTCTCATTGTTCAATTCCCATCTATAAGTGAGAACATGCGGTGTTTGGTTTTTTTGTCCTTGCGATAGTTTGCTGAGAATGATGGTTTCCAGCTTCATCTAAGTCCCTACAAAGGACATGAATTCATCCTTTTTTATGGCTGCATAGTATTCCATGGTGTATATGTGCCACATTTTCTTGATCCAGTCTATCATTGATGGACATGTGGGTTGGTTCCAAGTCTTTGCTATTGTGAATAGTGCCACAATAAACATACATGTGCCTGTGTCTTTATAGCAGCATGATTCATAATCCTTTGGGTATATACCCAGTAATGGGATGGCTGGCTCAAATGGTATTTCTAGTTCTGGAACCTTGAGCAATCGCCACACTGTCTTCCACAATGGTTGAACTAGTTTACAGTCCCACCAACAGTGGAACAGTGTTCCTATTTCTCCACATCCTCTCCAGCACTTGTTGTTTCCTGACTTTTCAATGATCGCCATTCTAACTGGTGTGAGTGAGATGGTATCTCATTGTGGTTTTGATTTGCATTTCTCTGATGGCCAGTGATGATGAGCATTTTTTAATGCGTCTGTTGGCTGCATAAATGTCTTCTTTTGAGAAGTGTCTGTTCATATGCTTTGCCCACTTTTTGTTGGGTTTTTTGTTTTTTTCTTGTAAATTTGTTTGAGTTCTTTGTAGATTCTGGATATTAGCCCTTTGTCAGATGAGTAGATTGCAAACATTTTCTCCCATTATGTAGGTTGCCTGTTCACTCTGATGATAGTTTCTTTTGCTGTGCAGAAGCTCTTTAGTTTAATTAAACCCCATTTGTCAATTTTGGCTTTTGTTGCCATTGCTTTTGGTGTTTTAGTCATGAAATCTTTGCCCATGCCTATGTCCTGAATGGTATTGCCTAGGTTTTCTTCTAGGGTTTTTATGGTTTTAGGTCTAACATTTAATCTATCTTGAATTAATTTTTGTATAAGGTGTAAGGAAGGGATCCAGTTTCAGCTTTCTATATATGGCTAGCCAGTTTTCCCAGCACCATTTATTAAATAGGGACTCCTTTCCCCATTTCTTTTTTTTTGTCAGGTTTGTCAAAGATCAGATGGTTGTAGATGTGTGATATTATTTCTGAGGGCTCTGTTCTGTTCCATTGGTCTATATCTCTGTTTTGGTACCAGTACCATGCTGTTTTGGTTACTATAGCCTTGTAATATAGTTTGAAGTCAGGTAGCATGATGCATCCAGCTTTGTTCTTTTGGCTTAGGATTGACTTGGCAATGCAGGCTCTTTTTTGGTTCCATATGAACTTTAAAGTAGTTTTTTCCAATTCTGTGAAGAAAGTTATTGGTAGCTTGATGAGGATGGCATTGAATCTATAAATTATCTTGGGCAGTATGGCCATTTTCACGGTATTCATTCTTCCTATCCATGAGCATGGAATGTTCTTCCATTTGTTTGTGTCCTCTTTTATTTCATTGAGCAGTGGTTTGTAGTTCTCCTTGAAGAGGTCCTTCACATCCCTTGTAAGTTGGATTCATAGGTATTTTATTCTCTTTGAAGCAATATACACTATTTTATTTAACAACATAACTTGGTTTTTTAGGAATATTAGCCAAATAAAAAAGTAAAAGGTGGTAATTTATTTATTCCTTTATTCATAAAGTATTTTATAGTTCCTCTTCTGTGCCAGAATGCTCAAAGTTTCTGTGATTATGAGAAAATGAATTGGGATAGTTTTTACTGAAAGGAGATTGACAACTAACAACAACAAAAATTAAGAGTTCATGTAAAGTCATTGAATACCACAAGAATAACAAAACTGGGGGAATATAATAGCAAATAAACAGTGTGTGGATGTCCTAAATTTAATCAATATCTGCAAGTGCATGAATTACAAAGAGGAGGTACCCGTTCAAAGTTTTGCCTTCTATATTTGCGTAACAGTAAGGACGAGTGATACTCAAAGGGAAAAAAATGCTTGACCAGTAAGATATACAAAAGATTATCATGGCTGTATGTTAGTGAACAAAGATAAGTGCGGTTCTGAGATGCAGTGTTACAGATATTTAAGAGCCATAGCAACAAGCTTGGAATTTATTTCAAGAATATAGGAACGCTATTACAGGTTTTTAAAAGAGAGTGTAGTCGATTGAAGAGAGACAAGATTGGGAGTAATGAGACCAGTTAAGTGACTATTGCAGTAAGTGGCAGCAAATTTCCGTTTAGGGTCCTGGTTGGGCCAGAGATTTAATTGACATAAGACAGATCAACAGAAGAAAATTACATATTTAATACAAGTTTTGCATGGCATGGGAGACATCATAAGAAAATGAAGACCCAAAAAAGTAGATAGAGTCAGGAACTTAAATACTGAATTGGATAAAAAATGGTAAGTTGTTAAGAAGCAGCTCAATTCTGGAGGATGCTTAAAAGATAAGTTATTTTAAGAAATCTATACAGATCTATAAGAAATCTTGCTCTTAACTTTTGTCCTTGAGAATAAATTCACGTGGTAATTTCATCTTCTGCTCTCGAGAAACAAAACAAAGTTCAGAGTGAAGTTTTTGCACCTGCTGTTCTTCATAGGTCTTTAACTTAAATAGTCAATATGGCAGAGAGACATATTTTCAACTCCTTTAACAGTATTAAAGGTGATAGATAATAGGTCTCAGTGTAGTTTATATGCAGAGATATATATATGAATTTGTAAAACATAAATATATATCCAAAATGTATTACACTAAATATATACATAATTTATATATTTGTATAGTGTATATTATATACTGTATTTAATTATAATTTGTATATATACACATTCAATATATTTATATGTATAATTTATATAACATGTACAAATTGGTGTAATTGGAATATATGCGGTGGTTAGAGGTAAGTTTCACAGGATCTTTGGGTGTCGCTTTGCCAGCTGGAAACCTCTATGGCTGGTGGCACCTCTGCTTGAGTTTTGCTTGCACCTGCTGGTCTCATTCTGCTCGCTTGGACTGGCATGCTGTGCTTGGCTCATGCTACCAGCTCGGATCCCATGCCCACCAAGGGTGAGCCAGGCACTGATTGGTGAGGGGTGTGTAAGCTAATGCAGGGTCTGGCCACTGCTTACAGCCAATTATGCCAGCTGGTGGGCAGCTCCTGGTGCTGACACAGGCGCTGGCTCTGTGCAAGACTGCAGCTGGACCAGGTGTACCACAAGTGGCTTCCACTGTGAGCCCCAGCATCTGAAGTAGGGGAATATGGTGGCACCCAAAAACTCAGAGATGCCAGCAACTGCCAAGCCCCAAGGAGCGTGGGGATGTGTGCTATAGCTCCCTCATTTCCACTGCCCACAGCTTGGTGAATGAGGATGTGTTAACAGCTCTTTCAGTCCCATTGCCAACTGTAGCCCATGGATCCTGGGCTGGTCCAGCAAGGCCGCCACTTCGTGTCATGTGGGAAGGCCTCCTGATGCAGGCAGAACATGGGAGGGCTATAGGTGTTACAGCTCTGGCTCAGGGAATCCTGAGGTCTGGGCCTCCAGAAGGGTTACTGCTCTTCACTCCAACAGTCTGGTGAATGGGAGCAGGTCACTGTCTTCAGCTTGGCAAGCTAGGCAGGAAAGTGTTATAGCCCTTTCCAAACCACAGTTTGGCAGGTCCCCAGTTCTTGTCCAGTGTCCAGGAAGAATGAAGTTATGTGAACAACTGAAGGGTGAGCAAGGTGGAGATGGTTTTATTGAGGGGCAGAACAGCTCTCAGCAGAGAGAAGACACAACGTGGGTAGCTCCTCCTTATAGGCATGTAGTCCCAAGCTGTGTCTGAGTTTGGCTGCATCTGGGGTTTTTATGGGCTCCAAATGAAGGAAGTGCATGCTGATTGGTCCATGGGTGGGCCCAGAAAAAGCATCCCACTGGCTGAAAGGCATCAAGGAAGTTTGCACTTGGGGTGGTGGACTCCACCTGGAACTGGAAGCAGGTTTTTCAGGCCTGGGGCTATTCCTGGCTTGAAGGGTGGGCCTCACCACGGACCTACGCTTATCTGCCCAGGAATTTGCCTGCCTCTTGCCACTATCAATTGGGCTTACAAGTGTACTGTATATTAAATGTTAATGAAAGTGAAAAATCAATGATGACATAAGTTTTTGGCTTTAGTAGTTGGGTGAATGGCGGTGCCCTTTGCTAGGATGGGAAAATCCAGGTAAGAAATGTTTGGGAAGACACTGAGAAGTCACAAATTCTCTTTTATCTACATTTAGTTTGTTAGATTTCTAAGAAATCAGGTTGATATTTCTAGTAGAATTTTGGTTATAACAACAAAAATTTCAGTTTACTAACCAGAGCTAGAAATAAACACTTAGAAATATTTGGCAAATAAGAGTGTTTTTAGACCATATGTTTAGATAAATCTCTTGAGTGGCGTGAGAACTGCAGTAAAAAGAGAAGAGGATTTAAAGCTGAACCCTGAAGTTTTCCAAAATTAAGAAATTGCATAGAAAAGGAGCAGAAACCTTTGAAAGTCACATTTGAAGTGGGAGGAAAACTGGGCAAATGAATAAATGTGTAAAAAATAGATGGGATGTTAAATTATAAAGTAGCTTAATTATTTAACAAATATTAAGTAATCCTGATGGAACAAACTTTGATCAAGTCAAGGAATGGGGACAGAAGCACAATTAAGTTGTTTATCCCGTTGAACATTGCATTTTAATATATTTTTCATCAAGGTATTCTCTTCCTTCTGAATTTAAAGTATTGGGGAGGACACATAGGGAAGATGTAGTGAGAACAGTGTTACTAATGCATTCTAAAAATCACTGTTACAGGTGCATACACATCCTGCTTATAAATGACACATTTGTTTTATAAACATGAGGCATGTAATAAATACCAAGTATCTTTTACTTTATTGATAGATGGCGTTTATACCAATAAGAAGGAAAACGTTTATTGTAAGGGAAAAAAATAGAGATGAGAAGGTGAAAATGAAATAAAATATTACCAGTGTGGATAGTATTCATAAGTCACCACTGAGCTGAGAAATTGAGACAAGGTTTTATAATGTTTTATCCTAATATCCCAGGTTCTTGCTGTGTCCAGAAAATTCCCATCCATAGTTACAATTTTAGAGTAGGTGTATTTGGACAGAATATGTATTTTGCCACCCCTGCATGTAACATACAATGCGTCATCTTGTAGGAAGAGGGGTCCTACAGTTAGACTAGGAGGTGTTGGTTATGTTAAATGGACCAGGAGAGGATATTGGATCTTTTTGTATTTCCTGATAATTGAATAATTTATATAGTATTTCTTACACAGTTCTTTGTCTTGGATCTATGTCTTGGTCATTTTTATAACCTCTTTAACTGACAGTTTAAAAATTCTATGTTAATGCTGCATATTTAATGATCTTTTATCTTTAGCTACTGTGGCTCGCCTTACAGTATTTTTTCTTGCCATTTTTCTATTATATACAGCCAACTGGGCCTGTCAACTTCCATTACTTAATTAGAAGAGTTTCATTCTTAGCCAAATACCATTCCTTATGTCATGAAATAACATTATTACCTCACATGCTTCTTTTCCTTCTAACTGACCATTCTCATGACCCTCTTTATATTTATCATTTATTTCATTCTAACTCACCATTCTCAACACCCTCTTTATATTAAGACCCTCTTTAGAAATAAAATTATAGTATATTTAAACTCTGATTTTTCCTATTAAACACATGTGGCTTAAAACTTGGCAATTACCAGAAACATAGATTATAAGTGGACAAATTTTTTTCTAATTTAGTGATGTCAGAAGCTAGCAAATAAGCAATTATCCTAAAGACACTTACAAATACTGTTGATGGAAACATTTAAAAAGTTAGTGAACAAAAGTTGGAATATGCATTGTTCTAACACAGCAGTGATAAACCTGTATATTACTTAAATATAAATTCTACCAAAAATGATATAAAACTAAAATTTTCAGAGAATTAGGTTCTAAAATATCAGTTCTGATTATATATTTGAAAATTGTTTTAAAAATTGATTTCCTTGTCTTTTTTTTAATATCTCCTCCTATATCCCATTGACATTTTCCTTAATTTAAGTGTATCAAGTCGTTTTTTTCCCCTTTATTTATCCTTAACTAATTTTAAAGTTGTAAGACTGAAAACTTTTTAGGAAAAGTCAAACAGGTGTATGAGACTTAGAGAAGGATAAAAGTGAGATAACTTGAAAACAGAAAACTTTTTATAATGCCTTCTAAAAACTCTTTTCTAGCCTTTGTGAATCATGGTTAGTAGATTTCACTTTGTTTTCTATCAGTAGGAACTAAATTCACTTCTCAAATCTTTGAGCGAATCTCACAGGAGCTTAAATAAAAATATTTTATCTGCAGCAGAATACTAAATACGGTGACTAATTTCATAGCAAGCTCAGCTTTTTAAATGGCATGATGTTTTCAATAAAGTTATGAATTTTAAAATGTGAACTGTTATATCTTATTTTAACAAATTAATTCCTTTAGGATTATCATGTGGAAAAAGTACATGAATAGTAATGGTATTCTGACATAAATGACACATTTAAATTTTAAATCTTACCCCTATGGTATACTTCTTCCAGGAAGAGTAAATAAGAAATGTTATATATTTAGAGAGCAAAAAGTATTTATTTATTTATGTATTTTTTTTACTTTCCAAAATAACTGTGGCATTTTACAGGTAATCAATAAAACATAAGAAAAATATAACCACATATGTAATAATATCGGGGAAATTTAAAGAATAAAGCACAAGGATAAAATAGGAATTAATGATATTTCTTAAAGTTGCTATAGTTTTGCCTAGTATTTACCTCTTTTCTTATTATTACTAAAGGATCTATAAAATGAAATTCAAAATTCACTTTGTCAATAAAGCCTTATTAAACGTTAGCATTTCCTAAGCTCCCAATCAATTAATTAGTGTTAACATAGCTATTTATTTATCATTAGAAACTCCATTTCCTCTGTGAGTATA
Source organism: Homo sapiens (assembly GCF_000001405.40). Lineage (NCBI taxonomy): Eukaryota > Metazoa > Chordata > Mammalia > Primates > Hominidae > Homo > Homo sapiens. The sequence continues at coordinate 63,376,390 of NC_000004.12, read as the reverse complement.
ATAAGAATTTTCATGAATGGAAGAGAAAACATATATGCCTAACCAAGGTAAACTACTCTTTGGCTTCTTGTGCTGAAAATGACATTGTAACTAAAAATTATTTTCATGAAATGTTTACAATGATATAAATAAAAAAAAAAGACTCTTTCTAGAACTCCAGGAAATTTGACATTAGATAAGACTGAGGTTGAAAGTCAGCGCTCAGTAGACAAACAAGGGAAAGTTGCTAAACTTTTTCCAGCATCATTTTTTACTGAATAGAATAAAAATATTAATACTGCAATACATTGAGAGTTTCACCATTTTCCAGGTGATAATCTTTAGGGAGAACTGTTGTGGATCTAGTTTGCTCTGTTCAGTGTAACCAGAAAAATGACTTGGATCTAGTTTGTTCTGTTCAGTGTAACCAAAAAAATGTCTGTAATGGATTTCCCAGTCCAGATTATCTCTATCAATCCTTTCTTGGTTCACAGATCACACTCAACACATTTTTATTACTTTAGCAAGAAGGTTGACTACTAAGCAATTTTAATAAACTTAATAAAGTTCTCAGGCAGGCATCACTCCTGCTAAGTGACCAAAATAAATATTTTATTTTTTATTTCCCTAGAAGAAGACCTTGATTTATTAATTTGAGTATAAGTAATTTGTTAGAAAGAGGATCTTGGGTAGCATGGTAAGGTCAAGGGAAAGTGATAGAGGGAAGGGATAGAAATCAATAAAGGGAACATTAGTGAACATTTTCCACTTGAGGGTAACTGGGACTTGATTTTTCTGAGACTATATAGAATGTAACTTAGAGCTGTCCCTCTGAGGGAACAGAGTGGGATAGTTGTTTAGCAGCTACTTCATTATTTGAAAGATTCTCAAGGAATATCAACTTTCTAAAAATGTTGACCTGCTATGCATGGTTCAAATTGACAATAGTAGCTAGAAATTGCTCTCAGGCAGAGACACAGAGAGCTTTATGGTAACTCTGCAGGTGACCTTCAGATTAGGTCAAAGGGATGTAAGTGGGACACACACAGTGTTTCCTATGATTATGATTTATACAATTCAGATCCATTTGCACAACATATTTGGTCCATTATGAACTCTCAATAATTCTCAAAGTTGGCGATTAGTTATAATTATTAAAAAGAAAAAAAAGCATGAAAAAGACTTCCCAAAGCACAAAGGACAGTTAATAGCACAAGATACAGTACTCACTGCTATAGTTAGTCTAAATGTCATAATTAAAATTAATGACCACTCTCTCTACTATCCTTCTTAAATTGTTTTCACCTATGCTATTGGGACCTTGTATAGCTTCCGTCCCTTCTTTCATGGCTTATAAGTTTATGAACCCACTTTGAGATGAGAGGTTTTTTTATTTCCACTGAAAAAGACATCCTGTCACAAGGTTGCTTTGAGACTCCTTGGCTTGGTATTCATGAGAGAGTCAAAGATCTTCAAACTCTGTGCACATTCTTAAATATACATCTGATATGGTTTAGCTGTGTCCCCACCCAAATCTCATCTTGAATTGTAGCTCCCATAATTCTCATGTGTTGTGGGAGAGACCCGGTGGGAGATATTTGAATCATGGGGGTGCTTCCCCCAGACTGTTCTCGTGGTAGTGAATAAGTTTCACGAGATCTGATTGTTTTATAAGGGGAAACCCCTTTCACTCAGTTTTCATTCTATCTTGTCTGCCACATGTAAGAAGTGCCTTTTGCCTTTCACCACGATTGTGAGGCCTCCCCAGCCATGTGGAACTGTGAATCCATTAAACTTCCTTTTCTTCATAAATTACCCACTCTTGGGTATGTCTTTATCAGCAGCGTGAAAACAAACTAATACAGCAGTCTGCTTCTTCCCACCTCTTGGTGTCTAATTTTCAAATATTATTTTTTCCAATCCCATCATTATGCAGTTAACCATATGCTAAAGTCTCTACCCATTAGGATAATTTCACCTCACTGTTGTCTTTCAAGCCATTTTTAACTTTGTATCAAAAGAGCAAAATACATTTTGATAATCTCAAATTAGTTCTAAAGTTCAATGTTGATTTTATATCAAACAGGAATTTCTATTAAAATGAGACATTTTTGAAATTAGAACAATTTCTAATATAATACCGAATTTATTTTAAGAGACCATGATTCAACCCCTTGCTTAGAGCAATTAACATATACCAGGGGACCAAGAATGTACAATATCATTTTTGCTCCAAACGTTGCTGAGAGGATAAAATCTAGTGTATTAATACATAATGAATTACACTGTGTAATGTTTATATAATTGCTTTAAATAATGTGTAGTGCAATGGAAATGCAAGTTTCCACTATTTCCAATTCTATTATTGTGGTATTATAATTATTTCTGCATGTTCCCTCTTGATTTATTTTTAGGAAAAGCTTCTACAATCATAGAAGCATACAAAATATTTCCTTAACTATTTCTGAATCTTCTCTTCTTCTTTTTTTTTTTTTTTTTTTGAGATGGAGTTTCACTCTTGTTATCCAGGCTGGAGTGCAATGGCGCAATCTCAGCTCACAACAACCTCCGCCTTCCAGGTTCAAGTGATTCTCCTGCCTTGGCCTCCCGAGTGCTGGGATTACAGTCATGTGCCACCATGCCCGGCTAATTTTTTGTATTTTTAGGAGAGACAGGGTTTCACCATGTTGGTCAGGCTGGTCTAGAACTCATGACCTCAGGTGATCCACCCGCCTTGGCCTCCCAAAATGCTGGGATTACAGACATGAGCCACCGCGCCTGGCCCTTTGAATCTTTTTAATTCAGCACTTATAGATTTAAAACTTTAAGTGATCATGAATATACAGATCTCTATATGCAAAAATATACAGTTTAGTTGACTAGAAACCTTCACTGGCATTTGGAATAAATATAATGGCATAGGTCACAACATTTTGTAGATGTAATTAGATATCAAAGAAGATTAAAATTAAATGTTGGGATACAGAGATTTTTATACTACCAATGCTATAGTGTTAGACATTCTTTTTTTTCTCTTATTTTGTCTCTTCAGTTTAACAATCAAATTGATTTATAATTTTAGATAAAATTAGGATTTTAACCTCCTGTGTGACATAAAATTCATCAGCTGTCTGGAGAAAATAAATCATAATAAGCAACTTGTCTCATTGGACTCTGATATGACATGTATATGTGAACAAACATATCTGCAAAGAACAATTTAAAGGTTTCTGTTGTCATCACAATCATCTTCATCATCTTTATCAACACCATTGTAAGCACTATCATCAAATGAATATTATTTTCATCACTGAATATACCAAAACTATAAGTCATAAGGAGGCAAGATATACATGGCCCAATGGTATACCTTTGAGAGATAATAAATTCTTCTGAAGGTTAAACTTTAGTGATGGACTGTTGAGATGGGCTGAGTTCATAGAGAGGTCAGACATAAGATGGACATTGAATATTAAAGAAGAACATAAAACTATTCTAATAATTTAGAATGAAAGCCTGTAGACAGAAGACCTGTAGATGAAGGCCTGTAGACAGAAAATATGCAGAGAGTGGAGAATATTTATTAGATCAATTTAATAAAATACAAAGTTTATGCAGGAGAGCACGATAGTATTTGATACATAGAAAATGGAAATATATAGAACGATTTACATCTGGATAAATTATCTGGGACTTTATCCTATATTCATGGGGAACTATCTATAAATATTTTAATCTGTGGGTAATTACTATAGTCAAGTATAATCTGATAGCATTTTATAGACTTGTTTGGATTGTAGTTGATTAAATAAACTGACACCATTGCAGTGTTACATGGTTCAGGGCCACGGAAAAGTAGATTCTCTACTATGAAAGTTGGACAATATGCAAAATGAGATGGATAATTCCAGCAGAGAAAAGGAAACAATCTAAAAAATCAAAATAAAATTCTAGAAATAAAAAACACATAATAGATATAAATAATATCAGCAATGGACTAATGCATAAACTTGACACAACTGAAGATGTAACCAGTGACTTTGAATATGTCAATGGAAATTACAGAAATAACATCAGATCGCTGAGAAAAAATATCAAATGATCTTATGAAACAGGACCCATGGAATGCCAGAGGAAAAGAGAGGTAATATAGAACAAGAGAAATATTTAAGACTGATGATTGAGAAATTTCTGCAATTATTGATAAATAGAGATCCATAAATTCAAGAAGCTCAGAGAACACCAAGCAGAAGAAATGTCAAACCAAACCAAATTAAGTAACAGCAACAAAAGAAAAATAAGGCCCATAATATTTAAGCACCCGAAGACAAAAGATAAATGGGAAATCTTGAAGATATCTATATTAAATACATAGAAATAAAACTAACAATAAAAAATCATGCAATCCCAAAACACAATGGACTTTGATCTACAAAGTATGTCTCAAAATTGAAAGAGAGACAAAGTCTTTCTCAGACAAAAAACACCACGCTGTAAAAATTATTCAATAAATTTCTTCCAGTAGAGAAATATCAGATTAGACAGAAATATAAATCCATTAAATCAAAGAAGAATGTTGGAAAGATAATTTTTTTCACTTTTAATTACTTATAGTTAACCATGTAAAGCTAAAATAATAGTAATATATTGTATAAAGTAGATAAAAAGTAATGTCATAACAAAAATAATACAAAAATTGGGAGAGAGAAATAGAAAATATAATCTACAACTGAAAGTCCTTCCACTATACATGAAGTAGTAAAATATTACTTGAGGATATAATATTTTTAATTAAAAATCTGTCTTGTAAAAATAGGATAACCACTAAAGAATTAAATAATAATAAAAAGTGAGAAGAAATAAAAAACAATTAACAAATAAGAAAAGAAGCTGAAAAACAATAGGAAAAAATAACCAAACAAACAAATAGAAAACAGCAATATGGTATATTTTAATTCAATTATAAAAATAATCACATTAAATGTGAGTGATGTGAATGGGCCTAAATTTGCAGTGCCTATGTAAGAAAGAGGCTTAGTTAAAACATCAGAAAACATTTGTCTTCCCCAGCTCTCCATGACCACAATAAAAGGTGTAAAATAAAAATAATAATGGAGTATAATATGGAGAGCTGCAGGAAATAGATTCTTTCTGGGAAGCAGTACAAAGGGAAGATGTAAAGTAAAGCATGGGGCCTAAAGCCAAGTGTGGAGTAGATACTGAGAAACTATGTCTTGCAAATGGGCCCATACAATACATGAAAGGAATTTCTGAAGGGTTTGAGCCTTCAACTTCATGGAGGGTAACTAGAGAAAAGATAAATCTCAAACTCAGCCCTATTCCTTACCAGACTAATGCAAAATCTCAAACTAAAGACTCAGAGAAAGGAAAGATGTGCTCATCCCTAACTACAACAAATATGTGACTCAGTATATTCTGTGCTATATAACATGTTGAGAATTCAATACAAAAATTACAAGGCATGCAAATACAAAAATTATAAGGCATGCAAAAAAACAAAAAGAAAGAAACAGTCTGAAGATGAAAAACAGTCCTCAGAAAAACACTATAATGTGACACAGATGTTGGTACAGACAGTAAATTTAAAATAAATATGACCAATCTAATACAGGCTTTAATGGAAAAGCATTACAAGCAATATAAAATGTATATTTTAATAGATAGATGGAAACATTAAAATATAACAAATAGAAGTTGTAGAAATAAAAAGAATGCCTCTGACAGGTTCACCAGTAATCTCAACACAGCAAATAAAAGAATCAGTTAATGTGAAGACAGGTCAGTAGAAAGTCAAACAAAAACAAAGGGAAAAAAAGAATTAAATAACAGGTAAAATCATACAAGATACATGAGACAATGCCAAACATTCATAATCAGAATCCCAGAAAAAGGGGGAAAAGAGAAAGGAGCAAAAGAAATTTTGAAGAAATAATGGCAAAGGATTTTTCAATATTAGTGACAAAATACCCAATACAATCAAAGATAAGTATTACAGCAGAATTCTTAGCAGAACTCACACCAGCAAAAAACAGTGCAGTGACATTTTCAATGTGCTAAAAGAAAAATATCCATACTTTGTTAAAAAATACATTTGAAAATAGAAATATATAAATCCACAATATAATATACATTTAGATTTCAACACTCCTCACTGAGTAATTGAAAAAAAAGAACATACAGGCAGAAAAGCATAAGGATATAGATGGCCTGAATAAGACTAATATATTTATAGGATAATCTACCAAACAACAGCAGAATGCAACATTCTTCTCAAGTGAACACAGCACATTCACTGCATTTCTCTATATTTTTAAAGTATAGCTTATTTCTTCAAGTTAGTATTTTAAAAGTTGGGATTTTATTTTTCATTTGTTAATTTTATCAAATTTTTTAAATAATTTGTTTATATTGTAATACTATTTTGCAAGGAAAAAGAAAAAAACAAAACAAAACTCCTGATCCTTCAACCCAGATAGTTTGAAATGCTATTCAAACTTTTTTAAACATAATTTTCACTTTTGGAAAATTATATTTGTCATTGATTTGATTCACTAAAATAAAGATTATTGGTATTAGCAACTGAAAATTTGAATTTTGTCTTACAGCTTTATAACTGACACCTATTACATTTCCTAGTGATCCATTTTGTATCTGACATTTTAAGCAACATACTTGTAAAAGTTGTAAGACTCTTAGGGAAATATAACTCTATTAATTGTGGAAGAGGAAGGAAAAGGAATACATACTTCATTAAAATTAGATCTATATTATATGCCCACTTAATGTCACAGGGACATATTAGGATAAAGAAGGATGAAATAAAATGTAAAAATTACACAAGTTTAGGGGTAATGAAGTACATTTAATTTTACAATGATATGTTGTAAAAACTAATATTAAGTAACAATGATTGAGAAATAAGACATAATATAATAAATACTTTAAAATAATTTGTAAATAAGTATCCAAGTCAGTTTCTACCTTTCTCACTTTAAATTTATATTCTAACATGAGCGGAGTCACCCTATGTGTAGTATTAGCCTTTAGATCAACTATTCATTTTCTCTTTTATCAATACATGACAAGGTTATCAGTATTTAATAAAAGTTTCACAAGTCAATATCCCATTATTGAGTTGGAATACCTGGATACTTAAGCTCTCCCTTGAACAATTTAAAAAGAAAGAGTTAAATAAAAAAATCATTAGGAAAAAGTGGCATTTTTATCTAATGTTTCAAATAGAAAAATACGGATAAGACCAAAACCACAATGAGATACCATTTCACACCAGTTAGAATGGCGATCATTAAAAAGCCAGGAAACAACAGGTGCTGGAGAGGATGTGGAGAAATAGGAACACTTTTACACTGTTGATGGGACTGTAAACTAGTTCAACCATTGTGGAAGTCAGTGTGGCGATTCCTCAGGGATCTAGAACTAGAAATACCATTTGACCCAGCCATCCCATTACTGGGTATACACCCAAAGGACTATAAATCATGCTGCTATAAAGACACATGCACACGTATGTTTATTGCGGCATTATTCACAATAGCAAAGACTTGGAACCAACCCAAATGTCCAACAATGATAGACTGGATTAAGAAAATGTGGCACATATACACCACGGAATACTATGCAGCCATAAAAAATGATGAGTTCATGTCCTTTGTAGGGACATGGATGAAATTGGAAATCATCATTCTCAGTAAACTATCGCAAGAACAAAAACCAAACACCACATATTCTCACTCATAGGTGGGAATTGAACAATGAGAACACATGGACACAGGAAGGGGAACATCACACTCTGGGGACTGTTGTGGGGTGGGGGGAGGGGGGAGGGATAGCATTGGGAGATATACCTAATGCTAGATGACGAGTTAGTGGGTGCAGCGCACCAGCATGGCACATGTATACATATGTAACTAACCTGCACATTGCGCACATGTACCATAAAACTTAAAGTATAATAATAATTAATTAATTAATTAATTTAAAAAATATGGACAAGACCATGAAAGGACAAGGGGTCTCTGACTAGAAGTAGCAAAAAAGTAAATGATAATTGATGTTAACTGTGAATGATGATTACAATATTCACAGACCAAGTTGATAGGAAATGAATACCAGAAAAAATAGATAATATGTACAAAGACTTCGATAGTCTGAAGGACAATTACATATATTATCATTTGTTTAGAAAACTATATTAAATGCAATATTAAATACTCTATATAATAATGTATATAGAGCATTTAATATATTTATATTTTATTATTTACATATTAAAAATACTATTATACTATCAGAACTTAGTGACTATATATATGCCACTAGATATAAAATATATAAATATATTAATGCCACTAAGTTCTGATAGTATGATAGTATTTTTGCTATATTGTAAAATGTTGTCTTGCACTTTAATTTTTCTATTGATTAAATAAAAATATATCCTGCCTATTTCAGAAATTTCTAATAAATTTCAAGCAAAGGTTAAAGTTATCCACAAATTTATTACTATTATTATTACTAATATTTTTGTATTGCCAATCAATTATACTATAATTCAGCAAACTACCATCTGCATATGTTCTAATTAGAAACCTCATATTATAGTATTTAATGGTAGCTATTCTACCTGTTAAAGCCAGACATTTCAAGGTTCTTTGTACGATGAACATTTATCACTTACTAAGCTCACCACACATTGGAGTTTGTGGGTGGTTAGTGGGGAATACAAAAAGAGTGCTCTTCCATAAGCAGCTATTCACAAGATCTCTGCCAGCCTTCAATCTGTCATTATCATCACTTGGCTTTAAGGTTACTGTATTATGTTCTGCATTACTATAAAGGAATACCAAGTACTGAGTAATTTACAAAATAAAGAGGTTTATTTGGCTCATGGTAGTGCAGTTTATTAAGCATGACACCAGCAACTGGTCAGCTTCTGGTGAGGCCTCAGGAAGCATTTACTCATAGCAGAAAGTGAAGGGGAAGCAGACACATCACACAGCAAGAGGGAGAGGAAGAGGTACCAGGCTCTTTTAACAATCAAATTTTTTAGTAACTGAAAGAGTCAAAACTCATTACTGTGAGGAGGGTCCCAAGCCATTCATGCGGGATTTGCCCCATGACCCAAACACCTCCCACAAGGCCAACCTCCAACACTGGTTTCGCCTTTCACATGAGATTTGGAGGCGACACACTTCCAAACTGTATCAGTTTCCCTGCTATCATCACAAGCCAATAATAATCCTGAAAGACACAGCTGCAAACACCATACGCCATAATCTCCAATGTTGAAACATAAGAATATCAACATCCTCAAAGTCTAAATAAACTCAAAAATCACAATCCTAAAAAAAATCAAAATCTGAAAAATATAATTCTTGAAAAAATAGTTTCAAAATTATTTTATAAATATTTATTTGTATTTTTAAAAGCAAATTTATTTGACAAACATAAAACTATGACAACATTTCATAGGCCAATTTTAACAATAATATAGGCAATAATGATATAAGTATTTTTGCAAGCATAAACACTAATTATACTAACGACAATCACATGTATATACAAGTTATAAGCAGATGAAACGTATTCATAGAGAAATAGGTCAAGACCAAAATGTATAAGCACAAATCAGTATGGTTGGTAGTAATGTACACTCAACAACTCATCATCTAAAATACTGTTATGAACAACCTAAATTTTTGAGAAGATGGAATAAAAATCACAATGGGTCACCACTGCGTATGCAGTAACCCAAAGAGTTGAGAGCTCGAGAAATTTCACCAATCCAGGTGTACAAAAAGAACATATTATCATTTACTAAGGAAATGTCAATGTTTTTACATGAAAACCAGAGAAGCAGATGATGTAACTCTCAGACTGAGGCTGTAAGCCTCAGGACCTGGGGACCTCTGGTGTAAGTCTTGGAGTACAAATGCTGAAAATCTTGGAGTTCTGATGTTCAAAGCAGCAAAAGAAAAGTCTACCCTAGTTGTCAGAGAGGGACCAGTTGCCTTTCTGTACCTGCTCTCTCTGGTTCCCCAGCTGATTAAATGGTTTCCACCAATATTGAGGGCAGGTTTTCCTCGCCTTGCCCACTCGGACTCACTCACTAATCTCCTCTGGAACATTCTCACAGACAAGTCCAAAATAATGCATTACCATTTTTCTGGGTATTCCTTAATCTAGTCAAGCTGACACTTAAAATTAAGGTCACAAATCTACTCCTTGTCAATTAGGAATCCATATACATCTCCTTAAGCCATACTTAATTTCTAAATAAAGACAATAACAAGGTAATAGTTCCACGATACAACTATCCTATGATTATGCTTTTGGGGATTTTAGACATTAGGGATTTAGACTTAATGAATTTTGATAATTCATTATTTCAACATTTGGAATTACAGGGTTTGGGATTGTGTTTTTTGAGATTATGATCTAAATCCATTATTATCTGTCATAAATAATTCCATGGAGATTTTAGAGCTTAGAATAGTCATATATCATGTATATCCACATTCAAATGTTCAGAACTCTGTCACATGGTCCTGCCAGAGAGTCACGAAGTGTAGAAAACGTAGTTCTCTGTATGGTGAGGGGAAAAAGAAAATGGTTGTGTGAATGCCAATGCCCAACATTGTCTTTGCCAGACAAAGTACCAATTAAGGTTGACATTTGAAACAAGTTTGAACATCAACATATGATATAATTTCAGTGGATGGAACACTACATTTAAATTCCAAAAATTATTTTAATGTTAGATATAGCCGATTCACAAAGGTCATCAACACAATTTTTCTCCCATAGGTAAAATTTGATTTCATACAGTAATATATTGTTAACATTTCTCTTTCTTGTTCTGATTTTAAAAGTACAGGGATAATTTTGATTTTTAAAATCCTGGGGAACAAAGTGCTCAATTATAATTAATATTTGCAAAAGATAAACACAGTTTAATATTAATTGGAAACTAATTAATACACCATAAATTATTTTATTCAATAAGGCTTTGTAATTTTAATTTAATTTGCTTCAGAAAAACTTCCAGATTGACACAGAAATGAGAGTAAAATATCACCTCTCAAGTGAGAATTCAAAAGGCTGATGTAAATGAGGAGAAGAATTTCAAGCTAGTAAATCTTGGGTGATTAACTTCAAGAAGCAAGCCTATAACAAGGTGAGACTCTGAGGATGACAGTATACTAATGAATTCATTGGGTTATCACGAATCATCTTTGATCTAAAATTAACATTATATATGTACTATGCAAAAGCTCATTTTATTAGAATATTTATAAGCACTAGGGTATTTACATATTAATTTATGTTTTTAGGATCCTCCTGGGATTGCCATATGTTCAATAAGTAGACCTGCTTTGTTCTCTCTCTCTCTTTCACTCTCAATCTCTCTTTGTCTCTCTCTTTCACTCTCTGTCTCTCTCTCTCTGAGAAAGCAGCTGGTCTTTCTCCTGTAAAACTGCTCTCAGTTCACACTAAGAATTGCTGATCAACACACTTAATGATGCATTTGACTTTATTTCACAGAACACTGATTATGTGATGACTTTGGATAGTGTTGACATCAGTGTAAGCAGTTAAAAACCAAAAATAAGTTAATATGTTCTGTTAATTATTTATAATGTTTCATAGCTCTGATCAAACATTTTATGTCAGTTTTAGTACTAGAATAGGGTAGTTATAGTAATTCCATGTAAAATAAATACCCTAATGTCCCAGTAATTAAATAGTAAAGGACTTTTGGTAAACCTCCCCTAAAAAGTAATCTTATATATCAATTTATTCTCAGAAAGATGAGTTTTTAATTTTTTCCAAGGCCATTAATTACAGGAGTCCATTTTCATATAAACTGTAGTTTTAAATAAATTCATTTTTAATTATAATTTAAATTGTTTATAGTCAGTAACAGGATATTCAGCTGTAATTAATATGAATAGTCATAGTGTACTTTTTGTGATATTCAAATAACTGATTTTCTGCTTGAATATAGAGCAGCCAGGGAGGTTTTTATGTTACTTTCAGAATAAAAAATGTGAATGTTATTGGTTGTAAATATGGCAACTTGAATATGTCACAGTGATTCAATTAAACCCCCAAGTGCAGCATTTCTTCTTAAGCAGTGATGTATCAGTGAATGCCTTACATCCCTTTAGAATGAAAAAGAAAAAAAATTTAAAAACTTCTCCCATTATAAAGAGAAAATTCAGCCAGGTGTTTTGGCTCATGCCTGTAATCCCAGCACTTTGGGACCAAGGCAGGTCAAGAGTTCGCGACCAGCCTGGCCAACAGAGTGAAACTCTGTCTCTACTAAAAATACAAAAATTGGCTGGGTGTAATGGTGTGCACCTGTAGTCCCAGCTAACTGGGAGGATGAGGTAGGAGAATCTCTTGAACCAGGGAGGCAGGGGTGGCAGTAAGCCGAGATCGTGCCACTGCACTCCAGCCTAGGCGACACAGCCAGACTCCATCTCAAACAAAAATAAGTAAAATAAATAAATAAATAAACAAATAAAGAGGAAATTTATTTTAAAGGCTTTACTTCCAACAATATTGCTTGGTGTTAGAATTTCAGCCAGTGAGTACCACACACTGGTATTTAATAGGATAACTCAATATTTAAATAAATAAAGACTTCTAGAATCTTCATTCTTTCTTATAACTCTTACATCAAGACAGAAAAACTAAAATTTATTATGTGATATCATTCTGTGTAGTACTAAAAGTCACTGCGGCATTTTTGTGGTCTTCAGAGTTATAGCTCATGGATAACAGTAATATGGAGTAATATGTACAAATGCCTAGTTAAACAGAAAAGCTAATACATGTATCTTCTTTTTTTCCCTGAATTTCACCATAAAGCACAGAGTATTGAAGGACACAATAGCTGATGAGAAATATCAATACAGTTTTTGAAGGATAAAACTAGAAGAAATAATCCATAACTCATCTAGAAGAGCAGAAAAAGATGAAATCTGAATTCTGGCTACCATGGATGCCTTATGAATCAAGACAATTCACCCTGAAGAACTCCAGACAGGAGCAGGAATTATAGGGTTCCAGTACTTCAGGAGGCAGGATGAGGTAGAACTGAAATAGGTAAATCCACATAAAGATAAATAAAAAGGAAAAGTGATATGGATAGGAGACAGGGAATCACTGGTTGAAGACAGCAGTTCCCTGGCAAAAGCCCCACCCTCAAGCCTGAAGACACAAAGCCCTAAGTGAGGACAGACATTCCTGTTTTTGTGCCCAAAAAGTTGCCTTTTGGCCCAATATGCCCCCTATCCTGTATCCATATAAACCCCAAACCCCAGGCTCCAGAAGCAGACTAGCATGAGACAAGCAGACGAATGGCAGAACAACACGGCAGAAAAAGAGAGAAGAGGAGGAATGTCTGAACATGAAGAGGAGTTTGGGTTGCTGTGGTTGAAGAGGGGTTTGGCTGCTGGACAGCCTAGATCATCTTTCCACTTCATCTCCCCCTTCCGGCTCCCCATCGATCCCACTGAGAGCCACCTCTACCACTCAATAAAACCTTGCATTTATCCTTCAAGTCCATGTGTGACCAGATTCTTCAGGGATGCTGGACAAGAACTTTGGATACAGAAAGCTGTCACGCTCGCCTTCTGCCCTTGCAAAAAGTCAGAGGGTTCATTGAGCTGGTTGACACTTAAAGTCTTCTGTGGATAGCGAGGCTAAGAGCATTGTAACATTGGGGTTGCAGGCACACACCCCTAGACACTACCACAGGGCAGGAGCACAAAAAGCTCACCCCGGCCTCTGCACCTGGCCGCCGTTATAATGTTGAGGCCAAGATACTTTTAATATTCAGAGTGAAGAGAATACTGTGTACTTAGCATATGATATTCCACTAAGTAGAAACATCTCCTTTTAGGTCTTTTATTACTTATATCTAAAAAATTATATATCTCTATCTAAAATTATATATTTATAATTATTATATATTTAAAATTATTCAATATTAAATCTAAAACATTAAATATATAAATCACATGTAAAAAGTAAAGTTAAAAGTCACATCAATATATTGATTACATCAAAATTTAACAAGAGAATACCTTGCCTTCTAAACCACCTATACGCCCTTTATGTGATGGCAGCCAATAACAACCAATGTATCAAATATTGTGTCTAGCCCTCTTTTTAAAATTGTATACAGCTCTTTCTATATCTCTGTCTCTCTTTAATGCACACACAAATATTAATAATTTGTTTCATGTGTTTGTAATTATAAATGGAATTACATTTTCTATTTACTTCTGCAACTTTTTTGCTGAATATTATGCATGTGAAATTCATACCTATTGTTATATAATGTTTAATTCCAGTTTATATTCATTACTGTAGAGTATATTATTCTTTCCCACTTTAGAATAACCACCAGTATTCATTCAAGTATTCTTGTATGTATCTCTTGTTACACATGTACAAGAAGAAAAGACCCTATTCACATGTAGAGAACAGCATTTTCAGTCTGTGAGTCACAGCACTTCAGTATCATAAAGGTATTTCAGAGAGTTATGGCCTCTATTTGTGAGTGTAATGTGATAGATCAGAACTGTAGAAGTGGAAAGTATGTCATAACTATTCTCATCATAGAGGTTACAGCCGATACTCTTACAACAGAAGACAGGTTAACAAGAGGAATGTATAACAGACGTATTTAATAAAATTTTATGTGACACAGAGACCAGAATGAAGACCTAAAGACTTAGGGAAAAATGTCTATTGTTATGCTTAGGTTCAATAAAAATGGACAGCCATGTAGAAATGTGTCAAAAAGGGAGTGAAACTAATGGTCATAGACTGATTGGCTAAACACAGCAAGGCCTGTCTGTTCAGATTCTTCTTGGTCATTCTGTGTGGTATTCCTTCTTCCTGGGAATAGGGCAAGAACCCTTTTGGAATGAGGGTTCTATGATACGATCAGACAAAGTAGGTCAGATAATTTCTTTATGGCCGGCTTCTACACAAAACAGTGGAGGAAATTTAGAGTAATATTTTTGGCTTGTATGACCAGCCTTTGGGAAGAGGAATTCCAGATTTTATGGCCTGCCTCAAGAGAGAAAACAAAGTAGGAGAATGAAGGCCAAGAAAGGTCAGAAGTAGACTTTGTTTCTGAGGTCTTTCCAATATCCTTCAGCTCAAAGTACTCAGCATGCCAAAGTGCCATACTTTGGGGTAATGTTTTCTCAGCCACAACAGAAAGAAACAGGAAGAATTAAACAGAATGCATTTGTTTCATTGTTCATCTCAAATCGTTGGGGTAAATATTGTTTCATTTAACTTTTGTTTATATACATATAAATATTATAATAAATAATTTTATTCTTTTGCTTATATGTGCATGGACACAAATATTTAAAAATATGTATTTATAATGTCACAATATCAAATATCTTTGTTATTGTAAGTCACCATTAAATTTTGAAAAATTCTGCTCTAGTGCATATGTCCAGTGGTTGAATTGCAGAATAATCTATTACAAATATTTTTAGTTTACTAGAAAAGGCCACATTGTGGTCCAAACTAGTGACAACAACTTCTACCTTTATACCAAAGGTGTTTAAAATTCTAGTTGTCTTCAAATCCTGACAATGTTTGTTACTCTCAAACTTTTAAATTTTATCCAATAGTGAAAATTGTTATTAGTTATTTTATTTTTATTTCACGTATTTCCAATGATGATCAAAAGCATCTTTTTATCTGCCTATTGGATATTCAAGATTCCTCTTGAATTAACAACCTATTCATTTTTTTCTTATTCTTATCCAAATTAGGTTGTTTAGATTTTTCTTATTTGTAGGCATCCTATTTATATTATGAGTACTATCACTGTTTCAGTTTTATTTCTAGTATCATTTATATTCAGATTGTTTATTCACTTTTATACTGTGTTCAGATAAACAGATTGTCTTTGGTTTTAATATAGCTTTTTTAAGTATTTTTGTTGCAGATAGAGTAAATTCACAGGTGAATTGGGAAAATTCTATCTTTATATCAGGAGGCATTTATGACGTGCCCTTTAAAGTCTGAACCTCCCCTGGTGACTTCTCAACTTCTGAGGGCTATTTACTTTTTACATTTTATTAATTTTTTTGTTATTTTTAAAATATGGAGTTAAAATGTAATTAAGTTCAATTTACAGTGTATAATGAAAATTTCTGTATACTCAGTCACTCTTGAGCCCTGAAAAGTTCTTTTTCATGTCAGTCCTTGTTTAGTATCTCATCAATTGACTTTGAACCCCTTTTCCTATTTTAGAAGCAGAATTTGCTAAATATAATCTTATGTTTCTTTGAGAACCAAGAATCTTGCAGTGTCAGATTGATGTTTGTTCACAGTAATGTTCTTCTAAGCATCCTTAGGATGTGCTTCATGTGCTTACAGGTGAACTGGGGATCAAATGGGCCACATACGATATCAAAACTAGCTGGGCCACTTAACTAGCTAGGTGGCCTGGGGCAAGATTCTGCCAGTCTGTTTTTGAACCTTAGTGTCATCATCTGTAAAACGAAACTAATCGTTACTTTTCTAAAAGTGGAGATAAGTGTAAAGCCCTTAACATCATATCTGCCACATAAGGAACACTAAACAAATAACAGCTATTCTTCTCATTTTTAAGCAAGATGAAATATATATCGATCCCAGGACATAACCTGTCCTGATTGGGCATTGCCCTTGGCCACCAGGAACTTCAGGTCTAATGTTTTACAGATGATTTTCAATTGACATGTAGCCTAGCTTAACTAAGTGACCAGAACATCATGAAAACTTCACAGAGACATTTTGCATTGAGCTTTTCTGCATATTTCTGAAGGCAATATTTATTATAAAACTCTGGGTGGTTGAATTCAAAGATAGAAAGCACTTCTGTTTCAATAAGGATGCTGGGAGCTTGCACCTGGAGCTCCCTTGGATTCCCTGATTATTTTCTATACTTTATTTTTCTCTGGTTGTACATTAAGCCTTATGAAAGGATGCTCTGTACAACTTGTGTGACCTTTAAAACATTCAAACTTACAAAATTTATGGCAATGAGATGGGATATTTTAAACTACTCCTGACAATATAATGTAAATAACAATGTCTAAGACATGGTTTGAGAGAAATAAAAGTGAGGGAGAGAGAAATCATTGTCCTTAGGTTGACTTACTGGTCATTTCTGGGCTTAAGCTGCACAAGTACTGCATCCACTGACAGGCAGAAAATTATGAGACCAAAAATTCATGGATCTAGATTTGGATGAACATCTAAATGTGTTACATTACATAAATATATATGGGAGTGTGTGTGTGTATGTGTATGTGTGTGTGTGTGTGTAAATATATGTATATCTTAAAAAAATAAGTCCATGAACAACGCAATGTTGTGTGTGTGTGCACGTGTGTGTGACTGGGTTTGAGTATGGTTGTGTTTGTTATTCTTTTTGGTATTGATTTTTAAAGTGTGTTCTGGTACAACTGATGCTGACAGATAAGCAGCCAGAGGCTGCTAGAGCTGCAAAATTACTTCCTGTATAATATTAAGACTTCCACTAATTCTATGATTCTTACCCGGTAATGATTGATGCTCTCATAATAAAGGACGGATTCTAACTGTTTGAGTTCCTTATGTGACTTTATTCTTAGATCTGTAGGAAGCTGCTATAAACTTCAGGCCCCTGAATGGAGCGAAATATAATATGAGAAATTTCAGGATTATACCAAGAAAGAGAGCAATAAGAAAAAAAGGTGAAAAATCTGAAGACAGTTTAACTCTGTGGAAGTCTTCATAAGCTCAATTCAAATATTTTAAAAAGGAGGAAATAGATGGAATAGCCACTAACATTTTCACAGATCACTATGAGAAATTAGATTGTCTAGCTCCTCTACCAACTACTTTGTCTGGAAAAGGACAATGAAAAATTCACTTAATTTATCCAATACTTAATATTTTTTTTAAAAATGGTTATTACAGAGAATTATAGTCTATAATCCTATAAGAGTGAGTGCCAGTTAACACAGGAGAGGATTAGGACTCTGCATGACAAAAGTGTTAATGTCTCTTAGTAAATCCCAGTGGGAGACTCAAGGTAATTTACTCAAGGATGGGTAAAACGGCCTGGGTATGGTAAAGAAATTTATTAGGATTGCTGGTCTTTGATTGTCTTAGTCCATTTTGTGGTACTATAACAAAATATCACAGACTGAGTAATTTATAAAGAACAGAAACTTATTCTCTCACAGTGGAGTCTGAGAAGTCCAAGATCGAGGCACCAGTATCTAGTGTGGGACTTCTCACTACATTCTCACACTAGGATATGGTGATGCAATTATAAGAGATTTGCAGGTGAAAGTCAGGTTCCAGTAGAAATTTATGAACAAAAGTTTTTTATTGTTGTTGCCTCCTAATTGCCAGAATGTATTATTGGAATATATGTTTTGTCTGAATGGGAAAGTTTTCACTTACCCAAAATACAGGAAAAGGAAAGTTATACAAATCTGTTTTTCACCTATTTTAATTGGGCAATACATACTGAATCATTTAGAATCATCTAAATGTATGCAAGTGCTTAATTTGAAACAATATAGGATTCATAAGGAATATAAATATTTAAATTAACAAAAGGTCTGTTTTATATATAAGCATATTAGAACCCTAAAATCACTTGTTTAATAATTCATTATGGAACATAGATAAAGGATTAATTCTGAAAGTCAACTGGTATAATGGTTCCACCAAAAGCATCAGCTATACCCTATATGGTAGAAATTCAAGACATGCCACTAAATGATTAAGATTTTCATACCTTTATTGGTTTGGCGCTTGCCTTCTTTTTCAACTCTAGTTAGAAGAGAAAGCCAATTTGCATTTACTTGGGATGGGCTTCAACATGCATTCACTGTGTTCCTACAAGAATATTTAATTTCTCCTGTTAATTAATTACCACAACCTAGTGAAAATAAATACATATAGATTTGATTCGGTGGGAAAGTACTGTTATTTGTTATATAATGTTGATAACTTAATCTGAAGACCAAGTCATAATTACAAATGCTTATCAATTCTGTGACCACCAGAGTAAAGCTAATTAACCCAGATATGGTAAAGCTCAGAAAAAAATGATAAAATTTTTTGTCATCACTTAAGCAAGGGTCATAAAGACATTACTCAGACAACCAAAGTTAAGTTACTCTCTAGGTCAGCTCCAAAATCAATCAAGGGGTGCACTAACTGATTGGATTATTTAGTTTTTCATGCCACATTTTGAAATACTGCTAGCACCTATTCACAAAATTAAAAGGAAAACAGTCAAATTTGATTATCTTTTTTCTAAAAGCAAGCTGTCTTAGAGCTTCAAAAACACACAACGCAACATTAACACTTCCCATGCTCAAATAATTTTGGAAGTGTCTGAAACATATGGCCACCACACAAAAACTTCTTACTCTTATCCAGTGAAAACCACTGGGATTTGGGATAAGTTTGTTGTTGTCACTTCGAAGTGTATGTCATTTAAAAAATGTTTGACAACTTGTTATTGGGGTTTTTTAGTAACTGTTTCTATTACAGAGGAATACAAAATTGCTTTAAGACCAAAATACCCGTTGTATTAAAATATGTACTGTGTTCCAACTCATCAGAGTATTGCGTGTCTTAGTGCATGGAGAGGATATATATATATTTTTTTCAGAAGGGTAACTGCTGAGGTAAAAAAAATATATATACATAGAAAGTAGAAACTAACATCAGTTCAGAGGCAACGTGATAACACATATACTTGAGTCTGATAGTTCCAATGTCAATGAGGGATTCCCACAAGAAGCTTTCTGCCATATTTAAATTGTAGATGACTACAGCCCAAATGATATTGCACTGGGAAATTCAACATTTGTGGATATAAATTATATGTCCAATTTGTAACTATGAAATAAACATTCTATGGTAACAAAATGTTTCGTAGTTGGCTGCAAATGGAAGCCCATTAAACCTAAATAAGGATTTACCTGAGAGAGAGTATGATTTAAATACAAGGCTCATGATGAAATCTACTCAATACAACCACGTAGTAAAAAAGGTCATATGGCTGTGCCCCACAAGGCACTGAGATTTCAGATTTAACTAAAACTTGACCCTTGATTTACAGCATGGCCTATGACAACATTTAATATACAGGTAATGACTGCTTTTGTTAGGAAGCTGTACGAAATACTATTGTAATCCAAAATGACTTCTTTCATAGTAATTTTCTTTTCATAATGTAATATTTAGTGTAATACTAGTGTAATTGGTAAGAATAATTTGACTTATTTACCCATACCTCATTTCATGTGCAAAAATAATATTTGACAGTTTTCCACTAGCATTTTGTTCTATAAATATTGCAATAGATGCATGAGAAGAAATTATCACAAGCAATTTCAATTAAAAAGTGTTGCTAGATCATCAGATGGTTGACTTTATAGGATAGAGTTAATTTACAAATGAACTGATAAATTCTATCTTTATCTTGGGAGATGCAAAGGTATATGGTTTTGGCTGTTGGCCAAGATAAGGTCAGGGGAATTCAGAACATGTTACTTAAAGTACAAAGTCTACCTGACTACTGCCAGAGTTCATTTGTTCATTGATAGTTTTGAAGGGCATAACAGATTAAGTAGCCTGATATGACTAGAAAACCAGCAATTAGACTAGGAACATCTGTCTCAGGATCTCCCAAAGTTAAGATGCATGACACAGATGGTGATTTACATTAGAAACAAAACATGTCTATATGTACACAAAATGACTGTGGAAGTTTTACTCCTGAAAGACTCTCAGAATCCTTGGGCTTGCCTATTCTGTATCTTTGGCTGCACCAAATATTAGCCTTTAAATAAAAGCTTTACTTATTTATTTATTTATTTGAGATGGAGTCTCGCTCTGTTGCCCAGGCTGGAGTGCAGTGGCCTGATCTCAGCTCACCGCAACCTTCGCCTCCCAGGTTCAATCAATTCTGCCACCTCAGCCTCCCAAGTAGCTGGGACTACAGGCATGCGCCACCATGCCTGGCTAATTTGTGTATTTTTAGTAGAGATAAGGTTTCACTCTGTTGGCCTGGCTGGTCTCGAACTCCTGACCTCATGATCCACCTGCCTCAGCCTCCCAAAGTTCTGGGATTACAGGCGTGAGCCACCGCACCCAGCCAAAAGCTTTGCAAGAGTATGATTTGTGCATTCTTGTGAGTTCTTTTAATATCTAAACTTGTAAAATATTCTCAGTTCTTATTTTAATCAAAACTGTAGCTCCAAGCATTAGTGGTTTTGGTTGGGAAACATATTAAAATGTCCATTAAAAGGGTTAATAAATCCTTTCTGGAAGTATGCAATTGCAATAGACATCGGTCTTCATAAAGCCACTTTCTCTCTTCCTAGGACAATTTTTTAAGACCATAGCCAGGTCACTTGAGAACTTTCAGTGTTATTTGTCCCACATATAAATTTTCTTTAGGAGAGAAACAATCAGGAATAGATTCAACTTCAAAGATAACAGTGGAGGGTAACTGTGGTAGGCCAATGGCCCACCAAAGACATCTATGTCATAAACGCCAATAATTTGTTAGCTCACATAACAAATATAACTTTGCAGATGAAATTACATTAAGATCCTTGAGATTCATGGAGAGATTATTCTGTACTATGCAGGTGGGCCCAGTGTAATAAAATAAAAGATCCTTATAAGAAAGAGTCAAAAGTGTCAAAGTGAGGAAAAGGAGATGTGCCAATGAACCAAGAGGCTGGAGTAAATTACTTCGAAGAAAAAGAAAGGTGGTCGTAAACCAAGAAATTTGGGCAACTTTTAGAAGCTAGAAAAGGCAAGGAAACAGATTCTTCCCCGAAGCCTCCCAAATAAATGCAATACTACAGATATCTTGATTTGGTCCCTTCAGATTCATTGTTGAAGTCTTACCTCCAGGACTGTAAGATACTAGATATACTATTCTAAGTCACTAAATCTGTGTAAATTTGCAACAGAAGCAAAAGAAAATGAATATTGTAATCAATCTGGTTCATTATCAAATTCTATGCTATTGATTTTTCTTTTTTATTTTTCATGAATTTCCAGGAAGAGATTTGTTCACAATTTAAAACTGTATCACCACATTGAAAATGTAGGTCTCTTCCCCACATAATCGTCAGAATAGAATCACAAAACAAAACAAATGTTTTGATTAATAGAGGGTCTACAGAGAGAAGAAGTGGCTGAGATAGAAGGCCAAATCTGAAGGTCATTCAAGATTCCTGCCACTGACAGTTTTTCATTATTCTAAGAAAGAAATTATGGAAAACAGGAGATTTTATAAATGACAATATGGCACTGATACAACCCAGAAACAGTGTTTTGCTGTTAAGGGCATTTGTGGACAGATGGGAGTGACTTCTTTTTTTGAGAGTCAACATTTTATTGGATGATGTTTGTCTTTTGTTTATTTAATAGATTTTATATTTTAAGATAGGAGAGGGCAATTTTTCCTGTGGTATTCCTTTTTCTTACAATTTTAGCAATGGGTTTTTTTCTAGTTTAGATATAGTCATTTCCTTAACCATGGTTTAGCTAATTGCTTAATCTTAAGAGTTATTAATTTGGTATGCATTTTTTTCTTGGTCAAAATGTCTTCGATGTGCCCAGCGAGCTCTTGTAATTCAGGAAAGGGAGGAAGTCTGCCATCTTATCTTTTGTTTGTAACAGAAGGTTTAAAATCATCCACAAGGAAAGTAGATATGGTTTTTATGGTATTTTTACATTCATTCAGAGCAGCGTATTCCCAGAAGGTTCCAGTTAAGTCATCTTTGAAATGAATGCTTTTTAGTCTATCAGACTGAATTTTTGATCATTCAGTTTGAGAGAAAGACATCAGACATCAGACATAACTGCTAAGATGAATTTTCTTATTCTTGGACTCATTTAGTATCCATTCACGGTCAAATTTCAATAATATACTTGATAGTATTCTGAAAATCAATCCTTCCTGCTCTTTTCTAACCAAGTTTTCACATCGCCAGGACCTACAAGGATATAAACTAATTGATGGAGATTAGGGAATCCAAAGTAAGAGTTGATAAAGCAACCCCAAATCCTTCAGTGAACTTTTAGCCTTTCTTTATAAGAACTAAATTATGCAAATGTGATATTAAACAAGATTTTAAGTTAAAACAAAACAGAGAATTTGGTCATTATTATTAACTGCGCTGTAAGATATTATTTTAATATCCAAGGAATGGGGTATGTTCAGAACAGGCCAGTGCATGAAAGAGAAAAGGGGATGGTTCAGATGCTACAGACAGAGAAGAGAGAGCAGAGAGGAAAGGGGGAAGTTGAAGTATGTAGAAGCGGGACGCCCACATAGAGTTGGATCAGCATAAGTAGAGAAGAATTTTATTAACTATTTCCAAAATCATCCAAAACTGAACATTTTTGCTAAGTCTTTATGAAGACATCATTTATTTCTCTTTTCCTGACCTTGGTATTAACTTCTTAATTGGCTTGGTTTCATTGCTCAGGGATGTTATAGAGGAAATGAGGGGTAGGGACAAGAATATCAGTGCCTAATTCTTTGTATTCTGTGTGTTCTTTTCATTTGAATATTAGCAATTACTAGTGTTTCAATAAATCTCAGCAATGTGGTGTCAATTGAACTAAATAATCAAAAATTTGACAAGATTCTACCAAGGAAAATTTAGAACTTCAGTGGCCATTATCGATAATTTAGGGTAGATTATATAACTACCCTAGGCTCCATTAGAATAAAGATTTCAAAGATTTAAACATCTAATGATCAGTGTATTTGGATTGTGATGAAGATACCATTGAAGAGCAGGAAAATACAAAAATTATTTATCCTAGGACCACATGAGTAAAATTAATGTAAATGTGAAAAATCTAACACCAAACTTAAGTTCTCACAATTTTTTTAAGTATTTGATCCTTCTATTTTAGGATTTCTCCAGAGAAAGATTATGAAACATAGAAGAAAATATCTCACAGTATGTTAGCATATTTCTTAAATCAAAGTTTAGTATGCAAGTTATAACTTTCAGTCTATTAAGAAGGTGTATGCTTAGATGACTTTTCATCATTTTAAAAACTCGAACACACTGTAAAGGAATAAAGACTTACAACCTATTAAAGTATTCATGTTTCCTCAAAAAACAAGAAATATTTTCATAAAATACTATTTAAAACACTTTCCCCTTTTTAACATAGTGTGAATATAGCATTACAAAAATATTAAGTACTTAAGAATGATACTCTGCCAATCCCTATATTATCAATAAACTCTATACACTTTTTAATTTTCATTAAACTCAGGAAGTTGAAGATTAATAAGGAAGAAAACTAAGTTTCTTTGTTCAGAATCTTTACTACATAGTGAATGTCCAAGATTTAATTCACAATTAAAATCTAAACACCGTAATTAAGAAGCAGATGGAATTTTAAGTATATGGAGCCTTTGAACCCATCAGAGTTAGGTATGAAAATCTGTTCTCACACATAGAATTTCCATGATATTGCACATGTTACATTATCTACTCTGTTTCCTTATTTTTAAAATGAGAATCGCAATAAATATCACATGGCTCCAATGGGAAAATAAAATAAAATATAAAATATGAAACATCTAATGATAAAATTGAAAAATTGTTGAAACTTTTAAAAATATCTTCATTCTTTTCAAAAACATGAAGTAATTCTGCGCTTAACAACAGTTTAGCTACTTACAAACATAAATGCTATATAAGTTTAATATAACATTTTAGTTAATAGAATTACTTTTTTTTTCCATAGTAACCTTGTTTTTATCCTTCATATGAGAAAGGGCGTTCTCAGTATTTTCACCTTTACAGCTGTATGTTTGTTTTCATCTTTTTCCATCCATAGATCCTGTTCCTAATAATATAAACCATCATTGATAACTTTAGTAAGTTCAGATGTGATTTTTGCCTGAGACATGTGGTTGCCTCTTCAATCTCCTCCAGGATGTTTTTTCACATAAGGTGGTGTCTGAGTTACAATCAAAATCTTGTTTAAGTCTTGGTCATCAATTTCATAATCTGAATCATTATCAGACCAATCAGTTAATGTGTTTTTTCATCCTATTTGTTCAGTCTTTTCATCAAACAAAAATCAAGTTCTTCTTGTTCTGTTTCTTCTGAAGAACATAGCTGATTTAATGACCCCTCAGGAACAGACACTCATTCCCTCAATTTCACTGGGGCTGGCTGATGTCTCTTTTTTACTTCCATCCCAGGTTCTGAGTCCAAGTCAGGCAAACTGGCAAATCTCTAGACATTGCTTGAAGAATACTTGTTTCACTATTTTTCTTTGGAGTCAATGGGCTTCCAATTCTTGGGGAATTTGGGGCAGACTCTGTATGCGAGCAAAAGGCTTAGCCTGGTACAAACTCTGGACAATCAGTTGAGAGAAGTCTGTTTGTGGTACGTTGCATGGAGGAGGGCCTGGAATTGGCCATTTTTCTGGTTCTTTTTTCTCATTTTCTCATTCATAATTTCTACTTCTGTGCTATCCTTCAGTGCCTCTGTGATAAGGTTTGTAGTGAGAGCCTGAACACGTTGGAAACCAGCAATCAGGAAAATAGGCAAGGAATCTTGTTCACCCCTCTTTCCTCGAAGAAAGTAGTCTCTTTCCGAATTTTCTGCATTGAAGTAATGTTCAATTTGACGCTTAATACACTCTTTAAGCAATGCTTCTTCCACACGATACACCTGTACCCCTGTACCATCATCATAGTAATACATCATACTGGTATTAAGTTCTGTTTGAAATGGCTGAAAAGTCCTTTCACCATGTTCTTGATAACCATATTTATCTCTATCTCACCTCCAATTTCATATATAATTTCTCCTATTGTTATGTGTTGGTTTACTTGCTTCAGGTTGACATCTTGAGCTGTTCCAGGATCCAGGTCTTTCTTGACTCTCTGGTCTTACATCATCTGAGTGGTACCCACGTGTGCTTATTAGCTCTCTTTCGTTGATTACTTGACTAAGCCTCATCCTCACTGACATTTTCACCAGGACCATTTAATTTTGTTTCCCGGTTTTGTTTGTTCTTTTACTTCTCTTTCCAACCTTCTCTTCTTTTTTCTTTTCTATCTTGTGGCTTTTTATTTCCTTGGCTGAGGACGCTCTGATATCCAGTGTTCACTAATTCACTTGGTGTTCGCCAATTCTCCATATCCTTGAAATCACTAGCCTTGTTGGATTTCTTTTTCTTGAGTTTTCCTGCTTTCATAATTTTGAGGGAACCGAACTCTGCCTCCAGGGTTTCCAGCGCTGGCTGCGGCCGACCTGTTGTGGTTGGGGACAGGTGTTGTGAAGGCTTTTTGTTCCAGGGATTTCCCTTAGGCAGCAGCAGGGGCGGCTGCCGCTTTTCCTTAGGGCCAGCTGCCGCCTCCTCCATGGTATCCTAGGCCAATGGATCCCGCAGCAGCGGCGGCACTGGCCACCGCGGCTCCCTGCTGAAAGGGCCCCCGGGCCCACGCGCCTTGTGCGCCAGATGCAGCGCCAAGGGCCTCACGGGGACAGCCACCTGGGGCATGCTGCGTGTAGGCACCACCAGGGAGGATGGCTCTCCCCGCGCCCCCTCGCTGGTGGTGGCCTTGGCCTTCTCCTCCCTCGCTGCCACTTTGCCCTCATGTTCGGCCAGGGGCTGATGCTCGGCCGGCCGGTTCACCCTGGCCAACAGCGACTCCCTCTCAGCAGTCACAGCGGGCGGATCCTCCTGAGAATGAGCGGCAGACACCGGGTAGTGAGCAAATATCGTCCCTCTGCCCCAGCCGCCCCAGTCGGGGTGGCCCCGAGGCCAGGGAGCCCAACTTGCCCGTCTCACCGCCAGGGCACCGACTGGCTCCGGCTGGGGGCAGAGAACCCCAGAGACAGCCGCCGTCACCGCCACAACCAGCCAGCCTAGGCCGCCCAGTTCCCGGCGTGCCGCCCCCTCCCGGAACCGAACGCCTGCCGGCCCAATCCTCTCGGCAGCGCACTCCCAGAGCCAGACACCAAGCGCCGGGAGCCCCAACCAGTAGCCCTGAGCCCTCACCTGGCGCGGGCAGCAGCTGAGACGTAGCAGGCCGGGGCTGAGGACCTTTACCGGAGTCGGGGGGCACAAACACCTAGAACAGGTAACTGCCCGCGGGGCCGTGGACGCCGAGGAAGGGCGGCCCCAGAGGATGGGGTGGAGCCTCCCTAAGGAGCTTGATATGGCTACTCACCGGCTGCTGCCCTCACAGGGCCTCCCACAGGAGTTGACAGATTCGCCCGCCCAGGTGCCCACCGGCCCCGCCCGGCCGAGGGCCTACCCCCTCCTAGCGGCCCTCCCAGGGCAAGGAAGAACAAAGGGGATGACTCCTGACTCCCGGGCAGAGGCCACCCTTACTGCGGGCTCAGGGGTGGAGTGCACACCAGGCCTCTGTGGCTGGCTGCAGGCTCCTGCCCTGCTCACAGGGCAACAGCAGCCAGGGGCATGGGCAGTCCACGCACATGGCACCTGGAGAACCAGGCGCTCACTTTGCCCTTAGGTCCTAAAGCCAGGTTTCACGTAGGCTAAGGGAGGGGACACAGAGTCGACCCCTGACCTGGGGGGCTGCAAGTGAATTGTGCTCCCCACCATCCCCAACCCCCACCCTCACCCCCCACCCCCATCCCCCCAGCCCAGCTCTGCCACTTGGCCCCCTGGAAACACTCTTTTTGAAGAATCTGCTCAGGGACATTTCGGAGCCCATTGAGGTCTGTAATGAAAAATGATATCCTGTGATAAAAACTAGAAAGAAGCTATCTTTGAAAATGCTTTGGGATGTATGGATTCATTTCACAGAGATAAACCCTTCTTTTGTTTCAGCAACTTGGAAATACTGTTTTGCAGAATCTGCAAAGGTACATTTGGGAGCCTGTGAGTCCTATAGTAAAAAACCGAATGCCCTGTGATAAAACTGGAAAGAAGCTATCTGTGTGAAAGCTTTGCGATGTGTGGATGCAACTCACAGTTAAACTTTCTTTTGATTCAGCTAGTTGGAAACCCTCTGTAGAATCTGCGCAGGGATATTTGGGAGCCCATTGAGGCCTATAGTGAAAAACCGATATCCCACAATAAAAACGATAAAGAATCTATCTCTTAAAATGCTGTGCGATGTGTGGATTCATCTCACAGAGTTTAAACTTTCTTTTGATTCAGCAGGTTGAAAACACTCTTTCTGTAGAATCTGTGCAAGGACATTTGGAAGCCCGTTTAGTCCTATAGTGAAAACAGACATCCCGCGATAAAAACTAGAAAGAAGCTATCTGTGAAAACACTTTGTAATGTATGGACTTATCTCACAGACTTAAATCTTTCTTTTGATTCAGCAGGTTGGAAACACTCTTACTGTAGAATCTGCACAGGGGCATTGGGAGCCAATTGAGGCCTATGGTAAAAAAACAAATATCCCACTATAAAAAACAGAAAGAAGCTATGGGTGAAAATGCTTTGTGATGTGTGGATTCATCCCACAGAGATATTCTTATCTTTCGATTCAGCAAGTTGGAAGCACTCTTTCTGTAGAATCTGTGCGAGGACATTTGGGAGCCCGTTGGATTCTACAGTGAAAATAGCTATCTGTGAAAAAGACTTGCGATGTGTGGACTCATCCCAGAGAGTTAAAACTTTTTTTTTGATTCAGCAGGTTGGAAACACTGTTTCTTTAGAACCTGCTCAGGGATATTTGAGAGCCCATTGAGGACTATAGTAAAAACAAGATATCCCACTATAAAAACGAGGAAGAAGTTATCTGTGAAAACACTTTGCGATATGTGGATTCATCTCACAGAGTTAAACCTTTCTTTTGATTCAGCAGGCTGAAAACACTCTGTAGAATCTGTGCAGGGACATTATGGAGCCCATTGAGGCCTATATTAAAACCCAATATCTCATGATAAAAACAAGAAAGAAGCTATCTGTGAAAATGCTGTGAGATGTGTGGATTCATCTCACAGAGTTAAGCCTATCTTTTGATTCACCAGGTTGGAAACATCCTTTCTGTCGAATCTGCACAAGGACATTTGTGAGCTCATTGAGTCTTACAGTGAAAACAGATATCCTGCGATAAAAACTAGAAAGAAGCTGTCTGTGAAAATTCTTTGCAATATCTGGATTAATCTCACAGAGTTAAACCTTTATTTTGTTTCAGCAGATTGAAATACTCTTTCTGTAGAATCTGTTCAGGGACATTAGGAGCCCATAGAGGCCTGTACTGAAAAAGCAATATCCCACAATGAAAAGGAGAAAGAAACTATCAGTGAAAATGCTTTGCGGCAATGCGTGGATTCATCTCACAGATTTAATTCTTTCTTTTGGTTAAGCAGGTTGGAAACACTCTTTCTGTAGCTGCACAAGGATATTTTGAAGCCCATTGAAGCCTATAAAGAAAAATCAATATCCTGCAAGAAAAATTTAATCAGGGTATCTGTGAAAATGCTTTGTGGCATGTGGATTCATCTCACAGAGTTAAACCCTTGTGTTGACTCAGCAGGTTGGAACCACTCTTTAGAATCTGTGCAGTGACATTTGGGAGTCAACAGTGGCCTATAGTGAAAAACCGATATCTCAGGATAAAAACAAGAAAGAAGTTATGAGTAAAAATGCTTCGTGATGTGTGGATTCATCTCAAAGAGTTAAACCTTTCTTTTGATTCAGAAGATTGGAAACATTCTTTCTGTACGATCTGTGCAGGGATATTTGGCAGCCCATTCAGTCGTATAGTGAAAACAGATATCCCATGATAAAAACTAGAAAGAAGCTATTTGTGAAAAAGCTTCACAATGTGTGGATTCATCTCAGAGAGTTAAAACTTTCTTTTGATTCAGCAGGTTGGAAACACTCTTTCTTTAGAATCTGCACAGGGACATTTGGGAGCCCTTTGGGGACTATTGTGTAAAATCAATATCCCACAATAAAAACTAGAAATAAACTATCTGTTTAAAAGCTTTGCAATGTGTGGATTCATCTTACAGACTTAAACATCTCTTTTGATTCATCAGCTTGCAAAACTCTTTCTATAGAATCTGCACAGGACAGGACCATTGAAGCCTATAGTGAAAAACTGATATCCCACAATAAAAACTAGAAAGAAGTTATCTGTGAAAACTCTTTGCAATGTGTGGATTCATCTCACACAGTTAAACTTTACTTTTAATTCAGCAGGTTCAAAACACTATTTAGAATCTGCACAGTGACATTTGGGAGTCAATTGAAGACTATCGGGAAATTCAGCCAGATATCGGGCAAAATTCACCTCCAATATTTCACATACGTTCTTTTCTATTTTCCCTAAGCATCAGCCAATATGAGAAATAAAGGGACAGAGTACAAAAGAGAGAAATTTTAGAGCTGGGCATCTGGGGGAGACATCACATGTTGGTAGGTTCCATGATGCCCCACAAGCTGCAAAACCAGCAAGTTTTTATTAGGGATTTTCAAAAGGGGAGGGAGTGTACAAATAGGGTGTGGGTCACAGAGATCATGTACTTCACAAGGTAATAGAATATCACAAGGTAAATGGAGGCAGGGTGAGATCACAGGACCACAGTACCGGGGTGAAATTAAAATTGCTAATGAAGTTTTCGGCACCATTGTCATCGATAACATCTTATCAGGAGACAGGGTTTGAGAGCAACCAGTCTGACCAAAATTTATTAGGTGGGAATTTCCTCATCCTAATAAGCCTGGGAGTGCTGTGGGAGACTGGGGCTTATTTCATCCCTACAGCTTGACCATAGAAGATGGCCACACCCAAGGGGGCCATTTTAGAGGCCCACCCTCAGGGGTGCATTCTCTTTCTCAGGGATGTTCCTTGCTGAGAAAAAGAATTCAGTGATATTTCTCCCATTTGCTTTTGAAAGAAGAGAAATATGGCTTTGTTCCACCTGGCTCACAGGCAGTCAGAGTTTAAGGTTATCTCTCTTGTTCCCCGAACATTGCTGTTATCCTGTTCTTTTTTCAAGGTGCCCAGATTTCATATTGTTCAAACACACATGCTCTTCAATTTATGCAGTTAACGCAATCATCACAGGGCCCTGAGGTGACATACATTCTCCTCAGCTTATGAGATGACAGGATTAAGAGATTAAAGTAAAGACAGGCATAGGAAATCACAAGGTTATTTATTGGCGAAGTGATAAGTGTCCATGAAATCTTCACAGTTTATGTTTAGAGATTACAGTAAAGACAGGCATAAGAAATTATAAAAGTATTAATTTGGGAAACTAATAAATGTCCGTGAAATCTTCACAATCCACATTCTTCTGCCATGGCTTCAGCCGGTTCCTCCGTTTGAGGTCCCCGACTTCCCGCAACAGAGGACTATAGTGAAAAACCAATATCCCGTGATAAAAATGAGAAAGAATCTATCTGTGAAAATGCTTTGTGATGTGTGGATTCATCTCACAGGGTTAAACCTTTCTTTTGATCCAGCAGATTGGTAACGTTTATTCTGTAGAATCTTTGCAGGGACATTTGGAAGCCCATTGAGGCCTATAGTGGAAAACCAATATCCTGAGATAAAAACTAAAAAGAAGCTATTTGCCAAAAGGGTTTGGGACGTTTGGATTCATCTCACAGAGTTAAAACCTTTCATTCAATTCAGCAGATTGGAAACATTCTTTCTGTAGAATCTGTGCAAGGACATTTGGGAGCCCATTGTGTCATATGGTGAAAATAGATATCTCACTATAAAAACTAGAAGGAAGCTATCTGCAAGAATGCTTTTTGATCTCTAGATTCATCTCACAGAGTTAAAACTTTCTTTTGATTCAGCAAGGTGGAAACACTCTTTCTGTAGAATCTGCACCAGGACATTTTAGAGCCCATTGAGGCCTATAATGAAAATCTGATATCCCACAATAAAAACGAGAAATAATCTCTCTGTGAAAACGCTTTGGGAAGGGTGGATTCATCTCACAGAGTTAAACCTTTGTCTGATTCAGCAGGTTGGAAACACTCTTTCTGTAGGTTCTGCACAAGTACATTTGGGAATGCATTGAGTCCTATTGTGAAAATAGATAGCCCATGATAAAAACTAGAAAGAAGCTATCTGTGAAAATGCTTTGTGACAAGTTGATTCATCTCACAGAGTTAACTCTTTCTTTTGGTTCAGCAGATTAGAAACACTCTGTAGAATCTGCACAGGGACACTTGGGAGCCCATTGAGACCTATAGTGAAAAACAGAAATCCCACAATTAAAAACTAGAAATAAGCTATTTGTGAAAATGCTTTGTGATGGGTGGATTCATCTCACAGAATTCAACATTTCTTTTGATTCAGCAGGTTGGAAGCACCTTTTCTGTAGAATCTGCAAAGGGATATTTGGGAGTCCATTGAAGCCTTTGGTAAAAATCGATATCCCATGATAAAAACTAGAAAGAAGCTATCTGTCAAAATGCTTTGTGATGTGTGCATTCATCTCACAGAGTAAAACCTTTGTTTTGATCCAGCAGGTTGGAAACACTGTTTCTGTAGATTATCTGCAAGGTCATTTGGGAGCCCATTGAGTCCTATTGTGAAAATAGATATCCCACAATAAAAACTAGAAAGAAGCTATATGTGAAAATAATTTGTGATGTGTGGACTCATCTCACAGAGTTAAACATTTCTTTTGATTCAGCAGGTTGGAAACACTCTTTCTGTAGAATCTGTGCAGGGACTTTTAGGAGCCCATTGAGGCCCACTGTGTAAAACTGATATCCAGCGATAAAAATGAGAAAGAAGCTATCTGTGAAAAAACTTTATGATGTGTGAATTCATCTCAGAGTTAAACCTTTCTTGTGATTTAGAAAGTTGAAAACACTCCTTCTGTAGAATCTGCACATGGACAACTGGGGACCCATAGAGGCCTATAGCAAAAACTGATATTCCATGATGAAAACTAGAAGGAAGCTATCTGTGAAAAACCATTGTAATGTGTGGATTCATCTGACAGAGTTAAACCTTTCCTTTGATTCGGCAAGTTGGAAACACTTTTTTTGTAGAATCTCCGAAGGGACATTTTGGAGCCCATAGAAGCCTATACTGGAAAACTGATATCCCGTGTTAAAAACTAGAGAGAAGCTATCTGTGAAAAAGCTTTGCAATGGGTGGATTTATCTCACAGAATTAAACAATTCTTTTGATTCAGCAAGTTCAAAACATTCTTTCTGTAGAATCTGAGCAGGGATATTTGGATATTTGGGAGCCCATTGAGGACTATAGTGAAAAACCGATATCCCATGATAAAAACGGGAAAGAAGCTCTGTGAGAATGCTTTGTGATGTGCGGATTCACCTGACAGAGTTAAACCTTTCCTTTGATTCAGCAGGTTAGAAACACCTTTTCTGTAGAATCTCTACAGGGAAATTTGGGAGCCCATTGAGGCCAATGGTGAAAACTGATACCCTGTGATGAAAACTAGAAAGAAGCTATCTGTGAAAACGTTTTGGGATTTTTGGATTTATCTAATAGGGGTAAACTTTCCATTTGATTCAGCAGGTTGGAAACACTCTTTCTGTAGAATCTGCACAGGACATTTAGGAGCCCATTGAGGCCTATAGTGAATAACCAAAATACTGCAATAAAAACTAGAAAGAAGCTATGTGTGAAAATGCTTTATGATGTGTTGATTTATCTTAAAAAGTAAAACCTTTCTTTTTATTCAGCAGGTTGGAAACTCTCTTTCTGTAAGATCTTCACAGGTACATTTGGGAGCCCATTGAGACCTACAATGAAAAAAAAACTGCCACATGAAAAACTAGAATGAAGCTATCTGTGAAAACACTTTGCAATGTGTTACTTCATCTCACAGAGTTAAATCTTTCTTTTGACTCAGCAGATTGGAAACATTCTTACTGTAGAATCTGCACATAAACATTTTAAAGCCCGTTGAGGCCTACAGTGAAATACCAATATCCTGTGATTAAAAACAAGAAAAAAGCCATCTTTAAAAATGCTTTGTGATATTTGGATTCATCTCACAGAGTTAAACCTTTCTTTTGATTCAGCAGTTTGGAAATACTCTTTCTGTAGAATCTGCACAGGAATATTTGGGAGCCCATTGAGGCCTGTAGTGAAAAACCAATATACCGCAATATGAACAAGAAAGAAGCTATCTGTGAAAACACTTTGTGTTGTGTGGGTTCATATCACAAAGTTAAACCTTTCATTTAATTCATCAGGTTGGAAACACTGTTTCCTTAAATTGTGTGCAAGGACATTTGGGAGCCCATTGAATTCTATAGCGAAAACAGATATCCTATGATAAAAACGAGAAAGAAACTGCCTGTGAAAAGGCTTTCTGATGTGTGGCTACATCTCACAGGGTTAAACCTTTCTTTTGATTCAGCAAGTTGGAAACACTCTTTCTGTAGAATCTGCGGAGGGATATTTGGGAGCCCATTGAGACCCATAGTGGAAAACCAATAAATGTGATAAAAACTATAAAGAAGCTATCTGTGAAAATGCTTTGTGATGTGTGGTTTAATCTCACAGAGTAAAACGTTTTCTTGATTTAGCAAATTGAAAACACTCTTTTGTAGGATCTTTACAGGGACATGGGGGAACCCATTGAGGGCTATATTGAAAAACCAATACCCATGATAAACACTAAAGAGAATATATTTGTGAAAACGATTTGTGATGTGGGGATTCATCTGACAGAGTTAATTTTTTTTTTGATTCAGCAGGTTGAAAACACTCTTTCTGTAGAATCAGCCCAGGGACATTTAGGAGCCCATTGAGGCCTACAGTGTAAACATATATCCTGCAATAAAAACTAAAAAGAAAGTATCTGTCAAAATGCTTTGCAGTGTGTGGATTCATCTCACAGAGTTAAAACTTTCTTTAATTCAGCAGGTTGGAAACACTGTTTCTGCAGAATCTGTACATGGACATTTTGGATCACATAGTGGCCTATAGGGAATACAGGTATCCTGCAATAAAAACAAGAAGGAAGCTATCTGTCAAAATGCTTTGTGATGTGTGTATTCATCTCACAGAAACAAACCTATCTTTTGATTCAGCAGGTTGAAACACTTTCTGTAGAATCTTCACTGGGACATTTTGAGCCCATTGAGGTTTATTGTGACAAACTGATATCCTGTGATAAAAACTAGAAAGAAGCTATCTGTGAAAATGTTTTGCAATGCATGGATTTATCTGACAGAGATAAACATTTCCTTTGATTCAGCAAATTGAAAACACTCTTTCTGTAGAATCTGCGCTGGGACTTTTGGGAGCCCATGAAGGCCTATAGTGAAACAGTGACATCCTATTATAAAAACTAGAAATAAGCTACCTGAGAAAATGTTTTGCGATGTCTGGATTCATCTCAGAAATTCAAATTTTTCTTTTGATTCAGCAGGTTTAAAACACTCTTTCTGTAGAATCTGTGCAAAATATTTTGGAGCCCATTGAATCCTATAGTGAAAACAGATATTCCATGATAAAAACAAGAAAGAAGCTATCTGTGAAATCACTTTGTGATGTGTGGATTCATCTCACAGAGTTGAACCTTTCTTTTGATTCAGCAGGTTGCAAAGACTCTTTCTGTAGAATCTGCACACAAATATTTGGGAGCCTATTGAGGCCTATAGTGAAAAACCAATATCCCATGATAAAAATGAGAAAGAAGTTATCTGTGACAATGCTTTGCAATATGTGGATTCACTTCACAAACTTAAACCTTTCTTTTGATTCCTCATTTTGGTAACAATCTTTCTGTAGAATCTGTGTAGAAACATTTTAGAGCCCATTGAGGCCTATACTGAAACACAGATATCCCATGATTAAAAAGTAGAAAGAAGCTATCTGTGAAAATTCTTTGCAATATGTGGATTCATGTCATAGAATTAATCATTTCTTTTGATTCAGGGGGTTCAAAACACTCTTTTTGTATAATTTACAAGGGGATATTTGTGAGCCCACTTGAGGACTATAGTGAAAAATTGATATCCCGTGATAAAAACGAGAAAGAAGCTATCTGTGCAAATGCTTTGTGATGTGTGGATTCATCTGACAGAGTTAAAACTTTTCTTTGATTCAGCAGTTTGGAAACTTTTTCTATAGATTCTCCACAGGGACAATTGGGAGCCCATTGAGGCCTATATTGGAAAACTGATATCCTGCGATAAAAACTAGAAAGAAGCTATCTGTGAAAAGGCTTTGTGATGTGAGGATTCATCACAGTGAGTTAAACCTTTAATTTGATTCAGCAAGTTGGAAACTCTGTAGAATCTGCACAGGGAAATTTCAGGAAATAGTTGAGGGCCCATTCAGGCCAATATTGAAAAACAGGTATCCTGCGATAAAAACTAGAAAGAAGCTATCTGTGAAACGGTTTTGGATATGTGCATTCATCTCTAAGAGGTAAACCTTTCTTGTGATTCAGCAGTTGAAACACTCTTTCCGTAGAACCTGCACAGGGTTATTTGAAAGTCATTTGATGCCTATCATGAAAAAACAAATATACCACAAAAAAACTATTCACAACCTATCTGTGAAAACGCTATGCAATGTGTAGATTCATCTCACAGAGTTAAATCTTTCTTTTGTTTGTTTGTTTTTTCCTTTTTTTAATTATACTTTAAGTTTTAGGGTACTTGTGCACAACATGCAGGTTAGCTACATATGTATACGTGTGCCATGTTGGTGTGCTGCACCCATTAACTCGTCATTTAACATTAGGTATATCTCCTAATGCTATCCCTCCCCCCTCCCCCGACCCCACAACAGGTCCCGGTGCGTGATGTTCCCCTTCCTGTGTCCATGTGTTATTGTTCAATTCCCACCTATGAGTGAGAACATGCGGTGTTTGGTTTTTTGTCCTTGTGATAGTTTGCTGAGACTGATGGTTTCCAGCTTCATCCATGTCCCTACAAAGGACATGAACTCATCCTTTTTTATGGCTGCATAGTATTCCATGGTGTATATGTGCACATTTTCTTGATCCAGTCTATCATTGTTGGACATTTGGGTTGGTTCTAAATCTTTGCTATTGTGAATAGTGCCACAATAAACATATGTGTGCATGTGTCTTTATAGCGCATGATTTATAATCCTTTCAGTATGTACTCAGTAATGGGATTGCTGGGTCAAATGGTATTTCTAGTTCAAGATCCCTGAGGAATCGCCACACTGACTTCCACAATGGTCGAACTAGTTTAAAGTCCCACCAACAGTGTAAAAGTGTTCCTATTTCTCCACATCCTCTCCAGCACCTGTTGTTTCCTGACTTTTTAATGATCACCATTCTAACTGGTGTGAGATGGTATCTCATTGTGGTTTTGATTTGCATTTCTCTGATAGCCAGTGATGATGAGCATTTTTTCGTGTGTCTTTTGCCTGCATAAATGTCTTCTTTTGAGAAGTGTCTGTTCATATCCTTTGCCCACTTTTTGATGGGGTTGTTTATTTTTCTCTTGTAAATTTGTTTGAGTTCATTGTAGATTCTGGATATTAGCCCTTTGTCAGATGAGTAGGTTGCGAAAATGTTCTCCCATTTTGCAGGTTGCCTGTTGACTCTGATGGTAGTTTCTTTTGCTGTGCAGAAGCTCTTTAGTTTAAATAGATCCCATTTGTGAATTTTGGCTTTCATTGCCATTGCTTTTGGTGTTTTAGACATCAAGTCCTTGCCCATGCCTATGTCCTGAATGGTATTGCCTAGGTTTTCTTCTAGAGTTTTTATGGTTTTAGGTCTAATATTTAAGTCTTTAATCCATCTTGAATTAATCTTTGTATAAGGTGTAAGGAAGGGATCCATTTTCAGCTTTCTACATATGGCTAGCCAGTTTTCCCAGCACCATTTATTAAATAAGGAATCGTTTCCCCATTTCTTGTTTTTGTCAGGTTTGTCAAAGATCAGATGGTTGTAGATATGTGCCATTATTTCTGAGGGCTCTGTTCTCTTCCATTGATCTATATCTCTGTTTTGGTACCAGTACCATGCTGTTTTGGTTACTGTAGCCTTGTAGTATAGTTTGAAGTCAGGTAGCATGATGCCTCCAGGTTTGTGCTTTTGGCTTATGATTGTCTTGGGAATGCAGGCTCTTTTTTAGTTCCATATGAACTTTAAAGTAGTTTTTTTTTTCAATTCTGTGAAGAAATTCATTGGTAGCTTGATGGGGATGGCATTGAGTCTATAAATTACCTTGGGCAGTATGGCCATTTTCACGGTGTTCATTCTTCCTATCCATGAGCATGGAATGCTCTTCCATTTGTTTGTATCCTCTTTTATTTCATTGCGAGTGGTTTGTAGTTCTCCTTGAAGAGGTCCTTCACATCCATTGTAAGTTGGATTCCTAGGTATTTTATTCTCTTTGAAGCAATTGTGAATGGGAGTTCATGCATGATTTGGCTCTCTGTTTGTCTGTTATTGGTGTATAAGAATGCTTGTGATTTTTGCACATAGATTTTGTATCCTGAGACTTTGCTAAAGTTGCGTATCAGCTTTAGGAGATTTTGGGCTGAGACAATGGGGTTTTCTAGATATGCAATCATGTCATCTGCAAACAGGCACAATTTGACTTCCTCTTTTCCTAATTGAATACCCTTCATTTCCTTCTCCTGCCTGATTGCCCTGGCCAGAACTTCCAACGCTATGTTGAATAGGAGTGGTGAGAGAGGGCATCCCTGTCTTGTGCCAGTTTTCAAAGGGAATGCTTCCAGTTTTTACCCATTCAGTATGATATTAGCTGTGGGTTTGTCACAGATAGCTCTTATTATTTTGAGGTACGTCCCATCAATACCTAATTTATTGAGAGTTTTTAGCATGAAATGTTGTTGAATTTTGTCAAAGGCCTTTTCTGCTCTATTGAGATAATCATGTGGTTTTTGTCTTTGGCTCTGTTTATATGCTGGATTATGATTATTGATTTGCATATGTTGAACCAGCCTTGCATCCCAGGGATGGAGCCCACTTGATCATGGTGGATAAGCTTTTTGATGTGCTGCTGGATTCGGTTTGCCAGTATTTTATTGAGGATTTTTGCATCGAAGTTCATCAGGGATATTGGTCTACAATTCTCTTTTTTTTGTTGTGTCTCTGCCAGCCTTTGGTATCAGGATGATGCTGGCCTCATAAAATGAGTTAGGGAGGATTCCCTCTTTTTCTATTGATTCAAATAGTTTCAGAAGGAATGGTACCAGCTCCTCCTTGTACCTCTGGTAGAATTTGGCTGTGAATACCTCTGGTCCTGGACTTTTTTTGGTTGGTAAGCTCTTAATTATTGCCTCAATTTCAGAGTCTGTTATTGGTCTATTCAGAGATTCAACTTCTTCCTGGTGTAGTCTTGGGAGGGTGTACCTGTCAAGGAATTTATCTATTTCTCCTAGATTTTCTAGTTTATTTGTGTAGAGGTGTTTATAGCATTCTCTGATGGTAGTTTGTATTTCTGTGGGATTGGTGGTGATATCCCCTTTATCACTTTTTATTGCATCTTTTTGATTATTCTCTCTTTTTTTCTTTATAGTCTTGCTAGCGGTCTATCAATTTTATTGATCTCTTCAAAAACCCAGCTCCTGGATTCACTTTTTTTGAAGGGTTTTTTGTGTCTCTATTTCCTTCAGTTCTGCTCTGATGTTAGTTATTTCTTGCCATCTGCTAGCTTTTGAATGTGTTTGCTCTTGCTTCTCTAGTTCTTTTAATTGTGATGTTAGATGTCAATTTTAGGTCTTTCCTGCTTTCTCTTGTGGGCATTTAGTGCTACAAATTTCCCTCTACACACTGCTTTGAATGTGTCCCAGAGATTCTGGTATGTTGTGTCTTTGTTCTCATTGGTTTTAAAGAACGTCTTTATTTCTGCCCTCATTTTGTTATGTATCCAGTAGTCATTCAGCAGCAAATTGTTCAGTTTTCATGTAGTTGAGTGGTTTTGGGTGCCTTTCTTAGTCCTGAGTTCTAGTTTGATTGCAATGTGGTCTGAGAGACAGTTTGTTATAATTTTTCTTTTACATTTGCTGAGGAGTGCTTTACTTCCAACTATGTAGTCAATTTTGGAATAAGTGTGGTGTGGTGCTGAGAAGAATGTATATTCTGTTGATTTGGGGTGAAGAGTTCTGTAGATGTCTATTAGGTCCACTTGGTGCAGAGCTGAATTCAATTCCTGGATATCCTTGTTAACTTTCTGTCTCATTGATCTGTCTAATGTTGACAGTGGGGTGTTAAAGTCTCTCATTGTTATTGTGTGGGAGTCTAAGTCTCTTTGTAGGTCTCTAAGGACTTGCTTTATGAATCTGGGTACTCCTGTATTGGGTACATATCTATTTAGGATAGTTAGCTCTTCTTGTTGAATTGATCCCTTTATGGAATGGCCTTCTTTGTTGCTTTTGATCTTTGTTGGTTTAAAGTCTGTTTTATCAGAGACTAGGATTGCAACCCCTGCCTTTTTTTGTTTTCCATTTGCTTAGAAGACCTTCTTCCATCCCTGTATTTTGAGCCTATGTGTGTCTCTGCACATGAGATGGGTTTCCTGAATAGATTACACTGATGGGTCTTGACTCTTTATCCAATTTGCCAATCTGTGTCTCTTAATTGGAGCATTTAGCCCATTTACATTTAATGTTAATATTGTTTTGTGTGAATTTGATCCTGTCATTATGATGTTAGCTGGTTATTTTGCTTGTTAGTTGATGCA
The DNA here is from genome assembly GCF_000001405.40 of Homo sapiens. Taxonomy (NCBI): domain Eukaryota; kingdom Metazoa; phylum Chordata; class Mammalia; order Primates; family Hominidae; genus Homo; species Homo sapiens. The sequence goes on along the minus strand of NC_000004.12, from coordinate 63,335,659 downwards.
GTTTCTTCCTAGTCTCAATGGTCTTTACAATTTGGCATGTTTTGGCAGTGGTTGGTACCATTTTTTCCTTTCCATGTTTAGTGCTTCCTTTAGGAGCTCTTGTAGGGCAGGCCTGGTGGTGACAAAATGTCTCAGCATTTGCTTGTCTGTAAACTATTTATTTCTCCTTCACTTATGAAGCTTAGTTTGGCTGGATATGAAATTCTGGGTTGAAAATTCTTTTCTTTAAGAATGTTGAATATTGGCCCCCACTCTCTTCTGGCTTGTAGAGTTTCTGCCAGGAGATCAGCTGTTAGTCTGATGGGTTTCCCTTTGTGGGTAACCCTACCTTTCTCTCTGGCTGCCTTTAACATGTTTTCCTTCATTTCAGCTTTGGTGAATCTTATAATTATGTGTCTTGGAGTTGCTCTTCTCAAGGAATATCTTTGTGGCATTCTCTGTATTTCCTGAATTTGAATGTTGGCCTGCCTTGCTAGATTGGGGGAGTTCTCCTGGATAATATCCTGCAAAGTGTTTTCCAACTTGGTTTTATTCTCCCCATCACTTTCAAGTATGCCAGTCGGATGTAGATTTGGTCTTTTCACATAGTCCCTTATTTCTTGGAGGCTTTGTTCATTTATTTTTATTCTTCTTTCTCTAAACTTCTCTTCTCACTTCATATCATTTATTTAATCTTCCATCACTGATACCCTTTCTTCCCATTGATTGAATTGGCTACTGAGGCTTGTGCATTCATCACATTGTTCTCGTGCCTTGGTTTTCAGCTCCATCAGGTCCTTTAAGGACTTCTCTCCATTGGTTATTCTAGTTAGCCATTCATCTAATTTTTTTTCAAGGTTTTTAACTTCTTTGCCATGGGTTTGAACATCCTCTTTAGCTTGGAGTAGTTTGATCTTCTGAAGCCTTCTTCTCTCAACTCGTCAAATTCATTCTCTGTCCAGCTTTTTTCCATTGCTGGTGAGGTGCTGAATTCCTTTGGAGGAGGATAGGTGCTCTCATTTTTAGTTTCCAGTTTTTCTGCTCTGTTTTTTCCCATCTTTGTGGTTTTATCTACCTTTGGTCTTTGATGATGGTGACATACAGGGTGTTGTTGTGGATGTCCTTTCTGTTTGTTAGTTTTCCTTCTAACAGTCAGGACCCTCAACTGCAGGTCTGTTGGAGTTTGCTGGAGGTCCACTCCAGACCCTGTTTGCTTGGGTGTCAGCAGCAGAGGCTGCAGAACAGTTGATATTCATGAGCAGCAAATGTTGCTGCCTGATCATTCCTCTGGAAATTTTGTCTCAGAGGAGTAGCTGGCCATGTGAGGTGTCAGTCTGCCCCTACTGGGGGGTGCCTCCCAGCTAGGCTACTCAGGGTTCAGGGACCCACTTGAGGAGGCAGTCTGTCTGTTCTCAGATCTCCAGCTGCATGCTGGAAGAACCACTACTCTCTTCAAAGCTGTCAGACAGGGACATTTAAGTCTGCAGAGGATTCTGCTGTCTTTTGTTTGGCTATGCCCTGCCCCCAGAGGTGGAGTCTTCAGAGGCAGGGAGGCCTCCTTGAGCTGTGGTGGGTTCCACCCAGTTTGAGCTTCCTGGCCACTTTGTTTAGCTACGCAAGCCTCAGTAATGGTGGACGCCCTTCCCTCAGCCTTGCTCCTGCCTTGCAGTTTGATCTCAGACTTCTGTGCTAGCAATGAGCAAGGCTCCATGGGTGTAGGACCCTCTGAGCCAGGCGCAGGATATAATCTCCTGGTGTGCCGTTTGCTAAGAACGTTGGAAAAGTGCAGTGTTAGGTTGGGAGGGACCTGATTTTCCAGGTGCTATCTGTCACCGCTTTCTTTGACTCCCTGAGAATTCCCTGACCCCTTTTGCTTCCTGGGTGAGGTGATGCCTCACCCTGCTTCAGCTCACAGTCAGTGTGCTGCAGCCACTGTCCTGCACCCACTTTCCGACACTCCCTAGTGAGATGAACCCGGTACCTCAGTTGGAAATGCAGAAATCACCCCTCTTCTGCGTAACACATGCTGGGAGCTGTAGACTGGAGCTCTTACTATTCGGCCATCTTGGCTCCACACCCAACCTTTCTTTTGACTCACTAGGTAAGTAACAATTTTTTTTTTTTTTTTTTTTTTTTTTTTTTTTTTTTTTTTTTTTGTAGAATCTGCCAAAGGACTTTTGGGAGCCCATTAAGGCCTATAGTGAAAAACCAAATACCCAGCAATGAAAACTAGAAAGAAGCTATTTGTGAAAACCCTTTGTGATTCATGGATTCATCTCATAGAGGTAACCTTTCTATTGATTCAGCAGGTTGGAAACACTGTTTATGTAGAATCTGCAAAGGGACATTTGGGAGTCCATTGAGGTCTATAGTAAAAAAACGAATATCCCATGATAAAAACTAGAAAGAAACAACTGTGATACACTCTGTGATGTGTGGATTTATCTCACAGAGTAAAACCTTTCTTTTAACTCAGAAAGTCGAAAACACTCTTTTTGTAGAACCTGTCCAGAGAAATTTGGGAGTCCATTGATGTCTGTAGTGAAAAAACAATATCCCGCAATAAAAACTAGAATAATCTATCTGTGAAAAGGCTTTGTGATGTGTGGATTCATCTCATAAAGTAAACTTTTCTTTTGATTCAGAAGGATGGAAACACTCTTTTTGTAGAATCTGCGCAAGGGCATTTGGGAACCCATTGAAGCCTATACTGAAAAACTAAATATCCTGCAATAAAAAGTAAAAAGAAACTATCTGTGAAAATGCTTTGTGATGTGTAGACTCATCTCACAGAGTTAAACCTTTGTTTTGATTTGGCAGGTTGGAAACACTTCTTTTGTTCTATCTTTGAAGGGACATTTGGGAGCCCATTGAGGCTTACAGTGAAAAACTGAACATCCTGCAATAAAAAGTAGAAAGTAGCTATGCATGTAAACGTTTTGTGGTGTGTGGATTCATCTAACTGAGTTAAGTATTTCTTTTGATTCCAGATGTTGGAAACACTCTTTTTATAGAATCTGCACGGGGACATTTGGGAGCCCATTGAGGCCTATACTGAAAAACCGAATATATCGCGATGAAAACTAAAAGGAATCTATATGTGAAAATGCTTTGTGATGTGTGGATTCACCTCACAGAATTAAACCTTTCTTTTGATTCAGCAGGCTGGAAACACTCTTTTTGTAGAATCTGTGCAGGAGCGTTTGGGAGCTTTTTGAGGAGTATAGTGAAAAAATGAATATTCCACAATACACTACTAGAAAGAAGCTATCTGAGAAAACGCTTTGCATTGTGGGGATTCATCTCACAGTGATAAACTTTTTTTTTGATTCAGCAGATTGTAAACACTCTTTTTGTAGAATCTGTGCAGGGACATTTGGGAGCCCACTGAGACGTATAGTGAAAAACTAAATATCCCACAATAAAAATTAAAAAGAAGCTATCTGTGAAAATGCTTTGTGATGGGTGGATTCATCTCACAGAGATAAACCTTTCTTTAGATACGGCAGGTTGGAAACTCTTTTTTTTTAGAATCTGCGAATGGACATTAAGGAGCCCATATAGGCCTATAGTGAAAAAAAAAAGTCTGGCAACGAAAAGTAAAAAGAAGCCATCTGTGAAAATGTTTCACCATGTGTGGATTTATCTCACAAGGGCAAAACTTTCTTTTTATTTAGCAGGTTGGAAACACTCCTTTTGTAGAATTTGCACAGGGATATTTGGGAGCCCAGTGAAGCCCATAGTGAAAAACCAAATATTCTGCAATAAAACTACAAAGAAGCTATCTGTGAAAACACTTTGTGATATGTGGATTCTTCTCACAGTGTAAAACCTTTCTTTTGATTCAGCAGGTTGGAAACACTTTTTTTTTGTAGAATCTGCAAAGGAACATTTTGGAGCCCATTGAAGCCTACAGTGGAAAGCCAAATATCCTACGATAAAAACTAGAAATAAGCTTTCTGTGAAAACGCTTTCTGATGTGTAGATAAATCAAACAGAGCTAAACCTTTTTTTTATTCACTAGGTTGGAAACACTCTTTTTGTAGAACCTGTGCAGTGACATTTGGGAGCCCATTGAGGCCTGTAGTGAAAAACTCATATCACATGATAAAAACTAGAAAGAAGCTTTCCTTGAAAATGCTTTGTGATGTTGGAATCATCTCACAGAGATAAACCTTTATTTTCATTCAGCAGGTTGGGATCACTTTTTTTTTGTAGAATCTACAAAGGGACATTTGGGAGCCGATTGAAGCATAGAGTGAAAAAAACTGAATATCCCTCAACAAAAACTGGAAAGAAGCTAGCTCTGAAAATGCTTTGCAATGTGTGGATTCAACTCACAGAGTTAAACCTTTCTTTTGATTCAGCATGTTGGAAACAGTCTTTTTGTTGAATCTGCGAAAGGACATTTTGGAGCCCTTTTATGTCTATAGTGAAAAACCGAATATTCTGTGACAAAAACTAGAAAAAAGGTATGTGTGAAAATGCTTTCCAATGTGTGGATAAATCACACAGAGTTTAACTTTTTTGTTTGATTCTGCAGGTTGGAAACACTCTTTTTGTAGAATCTGCACAGAGATATTTGGGAGCCCATTGAGGCCTATAGTGAAAAACCGAATATCCCACAATCTAAACTAGAATGAAACTATCTGTGAATACCCTTTGTGATGTGTGGATTCATCTCACAGAGTTAAAACTTTCTTTTGATGCAGCAGGTTGGAAACACTCTTTTTGTAGAATTTGCAGTGAGCCATTTGGGAGCCCATGTGGCCTGTAGGAAAAAACGTATATTTCATGAAAAAAAAAGAAAGAAAAAGAAAAACTATAAAAAAAGTATCTGTGAAAATGCTTTGTGATGTGTGGATTCATCTCATAGAGTTAAACCTTTCTTTTGATTCAGCAGTGGAGAACACTCTTTTTGTAGAATCTGTGAACAGTCATTTGGGAGCCAATTGAGGTCTATAGTGAAAAATAGAATATCCCTTGATACAAACTAGAAAGAAGCTATCTGTGAAAATGCTTTGTGATGTTTGGATTCAGCTCACAGAGTTAAATCTTTCCTTTGATTCAGCAGGTTGGAAACGCTCTTTTTATAGAATCAACGAAGGGATATTTGGGAGCTCATTGAAGCATATAGCAAAAAACGGAATATCCCATGATAAAACTGGAAAGAAGCTATCTCTGAAAATGCTTTGCAATGTGTGGATTCACCTCACAGGATTAAAACCTTCTTTTGATTTGGCAGGTTGCATACTCTTTTTGTACAATCTGTGAAGGGACATTTTGGAGACCATTGATGTCTATAGTGAAAAACCAAATATCCCATGATAAAAATTAGAAAGAAGATATCTGTGAAAGTGCTTTTTGATTTGTGGATAAATCAAATAGACTTAAACCTTTCTTTTGATTCAGCAGGCTGGAAACACTCTTTTTGTAGAATATTCACAGTGCCATTTGGGAGCCCATTGAGGCTTATATTAAGAAACCAAATGTTTCACAATCAAAACTAGAAAGAAGCTATCTGTGAATACCCTTTGTGATGTGTAGATTCATCTCACAGAGTTAAAACTTTCTTTTGATTCAGCAGATTGGAAATACATTTATTGTAGAATTTGTGATGGAAAATTTGGGAGCCCATTGTGGCCTATGGTGAAAAACTGAATATCCCAAGATAAAAATTAGAAAGAAGCTATCTGTAAAAAAGCTTTCTGATGTGTGGATTAATCAAACAATGTTAAAACTTATTTTTGATTCAGCAGGTTTGAAACACTCTTTTTGTTTGAAACACTCTTTGTAGAATCTTCACTGAGATATTTGGGAGCCGATTGAGACTTATAGTGGAAAGCCAAATATCCCATGATAGAAACTAGAAAGAAGCTGTCTGTGAAAATGCTTGGTGATATGTGGATTCATTTCACAGAGTTAAACCATTCTTTTGATTCAGCACGTTGGAAATACTCTTTGTGTAAAATTTCTCAAGGGACATTTGGGAGCCCATTGAGGCCTATAGTTAAAACCGAATATTCTGTGATTAAAACTCGAAAGAAGCTATCTGTGAATACACTTTAAGATGTGTGTATTCATCTCACAGAGTTAAAAATTTCTTTTGATTCAGGAGGTTGGAAACAGTCTCATGTAGAATCTGTGAATGGACATTTTGGAGCCTTTCACGCCTATAGTGAATAACCAAATATCCCACGATAAATACTAGAAAAAATTTAATAGAGTCTTTTGTCATATGTGAATTTATCTCACAGAATTAAACCTTTCTTTTGGTTCAGAAGGTTGGAAATACTCTTTTTGTAGAATCTGTGAAGAGTCATTTCGGAACTCATTGAGGCCTATAGTCAAAAGCTGACTGTCCCATGATAAAAACTAAAAAGTAGCTATTTGTGAAAATGCTTTCCAATGTGTGGATAAATCAAACAGAATTAAATCTTTTTTTGACTTAGCTGGTTGGAAACACTCTTTTTGTAGAATCTGCCCAGTGACATTTTGGAGTCCATTGAGGCCTGTAGTAAAAAACCAATATCCTGCAATAAAAACTAGAAAGAAGCTATCTGTGAAAATTCTTTGCAATATATGGATTCATCTTACAGAGTTAAACATTTCTTTTGATTTAGTAGGTTGGAAACACTCTTTTTGTAGAATCTGTGCAGGGACATTTGGGAACCCAGAGAGGAATATAGTGAAAAACCAAATATCCCATGATAAAAACTAGAAGGAACCTATTTGTGAAAATGCTTTCCAATGTGTGGATAAATCAAACAGAATTAAATCTTTTTTTGACTTAGCTGGTTGGAAACACTCTTTTTGTAGAATCTGCCCAGTGACATTTTGGAGTCCATTGAGGCCTGTAGTAAAAAACCAATATCCTGCAATAAAAACTAGAAAGAAGCTATCTGTGAAAATTCTTTGCAATATATGGATTCATCTTACAGAGTTAAACATTTCTTTTGATTTAGTAGGTTGGAAACACTCTTTTTGTAGAATCTGTGCAGGGACATTTGGGAACCCAGAGAGGAATATAGTGAAAAACCAAATATCCCATGATAAAAACTAGAAGGAACCTATTTGTGAAAATGCTTTCCAATGTGTGGATAAAGCAAACAGAATTAAATCTTTTTTGATTTAGCAGGTTGGAAAAACTCTTTTTGTAGAATCTGCACAGAGACATTTTGGAGTCCATTGATGCCTGTAGTAAAAAACCAGTATCCCGCCAAAAAAACTAGAAAGAAGCTATCTGTGAAAATTCTTTGCAATGTGTGGATTCATCTTACAGAGTTAAATATTTCTTTTGATTCAGCAGGTTGGAAACACTCTTTTCATGGAATCTGTGAAGGGACATTTGGGAGCCCATTGAGGTAATTCATGAAAAATTGAATATCTTGTGTTAAAAACTAAAAATAAGCCATCTGTGAAAATGCTTTGCAATGTGTAGATTCATCTTACAGAGTTAAACCTTTCTTTTGATTCAAAAGGTTGGAAACCCTCTTTTTGTAGAATCTGTAAAGGATCATTTTGGTGCCCATTGAGGCCTATACTGAAGAATCAAATATCCCATGCTAAAAACCAGAAGGAAGCTATCTGTGAAAACACTTTACGATATGTGGACTCATCTCACAAAGTTAAACTTTTCTTTTGATTCAGTAGGTTGGAAACACAGGCTTGGATTTGTGTTCCTGACCAAATCTCATGTTAGATTGGAGGAGGTTCTTGATGAGAGGAGATTGGATCTTGGGGGGCAAAGTTACTCTTTGCTGTTCTTATGATAGTGACTGAATTATCACAAGATCCCATGCATGATTTAAAGACATGTTGCACTTCTCACTTTGCATTCTGTCTTTCCTGCCACCATGTGAAGTTGGTCTTTGCTTTCCCTTCAACTGCAGCCATGATTGTACATTTCCTGAGTCCTCTCAGTTATGCTTCCCATTAAGTCTGTGGAACTGGGAGTCAATTATCCCCCTTTTCTTTATAAACTAGCCAGTCTCAGGTAGTTCTTTATAGAAGCATGAGAATGGGCTAATACAACTACCTAGATACTATACAAGATGACCATCCACAAGGCACACAGTCATCTGATTCATCAAGATCAATATGAAGGAAAAAAATCTTAAGGCAGCTAAAGAGAAGAATCAGTACACATACAAGGGGAACCCCTTCAGGGTAGCAGTGGACCTCTTACAGAAATCTCACAAGTCAGAAGATGTTGTAGGCATATTTTCAGAATCCTTTAAAAAAATTCACCAAAGATTTTTTATCTTATCAAACAAGGCCTCATAAGCAAAAGAGAAATAAAATTCTTCTCAGACAAACACTGGTGGAATTCATTACCACTAGACCAGCCTTACAAGAGGTCTAGGAAAGGGTGTTAAACATGGAATAAGAAAATGACAACTGTTACCACAAAAACACAATTAAGCACTTATCCAGACATTATAAAGCAACTACATCATCAAGTCTTCATAGCAACAAGCTAACAACATAACAAGATCAAAATATCATGTATCAGTAGTAATCCTGGATATAAATAGGCTAAACATCCTACTTACAAGACATAGAGTGGAAAGATGGATAAAGACATAGCCCCACCATCTACCCTTTTCAACAGACCCATCTCACATGTAATGATGCCTAAAGGCACAAAGTCAAAGGATTAAGAAAGACTGATCTTGCAAATAGAAAATAAAAAGATCAGGAATCACTATTTTTATATATAAAAAAACCCTCAAAAAAAGGAATCCCTTAACAAACTAGGTGCCTTTGTCACAAAAATGGAACTTACCTAAAAATAGTAAGTGCCATCCATAAAAAACTCACAGCCAAAATCATGCTGAATGAGAAAAAGCTTGAACCATTGCCATTGAGAATTGGAACAAGACAAGCATGCTCCTAGCACTGGAAATTCTAGCTGGAGCAATCAGGCAACAGAAAGAAATAAAAGGCATCCAATAAGAAAAGAAGAAGTCAAACTCTCTCTTCACAAACAATATGACTCTATACTTTCACCTTGAAATCTCCATAAAACCTTTCTAGAAATGATAAATAACTTCAGTAAGGGATCAGGATACAAAATCAACGTAAAAATCAATAGCATTTCTATACATCAATAACATTCAAGCTGAGATTCAAATCAAGAACACAATCCATTTATAATAGTCACAAAAATTTTGAAATACCTAGGAATTGTCTTATTCCCAATCTTAGAGAAAAGGTTTTCAATTTCTCACTGTCAAGTGTGATGTTAGCTATGGTCTTGTCACATACAACCTTTATTGTGTTAAGGTACATTACTTTTACATCTAATTTATTGATAGCAGTTTTCATGAAAGAATATAAAATTTAGTCAAATGCCTTTTTTTGCATGTATTGAAATGATCATGTGGTTTTTGTCCATTCAGTTAATGTGGAACATAACATTTATAGATTTGCGTATATGGAACCATCCTTGCATTGCAGGGATAAATCCCACTTGATTATGGTGAATCATCCTTTTAATGTTTGGATGAATTTTGTTTGCTAGTATTTTATTAAGAATTTTTGCTTCTGTGTTAATCAGGCATATTGGCCTGTAATGTTCTTTTCCTGTAGTGTCCTTGTCTGGTTTTAATATCACAGTAATGCTGGCCTTATAAAATAAGTTTGAAAGTGTTCCCATTAGAAGTTTTCTTGGACCTGTGGAAAAAAAATTAAGTGTTACCTCCTTTTCAATTTTTGGAAGTTTGAGAAATATTGGTATTAGATCTTCCTTCAGTGTTTGATAGTATTCAGCAGTGACACTGTTATCAGGTCCTGGGCTTTTTTTTTCTTTTTGGATGGAAGGCTTTTTATTGCTAATCTCTTTACTCAGAATTGATTTGTTCAGCTTTTCTATTTCTTCATGATTTAGTCTTAGCAGGTTTTATGTGTCTAGAAATTTATTAATTTCTTCTAAGTTATCCAATTTATTGGTGTATAATTGCCCCCCATAGTCTCTTGTGAACCTGTGCAGTTCTAGGGTATTAGTTGTAATCTTTCCTCTTTCATTTCTGATTTTGAATCTAAGATTTTTTCTCACTCTACATAAAGGATTGTTATTTTCTTAATCTTTAAAAAAAGCCTTAGTGTCATTGATCTTTTTTATCATTTTCCCAATCTGCATCATTTCTTGTATTTCATTTATTTCTGCTGTAGTCTTTATTATTTCTTTCCTTCTACTAACTATGGGCATAGTTTGTTCTTTTTTTAGTTCCTGTGGTGTAACATTAGCTCATTTATTTGAGATCTTTCTTCTTTTTTTTGATGTAGTCATTTATTGACATAACCTCCCTCTTAGAACAGCTTTTGCTACATTCCATAAGTTTCGGTACATGGTGATCCATTTTTGTTTGTCTAAGATATTTTAAAATTTTCTTTTATACTTACCTTTGGCTCATTAGTTGCTTAAGTGCATATTGTGTAATTTCCACACATTTGTAAATTTTCCAAAATCCTGTCTATCATTGATTTCTAGTTTCATACCATTGTGGTAGGAAAAGATACTTGGTATTTCACACACTGTAGTATATATATATATGTGTGTGTGTGTGTGTGTGTGTGTGTGTGTGTATGTATATATATTTAAACCCTCTTCAAAATGCCTTAGCATTTTGTTCACTCTCTGTGTTTCTTTCTTTACAACTAACCACATTTTAAAACTTCCTAATCTTGTAATCCAATTATCTATATCTCTCTTTTTAACTTAGTTTTATTCTACTCCTTGCCTTGTTTTATGCTTATTTCTATCACTTTTTAATATTTCTAGCAGTGGCATTTTAGTAAGTATCCTCGAATGATTCTACTGTATCAAATTGAAAGTATTATCCTTAGGCTTCAGAAACTTTCCAAAAATTGTTATAACTTTATAAATGACTTTTTTTATAGTTACTATTTGTTTGTAGGCTTTGCTTTACTCAGTTTTCTGATTGTTATAGTTGTCCACACACAATAAGCAATCTTTGATTGGGTGACTCAGTCTCTTTCTGTTCCTAATCAAGTTACATCTGTTCTTTGTAAAACTCATTTATCTCTAATGTAAAACTCATTATCTCTAATGTCCTATTGGAATCATTACTATTTGGAAAGCAGATTTATTAAAAATGTTAATGCCTGGTGGCAAAAAATTAATAAAATTGCTTCATATAACACTATTGAAATTAAAAACAAAGTTAAAACTTCCAAATACTTGCAGATAAAGCAGTGTAGTTTCTTTTGAATAGTGGTTCAGAATTGAGAGACAGATCCAGCTTCTTGCCTATGCATTCATTATTTTTAAAGCTGGCATTACTGAACATGTTCTCTGTAAATGCACAGTTTCAGGAGGAAAATCAACATGACAAGAGACAAACATCACCATTAGATTAATGTCAGAGGAGTATTGGTATTAATTAATTCTTGTTTCTGCTAGTCTTATTCAGATGAGATATTCAAATTCCAGCTTTCAAGATTGTAAATTAAAGTTCTGCTAACTAAATTCCCTGTTCCTACTTCCTGAACACTCATTTATTCCCCAACCAATTATGATTAAGACTTCATCTCCACAACTCCACTGAAATTATTTTGTGACTGTCATCAATAACCTTTTAATTGCCAATCCAGTTGTCATTATTCCATCTTCATTTTAGTTCATCATTCAGTAGTATTTGATATCATTTATCCCTTCTTCATTCTTGATGAAAACAATATTTTTCTCTTTCCTCATTGAATACTTAACAATTTTCTTTTCTTTTCTTTCTAATCTCTAAATGTTGGCATTTCCCAGGGCTTTGATATCTACACTCAATTTCTAGGAAATCACAAGTAGTCCCACAGTTTTAAATATTATCTATAATCTGACTTTCTCCACAACACCAGAATAACTAAGTCTACTTAATATTTCTTCTTTAATATGTAATATATGTCAAAATTAGCAAGTAAAAACCCTTGTTTTCTTAAATCCTGCTAATTTCCCAGTATTCTATATATCGTGAACACAGCCATTCTTGACGATTCTCTTTCACATACTGTGTGAAATCAATCAAGACTCCCAGGTCTTTGTATCTGGGCCATTCTCACAGGCTCTATCACAACCATTTTGGTATAAACATTTTTTCCCATAACACTTGTGGGGTCCAGAGCAAGAAGGAAAATGGAGTCTACACAAACACACACACACACACACACACACACACACACACACTCTACAAATGTAGCTGTACTCACAGCCTGAACTGCTTTCCTGTAACAGGATCCATCTGGTTCCTCCTCAGGGATTCTTCTGCAACCAGGGAAACAAAGGAGCTGCTTTCTTTTTTCTTCTAGCCAGGCTCACTGCTTATGAGCCAGCTGGAGTCATAGCAAAAATATCCTGGAAAGGACAGGGTTTTCAAAGTTGCACCTGAATCCCATGATGCCTGGGCCATCACTGGACCATTTCAAACCAGACTGGAGATTGACAAGGTCAAACTCTCCAGCAAATCAGGGCAGGCTGGTTCCCTTTCTCATACCACATATTATTCAGCATTCCTGTCCCTCACACTGTACTGTACTCAGCACTTCCCAAAACACCACCATACAACAGAGGGGAGAAATGAAGCACCATTTATCTTTGGAACCGAGTTCCTTAGGTACTCTCTGTAGGTGACCCGAGTTCTTTCCTCTCATCATCTGCTTGTGTTGTCAGTATCACTAAATCCTGTGGCCTGACAAGCAAAGTCCTCCTCCAAAGTCCATCTCCAGAACATTTAATTCGCTTGATTAAGTACAAATATTCAACAAACTTTCTTAAGATAATTCTTAAAAATTATAATGACATATATATTTGCATTTTTATTTAATACACTATATAAATTACATTTGTATTTGTGTTTCAGTGTTTATATATGTGAAGCACTCCAATACGTATGGCCCAGGGTAGTACCCCTGTTCCTAGGTCCAAGTGTCATGGAATTTGTCCCAGATATCATCATCTGCCTCCTGTGTTATTTCATTACCTTTGACCATAATCACTGACTGTCAGCTAATTACATTTCTAAAGAGGTCATATGATATAGTTTAATCTATAGTACTAATCTGGTTTTTTAATATAAAAGAATATCCCTAGAGAGAAACTGAGTTTTTCTATCCACGAAATACATACTCCTAAACTCCTCATTGTTTCCAGATGATCACAAGGGAAAAAAGATAACTCAGTAAATTCATATAAATTTACCAATTTGTCTTAAAATACAATATGTCATTATTTGGAAATTTCCCCGAAGGTGTATTTGTGGAAATAGAAACTGTCTCAAAATTTTTGCAAATTATAGGCTCCACAGATAAGTATAATTTCTTCAGCAAGTGTTGATTATATTTTTCATTCTCAGTTTCCAATTTGATTTTTGAGAACAGGTATTTTAAGATATTTCAGCCAAAGTACTGTGCTGTATTGCAGCATGGAAGGTTAAATGTCAATCACACTGCTTCACAAAAGTGGGAATATAGTTGAAAAATATTTCTTAAAGCTGGACTTCAAATATTTCTTAAAGCTAGACTTAAAAAGTTACAAAAATAAAATATTTGAAAGCTTATCTTTATTTGTGGTTGTTGCTAGTAACTCATGAGAGCTTTCACTACTACTGCTTAGGCCCTGCCTGCAAAAGAACAAAAAATAGGTTGTAGTGGAAAGAAAAATTGTATCAGGGAGTCATCCATTTGTCATTATTGAAAGCATACAAAACATTCCATTCAGGTTTCATCTTCTTTTTCAATGATTTACAGGACGTTTAAAACAAAAACAGATGACTATACATTTGATGTTTTTTTTTTTCCCATTCTGACATAAAATTTTAATTCATCATTTCATGTGTTTCCAAATCACTAAGTCCTGTGGCCTGACAAGAAAAGTCAGTGGTGTATAAATAAAGCATTAGTTCTGACAAATATGCTGAAGTTTAAACTACTAAGTACTTAAGCTTAAATATTCTTGGGCTGATCCACAACTTATGGAAAGTTGAGTAAACTTTCTCCACAGAATCTGTCGTTTCTAATTCATAGTTTATTACAACTATATTAGTTAAATAAATTCCAGTGATTTTATTGATTTTATAGTATTCAAAAGAGTATCTACCTGCACCAGTGCAGAAAGTTCCTAGCACAAAATGTCACAGGAAAAAAGGAAGTGTTCAACTTAATCCCTTTATTTAAAATATTAATAATGATATAATATGCATTAATATGTTTTGAGCGAAACTACAAAGCCCATGTTTTTATATTCTTATAGGAAGTGCACTTATTTTTCAAATGCAGAGATTAAGTTTAGTTTTCTTTTGTATATAATATAAATATGATACTAAAATAAACATTTAAATATTTACATTTGTAATTGAAAAATAAAGGTATCACCATATGGCACCTGTAAGGTTTAGAATAATTAAAAATTTTATGATTATATACTTTTTTCTTTTTTAACCAAAATGTTAAATTTGTTACCTTACAGAGACACACTCCATTTGACAAGCAAATTTGAGAATTTCTCCAAATTTTTGGCAATGTAACTAAAATACATTACTCACTAGATTCACATTTCAGGCTACATTAACTAAAAATGAACTCAGACTAAAATAATGATTATATAGGCAAACCCATCTGAAGTAAACCTTACTAATTCACACCTAATGAACAGAAAAGCAGGGTCAATTAAGATTATCTTTACGTTATTAAAAAAGGATTCACCTGGATGCTTTTGTAGGCACCACATTTATTTACCACTAAAATATACTTTCTATTCTTATAATGATTATTTCCAAAAAGTCATTACATCTACCAAATAAGAACTATATGCTTCACTCCTAATGAGCTAAGCACTTTACAAAACAGTGTCTAATTTAATCCTCCCATCTACCTCAAGAGGTCAGGACTACTATCCATATTTTACTGGTGAGTACAATACAGGATAGAGATCAACTGATCTGCTTTGGTCACATGTCTAGAAAGAAGTTAACCAAGAGTCTAGTACAACTCTGTCATTTCCATCTCTGTTTAGTCTCAATATAGCTACTGCTTTGCCTCTTAGTATTATTTTCTGTAGGGATAAAACTTGTCATTCAAGAGACCAAGTTAGATTTGGCATAATATTAATATCTATGAATCTAAATAAATAAAACAAAATTGTGTTAATATTTCCAAATTTTAAATGTAAATTGCTGTTTTTTGATACATAAAAATTAAATACACGTGTCCTTATAATTAGGATTTAACTCAATTATTTTATGACAGGCAATCTAGCTACAAGCTATGCTAAAGTGGTAGCCTCAAAATTCTATAATTAGAGTGTAATTTGGATTCATATCATAGACATTTTTAGGCATATATCCCAAATTTAAGCATCAAAATTAGAAAAGTACAGCATAACCAGAACTATCATGTTTATGAAATTAGTCTTTTTGGTGTTTCTACTTACATATTCCAAGAAAAACAACTACAGAAACAATTTGTATTGCTCTGTTTTATATTTCTCATAATTATGGATATCACCTATCTTGTAAGAGAATAATGAAAATGATATGACATAATATAGAAAGTACTTAGAATAATGCTGGCATATTGATTGTCCAATAAATATAAGCATTATTGTAACACTTTATATGTAAATATTTCTGTCAGGTAATCTTGGTGGTAAGCAGTAAGTAATAATGTTTTCATTTTTATAGAGACTAAAGAAGAAATAGAATCAAATGGAATCATGCTTTTATAAGTGTATAAGGACTTAAAAATTTTAATTGGCAATTATTTCAGTTAAAATACTTTTAGAGGAAAATCATTAAAACAAAATTTTAAATAAATTTTAAACTATAAGTGACTTCTAAATGACATGGCACAAATTTCAAGTGTTAATGTTATTTTGAATATACACATATTATGTAACTTTAAAATTAATTTGTAACTTTATAATACATTTAATTTGTGACATTATATGCAACAGAAGTACCAGAATTATCAGATTAGGTGAAAATAAATTATTTCTTATGAGCCCACTATACAACAAGTGCCAGTCCAGATCTAACTCAATTCAATTCTCTCTTCTTCAAATTATGCTTCCTTAGCATATATAAATATATATGTAAATATAATTTAAAAATTATATTTATTTATATATTGTCTTCATTGTCCAAAATGATAGCAATTAGTCACATTATATTGAATGTGTAAAATCTGGCTTGTTCAAATTAAGACTTGCTATAAGTGTACCAGATTTTGAGGCTGTGGTACAAAAAATGTAAAAAACCTCTTTA
Source organism: Homo sapiens (assembly GCF_000001405.40). Classification (NCBI taxonomy): domain Eukaryota; kingdom Metazoa; phylum Chordata; class Mammalia; order Primates; family Hominidae; genus Homo; species Homo sapiens. Next base: position 63,319,409 of record NC_000004.12, on the reverse strand, counting down.
GTTATCTTCATATTAATTAATGTTGAAATAGTAATATGTTGGATAGACTGGTTTAAAAAGATTAAATTTAATTTTATATGCTTTTATTGGCTACGAGAAATTTTAAATTACATATGTGGCTCACCTTTGGTACTCACATTATATTTCAAGGAACAGTGCTGATTCCCAGATAATGTATGTGTCTGCATATGTATGTTATTATATGTATACGTGTGCATTCACATAATGGTACTATACTATAAGAAAAGGCAAGGTCTTTCCTGCAGTTACATCTATTTCACCTTGCCTTACAGTCTGTCTTCTAAAAATATGTTAATATAGACTTTTAAAAATATTTATATTATACTTTTCATAAGCTTCAAGATTTGATTATTCTTTATGTAGCATACCCATGAATATTTTTATTTATGTTTATTTATCTGATGCTTATTTAATTGTTTCCCTCCTGACATATATAATTTGGAAAGAATGTTAACCAAATATACGTTGCTCAGTGCTGCATAACCAATATTTAATATAGTCTAGCATATAGGAGATATAGGAGCCATAAATTTATATAAAGTATACAATAAATGGATAAGGCATTATTACATATATTTCTGGAGAATTATGTTAATGACTATATTGTACTCTGTCATAATTTATTTGGCTACTGCTAAACATTTTAAATAATATTTACATTTATATAGTCATGTTTGTGATATTTATTCTCTATGTATACTTCTATATTCAGATACTATGAATATTTCCAGTTATATCTAAATATCCCTTTAGGATAAATCTATATTAAATAAATTGAGAAGTCGATTACAAAGAGACAAATATTGCCAGTTTTTTCCAGAAATATTAAAATCAATATATGTTGCTAATACTGATGCAGTCTTATATATTTGCCAAATTAGAATATAAATATTTAAGTACACAGAAAAATGGATGAGAGAATGAGAAAGAGATATCACCATCAATTTGAGGATTGTTTTTAAAATTTTTTATTTTAATGTATATGTTTTCTATTATATGTAAGCTGAATATCTTTAGAGATGATTGTTATATCTTAAGAATAATAAGAAAAGCATATATGTGGCTAGTGTTATGGACAATTCAAACTCACCATGACCACGTTAGAATCATCATCTTTTCACCAAAAGTGGGCTTTCTGGATCCTTGTAGTTCTACAAATGTGTTGTGAGGTCATTATCAAATAGTTTTACACAATATGTTTGAAATTTAAATTTCTATTTCCATTGTTATTTTAAAATATAACATTACAAAGTACATTAAAATAATAGTAGTTTAGTAACCGTAATAATCTAGCTAGATTATAACCTTATAAACAAGTTTAACAGACAATTATAATCTTTATAGCTGAAGATTACTTTTAGGTTAGAATATCTTTGCTTACAAGTACAAATCTATAAAAACAGATATTAACACTCAATGCAATGATAAGTGTACATGACTCATCTACTTTGCTATGTGTTAATATTGTACACAGTGACATCCATAACCTCATGTTGGGTAAACTCCATAAGCAAAGATTTTGTATGATTTTCTCTTACTGACGTATCTTAAGCACTTAGACTAGAACCTGAAATTTTACAGAACACTCAATATCTATTAATTTGAAAGATCATTAATGATTATACTTATATATGCAGACATTTTTTATTCACTCAGTTAAATTGCAATTGAAATAAAGTTTTAAAGACTAAAACTTTCATTTGTTTAAATATTTAATTAATTAATTTAAATATTAAAATATTGTTTGCAATCATAAAAGAGTGCAGCAACTTATATTTAACTTGTCTCATAGACTAATAATTGGTAACAAAGATAGTTTATTGAAGTCAAACGCACTTCTGTGAACATCACTTTGAAATCATTCAAAAGAAGAAATGTTTTGGGAAAACTAAATCACTGTACAATGGTCTGAAATATATCAGACTCAGGGCTACCATCAAAAGCATACTCTAGTGAACATATTGCAAAAATATTAACACTTTAATATACTGACTGCCAGGGAAATGGGCTATATTTGGAGCTAGATCGTAAAACCAATTAAATCATAAATTAATGATTGATTTACTTGTAATGTGATGCTATTTCACATTAAATTAATGTTAACTTTAATTTTAATAATACTTTTGTTTATATAACTTGTGATTTTTTAATTTGAAATTGAATTTTGTAAGTGAAGTTTAACTCTGGCTTTATTGTGCTATTTAATATATTAGTTTGGAGCACGATAGTTTGTTGACTTAAGGAATTCATAAGAACTTTATTTTCCCTCAAGGCTCAAGTTGGCCAGACTGAAATTCAGTGTATTGCAACGCCTAAAGGTTTGTAATTGGACAAACAGGTTTAAATTCCATTAGTAAAGAATTATAAAAATTTAGAAGTTGTTTAACTGCTACATGATTCTGTTTTTTCCAGCTATACAATGGAATTATCTGTCAGAAAACTCTTATGAAATATCATGGATGTAAGGTATACAAAGCACCTGAAGCATATTATTATTAAATACTGTTTTTTTCCCACACTCATTCTAATGTGATGAGATTATCTTCTTCATGAATCAGTAGTAAACAATGGAGCTTAATAACCCAGATTCCAGAGTTTATGCCTTGGTAGAAAGCTATTTGATCTCTTTGTCCTCTCATTTTATTTTTTTCAGTGAGGATTAAATGGACTAACTCATGATAAGCTGAGAGTAGTGTCTGGTATAGAATAAACGTGCAATAAGGAGATAAGAGTAAGTTTTAAAATTCCCTTTCAATAATTAAGAGTTGGAGAAAGATTATATTTTCTGCCATTTCTTCACTATGTCAGTTACAGTGCGAACATGAAAATGTTTGCAATAGTCCTATTATTATGAGTACTCAGGTTTAGTAATTAAAGGTAAATAAAATCACACCCGGGGTTTATAAAGCATAATGAATCTCAGGGTTCCAACATGTTTAAACATGCAATACACATTCGATTAGGGAACATTTTTGTGATTAATTTTTTTTTTATTCTAAGTGATTTTTCTTCTATATTAGCAAATGCTTGAAAAGCCAAATACTACTAGTTTGTTTTCAGAGAGACCTTCCTTTTCTTTATCCAAAATTATTCTGAGACAGATTCAGAATTATTCTGAAGACTGCAAATTCTTCTAAATTTAATGGTCTCTAGTATTCTTCCCAAATCTATGTCAAATTTACAAAAAGGAAGATGCAATGATTTTTAATAATACTTTAATACCCTATAAAATAGGTTAATTAGCAATATGAGATTAACTTTGTCCCCCACAGTTCATATGCTGAGGTTCTAAGCAGCAATGTCTCAGAATTTGGCCTAATTTGTAAATAGTGTCATTGCAAATATAGTTAGTTAAATTAAGATGAAGTCATACCCATCTTTAGGCCAACTCCTAATCTAATATGACTGATGTTTTTATAAAAAGAATGCCTGTGAAGAGACAGACACACACAGGAAGAAGATCAGACCATGTGAAAACTGAAGTTATGCTGTCAGGAATTAGGGGAGAGGCCTAGGGCAGCTCTTTCCTAAACCCTCGAGGGAGTTTAGGCATGGGCCTGCCTGCACCTGAATTTTTAATTCCTTAGACATCAGAACCATAAGACAATACGTTTCTTTTGTTCTAAGGCAACCAGTTTGTGGTGCTTTGTTACCAAAGTTCTAGAAAACCAATATACAGTAGGAGTGCTGTTTTCTGTTCTCCTTAGGATCTGACACAAAAATGAAGAGTACATGGTCCTAAATTGACCAGTAAACAGCTAGTATAATGCAGTTTGGTAAGCATGAAGGTAGGTGTTTGGCTTATGTGACATTCTCTGAGAAGCACACTATAGGCTAAAGATCCAAGTGGGAAAAATGTATTAAGGAAGAACTCTCAGGAGAATCCAGAAAGAGTGTGGAAGAAGCAGGATGGAACAGGGGAAGTGTAGCAAGGGTGGGATTTGTGTTAAAGTCCTAGAGGTAGGCTAATCCCAGAAAATCTGAAGTATAAATAACAACTCAAAATTTCACCCCACCTGGAGGTAAAAGAGCTGAGCTTTTGTACTCCCACAGCAGTTACAGGTCACTGGTCACCTGCGAGTTTGAGGAAGAAAATATGGAGGTGCAAGGACAGAATGCTAGACAGGAACAACCTTCTCTGGAGAAGTGAAGTGGTGTCCAGTCAAAAGGCAATACTCAGTGTTGCAGATATGCCTTGCAGGGTACTCTGGGGTTGGAGGTGAGAATGCGCACACCACTGCTAGAAAGGATCTGGGTGAGACTTAAACACTTAGCGCCTTGTGTAGAGTTCTATGGGGAATCTTATGAGGGGTCCCCCATTAACCTTGGGTGTTTAAGGAAAGCTATTAGAGAAGGAGAATATTCTTTATTGAGTCTTAAAAGGTGAGTGTGTTTAGACCAGCTGACTATCAGTACTTTTTATTTGTCAGTTTTATACTCTTACCTTCATTCTGCTTTGTAGTTACTGTTGCATTCTCTGAACATTGAACTTGTCTTTAATTTTAATATATTCTTTACAAAATCCAGCCCTGTGTGCTCAAATGTGTGTTCAAAGAATTAATGTTAAGCCTTTGATTCTTATCAGTTTTATTCTCCTTTTTCTTGTATAACAGTCACTGTTCTTTTAAAGCAATTTTTAGGTTTAAACCTATCCCAAGATATTCACATCTTCATGAAGCTGTTTTTAACAACCCCCTTCTGGTACACTGCCTCACTAGCGTCAAAAATGCCTCACAATTTTTATCAAAATATTTAAACGTTATTCTAAACACATATTCTAGATAGGATACTGTTACAATTAATTTGCAAAATATATACACTCATAGACACAATATATTGCAATATTAGATTTTAGAAGATATATACATGCAGATATAGATAGTTAAATGTAACTTCTACACAACAAGATAAACTATCAACAGATTAAATGGACAATACACAGAATGGGAGAAAATATTTGAAATCTTTGCATCTGACAAAGGTCTAATATCCAGTATCTATAAGGAACTTAAATAAATTTACAAGAGAAAAAACCCCATTCAAAAGTGGACAAAAAAACATCAACAGATATTTTTCAAAAGACAACAAACATGCATGCAACAAGCATATGTAAAAAACTCAGTATCACTGAGCATTAGAGTAGTGCAAATCAAAACCACAATGAGATACCATCTCACACCAGTCAGAATGGCTATTATTAAAAAGTCAAATAACAGGTGCTGGCAAGGTTGCAGAGAAAAGGGAACATTTACACACTGCTGGTGGGAGTATGCGTCAGTCAACCACTGGGGAAAGCAAAATGGCAATTTTTCAAAAAGCTTAAAGCAGGACCACCATTCAACCCAGAAATCCCATTACTGGATATATACCCAGAGAAATATAAATCATTCTATCATAAAAACATACACATATGAATGTTCATTGCAGTAATATTAAGAATAACAAACACACCAGATCAACCTAAATGCCCACCAATGACAGATTGGATTAAAAATATATGGTATATATATACCATGGAATACTATGCACCCATAAGAAAGAATGAGATCATGTCTTTTGCAGAAACATGTATGGAGCTGTAGGCTATTATCCGTAGCAAACTAACGTAAGAACAGAAAGCCAAATACCACATGTTTTCACTTGTAAGTGGGAGCCGAAACACATGAAAGTGTGTTCTTTCATGAACACAAAGAAGGGAACAACAGACATCGGGATCTACTTGATGGTGGAAGGTGGGAGGAGGGAGAGGAGCAGAAAAAATAACTATTGGGTACTGGACTTGATACTTGAGTGACAAAATAATCTGTACAACAAATGCCTGAGACACAAGTTTGCCTATATAACAAATCTTCACACCTACCCCCCAAAACTAAAAGTTTTGAAAATTATATGGATATATATGATGGACTAGAGAAGATAGCCCTCATTTTATATTAAATTTGATGTGTATGATATACAAAATAAATCACCAGAAACAAGAAAATGTGAATTAATCTGGATATTCTTTTTAATTGACTAAAATCAGTTAGATTAAAAAAATCCAAAGAAAATATTTAAAAGTAAGCAATGTTACAAAAGCCCTAAATATGAATAATTTATTTTCAGTGATTGCTTTTTAATAATCCAGTTTTTATTAAAAAGATCAATTATTGAATTAACTTTTGGATTACTTGAATAATTTTTATAAAATTTGAGTAAAGGACAAATTTTTTATGCCAGAAAATTAGCCAATAAGAGTACAGTTAGACTGTGAAAAACTGTTCTTAAATGACATTACATTTATTATTTAAAATTTCTCAGCATTTTTCCTTTGAGATTATTAACAACTTTTATAAGGTCTAGGATTATATGTAAATGAATACACATCAAATGAAAAATCTCATCCTAGGCATCAACACATCTAGTAGAAAAGAAAAATATTCCTAGGTAATGTGAATTGATAAATGATATCAAAAGATTTAATTCCCATGCTTTTTTTTCTTGACCTTTGGATTCTGTACCCCTGATGAGGTCTTATCTAGTTAAGGCAGAAGATGGAGGAGACAATGTTTTGGAAAACAAGGAAAATGGAATTATGTGACTTGAAATGGAAATCAAATTAAATGGGACTTTTAGCCTAAAGACAAGACAGATTATGTAGAATGCAAAGAAGTGTAGTCACTGCATTTAATGAAATGATATAGTCAGAGTTTCATTAAAATTAATGAATAATGTGGGTTGCTTAAGGGAGTATAATCAACTCTATAAGAAAAATGTCTATTTAAATATTTGTACAGAAATTATATATTTTTTTACTTTGTTATTAAATCCTCTGCACTGAAAATTTCTTGTGGCACTACTGTAAAAGATGAAAATATATTTGCAAATATATATATTTCTAAAGCTAAAACTTACTGGAGCCATTTTGCTAGTCACAGCTTTTTTATGTATCAAATATTGGCTGACAAATTTTATAGAAGCCATGTGTTAATTAATTATTTCTACCTGAATGTGTTGTCTTTCACAGTATCGTCTGAGGTCAGATACTTAATAATTCTACCTGTCTTATAAAAGTAATTACTTGATGTTGAATCAACATATTTGATACAGTTTATTAATTAATTTCAACTGAAGAGTTTCCATCACAAATACATCAGCAGAAATATAGTGGGTATGATATAGAATTACAGACATACTGAATTTTTATTTCTTGTACGGAAAGAAAAGTAGAAATCTAAAATATACGGCCTAAATATTTCAGAGGATTTACTGTCCTCTACTTTATAGATTTTCTATGTTTAATTGAAATAAATTTGATATAAAATAATAATACTGTAAGATAATGAGACATTAGGCCCCAGTAATACATCTTTAAATCAAAGAGTTAATTTCAAACTCAAACTTTTCCTTCATTATTCATTCATTTAACTATGAATATTTTTCTAGAAATATTTATCAGACAGCTAAATACTCTATCTGGGTATGTTGTTAGTCCTTGAGGATACAATATTGAAAGAGTATATTCTCTGCTCTCAGCAATCATGGGAAAGGATTCGATAGCTGCAGGTGCAATGTTAATGGTAAGTGTTACAATGATATATACGCAGAGCACCTGGCGGCACATTAGTAAAACCATTTAGCCAGTCATCTGGTTACCTAAAGAGAAGTTTCATGTGAAGTTATTTATAAGTAAAAGTCAAGAAGATGCAAGTGGGAAAGCATAGGGGTATGTTTCAAAAGGAGAGAAATGATGGAAAACATTCCATACAGAGAAAGGACCCACGTACTAAACAAAACAAAACAAAACAAAACAAAAAAGTGAAAGAGAACAGAGTTTATTAGAAAAAAACTAAGTAATCCAGGATGCGGAGGTCTCAAGAGAGATTATGATTTATCAATGAAGGTAAAGAAGCAATAATCATGAAGTATGGCCTTTGTTTGGCTAAGGGATTTTAAATAAATGTTTATTCATTTATTAATGGAATAACTTTGGTCAAGTATTGATTTAATGATTTCTTCTTTATTTTTGGATTATAATTTTCACAGAAAAGGGTTTCCATTCGATTTTTATTTAGTGACTTAACACCACACATAGATAATTATGTATTTAGTTTAGTGTTTGTTGTTGTTGTTGTTGTTGTTTTAATCATAAGGTCACTGACATAAAGCAGTTTATTGAATGCTATGTTATGTCGCTGTATGAAATTCTAGTCATTCAACCTACAAATGTATGCTGCTCATCCCAAATTCATACAAAGATAAATACACGTGATTAACAGCAAGGCTTCCAATTTATGTACTTCTGTCTGAATTTGTAATATGAATGATGAACAGCACAGTGGCTAACTACTGAAGAAGCCCTAAGCAATAATAGGATAATTTTAATCGAATACAAAGAGAAAAGCAGTATTAAATGACAGAGCTATCAATAAAGGATAAGAGGAGCACTACTTAGCTATCCTAATTCCAAACAGAGAAACATGTGGAATCATTTAATAATACAAATTTGTATTTAAAAATCCTGTAATGAAAGTCTGAGTTAAAATAAAATGTTGTCCTGTCATGCTTAAAAAATATAATTTTATATTTTAATTTCAGGTCTCTAAAGCAGATTTTTTAAAATGCCTTATGTAAATGATAGAATCCCTTAACTGCTTTATCAAACAAGCTGGGTATAGTAACTAACAAGTGAAATACCCCTGTGATTCTAAAGTGCTTTATACTGAGCATAGAATTTTAAGTAATCTATGACTTTTTGTAAATTAATGAACAGCTCTGACTTCCCACTGTGCCCTGAGAACTCTCTTGCTTCCTCTGCAAATTGCATTTGCCATCAAATGACTTATTTTAAAGTAGTTTTGTGTTAGTTATCATTTTTTACTCTATGGAATGGGTGATTTTCACAATCTATAAATCTTAAATGAATATTTTAATGCAGAGTTTAGATTTTTAAAATTTGAATACCAGCTGCTTTACATCCAAAGTTGTTTGTGAAATCAACTTCAGATATGTGAAAGAAATCATCTGTCCTATCCAAATTAAAGAAAGAATATATGTCTCAGTGTAAAATAGCAAAATCACTGAATGAAGTTTAATGGTAAATTACTTTTTCCTTAAGGAATAAAAATATAAACAAAGTAAGTTATATTACAGTTATTTATAATATGGCCAGTTTTATATTAAATTGTTTTTGTTATCTGTTTTGATAATATAACATACCATACTGAAATTTTAAAAATATTATAATTGAGGCCAGGCGCAGTGACTCACGCCTGTAATCCCAGCACTTTGGGAGGCCGAGGCGGCAGGAGTTCGAAACCAGCCTGGCCAACATGGAGAAACCTCGTCTCTACTAAAAATACAAAAAAATTAGCTGGGTGTGGTGGCACATGCCTGTAAGCCCAGCTACTCAGGAGGCTGAGGCAGGAAAAGTGCTTGAACCCATGAAACAGAGGCTGCGGTGAGCCAAGATCACACCACTGCACTTCCAGCCTGGGCAACAGAGTGAGACTCTGTCTCAAAATAATAATAATAATAATAATAATAATTATTATTATTATTATTATTGAATTAGTGGTAGAAAATAAAAATAATTGTGTTGTGGAAAACTATATGTTATAAATAGGAAATAATTTGCTTTGTTTGTTTTCTTTAATTTCTTAGATTTATTCCTGTAGCCTAAATTTTTGATTCAGTGTTCAGGTCATATATTGTTTTATTCAATATAATGGCAAGTTGTGTCATCAAAAAAATCTGAGAATTTCAATTGGCATATATCTGTCAAAAATATCAACAAAATTAAATAATTTTCTTCTATAATACATGTATCCCAGTAATGATTATACTTACAGATGTACAGGCAGTATCAATTGCAGGTTGGTCATATGTGTCCTATCACTACATACATAGTTTAAATTCAAGGGCATTCCTTTATTCCTCCTTTATGGTAATCTTTAACTCCAAACAGTGTGTTTGTCAAGATTCACCTGAAATCTTGGCTTACTGAGAACTTGAGGCAAAAGTACACAGTAGGTATTTTTACGTCTTTCTGGGTTTTGTAAGTAAGCCATTCTTACTGGTTATGCCAATTGAAACCATCAGTAAACAAACTCACTCTGGTGTTTTCCAGGAAAATTCCAAACTTTGTATATCATTTATTGGATGCTAATGCCTTTACCTTAGGCAAGATTCAAATTCATATACTCCTATCAAAACTTCCCCAGAGTTAAAACTAGAGCTTTTTCAGTCAAAACATAAATTATCTGTATCCTATGTAGTGTTATCTTGTTTTCTAAGAAAGTGCTCTCGAGTTAGTTAATTCTTATTTATTTAGTCTTTAATTTCAGTTTCTTTGATTAAGCACCAGAATCAAGACTAGTGTGATGCAAGTGAGCTACCTGAGGCACAAAATTTAAGGACATACTCTTATGGTCTTACAGTCCTTATGAGCTCTTTCCACATTCCAGGCATATACTATTCTTTGGAGATAATATATATTTTCATAATAACTATGAGTCATGAGTATATTATCATCTGCATGTTTCTGATGCCATTACTTGTTCTGTCATGCTTAAAAAATATAATTTTATATTTTAGTTTCAGTTAAGTAATATATCAAAAGTCCTACAGCTAACATGCACAGCTGAGAATTTAATACAGGCAGTTTTTTTCCACAATCCAGCATCCTGCCTCTCCTACACATTGTAGGGGCAAAAATGTCATATATTTTCCTCAGCTCACTCAAGGTTCATGGCGGAGGCACCTATAATAAAAGACAGATTCACAAAGGAAAGCATACAAATTTATTTAATATAAATTTCACATGGCACAAGAGCCTTCAGAAATGAAGATCCAAGGAAAGAGGAAAACCTTGTATTTTTCAGCCTACACCGAAAGAAGCGGACGAAGAAGTAGACAGTCATGCAGATATATGACTGCACAAAACGTGTATGATCTGATGGTAGTAAACTGGGGAGGGGGAACTTATCAAGGCCTCTTTGCTCAAATTATTCCTGTGTTCCTGTATTTTTAGAGACAGGGACATTCCTTTTTTCTGAGTATAGAAAGGGTATTTCTTCAATGAAGGTCTTATGACCTCACAGGAATGTCAGAGGATATTTTTCAGGTCCCGCTTTAGGGAAGACATTAAAAGACATAAAAGGGGAGAAGAAATGAGAGAAACCTTCCTGTTTCTTCTGTTTCCTTAAATACCAAGGTGCCATATATTGGGGTAATGAGTCCTGACTCATCAACACATTATAGTATAAACTCATAAATATATGTTTAAAACCTGTCGTATCTACATCTGCTGTCTCTTATTCATTGCTTAATCCTCCCCTCATTTTGTATATTTAAATCTTAGCCTATTTGGGAAAATTTACAAAACAACCACAAATAAATTACTGACATTAAACATGTGAAAGGATGATTATAGATTTTTCATATAAGTAAGCCAGAATACTTTGATAATCTATTAATTCAGAGATTATGACGTTGGAAAGAGCATATGAAAAAGTTAATTCAAATGAAGAATATATCTTCAAGTGTATACCTCTCCCTTTAAGAAAGGACCAGCAATATAATTGTAAGTCATTAAAATACAATTGGCTCATTTACTTAGGTTTCTTTGTATTTCATGCTTTTTTAAAAAGCCCTCACAATTCAAACTAGTTCAATCCATAGGCATAGACACATATATGTTTCTGTGTGAGAATGTGTGTATAATACTTCAGCTTATATCTAACCTATAAGAAAAGTTGAGGAATAAATGTGACTTCACAGATGATTGGAAGTAGGCACTCAAACAATACTGTCCAGACCCTATCACTTTTTATTACTTCTTAGCTAGGCGTTTCTTACCATTGTCCTTATTTTCAGAAATACTTCATTTTTTTTTTTTTTTTTTTTTGAGACAGAGTCTCTCTCTGTCGCCCAGGCTGGAGTGCAGTGGCGCGATCTCGGCTCACTGCAAGCTCTGCCTCCCGGGTTCACACCATTCTCTGCCTCAGCCTCCCAAGTAACTGGGACTACAGGTGCCACCACCACGCCAGGCTAATTTTTTTATATTTTTAGTAGAGACGGGGTTTCTTCGTGTTAGCCAGGATGGTCTCGATCTCCTGACCTTGTGATTGGACCGCCTCGGCCTCCTAAAGTGTTGAGATTACAGGCGTGAGCCACCGCACCCAGCCCCATTTTTTAATGTTAAAAATGGCCACCTACAATTGCTTACTTTATGGTCTTAAAGCTTGTAATTTAAAAAATGAGAATTTTCCATTGATCTGATAGAAAACTTCTGGATTTCAGGAATTAAGATCAACTTGAGATTCATGCCCATTCCTATGCTTTTCATTCCGCATAAGTAAATGTGTTATCCCGATTGGCTGTATTTGGTAGATAGAATAATGGTTTCCCAAAGAAATTTATGTTCTAATTTCTGGAATCTATACATATATTATGTTACATGTGAAAGAGGAATTATAATTGTTTAATTGTCAGACTTTAAAATATAGATTATCTTGACCTGTCTAAGTGGGCCCAATGTAATGATGAGGGTCCTTAGAAATGAAAGAGGGAAGCAGAAGAGGAAGCCAGAGTAATAAAATGTGATAAGAACTCAACCTGCTATTCTGTCATGACAACATAAAGAGCTAAATTCTCCAGTGAAATTAGTAAAAATTATTGTTAAAAAATCATTAAAACACTCAAAGCCTTTGGAAATGGTCGTAAGGGTTAAAAGCAAATGAAGAAACAGGTATCAAGCCAGTCTATAAAACATTCAGTAGACCAAGCACGGTGGCTCACACTTGTAATCCCAGCACTTTGGGAGGTTGAGGCGGGTGGATTACCGGAGGTCAGGAGTTCAAGACCAGCCGGGCCAAGATGGTGAAACCCCGTCTCTACTAAAAATGCAAAAATTAGCCAGGCGTGGTGGTGTGTGTCTGTAATCCCAGCTACTGGGGAGGTTGAGGCAGGAGAATTGCTTGAATCCAGGGGGTGGAGGTGGCAATGAGCCGAGATCGTGCCACTTCACTCCAGCTTCGGAAATACAGCAAAACTCCATTTCAAAAAATAAAAAAAAATTCAGTAAGAAAGATGAGAGTTGGCAGTATTCTAACCAAGACTTCTCCCTCCTCCAAATCCTGGCTTAGTAAGATAGAGATGCCATCCTAGACTGCTTGCAGCCAGAAACACAGGGCTCCCTCTTACCCCAGCTCCCAGCCACAGTGCTTTCTTCCCCTGAGGAGCAGAACCTGAGCCATTTGTCATCCTACTCTAAGCTTCCTGTTGCTGAAGCTGTCAGAGGCAAGGGGATGGAAATGTGGAGGTTTCCTTTTTCTGCCGTCTTCATTCTTGTAGTGAAGGCTCTACCTCAGATGTGGCACACTGAGAATATTGGGACTAAAATAGGCCTTGCCCAGCTTATGAGATGGTGGTTTTATTCCATGAGAAGTAAGCCAAAAGTTGCCTAAGGGGCTGCCCCTGCCCTCTACTCAGGTCCTAGAGTTGAAGGGTTACTCAGAAGAAACATACCCTGCCACCAGCTCAAGAGCCCTAGATCAGATTTTGCCTGGGGCAGGAGAAGAAAAAGGCCACAAAATAGATAACCCTTAAACATTTATGAAAAAAAAAAAACTGACTTCATTTGCAAAAGAGCTTAGGAAAATTTTAACCTAAAATCTCTCTCAACAACTATGAAGGCTGCTGTAATAGGCATTTGGGAAGAGATCCACGGGTCTAAAATAGATACAGCCTATAATTTAAGCCAGCTAGTTTACAGGAAAGAACCCAGGAATAAGAACTGGAAAGAGCTCTGCTAATTTCAGAATATATAAAAGACTAACCTCAGAAAATATCCTTCAAAGAAGCTAAAATTTTATTGAATTAGTTTGTAGGGGAATTTATGTCCCAGACATTGTTAACAACAGTAAAGCAATCCCTTGGCAACTGATGGAACTTGACAACTGCATGGTGGTTAGGAAAGATAGAAAGAGAACTCTACCACTGTAATCACAGAATGGCAATGGACACCACAAAACTATGTCTCCCTGAGGAGAAACATCAGAGGCTTAACACTGAGGGTGGGGTGAAGGCTAGAGTAGAGCAAGGAATAAACTTCACTAAAATAATTCAGCCAGTCAGATAATAAACAAATAACAATAAGAAGCATGAGGGGGTCAGGGAAGGGTGGAAAACTTTAACCAGAGTATCTATAATACAGTTTGAATATCTCTTATCTGAAACACTTAAGATGGAAAATGTTTTGGATTTTGGAATATTTGAGTATACATAATGAGATATCTTGGGGATGGGACCCAAGTCTAAACATAAAATTCACTTATGTTTTATATATGTCTTATACACATAGCCTGAAGATAATTGTATACAAAATTTTGAATAATTTTGTCCACACAAAAAAGGTTTTTACTATGTTTTTACTCTGGCCTGTCACATAAGGTCAGGTGTGTTATTTTCCACTAGTGGTATGGTAGGAGTGAAAAAGTTCCAATTTTGGGGCATTTTGAATTTTGAATTTTTGGATTAGGAATACTCAACCTGTACCAAATTTCCAACAAGAAATTACAAGACATGCAAATAAACAGGAAAGCAAGATCACACAATGAAATAAGAGCATTTAACAGAAACTACTTGTTGGAGTAACCAGATGTTAGATTTCAAAGTAACCATATAAATATGTTTACATAACTAAAGATAAGTATGATTAAAGAAATAAATGAAGATATGATGATAAGGTAACATTAAATATAAAATATCAATACAAAAGAGATATTAAAAAAATTAAATGGAAACCTTAGGGTTGAAAGATACAATAACTGAAATTTAAAAATATTCACTGAGAGGAACTTAGTGAATAATAACTGAGTTCAAACTAAGTCAGTTAGTTTGGACTGTTAGGAAAAAATTAGTGAACTTGAACAAAGATCAATAGAGATTATGCAGGCTGATGTACTGAGAGAAAAAATGAAAAATAAGCAGAGCCTCAGAAAAAGGTAGGACAGCATTAACTGTACCAACATACATGCAATGGGAGTACCAACATGAGAGAAAAGAGAAAGGATGCATTAAAATTATTCAAAAACATGACTGCAAACTTTTAAAATTTACTTAAAACATAAGTCTACACATCCAGCAAGCTCAATGAACTTCAAGTAGACACACACAATCTTCAACAAAATACCAGCAAAAGAAGTAAAAGAATTTCTAACAATAATTATGTCATGATCAAATATAATATATTCCAGGGATGCAAGGATTATCTAACATCTGAAAATCAATTAATATAATATATCTCATCAACATAATAAGAAACAATTACATAATTATCTCAGTAGACAGAGAAAAAGCATTTGACAAAATCTGACCCAAACTAGCAATAAAAGAATTCCTCAATCTGATAAAGAGCATCTATGAAAAACCAACAGCTAATATTTTATTTAATGATGTAAACCAGATGCTTTCTAAGATCAAGAACAAGACAAGGATGTCTACTTTGATGACTTCTCTCTTAACATTGTACTTGAGATTTTATCCAGGGCAATTAAGCAAGAAAAAATAAAATAAAAGGAGACAAGGGGGAAAAGAAAAACTATTGCTATACTTGGATGACTTTAACTTTTATATAGACAATTCTAAGAAATCTGCCAAGAGCTATAGAACTTTAAATGCATACAAAAGTTTGCAGGACACAGAATAAGTACACAAAAATCAATGGTATTTTTATATGCTTGCAATGAATAATCCAAAAAATAAAGTTTAGAAGACAATTCCACTCACAGTAGCATAAAAATAAATGCAATAAATCTACAATTAATGTAGTCAATAGGTTAGTAGCAACTGTGACATTAAGTAAACATAAAATGAAACCAATTTCACCATAGGCAAATTAATGTAAACAAGAGGTAAGATGATACAGTGTATATCTGATCACAGCAACATCATCAAAATTCTAAATAATGAATAAAAACACTTCTAATATTAAACATTACAATAAATGTGAGCCATACCTACAGTTAAGAAAGATTAATAGAAACAAGTAATTATTTACTCAATTTTTGGTCACTTAGTGGGTGATGGTGGTCGTAGTGGTGTGAGTTAAATTAAGGAATAAGTGTTTGCAAAGTGAAAATTGTAAGGAGTACCTCTTAACACCATGGAGGTCAAAAACAAACAATAACAAACATGGCAGTCTTGCTGAGCACTTAGGTATCACATCACTTACTGTCATGTATTTGTATAATTTTCACAAACTTTACACACTTCTATATTACAATAATTTGTATTCATTCATGCATGCATTTTTCAACCCACTTATTTCAGTTCAGGGTCACTAAGGGCCAGAGCCTAACCCAGCAGTTCAGTGCACCAACTGATTACCAACATTGGGCAGGATGCCATTTAATCACAGAGTGCACTCTTATATATATCTTACACTCACTCACTCTGGGACAATTTAGACATGTCAATAAGCCTAATGCCACATCTTTGGGATGTGGGAGGAAACTGGAGAAACTTCAGAAACCTCATGCAGGCATGGGGAGAACATGCAAATTCCACACAGTCACCTCTACGAGAAATCAATTTGTTTTCTCTTCAACTTATAACAAAGTAATGCTAAACAAAGTAATGTTATTCAAGGATCTGCTGTACTAAAGAATAATTTTAACAAAAAGTGTTAAAGTTAATATTATAAAAGGTATAAAACATTCAAAAAATTAAGAATATCTAAATAAATAAAAATATTCATGGGTCAAAAAACTTAGCATTATTAAATGACTATACTTCCAAACTGATATACAAATTAGATGTTATTTCTAACAGAATTCCAGCTGGATTTTTGTAGAAATTAAAGATCTGATTTTAGAATTTGTGTAGCATTTCAGAGGAACTAGAAAGCCATAACAATCCCATGAAAAAAAGAAAAAGGTAAGAAGAGTGATACTTCCACATTTCGAAACTTATTTACAAAACCACCTTAATCAAGAAAGTGTTTTACTGGCACAAGGATAGACATATAGCCCAATGGTAGAAAATTGAGAGTCCAAAAATAAATTGATACATCTAGGTCAAATGATTTTATTCACACAAGAGTGTAATGACAGTTCCATGGGAAAGGAAGTGTGTTTACAACAAATGCTGCTGTGGCAACTAGATCTCTACAAGCAAAAAAAAAAAAAAAAAAAAAAAATGCAGAACATTGGGATCTTATACTGTATGTGAAAATTAACTCCAAATGGGTCACAAACTTAATGTAATATCTAAAACTGTAAATCTCTTAGAAGAAAACATAGGGATACATCTTCATGACCCTGAATTAAAAAACAAATTCTTAAATAGGATAGCAAAAGCACAAACAACGAAAGAAAAGATAAGTAAATTGGATAATATCAAAATTACAAACTGTGTGCCACAAAGGGCACCATGAATAAAGTAAAATGACGAGCCACAATGTGGAATAAATATAAATATAGTAGGTTAATAAAGAAAATCTCACTGCTTCTCATTTCTTGTTTGTGTGAAAACCTTATGATGAACTTTATACTTTTGTGCAGAGAGGCTTGCATATTCCATGCAGGTCAAATTAAAAACTGTTCTTTAAAAGCTGATTCTGACAACTGGGTACTGGAGATGGAATGTTAGATTTTGCATAATATTTTAATGTTGCTTTGAAAATAATGAACTGGTTATCTTTGTCAATTGATAGCATTATAGTATAACAAAAAATACCTTGGGTTGAATGTGTTTCTATATTACGTTCCAACATGAAAAAGCTATTATTCATTTTGAAGTGTTTCTAAATTGCATTTTAGGTTTTGATCTGCTATGTGCAAGTTAATTCCCAGACAACAACTATGAAAAATTTCCCAAAGTACTTTTGTAACAAAGTAATATAGAGCATATGAGGAAGATTTATGATGTTTTAGAAATATGGATTTCTACATACAGAAACATAAAGAATAGATTATAAAATAGAGTAAATTTGATTTTTAACTTGTGACATATTCAAATGACATCTCTTTGAATATGATGTTATACCTGTGACCTCCTTTTATATAGTGAATTAGCTTGAGTGTACAATCACTTTTGTTCCTCTCAGTGGTAATGATGTTTATTCAAACTGAGTCTTTATCATCCACACTTCTTTCAGGCTATCTTTGATTTTTCCTAGTGTGAGTTGGTGCTATACCTGAAAGGCTAACAACAGCTGCTAAGGGTCCAGAAGCAATCCACAATGGGCCGAGATTCCATGCAAGTTGTGAACTCTTCCAAAAATGCAAGGCCCTGGCTGTTCATTATCTTGGATATTTTTCAGAGCTGCATTTGCAATAAGCAATCTTAAGGAATAAATTTATGTCTTGCCTGGACAGAAAGCAGGCTTGGTTCTGCTCATGGTAAAAGCAGTGTGTTCCCCAGGTACATTGTTCCTTTCCTGTAATAAACCCTACTGCCTATAGAGCCTTCTTTCATAGGCCCCTTTGAGTAACCTCACTGGGAACTGAATTGGAATAAAGGAAACTGATGCAAATAATATGAAGACATGACCATTGCTTTTTTCATTAATAATAAATTCATTTGTCTCTATCCCATAGTCTAGTGTCTTCTGCTAGCAGCCATGAAGTAGTTATGGGTTGTCTTACTAACCTGTAAGTCGAGTAAAATATTAGACTATACTATTCACAATCTTCATTTTAAGAAGGAGTTTCAATATAGTGTTCTACTGCTCCAATACTGGGACCCAAAGCAAAATAATAATAATAATAATAAGTGAATGGAATTTAGTGCCTCAGAATATATGTGGCAGAAATACACCTTTGCTATCACAATGATACCTGTTTTGTGTGATTGTTTTTTATTTCTACCCGATTTTGTTATACTTTTAATTTGTCGTTCTGGATACAGGAACCAATGGGAAAACTGGAGACTGACTAAAGTCTGCTTTCTTGATACATGACTGTAATTCTTGTTTCTCAAGCTTGGCAAGCTTATGGACTATGCCAATTTCCTTCACTTCATATAGAATTGACATCCACAATTTAAACATTTGTATTAGGCCCAATAATTTTTGCTTTCCCATAGACTGCAGATCAGTATGGTATTTCTAGTTCTAGATCCCTGAGGAATCGCCACACTGACTTCCACAATGGTTGAACTAGTTTACAGTCCCACCAACAGTGTAAAAGTGTCCCTATTTCTCCACATCCTCTCCAGCACCTGTTGTTTCCTGACTTTTTAATCATTGCCATTCTAACTGGTGTGAGATAGTATCTCATTGTGGTTTTGATTTGCATTTATCTGATAGCCAGTGATGGTGAGCATTTTTTCATGTGTTTTTCGGCTGCATAAATGTCTTCTTTTGAGAAGTGTCTGTTCATGTCCTTTGTCCACTTTTTGATGGGGTTGTTTGTTTTTTTCTTGTAAATTTGTTGGAGTTCATTGTAGATTCTGGATATTAGCCCTTTGTCAGATGAGTAGGTTGTGAAAATTTTCTCCCATTTTGTGGGTTGCCTGTTCACTCTGATGGTAGTTTCTTCTGCTGTGCAGAAGCTCTTTAGTTTAATTAGATCCCATTTGTCAATTTTGGCTTTTGTCGCCATTGCTTTTGGTGTTTTAGACATGAAGTCCTTGCCCATGCCTATGTCCTGAATGGTAATGCCTAGGTTTTCTTCTAGGGTATTTATGGTTTTAGGTGTAACGTTTAAGTCTTTAATCCATCTTGAATTAATTTTTGTATAAGGTGTAAGGAAGGGATCCAGTTTCAGCTTTCTACATATGGCTAGCCAATTTTCCCGGCACCATTTATTAAATAGGGAATCTTTCCCCATTGCTTGTTTTTCTCAGGTTTGTCAAAGATCAGATAGTTGTAGATATGCGGCGTTATTTCTGAGGGTTCTGTTCTGTTCCATTGATCTATATCTCTGTTTTGGTACTAGTACCATGCTGTTTTGTTACTGTAGCCTTGTCGTATAGTTTGAAGTCAGGTAGCGTGATGCCTCCAGCTTTGTTCTTTTGGCTTAGGATTGACTTGGCGATGCGGGCTCTTTTTTGGTTCCATATGAACTTTAAAGTAGTTTTTTCCAATTCTGTGAAGAAAGGCATTGGTAGCTTGATGGGGATGGCATTGAATCTATAAATTACCTTGGGCAGTATGGCCATTTTCATGATATTGATTCTTCCTACGCATGAGCATGGCATGTTCTTCCATTTGTTTGTATCCTCTTTTATTTCATTGAGCAGTGGTTTGTAGTTCTCCTTGAAGAGGTCCTTCACATCCCTTGTAAGTTGGATTCCTAGATATTTTATTCTCTTTGAAGCAATTGTGAATGGGAGTTCACTCATGATTTGGCTCTCTGTTTGTCTCTTATTGGTGTATAAGAATGCTTGTGATTTTTGTACATTGATTTTGTATCCTGAGACTTTGCTGAAGTTGCTTATCAGCTTAAGGAGATTTTGGGCTGAGACAATGGATTTTTGATTAGAGACAATGGATTTTTGATTAGAGGTAATCAACCTATATTGATTTAGAAAGACCTAGAGAAAATCTTAAAAACAGCCAAATTATAAATTATTTGCTTTTAAAATAATATTATTATGAGTGACTGATTTCTGAACAAAAATTGATGGAAAACAGAAGACAATAAAATGAAATATGTATAATTTTGAAAGAGAATAAAGACAACTATGAATCCTAAACATTTCTTCAAAAACGATGGTCAAGAAAGATGTATTCCAGCAACATATTTATTTTCTCAAAAATAAATATTAAAAAGAATTCTTTTCAGAGAGAAAAATATTCTCAAATGGGAACACAGAAATTCAGGAAAGTATGAAGAACAATAGAAAAAATAATATTTGGGTACATATATATAAATGTGGAATGTACAAAACAATATTTATTCAGTGGTTTAAATACATATGCGAAATTAAAATATTTCCTTAAAATAACAACACTTTACATAGAGGTAAATATTACTAAAATATTCCAATACCCTAGCAACGGAAAAACCTAGCACAAGAAATAAGTTTTGTAGACATAAAAGTAAAAGCTGGAAGTTTAATATCTATTGGAGGTTTACATTAATGATTTTATAATCAAATGTATGATAGAAGATGTATGCATTTGGTTAACCCCTAAGGAAGCCAGAAAGCAGGGAAGAAAGAACATATTACATTGCTAAATCAAAAACAATTACACAGTATATATAATTCCAAAACCTTGACTAATTACATTAAATGAAACTATTTTAAAGACTCCAATACAAAGACTAATGTTGACAAACTAGAACAAAAAATAAAAACTGTGTGCCGCTTTTCAATAGGAGATAGACTTTAAAGGTATGAATGGAGTAAGGTGAAAAGTAAAATAATGAATGTAATGTATACCATGGATATACTAACAAAATATGTGTTTTTTAATACTAATAGTATAAAAAGTATACTTTAAGACAAGAAGCATCATTAAAGATAGACAAATATCTCTTAATAATAACCTGGCCTATCCATCGAGAAGATTCTAAATTCTAAACAATTCTAAACTAGTAGAGTCAGTAACATCGCTTCAAAATATAGAAAGTAAAACTTGACAAAACTAAAAGAAAATAGACAACTATAAGATGATAGTACAAACAGAAAGTAGAATGGTGGTTAGCTGGGGCAGGGTGGTTGGTAGTGGGTGAATTGGCGAGATGTTCATCAAAGAATACAAAATTTCAGTTAGATAGGAAGAATAAGTTCAAGTAATCTATTGTACATGTGATGACTATAGTTAACAGCATGTTGTATTCTTGAAAAATGCTAGGAAAAAGGATGTAAAGTGTTCTTATCACAAAAGTGATCACTCTGGGGTAAAACATAATGTTAATTAGCTAGATTTAGTTATTCCACAATATATACATACTTCACAACAATATGTTGTACATGGTAAATACATATAATTTTATTTGGCAATTTAAAAATATGTAAATAAAAATGTTATAGAGTAAGACTTTAATACACTTTTCTCAATAGCTTTTAGCAGGAACAGTGGAAAAATCACTAGATATATGTACATTATTTTAACTACACAAATTACAAATGCAACTTATTTGGCAAAAAAAAAAAATGCATTATTTTCAAAAACGTTAACTTTTATCAAAATTGACCATACTCTAGATCAAGAAATCCTCAATACGTTTCAAAGGACTGAAAATACGTCATATTCATATTTTATAGTATAAGTTTTCAAAATAACATAGAAATAGTTTTAAATATAATTTGTTTTATATTATTTTATCTATTAATCAAAACATCTTTTTTTTTTTATTGTAAGCAGTTGTCATTACTTGGAAGCACAAGTGTTTGAACAATTATCCATGAGGTGCCTTCTTTCCATGACCAACTTTGCTTACTTTCAAAAGCTGGGTAATTACCGCCACACAGTGGCAGCTCCATACCTTTCTTTTCAGTCCAGTTATATGAAAGATAAAAGAGAAATATCACTAAAGGTAGACAAACACCTCTTAATAATAATCTGGTCCATAAGAAGAGCCATTAAGAAAATTCTAAATTCTAAACAATTCTAGACTAATATAGTCAAGCTGTACTATAGTGAAGCTGTAAGAAGAGTTCCCAGAGAAAAAGCTCCCAGGAAGAATGACTTTGCTACCTTTCTGCTCTGTTCCTCCGCACCTCTCCTAGAATACAATAAACACATTTTGTATCATTTTGTCTTTGATATATATCAAAACTCCTCAATAAATTGAAAAAGGATTTTCGAGTGTTCCCTAAATAGTGTTTCTCAGATGTGGGAAATCTCTAAATTATTTAAAGTGCATTCAGGGCATAAGAAACAAACAGCTTTATTCATTGTTTTCCCAAAATTTGTACAATAATTTTATATATTAAAATATATTTTATTCATATAGTTAATAAAAAATTATGTTATATCATTTAAATAAATAAATTATTTGCTCTATTAGCTCTACCAAACACAATGATACATATTCGGGGCCATAGGTTAGATCTTACATCTAATAGGATGTATTTCTTTCTCTTTGTCCATTTTCTGTCTACTGACTGACTCCTTTGTACGTCTCATCTCAAGTTTTAAACACCATCTCTATGCAGGCAGCTCCCAACTTTATGTCTGTAATACACATTTCTTGTCGAACTAACACATATGTTCAAATGTCTTTTGACATCTTCGTTTTGATGTCATAAACTTGTCAAATTATGTGTTAACAGAAATGCCTAATCTCTAAAGCACCACATCAATTCAGGTTATTCTATACTTTTGTCTATATTGGTACATTGCAAACCAATTTTTTCCTACTTTTCAGGACAAAATTTGTGGGTCATTCTCAGTACCTTTCTTTCACTCTCTCCTTATTTCAATCAACCAGAATATCTTGTTGTCACTTCTTTCAAAACACAATAAAATGTGACAGCTTTTCATTCTATTATTAGCAGCTTGATCCAAGTGAACATTCTCTATCACAATGATTGTTGTAATAAGTTCCTTATTTATTTCCCAATTCCATCCTTCACTTCCTGCAATTTTTTTCTCGATGCATCACTGCTAATAAATAAGAATAGATGGATAAAGGAATAATAGAATACAGGGAATTCTGGGCCACATTAAGGGATTGGGATTTTATCTGAAATCTATGAGAAACCATATAAGCCTTAGAATGTATTAAGGTTTAAAGAGATCATTCTGAATATCATGAAGGGAATGTCTTTTGACAGAGTAAATATGAAATGAAATATATAGTTATTGCCAGTGTTAGGCAGGACAACAGTATATCTTAAACTAGTTTTTAAGTATGAAAATGATAGGATTAAATGAGTTATAAATTGGAAAGAAGACAAGGAATGGGATAATACAAAGGTTGATTAAATGGTGAGTAAATGGTGGTACTTTTTAAAGAGATGGTGAAGACTGGAGATTTGGACAGCAATAAATCAAGAATCCTGATTTTGACATACTAACTTTAGAACTCTATGAATTAAACAAGGAGATATGTCAATCAAGTAGCTAAATGTTGCAGTGTGTATCTCATGAGAATGGTCAATTTTGAAGCTATAAATTTATATAAAGAAAATAATAGTCAGTCTTAGAGATTAGTGTCTTGGAAGAATCTCAATAAATATTACCATCTTTTCTTCCAAGGTCCAAAATTAATTGATAAATAAAACAGAAAATTTTATTTTCATTATTATTGGCATTTTAAACTTTCCCTTTTGTAAATTGTGATGGCAAAATCAAAATAACACCTAAGATTTCAAGAGAAATATCATATGTAACCAGTGTTAATTTGTATTCTAGGGCTGAATAACCAATTCTTCCTTCTTTTTATAATCTTGTTTCATGAAATGTTGAAAGGTATGTTTTATATGTAAAAAAGAAAATTATTTAAAAGCAAAAATAATGATTGAAATTAGCTAAATATTTGTAAATGTCAGTTCCTAATTGATAGTCTCAGTGAATTGACGTTGGAAAAGCTTTTAAAACTTATTTTTTAAAAAAATCCTTAATTTGTACATTCTCACTTAGTTTTGGATACATTTAATGTTGTAATAATAAGCTGAGAAAGGTTATTGAAAGCTTGTTGAAAAGTTATGGAAATACTTAGCTTGACAAATAATGAAAATATTTAATCATCTTGATGTAAGAAACATTTGACAGTTTAAATAATATTCCAGTATTTTAAATATTTGGGAATATATGGCAAAAAAATTTACATCATTCAAACCACAAACAAATATTAATATCTAAATTTGCAAGTAATCAAACATGTTTGTAGTCAAGCTTGTGAAAATCTAGTTATATTGATAGGAACAAGTAAGCACTTGGAAAATTATGCCAATATTTACAGACTCCAATGAGAGATTTTCTATTATTTTCATACAATCATACTTATAAAAAGTAAACTCTAATAACTAATCTCAAACTCACTATTTCTTTGTGATGTGAATTTGTCATGTTTTGGAAGTAAAGTCAACTTTGAAATATATAGTGCTGGTAGAAAGAAAGATGTTTTAATGCCAATAATATCCTCAGTGAGAGTAACTTTTTTGTGCCTTAAAGATTATAAAGAAGTCTGAGTGCAATGCATTTCAAAATGCGCAGGTGTTATGATCATGTCTTTCTTTGAACTGCATTCAAATGAGACACATTTTAGTATTGTTGTGTTCAATATTGGAAATGAAGTTCTTTTTCAAAAAACTGGCAAATGTTTTTATATCAACTGTGTGATATGGGACATTTTGGAATAAATAAAAAAAACATGTGATAGTAGTGTATAACATAATAGTGTTCCAATACATAAAGAATAATGATGAAATTCTATATTAAAACATATTTAAACTGCAGATGTTGACAACACTATAGTCAACTACACTGCCATGAGTTTCTGACATTTCCATTGATTCTGAATCTTTATTCTTACAGTCTTAAAGTTAAAAAAAACTATCACAAATCTAATCACTATAAAAAATGAAAATACAAGAAAGATTAAAATAATGTATTATACCTTTTGAATTATTCTACTGCTTTAAAATATTAAATATGTATAAAATATTATATTTAAATATAAAATTTATGTTAAATATAAAATGTAAAGTATTCCACCATTTAAAAATGTTAAATATGACATTTTGCCATAGTAGCAAGCTAGAAAACAAATTTGCATTTAGAACTGTTTAATAATCATGCAATATTCTGTTAATCTTACTATTGTCATCATCATTTGGTAGAATTATCTATCCATATGTTACAAACTATTATTAACTATATTTCATGTAGAAAAAAATAATCAGGTGCCTGCTTAAAAGAGAACAAAATGCATAACTTAAATGGAAAGTTTCAACAATTATCAAGTCTATTGTTCTCTAAGCTATGGATTTTAAATTTAGGTTTTAAGCATATTTTATTCAGTCTGATTTCCCTCTTCATTTCCACCTATGTTCAAAAGCAAATTGTTTTCTAATTGTCTATAGAGGATCAGGGCTCCCTCAGTGCATCTTCAATTATTTGGAATTTATTTTATATTTGTTCTCTAAGAATGTCTATATATTCACTGAAAGGTTGAAAAAGAACACATAGTGCTTATATAATGTGTATGACCTGCTTGGATGTGCTCCTTGATAACATGTAATGTATCATCTTCTTTATGTACCCTATACTATCTAGTACAATTCTTCGCTCATAATATTATCCAACATATATGTATGAATTTAAAATTGATTCAAATCATTTTTGAATGCCTACTGTGGCAATATATTGAATCAGTGACTAATGTAATCCAAATATTGTCCTAGTTACAATGGCTCATTTTTTTCTTGCATTATTTAGTAAAATGAGAAATTCAAATTAACAAGAACATTTAAAATTTATACCATTCATCAAGACACGTTACAGCTGTTTTGAGCTTTACTAGTTAGGTTCTTAATGCTAAGGACCTAACTAACTGTTAACTATTATTGAACAAATCGACAATTTATTATGATGCTCTTTGTAGAGTTAAAAAATACATTTTTTAATTTAAAACAATAATACAAGAAAATAATGTTTTATTGTTTAACAGTGTTGTATCTCCTTTTGTAACAATACATTTTTTTTCATGAATTGTCTGACACTTGAATGATAAACAGGTCAGATAATGTTTTCTTTGTTCCCAACAATTTGAAGTAATTTGAAAATATTGATGTCATAATTCCATAAAGTAAATACCTTTTTAAGCTAAATTGATTTGTCTCTACTTACCAAATTATATACTTAATATAATTTGTATTTTCTTCTTTTTCTGGTGAGGTCCAATTTATAGACTGCAAGATAAGCCAGGTCTCTGAATAATTTTCAGTTTCTAGCTCAAAATAAATAAGCCTACTCTGTCCACAGCACACCTGCATACAGGGGGACGTGGAGAACAGCATTGCTTTCCCTAGCCACATGCTTTGGAAGTTCTGTTTAGGGAGGGAAGCATTCATTTCTTGCCTACTTTAAGTAAGGCATCAGTCTAAGCATTTTTGAAAATTTGTCATATTTAATTCTTGCAATAACTATGTTGTTTAAGAAATTATTACTACCAGTTATAGAGAGGAGGAGGAAAAATTCCCTAATCTATCCAGACATATGGTCAGCTTTTGATAAAGTTTAGATAGAATTCAGTCAGTCAGATTCCTCAAGCAGAGAGTCTTTAATAAAATAGTTTCATTCAGTCCCTTCCTTAGGCCACAAACTAAATTGAACCAACAAGTTCTGCCTAGAATAATGTTGAGTTATTCAGTTTATTTTACTGTTTAGCTGGCTGGCTATTTTTATAATAGAAATGGCTAGACAAGAGCCCAGGGGGAACTTTCTGCACAAAAGTAGTCTACTTCCACTGGTCTTGTATCATAATTAAAATTACCACATTTAATTGTCCCATTAATTTATAACATCTATGACGCTATTAGTCCTTTATATCATTTGCATATATCTCTACATGAATAAGTAACAAAGAGCAGGGATCTTAAAATATATGACAAATCAATATCTATTACAAAACTCCCACTCCCCAGCAAAAACGGAGTAAGCAGAGGATATGCTACTAAGCAACATTAAGAAATTGCACATCTGAACTAGAGGAACGTTTTTACTTAGTGTCGCTGAATGGCACTTATGGGAGTAAGAAATGACACTCTACTTTTAAGAGTATATTCTGTTGATGAAAAATCATATTTATTTCAAGCTTGAAGAGAACAAATTATACCAGAAACCGATTCCTGGAAAAAAATCTTTACAAAAATATTAAAAGGGAAATGAGATTATGTTAATTTTTAAAAATGTAATAATATTTATCTCTAAGAAAATAAAAAAAAGCAGTCTTTCTTTCCACCAATCAGCAATGGGCATGAATTGGCTTACAGCATAATTGTATAAGCAGTAGTCATGCAATGTTATCCTCATATACTTGAGAATAACTACATTTTGTACAACCTTTTTTAAATTGTCAAAGCATTTTCTACCTAATTGCTTATCTGACGCCCCTACTACTTACTCCCATCCTATCTGTATGATGAAGACCAAAGAGGCTATTTAAAAAACAATTATTTTCTTTTGATGTGCAGAAGATGCGTGTGACACAAACATGAGATAAATAATGATTCCTAAGCTTATAATTTTGTCAACTTCCTGGTAAATATTGTTAAAACAAGCAACAATATCAGCAAGCTACAAAATTTGTTGCAATTAGTAGTTTTTAAATTGACATTTGTAGTTTTATTAACCTCATGGAATCAGGAGGACAATCAAAGCCTCCTAGGGACAGTTGGATGTGTGGACATCATGTTTACATTTCTCATATTTTTAGAGACATTTTAAGACAAGGGTATTGCTGCCCTAAATTACTTAAATGCAGCTTAATGTGAACTAATTTTCTAGCAGTTGTGCTAAGGTGAATCAGTGCCAAGCTACTCTTATATTTAATAGCCTCTGGGACACTGGGATCTAACTTCCCAGTGGATCATCCTCTAAAGGACTGAAAATGTTGTAGTAATTTTTATTTTCCTAGTACAAAACAAAATTCTAGAACAATGGCTTCCAAACAGCAGGAACCTTTAATTAAATTAAAGCATTGAGTCAAGAAAACAAACATCATCTGATTATTATCAAGAGAACAGGGTTTTTGAACTTTGGTTTAAAAATAAAATCCTGCCCCAAGACTCTGGTAATGAAAGTCAGGACATTTTAATACATTTATGTATGATTGTTCAAGGCAAAATATAATAATGAACTGGTCAAACATACAGCAATTATAGTTTACTTCAAATTGGTGCTGATTGAAAAATAAAGCAAATTCATTTTCTCCTGTTATTATTGACTTTGAAGAAACAATGTTTTTTACATTTTTCATATATATTTAAAGTGAACAGATAAGGGCTAAAGTTACTTTCTGTAGCTTAATGTGCCACATCATCTCTGATAGCTTCAATTTTAATAAAATTTTTTTAAATTATCATGTGAACTTCTAATAAGAAAAATAATGAAAATGTTTTATGTTTTGCTATCCTCTTTAAACTTAAATAATAAAATTTTAGAATCTAAAGAAATTAATCTAAAATTTGCTTTATTCTAAAATTTTGTGTGTTCTTTTGACTGCTATTTTAATGAAAGGATTGACAATTGTCTTAATCTTGGTTTTTTAATGCTGATTATAATCTCTAATTCTATCAGTTTGAGTCATCATAAAAAGGTACATTCACAACATAAACAGTAGTTACATAGGTAGCACATAAAGTAAATATGGACTATAATTACTTTTTTGTTCATTGGGATACACAATGTTAAAATCAATTTTATTCAGGCCATTGGACATTCAGCTCAGCATGATTTTTCAATTTTATAAACAGTAGGAGACTCAACAAGGGATAATGAAGAAAAACAGGACCATGAAATCACCAGCTAAATTATTTTCTTTTTTCTTTGGCTATTTAAGTTCAAAATTAAATGCTCTGAAAAGTCTAAGCAGGATTGAAATTGTACAATTCCTAAGCAACCATGCTTCATTTATGTTTCATATACAGCCAATGCTCAAACTTTTCTTTTCTTTAAGAAACTTGAAAACATTGAAAAATAGCAAATAAAAATATAGATTTGTGAATAAAAATGGATTTTGTGAATTTTCCAAGGGTTTAAACAAATTGGATTTTTCACTAGATTAAATTTGATAATAAAATACAACTCTTGGTCAAAGTTTCGATTCTTAAAAATATCTTTCAGATCTCTCTGGAGACAGTCACCTTGAACTATTTTGCCCTTTCAAGTAATACCTAAAAGACTGACCTTCTGTTAGATATGTATGTGGTATTCCACCTACCTTGTTACATATCTCTAGCCTCCTGCGCTTCTTAAAATAATTCTATATACAAATGGTCCCCAGTTTATGATGGTTCAACTTGTGGTTTTTCAAATTTGCAAAGATTTTATCTGGATGTAACCCCATTGTATAAGTCAAGGAGCATCTGCATAAATCTCTTAGAATATCACTTAGCCAAGCCATCATATGTGGCATATGCTTTTCCCTAGCTTTTGGTGATAAATTCCTATTCATTCTTTAAATTTCAACACAAATTTAGTTTTCATTATTAAATGTATCCATATATTATCCATTATATTTGTAATATGGGATGCTCACATTATGAAATTAATTTTATTATTCAAATAATTATTACTTAATGTGCTACGTATTCTTTGAGAATAGAACATGCCCTCAACCTTATCTAGAATATTGTACAATAGAAGTAAAAGTGAACCATATAAGTGAGCCAAATATACAATTTTACATTTTGTAGGAACATCATTAAATAAGGTAAAAACAAAGTTGAATTAATTTTAATGATATATTTTACTTAATATATCCAAAATATAATTTCAGCATATAATCAATATAAAATATTAACAAGATGTTTTATATTTAAAAATCTAATTCTTGAAAATCTGTTTTTTGTTTTGTTTTGTTTATTCCCTTGCAGCACATATCAATTCTAATTGGCCACAGTCAAAGTGCTTGAATTGCCTCATAAAGCTAATAGACACCACACTGGACAGTGTAGATAGAGAATGACATCTGGACATGGAACGTGCTTGTTAAAGTGATGAATTATTTTGTGTTTGTATGTATGTGAATGCACATTCATATGAAGTAAAGTAAAACATTAAAACATTTAATACGATGTTACAATAAACAGATACAATCAAATTAATAGCCATAGAAAGGGAATGTATTAGGAAAAGATAGAACTTGTGTTTGTATAGATAAGTATACAGAATAGCTGATTAAAGACACATGAAAGTGAATAAATGAGCCAATGTTTAAGAAGTGAGAACAAAATTATTCTATAATATATCTGGGCAAATAATCTTAATAGACATTTCTCAAAAGAAGACATACAAATGGTCAACAGGTATATGAAAAATCCTCAACATTACTAATTATCAGTGAAATGCAAATTAAAACCACAATGAGCTATAACCTAACATCTACTAGAATGGCTATTATAAAAAAGACAAAATATAACAAGCTTTATCAAGCGTGTAGAGAAAAGACAGCACTTGCATGTTGGTGGTGATATAAATTGGTGTAGCCATTATGAAAAACAGTATGGAGGTTCTTCAAAAACAAGAACAGAACTACCATATAACCCAGCAATTTCACTATTGGGTATATATTAAAAAGAAATAGAATCAGTATGCAAAGAGACAGCTGCACTCACATGTTTATTGCAGCATTGCTTACAATAGCCAAGATATGGAGTACATCTAAGTGTCCATCAATGGATGAATGAGGAACATGTGTTATATATACCACTTTCAGCCTTAAAAAGAATGAAATCTTGTCATTTGTGACAACATGGATGATCCTAGGAAGACATTATGTTAAGTGAAATAAGCCAGGGATAGTAAGACAAATACCACAGGATATCACTCATATGTAGAATGTAAGAAAGTTAATCTCAAAGAGGTGGAGAGTAGAATGGTAGTTACCAAAGGCCGGGATGATTGAGGGGAGTGTAGACATATTGGTCAATGAATACAAAGTAGCAAACAGAAACAATAGGTTCAAGAGATCAATTGTACATCTTGGGGACCATTATTAGTAATATATTGTATTCTTGAAAAGTGCTAAGAGAGGGTATGTAAAGAGTACTCACTACAAAAGCAACAGCTATGTGAGATAATACATAGGGTAAAAAGACAGATTTAGTCATTTCACAATGTGTATATAATGGAAAACATCATGTTATACACAGTAAATGTAAGTTTTCTGTTAATATAACACATAAAATAATAAATCAATGCCTTAAATACATAACTGAATCATGCTATTAGTTCTCTTTTTTATTCTTTTCCACTAATAGAATTATAAGAGAAATAAACCTTATTTGAATTAATAGTTTAAATTTTAATTACATCTGATAGAATGTTTATTACAAAAATGTTAAAAGATACAAGTAGCAAAGATGTGAAGAAGAGGGAACGCTTCTACACTATTGGTGGGAATGTAAATTGATTACAGCCATTATGGAAAACAGCATGGAGGTTATTCAAAAAATTAAAAATATCCCACTTTAGGGTATATATTCAAAGAAAACAAAATCAGGACATTGAAGAGATATCTGAACTCCCATTTTTATTGCAGCATTATTCATAATAGACAAGATATGAAGATAACCTAAATGTCTGTTGGCTAAATACATTAACTAGCTGGATGAATAGGTAAAATGTAATATTATTTTGACATAAAAAATAAATTTCTGCCATTTGGGACAATATAGGTGAAACTTGAGTGCATTATGCTAAGTGAAAGCAGTCAGACAGAAAAAGACGAATACTGTATGATATCACTATATATGTGAAACCTAAAAGTGTTGAGCTCACAGAAAGCAAGAGTAGAATGGTTGTTTCCAGGGACTGGGAAGTGGGGAAAATAGAGAAATGTTAGCTAAAGAGTACAAAATTTTACTTACAAAATGAATAAGTTATGGGGATCTAATGTACACCATGATGACTATAGTTAAAAATACTGTATTATATACTTAAAATATGCTAATAAAGTAGATCTTAAGTGTTCTCAACACAAAAGAAAAAAGGCAACTAGACTGTGGTAATCATTTCACTGTATATATTATATACTTACGAATATGTGTTCACACATGTATAACATGTAAAATCATCATGTTGTATACCTTAAATCTATACAACTTTTTTTTATCAGGTATACCCTTATGAAGCGGGAAAAAATTACATAAATAAAATAAATCACCCAAGTTCTATTTGAAGATGAGTCAATAGATCTCATTTTTTAATCTCTTTCCTTTATAAGTGAATTGCTTGAGTTGATTGCTTGCTAAGAACACCTGTTGCAATTTTTATAATGGAAAGTCTGCAGTTACAATACAAATTAAATAAGTATTCATAATAATATGAACATAAAATGCAAGAGTTGTATTTTATTACAAATCATTTCAAAAGCCTTAAAAAATGTGGCTGAATTATAGTCACACACCAGCAGAATAAGAGGAAAGATGTCTGCCAAAATTTTATGCAAATATCTTTTTGTGGCATGGGATTAAATGCCCATCATCCCAAGGCAAAAAAAAAACCTACCTCAAACAATTACACTACATGAGGATGCTGCATTATAAAAAAAATCAGTATTCCCAAAATGCATCTTTAATAATGACAAAATCACTAATGTGAAAGATGTATATTAAAAATTTTAACTGAAAACATTTCATGAAATGAGAGTATAAACAAAAATATTTCAGTGTAAATATATTTTTGTACTGCATATTTTAAATATGTACACATTAATATGTTTGATCTTATAATTATGTAATTAAATAGTTCATCTATATTTTTAATATTTTACATTGCTCATTTGTCCTCTCCAAGTAAAACAATGTTTAAAAATATGCTTGTTGAAATAAGAGGTTATCTGTTATTCAGAACTGTTTTAAAAGTGTGCACAAACGAAGTTGCTTTATGTTTAGAGATGTTTAAATACATTTGTATAAATCAACTAGTCCTAATATATGTCAGAGCCTAAACAGAAAAACAAAAACAATTATGACTAGTTCAAAGAAAGAAGTCAATGCAATAATCTGATTAAAATGATGAAAACCCGACCATCAGTTAGTGATTAAATCATAAATAAAGCTGGGAACAAAAAAAAATGGTAGGTACCTGATGGTATATGGAACCATGGAAGACACGTGTATCCACTGTTTGAGCCAGACACCGCTAAGGGCAGAAAGTGAGAGACAAATATGCTGATTTTTCCCTTCTTTGTATCTTGCTTTTTAAGTCTTCTCCAATACTACCCATTGTTTAAATCCAAATTGAATCTATACATGAGGATGTGGGAGCCGGAGGCTAAGACTCTACGTTATGAAATAGAATAACAAAAGGAAAGTGAGCAATGTATCTGAATCAAAGATGATCAAAGTACATACAACCATTTTGATATGAATTTTATTTAAAAAATTAAAATACTAATGAATATACCTCACAAAAATAAGAGAAAACAATTTATTTCAGATTAGAAGCAGAGCTATTTTACCAGCCACTAATGATTGTCTCATTTCTTATTTTCCATGAAATTACTTATGAAGATATATGAAAATTATTTTTAAAAATAACAATCATAATAATATATTTAAAATAAATATTTTAAAAGTGAAATAAGTTTTCACTAAATATAAATATAATATTGCTTGTTGAGAAAAAAGACTATAACTTGCCAGACATTAACTCATCTAAAGAATAACTCAAATAATATGAAGTTCCTTCAATAATTGTTATTACACATAGTTCTAAAAAAATAGCAGTTTCTAGGCAAAGATTAAAGAGAATAATGTTTCTTCTAGCTACAAATAAAGTAAGGTAGCTTTTGTACTACATTCCACTTTATTTCCTTTGCAATCTCAAGTTTCATCCAGATCCTGGGTACTCATTGCTTTAGTTGAAACATACTTAAGAGGAACTCCAAATTTTCTAGGGAATAGGAACCAAAGAATTTAAATATTATACTTTATATAATAATCTAATCGGGCCGGGCATGGTGGCTCATGCCTGTAATCCCAGCACTTTGGGAGGCCAAGGCGGGTGGATCACTTGAAGTCAGGAGTTTGAGACTAGCCTTGCCAACGTGGAGAAATCCTGTCTCTACTAAAAATACAGAAATTAACCGGACGTGGTGACGGGCATCTGTAATCCCAGCTACTTGGGAGGCTGAGGCAGAGAATTGCTTGAACCCGGGAGGCAGACGTTGCACTGAGTGGAGATCTTGCCACTGCATTCCAGCCTGGGCAACAGAGCAAGACTCCGCCTCAAAAAAAAATATAATCGAAACTACAGATATTAAATAAAGATTGTAATACTATTTGTTGGTGCATAGAAGGGAGAATTGAAGGTAAAATGGGAACTGTTGTGGGCAGGATAATGGCTCTCCCCAAAGATATCCATGTCATAATCTCCTAGTTCTAGTGTCCTAATTTCTGAAACCTGTGAATACATTATCTTACATGACTAAAAAGAACTCTCGAGATGTGATTAAGAACCTTGAGATGGGTGGATTATCCTGAATACCATAAGTGGGATCAATCTAATTACATAGGTTCTTAAAATCAGAGATTTTTTTCCCAATTGTGAGCAAAGTAAGATGTGACCATGGAAGAGAACTCTGAGAGAGGCAATTTTGCTGGTTTGAAGATGAAGGAAAGAGTTTACAAGTCAAGGAATAGCAGTAGCCTCCGGAAGCTGGGAAAGGCAAGAAAGTCTGGTACAATCCTAGAGCCTCCAGAAAGAATTTCAGCCTTATTGACACCTTAATTTAGTGAGTCCTGTTTCTGATTTCTACAGAATTTAAAGTAATAAATTGGTGGCTTTAAGTCACTAACTTGTGGTTTGTTTCAACAGCTATAGAAAACGAAGACAAAAATATTGCAAAAATACCTAATGTACTATAGGAGAATCAGGCAAATTTTAATTTATAAAGGTAATATTCAAGCTTCACCTTTAGAAGAAAGTGAAAATTAGCTAGATGTATAAAGAATTACTGTCTGAGGTAGAGAGAACAACATAAGTGAAGGCCAATAGATGAGGCTTTCTCTGCTAAAATTTAAATATAGAAGATGAGGGATATTTGCAGAAAGATGAAACCACAGAGATGATCGCTGATGCACCATAAAATGTAGACATTAGAGGGTTTAGAGCATGCTACCTTGTTATTTGAGAAAACAGCACAAGCAGGAAGACCTCTCTCATGTTCTCCTAGTTCTTCTACTCTGAAGCAGGTCATAAGACCCTAATTTGAGAGGTATTTTCCCTATACCCAGAGGAAAGGAAGATCCTTTTATGAAGACAGAGAAATATAGAGAAAAATCTGAACAAAAAGGCCTTAATAAATTCCTTCCACATTTAGATCATCCCTCCTTTGTCCAATTATATGTCTCCACAATTATACACCTTTTCATCAAATTTAAGCATAAAAACACAGAAGTTTACCTATTTTTTTGTATCTTCTTTTAAGATTTTCCCTGTTATAGAAAACTTAAAATAGATATATTTCTATGTTTTTTTCTTGTTAACCTCTCTTTTTTATAGAGGCCTCAGCCATGAACCTAATGATGGGCAGGAAAAGACATTTTTTTCATTTGCTACATAAGTCTGAATTTTCCTAGAGCGATGAATTTTCCACAGATAAATTGAATGAATAAAGTGTCATTTCTGAAATACCATTAATATTCTAATGTGATAAAGACATAATGGAGCAAAGATGCAAGGAAGCAGGAAACCATTTATGATGATACTAAAGTAAGATTAAAGTATATAGTGTCATGGACTAAGGAAAGTGAGGGTGGAAAAGAAGAAAAACTAAGGAAGTAGAGATATGCAGGAGAAAGAGTTATCAAGCCAGGGCATGGTAACTGAGTTAGATTCGTTGAAGGGACAAGAAACAATCAAATGCAAATCCCAGGTTTCTGTCTAAAGAAGCTCGGCATTGTTTAGTGTCATACATTGAGATTGGAAACATATGAGGTTAAAAAGTAAAGAGGAGATAGTAAGTTTATCTTTGGACAT
The DNA here is from genome assembly GCF_000001405.40 of Homo sapiens. NCBI lineage: Eukaryota > Metazoa > Chordata > Mammalia > Primates > Hominidae > Homo > Homo sapiens. The sequence goes on along the minus strand of NC_000004.12, from coordinate 63,282,790 downwards.
ATAGAAATTTTAATTTCCTGCTAGGTATCTAATTGTGTATTTTAGTAAATTATTTTATATATGTGTTTTAAACACAAGAGAGATACTAGGCTGGATATTTATATTGTGAAATTATTTTGGTTATACAGCCATGATATATGGATGTCAAATGAAGCCAAGAAGGAGTGGATAACAATTCCAAAGGAAAAATAAGTCCTAAAATATATGCCGAAGGAATACCAGTTTTAATAGCCAATCTCTGCAGAAATATATAACTAAGTAAATCTCCAGGAAGGAAAATGACATCCGGAAAGTATTGCTAAGAAGTGCAAAGAATGTAAATCCACAAAATCCAACTCAAATAAAAAAGGAGTGGAACCAGGAGGATCCATTACTCAATTTCAAGTCATTACTTCAATGTATACCTAGATTTTGATGTGTTTGGTAAACCTGTTATAAATTGTATAGTCTTTTATGATCTGTATGCACATATAAGTGAATGATGTTTAACGGATTATTATGTGGATATAATAACTCTTTACAAGTAGCAATAATTTTATTTTATTTGGAGAAATTAACCTCTCTGAATCTCAGTTGGCATTCTTGGGCCCACAGAAGAAAAATGTAATGCTCATGATACTTTCAGGATTGTTTCTAAGAACAAGTTTTTCAGAAAGAGATTCCCAGAAATCTTTCCCATAGGGGACAAACCTTAGAAATTAAATTAAAGCTTTACCATTATGATCAAACTACTGATACATACAGCAATATGGATGAAACTCAGAAACATAATACTGTTCAAAAAAAGATGGACCCAAAAGGCTACAGGCTGAATGATTCCATTTATTTGATATTTGGAAAAGGCGAAAGCTTGGAGACTGAAATTTAATTAGGACTGGATACAGATGGAGTTGATTCACTGCTAAGGAGCATGAGGACATTATTTGGGGTGATGAAATGTTCTATATCTTGATTGTGAAGGTGGTTACACTCATAGAACTATATGCCTAATTTTATTATACTTTGATGAAACCTACTTTAAAACTGTGAATAAACTGTAATAATGAAAAGCTTATTGATATACTGAATGTTTCTAAAACCAACCTAATTATATATTGTTCAATAAATTACTAAATGATATATTTTAAAAGAGATTAGATTTTTAATGAACTACTGGTTTATTTTAGAAAGTAATATTTTTTAATGAGCAACCTTACTGCAACCTGTGAAAATTTTATAACTAATGAGCAAACTTCAAAACATGTTTGTCAAGTTTGACTTGGCAATATGTGTACCCTATTAACTGATTTACTTAAATTGCCATTTGGTAATTGAAGCCTATTTACTTTTTTATTTCCTGTAATATAGATAGTTGATTTTGTATAGATGAGTTTTGAAGTAAAACACTGAGATATATTTTTAAACTAAGTGCATACTCATACTAAGTGCATATAATGTTTTACCTGTTTTCAATTTTTAGAGTCCACTTATAGTATAAATATAAGTAGACTCTAAACTTTTATTTTAGTTTCAGGATTACATGTGCAGGTTTGTTACATAGGTAATTTGCGTGTCATGGTAGTTTGGTGTACAGGTTATTTCATTGCTCAGGTAATAACCATAATACCAGACAGGTATTTTTTCAAACTGCACCCTCCTTCCCACATTTCAGCCTCACGTAGGCCCCAATGTCTGTTGTCCCCTTCTTTGAGTCCATGTCTACTCAGTGTTTACCACCCACATATTAATGAGAACATGTGGTATTTGGTTTTCCATTCCTGCATTAGTTCACTTAGGATAATGGCCTCCAGCTCCATCCATGTTGCTACAAAGATCATGATCTTGTACATTTTTGGCTGTGTAGTATTCCATGGAGATATCTACCACATCTGCCGTTGTTGGGCATTTAGGTTAATTCCATGTCTTTGCCATTGTGAATATTGCTGTGATGAACACACATGTGCATGTATCTTTATGGCAGAATGATTTATATTCCTTTGGGTGTATACCCATTAATGGGATTGCTGGGTCAAAAGGTGGTTCTGTTTATTCTTTGAGAAATAACCAAACTGCTTTCCACAGAGAATAAACTAATTTACATTCCTACCAGTAGTGTAGAAGTGTTCCCTTTTCTACAGAATCTCAACAGCATCTGTTATTTTTTGACGTTTTTAATAATAGCCATTCTGACTGATGTGAGATGTTATCTCAATGTGGTTTTGATTTACATCTCTCTAATGATTAAAAACCCAACTCAAGTGATGTTGAATATGTTTTCACAGGTTTGTTGGCCCCATATATGTCCTCCTTTAAGAAGTCTTTGTTCATTTCCTTTGCCCACTTTTTAATGAGGTTTTTTTTCTTATAAATTTGTTTAAGTTTCTTATAGATGCTGGATATTAGACCTTTGTCAGGTGCGTACTTAGAAAATATTTTCTCTTACTCTGTGAGTTGTCTGTTTACCCCATTGATAGTTTCGTTTGCAGTGAAAAAGCTCTTTAGTATAATTAGGTCCCCTTTGTAAATTTTTGTTTCTCTTGCAATTAATTTTGGCACATCCATCATAAAATCTTTGCCAGGGCCAATGTGCAGAATAGCATTTCCTAGGTTTACTTCAAGGGATTTTATAGTTTTATGTTTTACATTTAAGTCTTTAATACATCTTGAGTTGTGTTGTTATATCTTGTAGAGAAGGGGTCCAGTTTTAATCTTCTGCTATGGCTAGCCAGTTATCCCAGCACCATTTATTAAATAGGGACTCCATTACACATTGTTTGTTTTTGTCAACTTTTTCAAAGATCAGTAGGTTGTAGGTGTATAGTTTTATTTCTGGGTTCTGTATTATGTTTCATTAGCCTATGTGTCTGTTTTTGTACCAGTACAATGCTATTTTGGATACTGTGACCCTGTAGTGTAGTTTGAAGTAGGGCAAAGTGATGCTTCCATCTTTGTTCTTTTTGCTTAGGCTTGCTTTGGCAATTCACCCTCTTTTTTGTTCCATATTAATTTAAGAATCCTTTATTTTTCTAATTCTGTTAAAATGTCTTGGTAGTTTAATAGGAATTGCATTGAATCTGTAAATTGCTTTGGCTGTATGGCTATTTTAAGAATATTGATTCTTCCTATCCATGAGAACAGGATGGTTTTCCATTTGTTTCATTTCTGAAGTCTTTCAGCAGTATTTTGTAACTCTTGTTGGAGAGATATTTCACCTCCTTGGTTAGCTGTATTCCTAAGTATTTTATTATTTTTGTGGCTTCTGTAAATGGTATTGTGTTCTTGATTTGTTATTCAGCATGGACATTGTTAGTGTATGGAAATCCTACTGATATTTGTACATTGATATTACTACCTAAAACTTGCTAAAGTAATCAGATCTAGGAGCTTTTGGATAGAAATTGTGGGGCTTTCTAGGTCTATAATCACATCATCTGCAAACAGAGATAGTGTTAATTTCTCTCTTCCTATTTGGATGTCTTTTATTTCTTTCCCTTTCCTGATTGCTCTAGCTAGGGCTTCCAATACTACGTTGAAAAGGAGTGGTGAGAGTGAGCATTCATGTCTGATTCTGGTTCATGATGGGAATACTTCCAACTTTTGCTCATTCAGTACGAGCCGTATGTTACCTGTGGGTTTGTCATAGATAGCTGTTATTATTTTGAGATATGTTCGTGTAGTGTTTAGTTTGTTGAGGTTTTCTAACATGAAGAAATATTAAATTTTATTGAAAGCCTTTACTGCATCTATTGAGATTATCATCTGGTGTTTGTTATTGGTTCTGTTTATGTGATGAATTGCATTTATTGATTTGCATATGTTGAACCAACCTTGCATCCTGGGGATAAAACGCACTTGACTGTGGTGTATTAGCTTCTCAATGTGCTGCTAGATTTTGTTTGCTAGTATTTTGTTGAGGATTTTTGCAACTATATTCATCAATGATATTGGCCTGAAGTTTTCTTTTCCTTTTTTTTTTTTTTCATCTGCCAGGTTTTGGTATCAGGATGATGCTGGCCTCATAGAACGAGTTGGGGTAAGTCCATCTTGCACAATTTTTTCAAATACTTTCAGTAGGAAGGGTATCAACTCTTCTTTGGTGTCAAATATAATTTGGCTGTGAATCTATATGGTCCTGGACTTTTACAGAATGATAGGCTTTTTATTACTGATTCAATTTTGGAACTCATTATTGGTCTGTTCATGGTTTCATTTCCTTCTTGGTTCAATCATGGGAAATTGTATGTTTTCAGGAATTATTCTATTTCTGGTAGGTTCTTAAGTTTGTGTGCATAGACATGTTTGTAATAGTCTCAGAGGGTTTTTTTTGCATTTCTGTGGGGTCAGTGGTAATGTCCCCTTTGTCACTTCTGATTGTGTTTATTTGGATTTTCTCTCTTTTATCTTTGTTAGTCTAGCTAGTGGTCTATCAATTGTATTCTCTTTTTCAAAAAGAAACAACTTCTGGTTTTGTTGATCTTTTGTATTATTTTGCCTTATATTTTTCATTCAGTTCAGTCCTGATTGTGGTTATCTCCTGTCTTCTGCTAGCATTGGAGTTGGTTTGTTCTTGCTTTCCTAGTTCCTCAAGGTGTGATGTTAGGTTGTTAATTTGAGATCTTTCTAACTTTTAATGTGGGCATTTAGTGCTATAAACTTTCCTTTTAACACCGCTTTGGCTTTGTCCCAGAGACTGTGATATGCTCTATCTTTATTCTCATTAGTTTCAGAGAATTCCTTTATTTCTGCTTTAATTTCATTGTTTACTCAGAAGTCTGTCAGGAGCAGGTCATTTAATTTCCATATAAGTGTGTTGTTTTGCATGATGTTCTTAATATTGATTTCTATTTTCATTGTGCAGTGGTCCAAGACAGTGGTTGGTATAATTTTTTTTTAATTTGCTGAGAATGACCTGATGGCCAATTGAGTGGTCAATTTTAAAGTATGTGCCATTTACAGATTAAAAGACTGTATATTCTGTTGTTTTGGGGTGGAAAGTCCTATATGTCTGTTAGGTCTATTTGATCAAGTGTCAAGCTTAAGTCATGAATATTATTGTTAGCCTTCTGTCTCGATGATGTGTCTAATACTGTCAGTGAGGTGTTGAAATCTCCCACTATTATTGTGAGGTCATCTAAGTCTCTTCATAGGTCTCTAAGAACTTGTTTTATTTATCTGGGTTCTCCTGTATTGGGTGAATATATATTTAGGATAGATAGGTCTCTTATTTAATTGAACTTGCTGTCATTATGTAATTCCCTTGTCTGTTTTCAATCATTGTTGAGTTGAAGTCTGTATTTACTTTCAGCCTATAAATGTCATTATATGTGAGATGGGTCTTCTGTAGACAATATGCTGCTGAGTCTTGCTTCTTTATCTAACTTGCCATTCTGTGCTTTTTTAATTTGGGGCATTTAGCCTCTTTACATTTGAAGTTACTATTGATATGTTCAGATTTGATCCTGTTATCATGTAGTTAACTGGTTATTATGCAGGTTTGATTGTGCAGGTGCTTCATAGTGTCACTGGCCTATGTGCTTAAGTGTGTTTTTGTGGTGTCCAGTAATAGTCTTTTGTTTCCATATTTAGCACTCATTTAAGGATCTCTTATATGACAGGTCTGGTGGTAATGAATGCCCTTAGCATTTGCTTCTCTGAAAAGGATCTTATTTCTCCTTTGCTTATGAAGTTTAGTTTGACTGGACGTGAAGTTCATGGTTGGAGTTTCTTTTTTTTTTTTTTAAGAATGCTGTATATAGTCCCTCAATCTCTTTTGGCTTGCAGGGTGTCTGATGGAAGGTCTGCTGTTAGCCTGATTAGGTTCCCTTTCTAGGTGACCTACCACTTCTCTCTAGCAGCCTTTAATATATTTTTGTTCATCTTAGCCTTGGAGAATCTGATCACTATGTGTCTTGGGGATCGGCATTTTCCATAGTGTCTAACAGGAGTTCTCTGTACTTCCTGAAATTAAATGTTGGCCTCTCTAGTAAGGTTGGGGAAATTTTCATGGATGATATCCTCAAATATGTTTTTCAAGTTGCTTGCTTTCTCTCCCTCTCTTTCAAGGATGTCAATGAGTCACAGATTTGGTCTCCTTAAATAATCTCATATTTCTTGAAGGTTTTGTTCATTCCTTATTACTATTTTTTCTTACTTTTTATCTCACTGAGTTAATTTAGAGAATCAGTCTTTGAGCTCTGAGATTCTCGCCTCATTTTGGTCTATTCTGCAGTTAATACTTGCAATTGTATTATGAAATTATTGTAGTGTGTTTTTCAGCTCTGTCAGTTCAACTTTCAGCTTCTGTATTATTTTATTGTAATTCTTAATTTCCTTGGATTGGGTTTCAACTCTCTCTTGAATCTTGAAAATTTTATCTAGATTCTGAATTGTATGTCTGTAATTTAAGCCATTTCAGATTTGTTAAGAAACATTGCTGGGGAACCAGTGTGCTTGTGAGAAGGTAAGAAGATACTCTGGCTTTTGAGTTGCCAGAATTCTTGCACTATTTTTTTTCCCATCTGTGTGGACTGATGTTTATTTAATCTTTGAAGTTGGTGTCATTTGGAAGGGTTTTATTACTTTGATCTTTTTTGATGCCCTTAGGTGTTTTATTGTGGTATAGGTTAGATTAAGTTGATTGGATTCAATTCTGGAAAATTTCAGGGGGCTAAGGCTCAGCTTAGCCCTTCTGGGCTGTGTGCTGTAACTCTGGAGAGCTGGTACAGGTCTCCCAGCTTTGTTCTTTCACCTCTTGAAGTTAGAACGTGCTGCAATGGAGGAACCAAGGTGTTCCTGGTCTGCTGGCCCCAAAAATCCAATGGAAGGTGCCAGCCAAAGCACTTCATTTAGGTCATGGCAATGGGATCTGTGCTCACTCACACGTGCCAGTAGCCACAGCAGGTAGCAGGTTCCACATGCATCCGCTGGGGTGGAAAAACCAGAGAAGGTCAGAGGTGTTTTTGCATACATCCAGGCTGGCAGCAATGGTTTGGTTGGGCACCAGCAGTTGTGAGGTGGCAATGGAGGCACCAGCATCTCTCCACACACTTGTGTGGTGGTGCAGTTGGGGCAGGGCACCAGCAGGGGTGAGTGTGCTGGTATCCATGCTGCACTTGTGCCAGAAATGGCAGCAGCATGACGGGGGTGGGGCACCAGCAAGAAGGATTCTGACATCTGTGAGCAGCACTTGTGCCACAGCAGGGATGGCATGCCCACATAGTGGCACTGCACACTGGCGGGCTTGAGAGAATGGTGGGGTGTACACACACATATGTGCCATTATCAGAGGATAGACGAAATCACCCACATGCATGTACTGTCAAAGTGGTTGTTGGAAATGCCCATGGGTAAGTATGTATCAGACAAGTGGAAGGGGGAGGCTACAGTGGGGAAGGCTGTGACCTGCTGGTCACATCAAAGGTGGATGCTGTGCTGCAGCTCTCCAATGGTTAGGTGTGGTCTGCCAACAATAGAACTAAGATGAAGACCCCCCAGGTTATTCATCCAAGGCTACAATGCCATAGGCATGGCCAGGCTGGGGCGGCAGACAAAGGGGGATGCTCTCAAATTGTACTGGCCTTGTCCCATGGGCAAGAGTGCCCTGATTGTCCAAGTCCAACAACCCTCAAAAGGCTAAAGTCACCTATAGGAGCTTGGGGAGCCTTGGGGAATGGGTGTGTTGCCACGCTCTACTGCAGCCATTCCTGTGCCAAACCCTCTGGGCTGTGTATAGGCTGGAATCCTGCTGGTGCTACCTTTCTAGGCAGCTCTTCCTGCCAGCTCAAGTGTCTGTGGAGGTCGTGGGGTCTTTTGCAGCTAAGAGTCTGGAGGTCCATAGCAAAAGCTGGCCACTCCCATCTGTTCAGTTCGCCCCTTCCCTAAGAGTCACTGGTGGCCAGGAGTGGGTGCCTATGCTGGGCAATCCCTCACAGTGTTCCTAGCTTCTTTCAGTCCATTGTTTGCAACCTCCCTCCCTCCATTCTCAATGCCTTCCCTCTGTATATCTACTATGAGAGTGCCAGCCTTCTCAGTATCCCAGCCCACTGGTGGAAGATGTTCTTCTGGGCTGTGTCTTCCCAGCCATCTTGTCTCCCTCTGCTAAAAATTTAGAAGATACAATGTCAGATTTTACCTAAACATGATGCTCCATGATAATTTTGAATATATTTACAACAAATTACATCTTATAGTCATTGTTCAAATGATGCAAATACTATTAAGAGCTTCAGTATGCAATACTTTTACCACATAAAATATCTGATAATTATATATAAATTTCACTACTTAACTACAGCATACTATACTAAAATTTTCTCTTTGAATTGACTAACCATTAAAAATATGCTTTCCACATTGATCATTATAATAGTTATATACACGGCAACACAAACACACACTTATGAATCACACTAGTATTTTTCCATTTAATGAACAGACTATCGTTACAACTATTTATTATTACATTCTGACTGATTGCTTATGATTGATTTACATTAGAATCAAATTGCTAATAATTTGGATACAAGTATCTGTGTGCATTGGGAATGATTATATAAGAGATGACTCTATTATGTGCTTCATATGCCAAAGCGGTTTGTGTGAATTAGTTACAAACATGGTTAAGAAGATCAAGATGTCTATAACAGAGTGTTTTATTTGCATTTATCTATTCTTGTAATTTGTCTCTATATTAAATTATTGTTTACATTCACAAACAAATTTATGATGACTTTAAAAATTCATCTTCATTTCTGTTCTCTCTTATACTTTTATTGAGGGCATCACCCCACTATAGAAAGACGCCCAGAGATCTTGGACCAAGGGAAATAAATAAACAAATCAAATAACAACAAAAACATACTTAAGTTAGCTGAACTAAATCTCATCTAATCGCCAGAAAATTTACGAGTTTGCACATTTTAGCATTGCATTATACATTATTTATTTTAATTTTGCCTCTTACTCCTTCCTAAATAATGTGAATTATTTGAACATAGGAGCCTCTATATCCCTGGTGTTTTTAGACCTTCTCTGGTGTAATAGTTGATGCTTAATACATATATGAAAGTGAACAAATACATTGCCTAAGCAATTTTTTAGTTTTAGCGGTAAGACATTAAAAGTGGTTCTTTGGGTTTGAATTATGTTCCTTTATAATATTTTTTGACTATGTGATTCATACAGTCACACACACACACACAAACAGATAATCAGAGTTTACTTTAAAACTTCAAGCAAGTTATGGTTTAGGGATTATTTGAAGAAGATTTGCTTATAAATTGCAATTAATTATGAATGATATTTTGCAAAAGTACCTTGTTAAGAGATTTTTAAATGGCCATTCAATGGTAAAATAACAAGTTAAATTAAACATAATTTGTTGCATCACATTATCTTAGTTATGATTTTTGTAATTTATAATCTCTGTGTAACACGTTTTGCACAAATATTTCAATTAAAATCTCATTTTTAAAATTTTAAAATTTATTTTACATATTGCTTGTAATAAATTAGTTTGAAAAATTAAACACATTTGTACATATATTTAAATAAATATATGATTCTGTGCATTTCATTTTGAAAATTTCCAAATCAATACTATAAATATAAATATTAATTTTTCTCAATTTATAATATGTAATCTTAAGCTCATCTCTCTAATCTTCCCTTTCACACAAATGTTATTCATTTATTCATGAAGGTATCAAATATTTTTCAATATCTCCTCTCTAGTAGGTATTGAGCATAGACTAATTATAATATAACTTCATTTGGTAGTTTCCTTATGGTCAGTATTATTTATATAGATACTGTGACATCTCTGCATCATGGCAATGATTCCGAATTTATTTTGAAGGGAAAGGCCAGAAAAATATGAATATCTTGAGATTAAAATGTATTTAAAAAACAAAAGTGAAATAGCAAATAAGTGGTACAATTATAGAGATGAAGATTAAATATGGATTAAAGGGAGGGCATCAGTTTATGTAACATTATTACATATCACTCAGTAGCACTCTTTTTCTATACTCAATTGTTGAAGCCAGAAATCTGAGAATGAAAATTGGCCTTGCTTTCACCCATGTAACCCATTTCCAATTAGACATCTGTCTTGTCAATTCTACCATCATAAAAAAATATTTATGAAGTGTTTCCTTCTCTACCTTTGGTTTCCTTAGGGTTCAGCCAATAAAAAAAATAAAAATGAACAAAACTATGCCATTTAAGAGCTGTATTTTTGGAACCATAAACAAGATTTATAGACCACTAGCTAGATTAGCAAAGAAATAAAGGAAAATCCAAATAAGAAATGACAAGGATAACATTACAACAGGTCCCACAGAAGTACAAAGGATCTTAAAGACTATTATGAACACCTCCATGCACACAGATTATAAACTTTAGAGGAAGTATCTAAATTTCTGGAAACACAAAGCCTTCTAAGATTGAAATAGACAGAGAATGAAAACCTGAACAGACATGTAACAAGTTCTGAAACTGAATAAATAATAAAAAAAACCTACCAACCCAAAAAAGCCCTGAACCAGATAGATTCACAGTAGTAGTAGATTATACCAGACATATACAGAAGAACTGATACTAATCATGTTGAAACTATTCCAAAAAATGGAGGAGGTGCTCCTCCCTAACTCATTCTATGAAGGCAGCATCATCCTTATACCAAAAGCCCGCAAAGAGACAACATAAAAAGAACATATCAGGTCAATTGTCCTGATCAAAACAGATGCAAAAATCCTCAACAAAACACTAGTAAACTGAATTCAGAGGCATATCAAAAAGTTAATAACACCACAATCAAGTAAGCTTTATTCCTGGGATGCAAGGCTGGTTCAATATATGCAAATGTGATTTGACACATAAACAGAATTAAATACAAAACTACATGATCACTTCCATAGATGCTGAAAAGTGTTTCTGTAAAATCCCATATTCCCTCATGATAAAAAACCCTCAACAGATTAGGCATTTGAAGGAACATATCTCAAAATAATGAGGGCCATCTGTGACAAACCCACAACCAACATGATACTGAATGGGCAAAAGCTAGAACCATTCTCCTTGAGAACTGGAACAAGACAAGTATGCCCACTCTCATCACTCCATTTCAATATAGTACTAAAAACCCTTGCCAGAGGAATCAGGCAAGAGAAAGAAATGAAAGGCATCCAAATAGAAAATAAAGAAGTCAAAACCTTTCTCTTCTCTGATACGCTTCTATAACTAGAAAATCCTAAAGACTCCACCAAAAGTCTCCTAAAATTGATAAACAACTTCAGTAAAATTCCAGGATACAAGATCAGTGTATAAAAATCAGCAACATTTCTATACACCAATAACATTCAACATGAGAATCAAATCAAGAATACAATATTATTTAAAATAGCTACACACAAAAAATTGAAATGCATAGAAATACAGCTAACCAAGGATGTAAAAGACCTCTACAAAGAGAACTACAATACATTGCTGAAAGAAATCAGAGATGACACAAATGGAAAAGCATTCCATGCCCATGGATAGGAAGAATCAAAATCATTAAAATAGCCATACTGCACAAAACAATTTACAGATTCAATGTAATTCCTATCAAACTATCAATGTCTAATTTTTCACAGAATTGGAAAAACCTATTCTAAATTTGCATGAAACAAAAACACAACCTGAATAACCAAAGCAATCCTAAGCAAAAAGAACAAAGCCAAACGCATCACATTATCTGACTTCAAACTATACTACAAGGCTACCATAACCAAAACAGCATAGTATTACAAAAACAGACATGTAGACCAATGGAACAGAATATAGAACCAAGAAATGAAGCTTCATACCTACAATCATATTAACTTTGACAAAGCTGATAAAAAGAAGAAATGGGAAATGAACTCCCCTAATCAATATACGGTGCTGAGAAAACTGGCTAGCCATATACAGAAAATCAAACTGAACCCCTATTTTTCACCACATACAAAAATTAACTCAAGTTGTATTAAAGATTTAAATATAAGACCTACACAAATTCTACTAGAAAACCTAGGAAATATCATTCTTGAAATTGGCCTTGGCAAATAATTTTTGGCTAAGTCTTCAAAAGCAATTGCTACAACACCAAAAATTGACAAGTAAGGCTTGATTAAACTAAAGAGTGTCTACACAACAAAAGAAACTATCAACAGAGTAAACACACAGCCTACAGAATGGGAAAAAATTCAAAATGCATTTGACAAAGGTCTAATATCCAGAATTTATAAGAAATTAAAGAAATAAACTGGCAAAAGCAAATAACCTGATTAAAAAATGAACAAAGGACATGAACAGACAATTCTCAATAGAATACATACAAGTGGCCAAGACACATATGAAAAATTCCTCACCATCACTGATCACCAGAGAAGTGCAAATAAAAACCACAAGGAGACACCATCTCACAGCAGGCAGAATGGCTATAATTAAAATGCCAAAAAATAACAAGTGCTGGTGAGGCTGCAGAGAAAAAGGAACACTTCTATACTGCTAGTGTGAATATAAATTAATTCAGCCAATATTGAAAGCAATTTGAAGATTTCTTAAACAACTTAGAACCACCATTTGACCCAGGAATCACATTATTGGGTATATACTTAAGGAAAATAAATTGTTTTACCAAAGGATACGTGTATTTGTATGCTCATTGCAGCACTGTTCAAAATAGCAAAGACATGAAATCAACATAGGTGCTCATCGATGCTGCATTGGATAGGGAAAATGTACATATGCCTAATGAAACACTACACAGCCATAGAAAAGAAGAAAATCATGTCCTTTACATGGATGCAGCTGGATGCCATTATGCTAAGTGAATTAATGCAGAAACAACAACAACAAAATGCTGCTTGTTCTCACAAGTGGGAGCTAAACACTGGGAGCCCATGGACATAAAAATGGAGAAGCTAGATACTGGGGACTACTACAGTGGGGAAGTAGGTAGAGAGGTGTGGGTTAAAAACTATTAGGTTGGTGCAAAAGTAATTGTGGTTTTTACTGCAATTACTTTTGCAGCAACTTAATGCCTATCAAATAATATGCTCATGACCTGGGTGACAGGATCCATACTCCAAACCTCAGCATCTTGCAATATAACCACGGAAGACACCTGCACATGTATCCCCTGAATCTAGAAAAAGCTGCAAGTACTTAAAAACACACACACAAAAACAAATATTTCTCACTGAAAAACCTTCAGATGATGTGTTTCTTATCTTCTTAGCTGGGATCTGTAGGATTTGATTCCACAGTGCTGGTTGGATTCAGGTCTGTTTAACATATTCTTCAGTCTAGATTGAGTATCTTGCTGGCACATGATCTTCTTATGGTGGATGGAAGAACCACATGAAGGCTAGTGAAAATCTGTGACATCACTTAAGCGACTGAGAATAAACTAGCACATTGTTGTCTTTCTTACATTTCCTTGACCAAAGCAAGTCCTATGACCAACCTCAGTATCAATTACCAAGGAAAGTATACTTCACTGGCTTAAATGGAAGAAATTTCAAAGTCACAAGGCCAGGGAATTCTAGTAACATAATCTCAGACTAGCTTGAGGGACACTAATACTTCCTCAGCTAAATTAATAAGCTTCTTCCTGTTGTTCTTAGCTACCACTTCCAATCACCAGTTAACAATTCTTTTTGACACCTCTTTGAAAGTCAAGATCTTAAAACTCAAAATTGTCTAGAGTAACTATCCTTCTTAGAAATGATTTAGTGAGTTGCTATAATATTTACGATAATGTTGGACATCACATCACCTATAAGGTCTTTTAGTATCTGGTCTTGTTTATCTCTCTACTTTCTTCCTCTTGACCCAACCAACTCTTCCATAAATATGTTCCTTCCCCTGACACTTCATTTTTATTGATTGCACTTCATTTATTTTATCATAATAGTTAAGCTTCTCCTAAGCTAGGAAGACTTTATATGACTCTTTCTAATCCAGATTACGAGCTTCTTTGACATTCACTTATATCATGTAGTTTTCATGCCTTTTTCATAAGACTTATCACATAATAATATATATAATAATATATAGATGTACTTCTCTTACTACAATACTAAGTTATAATATACTATATATGATTTTAAAGTGGGATCTATACTTCTTAAATTCTCTGAAACATATATAGCACATAATAGAAAAAATAATTTATTGCACCTCTACTAAATACATTACGAGTAACCAAACTAAGAGCTTATTGGGTACAAAACTGCATAACAAAAATACACTATCCTCAAGAAGTTTTTAATATGGTAGGGAAAACAAGATTCATAAAATGTTGTAAAGTAAAAAGATTTATATTAGTGGTACAAATTAATCATGTGTGTGTATGTTATGATGTGTGTTTGTTAGTGGAAGACTATTGTTATATGGATTTTTTTCTTTTATTATTTTATTATTTTATTATTTTTATTTTTTCAGTTTTATTTTTTATTTTATTATTATTATACTTTAAGTTTTAGGGTACATGTGCACATTGTGCAGGTTAGTTACATATGTATACATGTGCCATGCTGGTGTGCTGCACAAACTAACTGGTCATCTAGCATTAGGTATATCTCCTAAAGCTATCCCTCCCCCCTCCGCCCACCCCACAACAGTCCCCAGAGTGTGATGTTCCCCTCCCTGTGTCCATGTGTTCTCATTGTTCAATTCCCACCTATGAGTGAGAATATGTGGTGTTTGTTTTTTTGTTTTTGCAATAGTTTACTGAGAATGATGATTTCCAATTTCATCCATGTCCCTACAAAGGACATGAACTCATCCTTTTTTATGGCTGCATAGTATTCCATGGTGTACATGTGCCACATTTTCTTAATCCAGTCTATCATTGTTGGACCTTTGGGTTGGTTCCAAGTCTTTGCTATTGTGAATAGTGCCGCAGTAAACATAGGTGTGCATGTGTCTTTATAGCAGCATGTTTTATAGTCCTTTGGGTATATACCCAGTAATGGGATGGCTGGGTCAAATGGCATTTCTAGTTCTAGATCCCTGAGGAATCGCCACACTGACTTCCACAACGCTTGAACTAGTTTACAGTCCCACCAACAGTGTAAAAGTGTTCCTATTTCTCCACATCCTCTCCAGCACCTGTTGTTTACTGACTTTTTAATGATTGCCATTCTAACTGGTGTGAGATGGTATCTCATTGTGGTTTTGATTTGCATTTCTCTGATGGCCAGTGATGGTGAGCATTTTTTCATGTGTGTTTTGGCTGCATAAATGTCTTCTTTTGAGAAGCATCTGTTCATGTCCTTCGCCCCCTTTTTGACGGGGTTGTTTGTTTTTTTCTTGTAAATTTGTTTGAGTTCATTGTAGATTCTGGATATTAGCCCTTTGTCTGATGAGTAGGTTGTGAAAATTTTCTCCCATTTTGTAGGTTGCCTGTTCACTCTGATGGTAGTTTCTTTTACTGTGCAGAAGCTCTTTAGTTTAATTAGATCCCATTTGTCAATTTTGTCTTTTGTTGCCATTGCTTTTGGTGTTTTAGACATGAAGTCCTTGCCCATGCCTATGTCCTGAATGGTAATGCCTAGGTTTTCATCTAGGATTTTTATGGTTTTAGGTCTAACATTTAAAGTATTTAATCCATCTTGAATTAATTTTTGTATAAGGAGGAAGGAAGGGATCCAGTTTCAGCTTTCCACATATGGCTAGCCAGTTTTTCCAGCACCATTTATGAAATAGGGAATCCTTTTCCCATTGCTTGTTTTTGTCAGGTTTGTCAAAGATCAGCTAGTTGTAGATATGCGGCGTTATTTCTGAGGGCTCTGTTCTGTTCCATTGATCTATATCTCTGTTTTGGTACCAGTACCATGCTGTTTTGGTTGCTGTAGCCTTGTAGTATAGTTTGAATTCAGGTAGCATGATGCCTCCAGCTTTGTTCTTTTGGCTTAGGATTGACTTGGTGATGTGGGCCCTTTTTTGGTTCCATATGAACTTTAAAGTAGTTTTTTCCAATTCTGTGAAGAAAGTCATTGGTAGCTTGATGGGGATGATCAAGTGGGCTTCATCTCTGGGATGCAAGGCTAGTTCAATATACGCAAATCAATAAATGTAATCCAGCATATAAACAGAACCAAAGACAAAAACCACATGATTATCTCAATAGATGCAGAAAAGGCCTTTGACAAAATTCAACAATGCTTCATGCTAAAAACTCTCAATAAATTAGGTATTGATGGGATGTATCTCAAAATAATGAGAGCTATCTATGACAAACCCACAGCCAATATCATACTGAATGGGCAAAAACTGGAAGCATTCCCTTTGAAAACTGGCACAAGACAGGGATGCCCTCTCTCACCACTCCTATTCAATATAGCGTTGGACGTTCTGGCCAGGGCAATCAGGCAGGAGAAGGAAATAAAGGGTGTTCAATTAGGAAAAGAGGAAGTCAAATTGTCCCTGTTTGCAGATGACATGATTGTATATCTAGAAAACCCCATTGTCTCAGCCCAAAATCTCCTTAAGCTGATAAGCAACTTCAGCAATGTCTCAGGATACAAAATCAGTGTACAAAAATCACAAGCATTCTTATACACCAATAACAGACAAACAGAGAGCCAAATCATGAGTGAACTCCCATTCACAATTGCTTCAAAGAGAATAAAATACCTAGGAATCCAACTTACAAGGGACGTGAAGGACCTCTTCAAGGAGAACTACAAACCACTGCTCAAGGAAATAAAAGAGGATACAAACAAATGGAAGAACATTCCATGCTCATGGGTAGGAAGAATCAATATCATGAAAGTGGCCATACTGCCCAAGGTAATTTATAGATTTATATGGATTATTGCTTAGACGTGTGTGTGTGTGTGTGTGTGTGTGTGTGTGTGTGTGTGTGTGGTGGAGTCTCACTCTGTCGCCCAGGCTGGAGTGCAGTGGCAAGATCTCAGCTCACTGCATACTCCACCTTCAAGGCCCAACGAATTCTCCCACCTAAGCCTCTCAAGTAGCTGGAGTTACATGCACCCACCACCACGCCTGGCTCGTTTTTATATTTTTAGTAGAGATGGGGTTTCGTCATGTTGGACAGGCCAGTCTCAAACTCCTGACCCTAGGTGATCCACCCGCCTTGGCCTCCCAAAGTGCTGGGGTTATAGGCGTGAGCCACTGCACCCCGCCACTTATGTATTTGTTAGATATTTTATGTGGAATGGTAGGTCACTGGATTTTTTTAAACAGATAAATGAAATGATCGAAATTGGGCTTTATAAAAAAATTTAATGTGTGATAATATGCAGAATAAATTGAAAGATACATTTAGGGACTAGTTGAAACCACTGACAAATAATGCAGGCTTACACTTTTCAGGGCATGCTGATTTTGAAAGATTCATAGACTGAAGAAACCCAAAGAATACAAGCGCTAGAAAGGACACTAGAGATGATCTCATACAATTGCCTCGATTTGTTTTTTATGCTCTTGAGGTTCAGTTTTGTTATGTGTCCTATATCAGCTTCATGAAATTTTAACATTTGAAATGAAAATACTGGGTCAATCCCCTAGATAACTTTAAAAGCAAAATAAGGAAAATACACACTGACCTAAACCAAGTATTATCATAGTATAAAAAGGTATTTGTCAACTGATAATCTTCTGTGCAGAATTACAAATAAAATATGTAGATACTCCACCCTAAATAGCCAGTAGCCTAACTCCCCATTTTTAAGTATAGGTGCACATAGTGACTTTTTTCCAAAGAGATAATTATAGAAAGAGTGGTGATAAAAGAGACAAGAACTCCACAGTGGAGAAACCTAAAACATAACCAAGTTCAATGTCAACAGTCATAAATAATGTTGATAACAAGTACTCTTGATATAATGTGATAAATTTGACACATATATGATATTCTTCCCACAAACCCCTATCTCTAGTCTAATGATGAGTAGAATATTAGACATATTCTAATAAAGAGGCATCTTGCAATATGCTTGACTGATATTCCTAATTATGTCAAGGTCATCAAACCAGAAAAGTCTAAGAAACTGTCAGAGCCAAGAAGAGCTGATGGAATCATGGAAATTAGTATAATGTAGTGTCGTGGATGAGATCCTGGGGCAGTAAAAGGACATAAGGTAAAAACTAAGAAAATCTGAATAAATGACTAATTTTAGTTAAATATAAGTTATCAACATTGGTCCATTAATGGTGAGAAATACAAGTGTAACATACTAAAGTAAGATGGTAATAACAGAGGAAACAGTGTGGGAGTCCGTATAGTAACCATATTATCAGCTCAATTTTTTCTATAAATCTACCACTATTCTAAAAATAGCTTAATTAAAAAATCAACAAAGTTATGAAATACTTAAATTATGGAATGTCTTCATAATATTAATGTTATTAATAATATTTAGAGAAAGAAATCTTTTCACTATAATTGTTTAACAAGTTAGCTGTTATTCCAGGGATCTTAAAATATTTACCTTTTATTCCATTTGGTTTCTTTTTACTTATTTGGATATTATTAAATTGTGTGTGTGTGTTTGTATGTGTGTGCATAACCATTCTTATTTTATACTATGACCTATAAGAAAACCAAAAGGAAAAATATGAAAATGAATTGTAGAATCAGGTATTCTAACATTATTATTTAACTAATCACAAGCATATCTGATCAGAAATAGTTATTTGATAATTGATTAATTACTTTGGATTAACACTTGTCTTTACATTCTTCAATATAGAAGTTATGAATTTTAGATTGATGGCAGTAAAATTTGTACTGAATATGTGAAGCACAATATAAGACTCATACTCTTGTATAGTCTCGAAAAACACTTTCATTCAATTATTTATAATGTTTATCTGGTATACCTCCAGAAACGTTCTGATTAATTTATATCTTTATGTAGTTAATTTAAATCATTTCTTTTGTTGTGCATAATTAGTAGTTTCTCCGCATTAAATAAAGTCTGTTTTTAGTTGTTCAAACAAAAGAAAATTTTGCTTCTTCAATTTTTCACAATCAACCGATATCTAACTAACCTAAGTGTCCCTCCTCCTTTTTCTTTTAATCTTATCAAGGGCCTAATGATTTTCCCTTACTTTTCCTTAAATAGGTCAGTTAATTACTTCCTGTCTAACATCCATTCAATAACACATACAAAGCACTCTATTTTCAAAGAAGGAATATATTTGAGTGTTTAATTCGCATCTTGCCATCAGTTCATCTTGATTTCCCTATGTCAAAAACCAGTCTAATTTTATCTACACTTGACTGAATATATTACAAATAGAGGCTACTTATAGTTCTATGGAAGAATAGTTTTTTATTCTCTTATAATTTGTTATTTAAAAGTTAACTATAAATAGCATAAAAGTATATATTCTAGGAAAGTCTCTAAAGCAGTATTAATTAAATTTGGGCCAATGTCCCGTTCCTCTCCAATCTGATTTTGTGATGATGACAAATCTTTCAAAGTCAAAGAGAAATCTTTGACAAATTTTAAGATGCCTACAAAATTCTAATGCAAAAATAACTCCTTGTTTAACATTAGAGTCCAAGGTTGCACAATAAAACAGTGCATAAACATGTTTTCCGGACATAAAATCTATATTAAGCAGGCTATTATATTTCTATAAACCAACAAAATTTTGCTAAAAAATTTAATTTTCAAAATAAAATTTAAAAATTAATTTATGGTAAAAATTTGTTTATTGTCAGAAATTTATGGTAACTCATAAAATTTCTAAAATATTTTATACATAAATGTCAATATCTTTTTAGATTATATAACTTATCAAAACATCTCAATTTATAGTTAAAAATAAAGCTGCATATTCTGATGGACTTAAAGATTCAACATAATGTTTAAGATTTTATTTTAAACATTAAAATAGGTTTATTGATTGCTCAATGATAATACTATAATTTCAAACAAAATTGCAATACTTTATGTGTGTGTATATATGCATGTACAAATCAACAGCTTAATTGTAAAATGTATGTGGAAGAACAAAGAACAAGAATAAGCCAGAGCAAAAGTGGATCATCCGAGGTCAAGAATTGAAGCTAAGTAAGCCTGGCCAACGTGGTGAAACCCCGTCTCTATTAAAAATACAAAAATCAGCCAGGTGTGGCGGCGGGCACCTGTAGTCCCAACCACTTGGGAGACTGAGGCAGGAGAATCGCTTGAACCCTGGAGGCCGAGTATGCAGTGAACCGAGATCGTGTCACTAAGCTCCAGCCTGGGCGACAGAGGGAAACTCCGCCTTAAAAAAAAAAAAAAAAAGGTTACTAGCAAGCACACAGTCACCTCCAAGCACACACTGCAATAAAGGAAGCATCAGAGTGAACAGACACATTTCACATTTTATCAGCAATCGGAATTTTTTTTTTTTTTTTTTTGAGACAGAGTCTGGCTCTGTCGTCCAGGATGGCGCAATCTTGGCTCACTGCAAGCTCTGCCCCCGGGTTCACGCCATTCTCCAGTCTCAGCCTCCGCAGTAGCTGGGACTACAGGCGCCCGCAATCACGCCCAGCTAATTTTTTTGTATTTTTAGTAGAGACGGGGTTTCACCATGTTAGCCAGGATGGTCTCAATCTCCTGACCTCGTGATCTGCCCGCCTGGGCCTCCCAAAGTGCTGGGATTATAGGCGTGAGCCACCATGCCCAACCTTTTCTTTTTTCTTTTTTTTTTGAGACTGAGTGTCGCTCTGCTGCCAAGCTGTAGTGCAGTGGAGTGATCTCGGCTCACTGCAACCTCCACCTCCCGGGTTCAAGCGATTCTCCTGTCTCAGCCTCCTGAGTATCTGGGCCTAAGCACACCACCACCATGCCTGGCTAATTTTTGTATTTTTAGTAGAGACGGGGTTTCACCACATTGGCCAGGCTGGTCTCGAAGTCCTTACCTCATGATCCACCCGCCTTGGCCTCCCAAAATGCTGGGATTAAAGGCGTGAGCCATTGCACCCGACCAGCAATGGGAATTTAAGTTGATGCTTAGAAGCTTGTCTTCAAATTTCACATAAATCAAGTTTTTAATTCTGTGAAAAGCTCAGCTTAATGGAGTGGGCTTCCCGTTATCCTACACATACCCAAACTAATCAAAGTATAAAGTAATAAAATAGATATGGTGCCTTGCCTTGTGCTGTAATTATGCAAATACTTGTGATTACTCTGAACAGTTTTACTTTAAGGTGTTCTGAGAGAATCATGCAAAAACAAACCCAGCAGAAATTGGCTTTTCAAAATTCCAGTTAATTGTTTCTTTTTTTTTTTTTAATGAAAGCTTAGAGATAATTCATTTTGTTGTTGTTGTGACTTTGAAATTTGATATTTACAGTTATTTAAAAACTTGATGAGAGATTCAGTAGCTCCAAAGACAATGAGTTTTTCTGAAGAATGACTTATTTTAAAGACTCTGGCTGGCAATGATTTTCTGCGAGATCAGAAGACCTGAAACGTATCGACTCTCTCAGCAAATTTTGAAAAAAGAGTCACATTGCCAGACAATATTTTGTTTAAATTAAACATAAAATTTGTATTCTATACATAAATTCAATAACTAGAATTTTATCCAATCACTTGTTTCTATTTTCTAACCAAGTGAGTACCTGAATAAGAAAAGGGCCATAACATTTTATATGTTTGCACATGTGTGTGTTTATATGTATGTATGAGAATTTTAAATATTTATATTGCTATCAAACAATACTCGTAACATAGTGTTGCCAATGAGTATTATGGATAGGACTTTTAAACCAGTTAGAGAAAAATTTAAAAGGCCCTACTTAATAGTGTTTGTAGATTTCCTTGGTGTAAATAAAAGCTATCAGAGTGAGGAAGTGAGTGCACTGAACTCAGAGTTAAGGCGAGATATACACAATTGTCTCTTGCAGGCTGGTGGGGGTCAGTGTGAATTGTTTCCAGCATATCATTAGAAATCAAGAAGTGTAAAGTCTAAACCTAAAAATAGTTAAAATATAGAGATTATGTTTTAAAATATAAAGATTAAAAGGTAATCAGGATGACCTATTACTGTATAATGTTAGTTCAATGAATTAGAAATGAAGTGGATGTTAGCACTATTCACCCACAAGAAGTAAATTAGTAACGCATATAAGTAGCCAAGATTAAAAACAATGTACTTAGATGCCTAGGCAAAACATTATCATAACTACTATTGCGTTCTAAATGATTTTAAACAATTTTTTGATTTAATTCTGAAAAACTTGACCAATAAGCTCAATATGTGATGTTTAGAATTCAGTCATGTAAATTTTTAAAAAATAGTCAAGAGAACATGTAATTGATTGATTAATTCACTAATTAGTTCATTAAACATATCTAAATTTGAATATAATATATAATCACAAACAACTTGTCTACTTTCTTCTACATAAATTTCAAAACTAGCTGAAAACTCAATCTAAAAAGAGGTTTGAGATTCCTTAATGAGGGGGGTAATAACATCAGACATGTCAAAAAGATGCTGCCCAGATTTTTTTAAACAATAATTTCATTCTATAATGTCCTATATGCAAATAATAACAGTCTGCAAGACAGAGTTCAATGCTTTTTAAAATTAAAGATGTATATTAAAGGAAAATAATTTTAATAGTGCCCTCATTTTATTTCTTTCTGTAAAGAATATCCATGTTAGAATCATGCAAAAATTGTGTTAATATTTTTAAGAGGGACAATTTATAGTAGCACCAACATACGTAAAGACATTGGAATAAAGGTAATAAACTATGTGAACATTAAAGAAAAACAAATGTTCACTGCTGACTCTTCCACACAAGACACCTACAAACTGTTGATCAACCAGAGTTGACTACACAAATTACTTTAGCAAATAGGAGCCCACTTTGACAGTATCTCAGTAGTGTCTGAGAAAGGGTCATTAAGGAAAGATATTCATAAGTTATTTTTTTTCTTAAGTGGTTTAGTGTGTTAGTCAAGGTATTAACCTGGTCGAGACTGGGCAAAATTCAATGGCAGATATTGGAAGGTAAGAGGCTTGAGGCAAGTTATTAAATGCAATTTGTTGTCCTGAGAAGCAAGCTCTTGGTTAAGAATGGCAAACTATCAATAGAGAAAAACAAATCCAAACATTTGTTACATTACACAGGCAATTTAAGGTTTAAGTTATAACAATGTGGTGAAGAATGTGGCCCCAATTTTCAATGATGTTTCATATTCATGGAGTTACTCCTGAAATCAATCAATAGATGTATTGCATTCCAGATGGAATCCTTGGTGTTTTTCTATATTTATGTCTGTACACACATGCATAATTTGACCAGCTGGTGTTAATGAAAATAAAAAGAATTCACAGGTAGCTAAATACCTCTGAAGAAGAATTTAAAACTTATTATAGGACAATAGTAAATACAGAGTACAGTTTGAGTACAAATTAAAAAAAAAATCCAAAATCAGACTCATGCATTAACTGACTTGTGGCACTGCTGACATGTTAGCGCAGTGATGAACAGATGGTATTTTCAATGAGCAGTGGTGTATAAATGGAATACACCTATGAAAAAGTAATAGAAAGTTAACCTCTAACAAACATTACACCTGAAAGTAAATAATGTCAAGTGTCTTGAAGGTTGAAATGTAAAATATAAAGCAAAAGTTTTGGAGAAAATAATAGAAAACAAAACCTTCATGACTTTAAAGAAGGCAAACATTTTCTCTTAAATGTAACACAGAAAGTGAACAATTTTAAAATAAAATTATTGATTAATGAGACTATATAAAATTTGTTGATCAACAGGCATTTTTAAAGATGTGACAAAGCAAGCTGTAGAGTAGAAGAAGATGGTGGTATAAATCAGTCTGGCAAAAAACTCATATCTCAGATATATAAATAACCAAGAAATAAAAGGCAAACTATTTTTAATTACCCTTTAAGACTTTAAGTGATAGTCTTTTATTAAAAGACTAACAAAAGAGGACATCCACATGGCTAAACAGCATAGGAAAAATAATTTTATTAGTTACCTGAGCAATGGAAATTATACAACTATGTGAAACCTATATATCTATTGGAATGAATACCAACAGCAAAAAGGAAACAAAGATACCAAGAGAAAGCTGCTAAGTGTGGGTGAGAATATGGAACAAGCAGAACCATCTTATACCTCTGCTGAAATTTAACTTGTTAAAACCTCTTTGAAAGAGTGGCAATAATTACTGTTAAAACAACAAACAAACAAAGCCAGATACTTGTTAAGGTGAGAAAACAGATTTTATTCAAACTGCTGCAGTAGAAAGATTAGCTCAACTCCAATATGTGCAGAGGTGATTGGCCATTTTAAAGGGAGAATGAGGGAATAGGGCTGCAGACTGAGCATGAGTTTGAGCAGAGTTAGGGATGTGGAAAATTACAAAAAGCAGCTAAGGAACTTGGCCAAAGTGATTAGGCCGTTTGTGTCCACTAACTGGCCCTTATCAAAGTAATATTTCTACTCTTCTAAAGGAACTGGAAGACAGGGGCTCTATCTTTCTTGATGATACCATTTTAGAGGGATGGTTCCCAGGATCCTTGGTTGTAGAATAAGCAACTCAAATAGACAAAAGATTTACCATTGCAAGTTTCCTAAATGCTCGAAGAAAAGGGAGGTTAGGGCTTACATGAAGATTGTGGCTAGAAAGCACAGAAAATTCTTTTGGTAGCATTTAGCATTCTCAAACTGGCATTGAAGGGAATTGGGGTCATCAGCCAAGTGAATGTCCTTTGCTGATAGAAATGATACTAGTGTTTAAAAGTGTCTTTGTGTGGAGGATAGTTTAAACTGTGTTGAGAGTTGCAGTTCTTAGAGAGCTGAGTTGAGGCCTAGTTGAGAAGAGGGCTTAGAGCAATCTGACAGTATTATGGTCAAGGAGAGAGTCTTTGTGACTACTAAATATTAATGTATGTGTATTTTCTAACAGAAGAAAATTAATAAAGAGACAGATGTAGGATATGGCATAATAGAAAATATTGATTATCCCACAAGTAGGTTCAATATGAGAGAATAAAGAAACACCAAACAGAAGGTTAAAAAAATAGTCACAAGAGGCCAGGCACAGTGGCTCACGCCTGTAATATCAGCACTTTGTGGGGCTGAGGCGGGCAGATCACGAGGTCAGGAATTCGCGACCAGCCTGGCCAATATGGTGAAACCCCGTCTCTACTAAAAATACAAAAATTAGCCAGGCGTGGTGGTGCATGCCTGTAGTCCTAGCTACTTGGGAGGCTGAGGCAGAAAAATCTCTTGAACCCAGGAGGTGGAGGTTGCAGTGAGCTGAGATCGCGCCACTGCACTCCAGCCTGAGTGACAGAACGAGATTCAGTCTCAAAAAAAAAAAAAAAAGTCACTAGATAGATTTGATCCAAGCATATTTGTGATTACTTTAAATATCAATTGACCACATATTCCAAGGTTGTCAAGTTAGATAAACCAAAACTATTCAGCAATATGCCACTTTTAAGAGACGTATCTTAAATATAAAACACAGAGGCTAAAACAAAATAATAAAAATGTTTATATTACATAAAATCACTGAATAAAAGGAAGCTGGTTGAGCCATACTAATATTTAGTCGCACATACTCAATTTTGAGGCAGAACATTTATTACAGTAATATGTAAAATGTCTTTTACAGTAATAAATGTGATTAATTCATTAAATGACATAATCCTGCATGTATATGCCTCCAACATTATAGCCTCATAATTTATAAAGGAAGAAGAAACTGACAGAAATAAAAGAAATAGAAACACTTGCAATCAGAGAGGGGGAATTTAATATACATCTCAATAACTAGGAAAAGCAGAACAAATTCAGTAATGGTTAGGAATTATGAATTCAATTAAAACCTTGGTCCACATAGATATATTTTTGGAACATTGAACCAATATAACACAATGTCTTAGTCTATACCAAGGTAGGGCCTGCTTTCTGATTCATAGATAGTGCTTTCTTGCCTGTCCCCACATGGTGGAAGAGATGAATGAGTTCCTTTGGGACTCATTCCAGAGGGCTCCACCATTATGACATATCATCCCCCAAAGTCTCCACTTCCTAACACCATCACCTTGGGGATTAGGATTTAAACATATGAATTTTTGGGGAAACACAAACATGCAGACCATAAAACAATATGTATCATTTCAGGTAGAGATAGAGCATTTAGTAAATTTGACTATATACTAGGCCATAGAGAAATCATCAAGCTATTTCAAATGATTGGTGTCATATAAAATGTGTTCTCTGATCACAGTGGAATTAAACAACTAGAAAAGCTTCTAACTAGATGGAATCAACACAATAACCATCTGAATTATTTATGGTTTAAAGGAGAAATCACAATTAAAAACAGAAAAAATTTAAACTGAATATCAATGACAATATATGTCAATACTTTTTTGATGTAACTAAAACAATGATAAAATAGAAATTTATAAGTAAAAATATGTATTTAATTAAAAAGCAAGAGTGCCTTTTAAAAAGTGATCTAAGGTGGTATTTCTATGGCTAGAAAAATTTTAGTAACTCAAAGTAGAGAAAGGAAATAAAGATTTTTCAATGAAACACAAAGGAATGTTCAATATAGAAAATCAACTAAGCCAAAAGCTAGTTCTTAGCTTCATTAATCAAATGAATAACACTCTAGAATGACAGAGTTCAAAAAAAAAGCAGAAAGAAAACATCATAAATTGCCAATATTCCAATATAAGAATATAACAATGTGGGGGTGGGTTTGGGGAGGAGAAGGCAGAGGGTCCTTACAGACTCTGCAGTCATTTTGAAATATAGTAACAGGATATAAATAATTCCATCTCAAAAATTAACAAATTAGTGAAACTGAACAAACTCAACATAAAATAAAATATAATTTGGCAAACTGATAGAACAAAATGGGCAAGTGAGCTGTCTTTATTTATTAAAGAGATTCAATCTGTTACAAAACATGTTCTTACAAAAAAAACTAGTGGTCAAAAAACTTTCTCAAAAATTCTGAGGAAAATTCTCATTCTCTGTTGGTTTGAATGTGGATCTAATTGTTCTTTTCCATCCCATTGCCTATATTTATCTCAGTACCACGGGGAAGTAAATATATTTTTTCTTCCTGGTATATTCTTAATGATTAAGAAGAAAAAAAAATTCCAAATTAAATCTTAATTTTGCCTGTAGTCCCTAATGCCTGTTTTCACACCTTGCTTTAATGCGAATAGATTTTAATTTAAATGTGATTTCCTTAGGGGATTTCAAATCAGTGAGCCACAAGTGGTTAACACTGGCCCAGAGATATTAGCATATTTAGGTACCACTACCCTAAGGAGAGAGGTGTAACAACAGCTGCATTTTTCCCTCCATGTCATAGCATAAAATTATCTTAGCTTATTATGTGTATTTGATATAATAAATTCTACCATTTCCCACATGTTTCAAAACCCAGTGCATGTAATACTTGGTTCTTTTCTGGGAAGTGAAAGGTGGTAAAAGTCAGGAAGGAATGTTTTGCCTCTTTAAAAATATGACTTATTTTTAAGAACCTACATGGAGCCATGATGATTGTATAGAGGAGGATGATGATAACATTGATAATGATAAATCCAGTACCAAAGACAATTAAAATGCATGAGAGATAGGCCATTGTCTTTAATTCAAATATAGATTTTTTTTCATTAAAAATAAAGCTTTCAGGTGTCTTTGAATAAATCTTGATGCATTTTTAGAGACAAGTTTAGCTCTAGACATAACCAACTGGAGCATTTTATTAAATAGCTGAGCTCTGCTCCACAGTTTCAATCTCCAGGCTTATAATAGAATTCCTGATTTCTTTATGTTGGATTTTCTACTAATAGTACTCACAACTTGAAGCCTTTGCTCTTAGATATTGCTTCTCTTAATGATTCCTAGTTCTCCTTAGTGCCACTTAAATTATTAAGATATTCGTTTATCAATTCTCTTCTCCATTGCCTCTTTTTGAAAGTTGCTGCTGAGCTTGAAAGTGCATAGAGGAATGCTCAGAAAACGTAAGGAAGAAATTTAAGAGTAACAAGAGTGCTGTCTTTCTCCACTCCAATAAGAACATTTTAAGACACTTGTGAGATTATCTTTTACCCCTGTTGGCTTTCACTTTTATTACAACATTTTTACTAAGATTGGCAAAGTTGGCAAACAGCTATTCCAGTGTGATCTTTGTAGGGAATGGTGATATAAATGATAACAGCTGTAACTGATTTTCTTTCTCCTAAGAAATCAGCCTCCTTATCAACACTGTATCTATTGCAAGTCCTTTTCGTAGTTTTGTAGTCCTAAGACATTCAGAAAACAACAACAACAACAACGAAATTAAACCACGAAGATATAGTGCATTGATATGTACTGTATAATTTGGTCACTGAGGATTTTATATAAGATTTCAACAAGCCTCTAAATAAGCCTAATTACCTAAGCCTATGATGAAATTGGACAGCTTCTCCAGCAGATCACCTGTATCACAAAATTTGAGATTTGAAGGCAATGGGAGACCAATACAGCTTCCAGGTTTTTCTTACGGGTTTTAATTTTTTCTTGTTTTTTTTTCCACTGCACATCCATTTTATCTCTCCACTGTCTGCCCTTCCAAAATTCAGTCCCAGCAAGATTTTTTTTTTAAAGAACATAAATGTTTAACTAACTGGTACAACTATGTAAGGTCACACACTTACATTAAGTTCCATATTCTATATCGTTTCTAGTAGTTTTGTTTATATGATGGAATTCTGACTGAAGTAGTAAATCTCCCTACTTCTTATGTGGTGACTGCCTTGAAGTTGTAGTATGATACTTCATTAGCAGAAATTAGTTAACCCCTTTTTCATTACTGTTACAACTTCACTTTACTTCCGCCCTCCCCACCGCTACTACCTACCTAACAAAAGCTGGAAGATAGCAAACATAGCATATGGGTCTGTTCAAGTAGTAGAACTTATAAACAAGCAAAGCTATGAGTAATTAGGATTAAAAAATATGATTTAGAGTTGTAACCTGTCTGAATTATAATAAATTATTGTGCAAAGTTATTAACAAAAATTATCACACATTTACTTCAAAACTCCAATTTTAGGTAAAGGGTGGTGTACTGGAAGCATCTTATTCAGGCTTGAATGTTGCTTCTTTTTGCAACTTTGTTTTCAAGATATCATACTAGTAGCTTGAAATAAGCACTGCTAGAAGTATTTATATCACACAAATTGCCAAACACTATAAATAGAGCTCTCTCACCCAAGAGTCAATTTTTACACATTTACCAGCGTATCAATTCAGGTATGTATCATTTCTCTATTACGAATATTAAAATTGACCCATATAGCATTTTTTCTCAGTGATATAAAGCCATGTGGTAAGAGAAATACTATAGTAAGTATAGTTTTTTACCACAGTTTTATGAACACTATCTTTGAAGTCGTATTTTCTCAGCAAAAAAAGCAAGAGAGAGTAAATTATTTCAAAAGAAATAAATGAACTGGGAAGCTTATTGCAAGAGTGTTTTATATAAATTGGTCCTAAGGTTTTTCAAAGAACCAGCTCGGAAATTTTTGTTGTGAGATTTGAGTTAACACATTTATTAGTTTTATTATCTAGTGCCTCATATAGTAATTTTCCAATTACTACTTATGAGCTTCTCATACTTTTAATCTCGTTATATAAAGTGTTTCTATAAACACAAATCCAAACTTCTGTATTTGTCAATAAGCAGGAAAAAATGCATGGAAAGTGATAAAATTTTGTAAAAAAAAGTTTAATTTCAGAATTCATTGGAAAAATATATTGTTATAATTGAACTCACCAGTTAAGTTCCATCTTCCCCCTAAAAAAATACAATATTTTAAAAGTTTTCAGCAGTAATTTTTAAATTAAATTTTAATTTGTATGTGTGATTGATGGAAGAGCTCTGACTACATTTCAGAGCTAAATGTAAGCAAGAAAACAAAACAATTATTAGCCTCCATCTCAAGTTTATTTTGACACTTTATAGTCTAACACAGTTTGGATTTTTAAATTGCTTTCATTTTTTTAAAAAAGTAGCTTACACCTGTATTTAAAATTTTTTAAAGAAGGCCAATGAAAGCATACACAAGAAAGTCTACTTCTAACGACTCTAAAGAAAATAATCTCAAGAAATAGTAACTATATTAATTAGAAAAACAATTGTCTTCTACACTAAGCAAACACAAATAGCTTGAAAATTAATTTGTATAAATTGCCTTTTTTTCTTGTGTTTATTTTTATGGGGAGACTCTGTGAGTTTCATATAGCTTATGCCTTTTAGAACATAGAGTGATAGAAGTATTTATTTTTCTCAGTAGATTACCAGCTTTCAGAACTTTCATCCAAAACTAAGCAAATAAGATCAGGAAAATATATATTGAAAGCTGGAATATTTGATTTGTGTGCAAATGGTATACACAAGAAGTCAATTTAGTTGCTTAACTCTTTTCATGCATTGGTTATTTTAAAAGTACATGAAAAATGTTCAAAAATAAAGGTAAATTATTCACCAGATCCTGCAATATTATTCAATTTGCCTCAGGCACAATTTTATAGAAAGCCCCTAGAGCAAGCAAGACCAAAATGTAGTTTAATGATAAAAATGTACCTTTCTGGCCGGGCGAGGTGGCTCAGGACTATAATCCCAGCACTTTGGGAGGGAAAGGCAGGTGGATGGCCTGAGGTCAGGAGTCTGAGACCAGCCTGGCCAATATGGTGAAACCCTATCTCTACTAAAAATACAAAAATTAGCCAGGCATGGTGGTGTGCGCCTATAATCCCAGCTACTCAGGAGGCTGAAGCAGGAGAATTGCTTGAACACGGAAGGTGGACGTTGCAGTGAGCCTAGATCGCGCCACTGCACTCCATCCTGGGTGACCGAGAGACCCTCTGTCTCAAAAAAAAAAAAAAAAAAAAATGCACCTTTCCAAGAGCACTTCTTTAACATCACTCACAGACAACAGTAGCAGCTGGAAATAGGTATATACGATTGAATGCAGTACAATAGATATATCAAATTCAACATTATATGAATATTCTAACAGTGATAGCACCTTTGAATTGGTTAGCTTAAGTCTAGATAGATGGGAATGAATTATGTTGATCTAGAGGGCACACATAATCCCATGGTAGCAGAAAATTCAGCATTCTTCTGAAATTATACATAAAACATTGCTCAGCTTGACAATTAACTAGTTTAAGTCTCAATCATATTTGCATACTAATAGGAAAACATCATTAGATATGTGGAAAAGGGGTAAAAACAAGCTATTAGAATATTAACAGATAGAGGACATTGAAAATGGCTTGACAGTACTTGCCTCTTTGAGAAACGTGGCAGTGATGGCTCTATGCAAAGCAAGATGACAGAGAAGGCTGCTATGTGAATGTGAAATGTCTGTTATTAATAATGGGTCCAGGAGCTCAGAGTGTAGAAGCCGATTGTTATTTTATGCAAAGTGGCATAATGAAAGCAATAAGAAATTGGCATTTATGGTGTCTTGACCTAAAGGAGGCTCTGGCATTAGTTAATAGATCAGTTTTCAGGGTTAAGATAGTTGGTCAGAAGACTAAAGTTTTGCTCTTAGTTGGTCAGAAGAATAAAGTTTTGCTCAATTTGTAGAATAAAAAAAATAGGAAGATATTATCAACCACTCCAGTAAAAAAAAAAAAAATGCCTTGCTCAATTTTGATGTCTGAGCCAATTCACGGTTATAAACCCAATGACTGTAGGCTGGGTCCCATTGAATAGGGAAAAAAAAATGTCACTGCAAGTAATTTCAATACTTATTTTAATTCTTCTTTAAAGATGCGCCCAGCGTGAGCGACGCAGAAGACGGTGATTTCTGCATTTCCATCTGAGGTACCGGGTTCATCTCACTAGGGAGTGCCAGACAGTGGGCGCAGGTCAGTGGGTGCGCGCACCATGCCTGAGCCAAAGCAGGGCAAGGCATTGCCTCACTCGGGAAGCACAAGGGGTCAGGGAGTTCCCTTTCCGAGTCAAAGAAAGGGGTGACGGACGGCACCTGGAAAATCGGGTCACTCCCACCTGAATACTGCGCTTTTCCGACGGGCTTAAAAAACGGCGCACCACGAGATTATATCCCACACCTGGCTTGGAGGGTCCTACGCCCACGGAGTCTCGCTGATTGCTAGCACAGCAGTCTGAGATCAAACTGCAAGGCAGCAGCGAGGCTGGGGGAGGGTGCCCGCCATTGCCCAGGCTTGATTAGGTAAACAAAGCAGCTGTGACGCTCGAACTGGGCGGAGCCCACCACAGCTCAAGGAGGCCTGCCTGCCTCTGTAGGCTCCACCTCTGGGGGCAGGGCACAGACAAACAAAAAGACAGCAGTAACCTCTGCAGACTTAAATGTCCCTGTCTGACAGCTTTGAAGAGAGCAGTGGTTCTCCCAGCACGTAGCTGGAGATCTGGGAAGGGGCAGACTGCCTCCTCAAGTGGGTCCCTGACCCCTGACCCCTGAGCAGCCTAACTGGGAGGCACCCCCAAGTAGGGGCACACTGACACCTCACACTGCAGGGTATTCCAACAGACCTGCAGCTGAGGGTCCTGTCTGTTACAAGGAAAACTAACAAACAGAAAGGACATCCACACCAAAAACACATCTGTACATCACCATCATCAAAGATCAAAAGTAGATAAAACCACAAAGACGGGGAAAAAACAGAACAAAAAAACTGGGAAACTCTAAAAAGCAGAGAGCCTCTCCTCCTCCAAAGGAACGCAGTTCCTCACCAGCAACGGAACAAAGCTGGATGGAGAATGACTTTGACGAGCTGAGAGAAGAAGGCTTCAGACGATCAAATTACTCTGAGCTATGGGAGGACATTCAAACCAAAGGCAAAGAAGTTGAAAACTTTGAAAAAAATTTAGAAGAATGTATAACTAGAATAACCAATACAGAGAAGTGCTTAAAGGAGCTGATGGAGCTGAAAACCAAGGCTCGAGAAATACATGAAGAATGCAGAAGCCTCAGGAGCCGATGCAATCAACTGGAAGAAAGGGTATCAGCAATGGAAGATGAAATGAATGAAATGAAGCGAGAAGGGAAGTTTAGAGAAAAATGAATAAAAAGAAATGAGCAAAGCCTCCAAGAAATATGGGACTATGTGAAAAGACCAAATATACGTCTGATTGGTGTACCTGAAAGTGATGGGGAGAATGGAACCAAGTTGGAAAACACTCTGCAGGATATTATCCAGGAGAACTTCCCCAATCTAGCAAGGCAGGCCAACATTCAGATTCAGGAAATACAGAGAACACCACAAAGATACTCCTCTAGAAGAGCAACTCCAAGACACATAATTGTCAGATTCACCAAAGTTGAAATGAAGGAAAAAATGTTAAAGGCAGCCAGAGAGAAAGGTCAGGTTACCCTCAAAGGGAAGCCCATCAGACTAACAGCAGATCTCTTGGCAGAAACCCTACAAGCCAGAAGAGAGTGGGGGCCAATATTCAACATTCTTAAAGAAACGAATTTTCAACCCAGAATTTCATATCCAGCCAAACTAAGCTTCATAAGCAAAGGAGAAATAAAATCCTTTACAGACAAGCAAATGCTGAGAGATTTTGTCACCACCAGGCCTGCCCTAAAAGAGCTCCTGAAGGAAGCACTAAACATGGAAAGGAACAACCGGTACCAGCCGCTGCAAAGTCATGCCAAAATGTAAAGACCATCAAGACTAGGAAGAAACTGCATCAACTAATGAGCAAAATAACCAGCTAACATCATAATGACAGGATCAAATTCACACATAACAATATTAACTTTAAATGTAAATGGACTAAATGCTCCAATTAAAAGACACAGACTGGCAAATTGGATAAAGAGTCAAGGCCCATCAGTGTGCTGCATTCAGGAAATCCATCTCATGTGCAGAGACACACATAGGCTCAAAATAAAAGGATGGAGGAAGATCTACCAAGCAAATGGAAAACAAAAAAAGGCAGGGGTTGCAATCCTAGTCTCTGCTAAAACAGACTTTAAACCAACAAAGATCAAAAGAGACAAAGAAGGCCATTACATAATGGTAAAGGGATCAATTCAACAAGAAGAGCTAACTATCCTAAATATACATGCACCCAATACAGGAGCACCAAGATTCATAAAGCAAGTCCTGAGTGACCTACAAAGAGACATAGACTCCCACATATTAATAATGGGAGACTTTAACACCCCACTGTCAACATTAGACAGATCCACGAGACAGAAAGTCAACAAGGATACCCAGGAATTGAAGTCAGCTCCGCACCAAGCAGACCTAATAGACATCTACAGAACTCTCCACCCCAAATCAACAGAATATACATTTTTTTCAGCACCACACCACACCTATTCCAAAATTGACCACATACTTGGAAGTAAAGCTCTCCTCAGCAAATGTAAAAGAACAGAAATTATAACAAACTATCTCGCAGACCACAGTGCAATCAAACTAGAACTCAGGATTAAGAATCTCACTCAAAACCGCTCAACTACATGGAAACTGAACAACCTGCTCCTGGATGACTACTGGTTACATAACGAAATGAAGGCAGAAATAAAGATGTTCTTTGAAACCCATGAGAACAAAGACACAACATACCAGAATCTCCGGGACGCATTCAAAGCCGTGTGTAGAGGGAAATTTATAGCACTAAATGCCCACAAGAGAAAGCAGGAAAGATCCAAAATTGACACCCTAACATCACAATTAAAAGAACTAGCAAAGCAAGAGCAAACACATCCAAAAGCTAGCAGAAGGCAAGAAATAACTAAAATCAGAGCAGAACTGAAGGAAATAGAGACACAAAAAACCCTTCAAAAAATTAATGAATCCAGGAGCTGGTTTTTTGAAAGGATCAACAAAATTGATAGACTGCTAGCAAGACTAATAAAGAAAAAAAAGAGAGAAGAATCTAATAGACGCAATAAAAAATGTAAAGGGGATATCACCACCAATCCTATAGAAATACAAACTTCAATCAGAGAATACTACAAACACCTCTACACAAATAAACTAGAAAATCTAGAAGAAATGGATAAATTCCTCGACACATACACCCTCCCAAGACTAAACCAGGAAGAAGTTGAATCTCTGAATAGACCAATAACAAGATCTGAAATTGTGGCAATAATCAATAGCTTACCAACCAAAAAGAGTCCAGGACCAGATGGATTCACAGCTGAATTCTACCAGAGGTACAAGGAGGAACTGGTACCATTCCTTCTGAAACTATGCCAATCAATAGAAAAAGAGGGAATCCTCCCTAACTCATTTTATGAGGCCAGCATCATCCTGATACCAAAGCCGGGCAGAGACACAACCAAAAAAGAGAATTTTAGACCAATATCCTTGATGAACATTGATGCAAATATCCTCAATAAAATACTGGCAAACCAAATCCAGCAGCACATCAAAAAGCTTATCCACCATGATCAAGTGGGCTTCATCCCTGGGATGCAAGGCTGGTTCAATATATGCAAATCAATAAATGTAATCCAGCATATAAACAGAACCAAAGACAAAAACCATATGATTATCTCAATAGATGCAGAAAAAGCCTTTGACAAAATTCAACAACGCTTCATGCTAAAAACTCTCAATAAATTAGGTATTGATGGGACGTATTTCAAAATAATAAGAGCTATCTATGACAAACCCACAGCTAATATCATACTGAATGGGCAAAAACTGGAAGCATTCCCTTTGAAAACTGGCACAAGACAGGGATGCCCTCTCTCACCACTCCTATTCAACAGAGTGTTGGAAGTTCTGGCCAGGGCAATTAGGCAAGAGAAGGAAATAAAAGGTATTCAATTAGGAAAAGAGGAAGTCAAATTGTCCCTGTTTGCAGATGACATGATTGTATATCTAGAAAACCCCATTGTCTCAGCCCAAAATCTCCTTAAGCTGATAAGCAACTTCAGCAAAGTCTCAGGATACAAAATCAATGTACAAAAATCACAAGCATTCTTATACACCAATAACAGACAAACAGAGAGCCAAATCATGAGTGAACTCCCATTCACAATTGCCTCAAAGAGAATAAAATACCTAGGAATCCAACTTACAAGGAATGTGAAGGACCTCTTCAAGGAGAACTACAAACCACTGCTCAAGGAAATAAAAGAGGATACAAACAAATGGAAGAACATTCCATGCTCATGGGTAGGAAGAATCAATATCGTGAAAATGGCCATACTGCCCACGGTAATTTATAGATTCAGTGCCATCCCCTTCAAGCTACCAATGACTTTCTTCACAGAATTGGAAAAAACTACTTTAAAGTTCATATGGAACCAAAAAAGAGCCTGCATTGCCAAGTCAATCCTAAGCCAAAGAACAAAGCTAGAGGCATCACGCTACCTGACTTCAAACTATACTACAAGGCTACAGCAACCAAAACAGCATGGTACTGGTACCAAAACAGAGATATAGACCAATGGAGCAGAACAGAGCCCTCAGAAATAATGCCACATATCTACAACCATCTGATCTTTGACAAACCTGACAAAAACAAGCAATGGGGAAAGGATTCCCTATTTAATAAATGGTGCTGGAAAAACTGGCTAGCCATAGGTAGAAAGCTGAAGCTGGATCCCTTCCTTACACCTTATACAAAAATTAATTCAAGAAAGATTAAAGACTTAAATGTTAGACCTAAAACCATAAAAACCCTAGAAGAAAACCTAGGCAATACCATTCAGGACATAGGCATGGACAAGGACTTCATGTCTAAAACACCAAAAGCAATGGCAACAAAAGACAAAATTGACAAATGAGATCTAATTAAACTAAAGAGCTTCTGCACAGCAAAATAAACTACCATCAGAGTCAACAGGCAACCTACAGAATGGGAGAAAATTTTTGCAATCTACTCACCTAACAAAGGGCTAATATCCCAGAATCTACAATGAACACAAACAAATTTACAAGAAAAAAACCACCCCATCAAAAAGTGGGCGAAGGATATGAACAGACACTTCTCAAAAGAAGACATTTGTGCAGCCAAAAGACACATGAAAAAATGCTCATCATCACTGGCCATCAGAGAAATGCAAATCAAAACCACAATGAGATACCATCTCACACCAGTTAGAATGGCAATCATTAAAAAGTCAGGAAACAACAGGTGCTGGAGAGGATGTGGAGAAATAGGAACACTTTTACACTGTTGGTGGGACTGTAAATTAGTTCAACCATTGTGGAAGTCAGTGTGGCGATTCCTCAGGGATCTAGAACTAGAAATACCATTTGACCCAGCCATCCCATTACTGGGTATACACCCAAAGGACTATAAAACATGCTGCTATAAAGACATGCACATGTATGTTTATTGTGGCACTATTCACAATAGCAAAGACTTGGAACCAACCCAAATGTCCAACAATGATAGACTGGATTAAGAAAATGTGGCACATATACACCATGGAATACTATGCAGCCATAAAAAAGGATGAGTTCATGTCCTTTGTAGAGACATGGATGAAGCTGGAAACCATCATTCTCAGCAAACTATGGCAAAGACAAAAAACCAAACATCACATGTTCTCACTCATAGGTGGGAATTGAACAATGAGAACACATGGACACAGGAAGGGGAACATCCCACACTGTGGCCTGTTGTGGGGTGGGGGTAGTGGGGAGGGATAGCATTAGGAGATATACCTAATGTTAAATGACGAGTTAATGGGTGCAGCACACCAACATGGCACATGTATACATATGTAACAAACCCGCACGTTGTGCACATGTACCTTAAAACTTAAAGTATAATAAAAAAAAATTGACTGCCCCACTGGATTTTGAACTTGCACAGCCCCTGTTACCCTTAGTTTTGGCCAATTTCTCCCATTTGGAATGATTGTATTTACCCAATACCTGTACACTCATTGTATTTAGGAGGTAAGTAGCTTGCTTTTGAGTTTACAGGCTCATAGGGGGAAGGGAATTCCCTTCTCTCAGATGAGACTTTGGATTGTGGACTTTTGGGTTAATGCTGAAATGAGTTAAGACTTTGACTGGTTTTAAAATGTGATGACATGAAATGTGCAGGGGTCAGGGACAAAATGATATAGTTTGGCTGTGTCCTCATCTAAATCTCCACTTCAATTGTATCTCCCAGAATACAATTCAAGTTGTAGGAGGGACCCTGGGGGAGAAAATTGAATCATGGGGGCTAGTCTTTCCTGGCTATTCTCATGATAGTGAATAAGTCTCACAAGATCTGATGGGTTTATCAGGGGTTTCTGCTTTTGCTTCTTCCTCATTTTTCTCTTGCCGCTGCCATGCAAGAAGTGCCTTTCACCTCCCGCCATGATTCTGAGACCTCCCCAGCCATGTGGAACTATAAGACAAATTGAACTTCCTTTTTCTTTCCAGTTTCGGGTATGTCTTTATCAGCAGCATGAAAACGAACGAATACAGATTTGCATGGCACTAATCACTACTAATGTTGAACATCTTTTCATGTACTTATTTGCCATTTGCATATCATCTTTGAAGAAATGTGTATTTAAATATTTTGCTTACATTTTACTCAATTTTTTCTTTTTGCTTTTAAGTTTTAAAAGTTATTTAAATATTCTGGATATTAATCTCTTATAACATACATGATTGGCAAATATTTTCTCCTGTTATGTATTTAGGTTGCTGTTTCACTTGCTTGATGCTTTCTTTTGATTTATAAAAATTGGTAATTTTAACAAAGTTTAATTTGTCTATTTGTCCTTTTGTTGCTCATACTTTTGGTTTCATATCTAAGGATCTATTGCCATATTTAAGATTATGAAATCACACTTCTATGCTTTCTTCTAAGAGTTTCATTGTTTTAATTTATATGTTTAGGTCATTAATTTATTTTGTATTAATTTTTATATGTGAAGTAAAGTAGAGGTTCAACTTTATTTTTTTGCATATGGAAAACTACTTGTGCCAACATCATTTGTTAGAGAAATTATTTTTCTTCAATTTAATGGATTTAATCCCCTTGTCAAAAATCAATTGACCATTATTTCTGGACTCTACTATGGATTCTATCAT
Source organism: Homo sapiens (assembly GCF_000001405.40). Classification (NCBI taxonomy): domain Eukaryota; kingdom Metazoa; phylum Chordata; class Mammalia; order Primates; family Hominidae; genus Homo; species Homo sapiens. Next base: position 63,243,726 of record NC_000004.12, on the reverse strand, counting down.
ATTCCATGGTCTATATATCTATCCTCATGCCAGTTCCACACTGTTTTGATTACTATATCTTTGTAATAAATTTTGAATTGGAAATATGTGAGTCATACAACTTTGTATTTTTTTCAGAAGTTTTTTGTTTTTGTTTTGTTTTGTTTTGTTTTGTTTTACTATTCAAGGCCACTAGCAATTACTATGAAACAACTAGATTGACTTCTTTGCTTCAGACTACAGACTGTTGGAATTTTGATAAGCATTACAATAAATTTATAGAAGTTTTACAATTTTAACACTATCGACTTTCTTTTTATAAACATGGGATGTCTTTTCATTTATTTAGGTCTTTAATTTCTTTCAGCAGTGTTTTATAGTTTCAGTATGTAAGTGTTTCACTACCTTGGAAGAATGTATTTCTTTATATATTTTTCCTAATAGTGCTATTGTAAATGATATTGCTTTCTTAATTTTCCTTCCAGATTGTTTATTGCTGTTATACAGAATAACAACTGACGTTTGTGTGTTGATCTTATAACCTAAAATTTTGTTTGAGGTAGCTTGTTAGCTCTAGAAGCTTTCTTAAGGATTATTTGAAATTATATATGTAATTTCAATATATATAATTTCTATATATGTATATATATTCTCATGAATAAAAAAATATATGAATATAATGTATATGTATTAATACATGAATATATATACACATGAATACATGCATAAAATACATATATGAATAAAAATATACAAACCATATATATGAATCAGAATATCTATCAAAATAGACATTTTGAACAATAGATTCAAGATGTTGTTCCATCTATTATTGAAAATGGGGTATTGAAGTCTCCAACTATCATTTTAACGTGGATATTGAAGTTTCCAACTACAATTTTAAAGTGTCTATTTTTTCTTTAATTTGATAAATGTTTGCTTCCATATATCTTGAGCCTCTTTTGTTTGGTGTAATTATGTTTATAATTGGTAATCTTTTGATGAATTAAGATTTATATCAATATATAATAGCCTTTTTGTCTCAAGTAACATAAAGAACATGGGATTGACTCAAGAACAGACATATAGCAATAAAAGAGTTAACAAACTGACTGTTACATATAGTCAATTTATGCCATAATTGAGACTGTATTGCAATGAAGAAGGGATAACCTTCTCAATAAATGATGCTGGTCAATAAGAAGTCCATCTAGAAAACATGTGCCTTCTTTCTTAACTGAAACAATAAGAAAATTCATTTCCTGTGAAATTATAGATTTAATTTAAAAAATAGCTTTGCAGATGATATAGGAAAATGTCTAAATTTGCTTGGCCTAAACAAATATATCTTCAACAAGACACATTATCCATTAAGTACAGGATTGCTAAATTGGACTTCTTAAACTTAGAAATATAATGTTTAAAATTTACATAGTCAAAATATGTTTAAATGAAATATATAACAACTTGACAATTAATAAAAATAAATGATCACTGAATTAAAATATTAGCAAAATACCTGAAGAAGCCCTTCACGCACACAAAAAATCTAAATGGCTGATAAGCCTATGAGAAAGAAGAAATAAATATCATTCATTAACAAACAAGTTTTAGTTAAATCTAAAATGTGATATTAGTAATCACAACTCAGAAGGCATTAAGAAAAAAAATGCTGACAATAAAGACAATAAAATGTTAGTGTTACACTAGAAAAATATATCTCTATATATTTTGGATATAACAAGTAATAAACACCAGAAATAGCCTTAAACACTCTGAATGCTACATGACCAGTGACAACCCTATGTTTTTGAAAGTCGTAAGGTCAACAGGTGCTTTATTCAACAGACCATGGTTCCATGACTGAAGTTAAATCAATTGCTAAACACATCACTTCTAAAAGTTTGCTAATCCCTGACTTCCACCATCCTAAAATTCCTGTATAAATTTGAAAGTTTTTTATATTTATAAACCTTGAAACTTAAAAGCATATCTTTGTATATCAAAAACTTAGAATACTTTTGGTTTCACATATTTACCTGAAGGTTCTTCCTTTGAAGATATGAATATGAGCAAGGATAATGAACAACTGGAATTTTTATTTATTGCTGGTAGGAGAATAAGGAGCAAGACCCTTTTAGGAAAACCACTGGGCAGCATTGACTAAAATTGAAAACAAGCTGCTTGTAATAAAGTAATTCTAGTACTATATATTACAAAATAATAATGATTGTATAATAGAGGTTATACCATCTTCATTTATCATAGCCAAAATTATAAATATCTCAAATATGAATAATGAAAATAATGGATTATTAAATTGTATTGGATTCATACAATGGGATACAATTTATCAAAAAATAAACCTACATAAGTACATTATAAATAATTTGAATTAATATCATAGATGTACTGAACACAGCACATGTGGTATGATTGTTTATGCAAAGCTCATAAATGAGAAAATCTCAATTGATTTATGTATTTTACTAAATGTGTATTGTCTTTTAGAAAATATATATAGTTAAAAGAAAAAAATTATTATGAATCAGAATACAAACAAATTTGAATTGTTTGTATTCAACCAAATTGAATACAAACAAAAACCACACCAAGTTACTTTATAGTATAATCAATGCAAACCAAAGATACAGAGATTTATTAAAAAAAAACACTTTTAAAAGTCACTCTACATTAAAAATCAAATAAGAAAAACTAACAATTGATTTCTATATGATGAACTTGGGACAACACTCCATTTACCTCAGTTCCTCCAGCAGCACCAGGTCTAACCAGAAACCGATGAAAGCATTTCATGTTCCTGGTATTAGTGTTAACTCATTCCTGTATCTATAAGACTTTGAAATGGCTAGATATTTCCTGTTTCTTGTTGCACCATTATGCTGGCAAATAGCGACACACATCTTTATTTTTTTATTTTTTTATTTTTATTTTTTTAGTTTCTTTATTTAGTTTTTATATGACATGCCTATCTAGCCATTCATCAAACTTCAATCACTTTAGATTTTTAGAAACCCTTTATACAAGACAAAACCTCTAGAGCAAATGCTATGAGTTCACTAGAAAATATTCCCATTACTCTAATTAAATAATTGGACATGACCTGTGCTCAACATAAATCTCCATTCAAATTTTTTTAAAAAATTTCCATTACAATGTCAAGCAAAGAAAGGAAGATAGTGTATCAAATCAGTTTGACAGTATAAGATCATACTACTTTTTATCCCCTAAAATTAGGATAGGTTGAAAACTAAAGATAGATCTTTTTCTTGTAGGATATGGTGATTAGTTAAATTCAAATTACATTAAAGCTTACCAAACATTTAGAGAAGTGTATTGCCTGAAGAAAATCGTAGCGGTGGTATGTGACAGCTTACCTAAAGAGCACTCAGCCTCTCACCTTAATATAACAGAAGAAGACCATCAACTATGTGGGATTTTTTCACAGATAAGTAAAAAAGTATATTTATAGTTCTTTTGGGTAGTCAGATTCACATAGGCTCTCATGGTAAAGCCCGTACAGTAAATCCTTGGCATTTATGCTCACCAACTTATGTATATTATACCCATTTAAAAATAATCTGAAGTTGAATTACAAAATAGGTTTAAAATATATATTTTGCTTACATTCTCTTTCAAATGCTTGCCCCTCTGTTCTATATATTTCAGTCAGATCTTTAACTTTTCAGTTACTAAGGAGCTAATTTTCAGATTTAAAAGTAAAGCACAATCTGAATAGAACTTTCAATTAAATTTAAGCTTTCACCTTTTTTCTGTAGCTACTTTAATGACTTAATCTTGGAAACCTACAGCAGGGAAAGATAGGTATGGTTTTTTTTTTTATTCTCATGCTATCTTCTCTTATTTTATGTTTGCTCAAGTAGAGATGTCAGGACTTGGGTAGGAGTGATAGGATGAGTAGAGGGTGCAGGGCATATTTCCTGGAAAGATCAGTTTTAATATGATATTGATATCTTTTTTAACCAGATGGCACATGTCACTTTTATTATTGTAGTGTAATTATTTTGTTGTTACAATCCTTGCTTGGAAACAAATGATGTCTTCTTCCTTGGCACTGATGATTGACTCTTTATTTCATTGCTCATGCATTGCTCATCAAATTTGACTTCTGTGCATGAAACCCAAAAGACTCTTTCTGTTAGAATCCATTATGTCAAAAAGTCTTATAAAGGGTGTTCAAACACCTTCTGAAACATCTATTCTGTCCCATAGGAAACATTTGATATGCTGTCTCTTTATAAATGAATTGCAGGATACTCCCAGCTCTGCCTCAGGGGACCTCTAATCAACTGATATTAATTTTTCTTAGATGAGTATCAGGTACTACTCCCTATCTTCCATACTCCAGGAAATAGGTGCCAAATATTCTAGGAATGTCTTACCAACCCCCTTTTACTTGCTATAGAGAGAAAGAAAAGGAAAAAAAGAATACAATTAACATTTATTTTCAAAAATATGTTCTCAACAAACTTGTGAGTATCAGATAAATTATGTATGTAATGTACAATTACATATCTTACATATTATATTGTGTATATATGTATATGTAATATACAATAGATTGTGATGTTGCAAGAGACATAGTTTCTTGATACTTTAGTCAACCTTACATAAATTGTAGGGTACTCATTTAGAATGTATGTAGCACATAATTCTTATTGTTGCCAGTACAAATTCTGAGGCACAAAAATTCCCATTTTAAGAGTATCTGAGCCTTTCCCTGACATGAAAGAACCTTCATGTTGTTTAAAGCATGAGATCAGTTCTCTATTATAGACTAAACTAGCTTAAGCCAATATATGTAATAACACTTGCAGTATTACAGTACTACACATGTAGTGCTACATGTAATGAAATACATATAATAACACATGCAGTGTTATAGTAACACATGCAGTACTACATGTAATGAAAATCCCATCCCTCTTCAAGCAATAAATATTTCTGTCAGTCATATCCTAATTTAGCTAATGTATTATTGTTTTGTTTTGTATGCATCTTAGTGTATGTTATGGGTTGAATTGTTTTCCCTACCAAAAAAGTTGAACCCTAACCCCCAGCACCTGTGAGTATGACCTTATTTGAGAATGGGGTCATTGTATATTCAATTAGTTAAGATGAAGTCATACTGGAGTAGAATGGGTCTGTAAACCAATATAAATGGTATCCTTAAAGAAGGGGAAAATTTAGACACAGACACAGTTGAAAGGCAGTCATATGTAGATGGCAGAATAAATTGAAATTATGGTACTATAAACCTGAGAATGCCTGGAGCTACCAGATGCTAGGATTGGTGGGGGAGGAATGATCCTCTGCCAGATGCTTCAGAGAGAGCATGGCCTTGCCAGCACCTCAATTTCAAACTTCTAGCCTCCACTATAAACTGAAAGAGAATAAATTTCTGTTGTCATAAGCCACCCAGTTTGTAGTACTTTGTTCCAGCAGCCCTAGGAAAGTATATACAGTGTATATGAAGTGACAATTGAATGTAAAAATTCTCCAAGCATCTGTTTCCTAAACTTGAGTCACCTGAAGAGCCAACCATGAGCAAAATATTAGTTTTCTTTATATCTGAAATATTTTGAATATATAAGCAAAAATATATATCTTTTCATAATATACATAATAATCTGTCTGTATTTTTTAATTTAATGATTCATATTGGAGAAAATACAGTATCAAAATTTAAGATAATCTTTAATATGTTTCATGTAAGCAGACTATTTTGTTAAATGGCTGTAGCATAATATTAAATGAGAGCCTGATTTTACAAATTTAGATTTCTTCCAATCTTTGACCTTACAGACTATGCTTCAATCTTGTATGTATTATTTTTCACATGTGATATTTTACTTATAGAGACTCCATGAGGTAGAAATGCTGGATGAAAGAGTATATACCTTTGGAATTTTAGCATACATTGCCAAATTCAGAAAGTTATGGCCATTTGCAGCTATACTAGCAATGCTTAATTTGTGTACATTCTAAGTACTGGAAGAAAAATATATATGCTTCTAAGTAAACGTATGTTGTTGATAGACATGCTTAAGCTCCCTTCTGTGTTTATTTAATGGTATATGACTCTTGTCCACATTAAGAGCAGTTGGATTAACCAGGAATAATACCTATCCAAGGAGCAAGAAATCAATAAATTGTCCAGTAAATTACAATGTCTTTTGCCTCAACAAATATAACCTGAGAGATCTAGTCATTTGTCATTAGTATGAATTAATAAATTCTTAGAATATAAAACAGGAAGTATTGAAACCAGGATTTAGAAGGTTTTGGTGGGAAATTGAACAGGACAGATTTTGATAGGCTACGTAAAAGCCAAAGTTATGATGGAAAAGAACATAGCAACAAGTAGAGGGAGTCCGTGGTAGAAAAATAACACTGAATGAATACACAGAAGTTAAGGTGTCTGATATAAGGCAGGCCATGCATGCTGGATCATAGAAGAGGCTTGGGTTAGAATAGCTTTTGAATTCCAAAGGTAGTGTTTGTGTATTCTAAAATAATACTCTGTCTTAGAATTAAATATTTTACAAAATATCTAGTCATGGTCTTCTTTTAATGACCAAATTTAAAGTCTAGAACACAGTGGCTTGCAAAGATTATAGCTACTCTATTTATAGTCAGGTATTTACCAAGTTGCATGGTATTTTCATTATTTAACAATTGTCATATTCTGATGGTGTTTATTTCTTCTTTCCTTTACTTTCTTTTTTAATAGTTGATATTTTAATTATGACTCTCAGTTACCCTAGCAGATTTTTTCTGAGATCTAAAATCATGAACACTCTTCTTTTTTACTTTATTTCTTGTTCAATCCTTTACACACACAAAAAAATCCGCTTTTGTCAATGCTTTCGCTGAATTTGTAATTTGTAATTCCATGAAGTTTGCTCATATTGAGTTTGTGTTTTCATTAGTTCCTCTCTTTTGTGGTTTTCCAATAATTTTTAGAAAGAAGCAGGAAAGTCTCCCTTCAGCATTCATCACATTCACTTTTCAATCTAACACATTTGTTTGTTTTTAGACTTTTCTTGATATGTAAGATTAGTATGTAATCCCCATGGGCTATAAACCTTTTCTTCCTTATTTAGCACATTTTCGATATTTAGAATATATAGTAGACACTCAATATATTCTACATAAATTAATTGATGAGTACAATATAGTACATAGTTTTCACCTGAAAATTAAAAAATATCAATGTGTATATTCTTGATAATAAATAAAGTTTTAGATCTGAAATAATCCAAGGAGATTTCTGCTCCTTCATCATCTTTTAGATAACTCAGCATCAGAAATTAGGAAAATGATGTGGTGGAACAGATGAGAAGTCGTACTATATTGCATTTACCTTGAGGCTTATCAATATCAATTCCATCATCTGGAATGGGGCAGAGAATCTAGTAAAGGCATAAAGTCAGAGGTAGAATAATGAAAGGGAAGAAATAAAGGGGAGGATAATATTTCTATAACAAAATTATTGGATGCTGTATGTTGAGGTTCTAACCACCAGTGCTTCATAAACTGACCTTATTTGACAATGAAGTCTTTGTAAATGTAGTCAAGGTAAAGATTAGGTCATTAGGGTGGGACTTAATCCAATAAGACTAGTGTCCTTACAAAAAGGGCACCAGTTTGAACACAGACTCAAACATTCACAGAGGGAGGACCAGGTCAATAGATATAGAGAGAACGCCATGTAAGAATTGGAGTTATGCTGTTACAATCCAATAAAGTCTGGGGCTACCAGAAACTAGGAAGAGGGAAGAAAGAATTTCCTTATGGGTTTTTGAGATAGAATGGCCTTGCCTATATTTTGATGTCATATTTCTAGCCTCCAGACCTGTGAGATACTAAATTGCTAAGTCACCCAGTCAGTACTACCCTAGCAAACTAATACAGATGCCAACAGCTCTAAGATTTTGATTAAAACAAAATCAGTTCATAGAATTCCAAATGCACATCACAAGATCTTGGGAAATATGAAATAACTACTTAGAACTTCCAAAAAAGTCATGAGCAATCAGAAACAAAATGGCTTTTCAGAAACCAAAAGATACTCTGAAACAGGACTGTCTTCACAAATTTGTTAGTGAAGCACTTTTTCTATAATTCTGTAACGTAACATACCTCTCAGTATTAACCCCTCTGACCTCCCAATTCTGTCTAATGTCTACCATTACCATAAGACTTACGAAATGCAAAGGGTGTTTTTATATTTTGTATTACTTTTCCTGCTATCAAGATAATTTATGTTTCCTAACTTAAGAAAGACAGACTATAATCATAGAATTTTAAATTTCATCAATTAAAACTAAATATTCACATCTATTACTTTGTTCTACAAATGTTTGTTATCTGAATAAAGAAGGAATTTCTTTGGTTTGAATTACTAGGATTTAATAATGACATTTCAAATATTATAATTTTGATGCTGAGAATAAAAGATACCAACAAAGTAAAACGTTTTAGAATAATAAAACTGCACTTAGATCTTGTCAATTTGACAGTCGTTAGAAATAACTGATGTTAATTTATACTGTTTGCCAATCTAGTTGCTAAAAACAGAATAGCTTAGATAAAACTCACTTGAAAAACAAGCATTTCTAAATAGTATTGCTCTTTAAATTGAAACTAACTAAATAAAGTAAATTTTTAAATAAAGTACTGGGCAAAAGAAGCAGGTAACTAACTCTTACAACCCCAAAACATCCTCAAAACTAAATCTGTATTAATAGGATAATAATAAATATCATCAATAATAACATTGAATTATTACATTAACTTGTCTTTGCAAGTTGCTTATAGCATTATTGATGCATAAAAAGTTAAAATGATACGTTATAAGTAATTAGCCTAAAAGCAAAATGAATTTCCCTAAAAAATAAATTTATCACTTAGATTTCCTAACCATACACATATAGTACATTTCAAATATATTCTTACTAAAATTTCATATGTGCATTTTATTTGAAAATGCTTAATAAGCATAGAAAAGCAAATATTAATGTACCAAATAGCCAAGCATTTTCTCAGAATAAGCACACATACTAATCTGTTTTTACTTTATAACTATACATAAAGAAAATACATTCAGTAGGTTTTTTTAATTTTTTTTTTTAGATGGAGTCTCCATCTGTCACCCAGGCTGGAGTCCAGTGGTGCAATATTGGCTCACTGCAACCTCTGCCTCCCGTGTCCAACTGATTCTCCTGCCTTAGCCTCACCAGTAGCTGGAATTACAGGTGTGCACCACCATGCCTGGCTAATTTTTTGTTTGTATTTTTAGTAGAGACGGGGTTTCACCATGTTGGCCAGGCTGGTCTCAAACTCCTGACCTCAAGTGATCCACCTGCCTCGGCCTCCCAAAGTGCTGGGATTACAGGCTTGAGCAACTGTGTCTGGCCTACATTCAGTAGTTTTATTCTCATTTTCTATACTATTAATATCTAATATTTTACTTAAAATACTTCATATTTTGCTTTATTTTCTCTTTATTACCCAGGAGAAGCTACCATTTTATTTTGAAATAATTTTCTGAAGCCTATATAGCAAAACAAACAATTCTGTATGGGAAGGAAACAAAATAACAATATCTGCTTTTTCATTTTTAAACAAGTGCTTGGGAAGACAATAAGCAATATTTTAAGTAAATTAAAATGGAATTTGCTTTTTACCATGTCTCATAAATGCCAAACAATGAAATGATTTAGTTTTCAAAGTTATTATATCCCAACTGATCTTCCAGGCAGCAGACTTATTATCTGATTATGAAGATATGAACATTTATCAAAAGCTAGAACCATCTGTCTCAATTCTGTTTAATTTAATTATGTATTCATCATTTAGACAGTAAGCTTATGACATAAGCCTCTACAAATGAATAATTCTATACTTATTATCACTTAAGAATATGCACAGGCAGACTTCAGTCAACTCCTATTAGTCTGCTTTGAAATTAAAATTATTCTAGTGATAGGCCACGGACTAGCCCATCATCACTGATATATGCAGGAAGAATATCTGGCATTCCTCTCAAGAAACTTAAAACTATCAATTGCTGTCTTTTAGCAAGACAGATATACTTAGAATTTCTAAATGTTTCTTGAATTGAGAGGTACGTACATTTAGAACCATATACATATATTCAAAATTCTAATTTTTAGACAATTAAGTATTAAACCAGGAGAGAATAATGATTCTTTAAAGCAATATTCATAAAATATTTGTAAATTTGTTACATTTTATAGTTATGGGAAATATATCAATAATCCTGCTTAATGAATTTGGTACAGAGCTTCAGATTAGCTATAGAATAACATTTTTCTTTCTTTTCTGTGTTGAGATTGATTATATTTGACGGAAATTAGTGAGAATAAGGAGAATTACTTGCTGAAAACATTTAACCTCATTTATGTACCCAGAATTAAGATGAAAAATATATAATATTCTATTATAGGACTACTAAGCTAATTAGGAAAGTGATATCTATGCCATCTCATAAATAAGAGCACATCAAGTTACTAAAACTAATCCATGAATCTTGTAGATGTCACTTCTCTGTGCCTGTCATTATGATCACAGGTAACACAAATGATAAGCTCACAAATTATCTAAAGTGAAAATTGATTTCCTCTATGTCTCTCTCTCTCTGTGTGTGTGTGTGTGTGTGCGTGTGTGTGTGGTGGGGGGTGTATGTGCATAACACTGGAACTCTGTATTTCTAAACAAAGATATGTATTGTACAACTATTTGGGAATCTGGCTTTCTAAATTTAATCTCTCTGTGAGAGATTGTCAAAAAGATTGCCATCTCAACCAAGAGGTTTGCTGGAAAGATAGAAATCAGGACCAGTGAGTGTGGGAGATATTTGGACTGGGCAACCAAGGCACTGAAATAGCTTAAAATTAACCCATCAGAGCAGTAGCAAACAGTGTCTTATTTAGACACTGTTTTAGACATTTAGAGGTTGTGATGTATTCAGAATTGGTCTTATCCACTTTCAGTATTTATGAAGAACAATATTTTGAATAGGACACAGAATTATGAGCAAAAAAAAAATGGAATATAAAGAAAGTTAGATAAGTCAGTATAGTTGGCCCTTGAAAAACATGGTTAGGTCCACACGTACATGTATTTTTTTCAAATAAATATATTGGAAAAGTTTTTGGAGATTAGCAAAAATTTGAAAAACTTGCAGATGAACTGTGTTGTCTAGAAATATTTTTAAATAAGAAAAATGGAGGTATGACAGGAATACATAAAATATTTAAAGATACTAGTCTATTTTTTACTACCATAAAATATACACAAATCTATCATAAAAAGCTAATCAAAACTCACCCACACAATTATAGACTATACAGGGAGCCACTTACAGTCTACAGAAATGTAAACAAACCTTGAGCCAATATTCAGTCATAACCGTATAAAATTAACTATGCTACATACTGTACTGTGCTGCAATACTTTTGTAGATACCTCCTGTTGCTATTGCAGTGAGCTCAAGTGTTGCAAGTATCTGCTTAAAACACTCTTTGACACTAATCATCTCTGCTTGAGAAATCCCTCTCCCTAGCAAATTGTGTATCACAGTAAAAAGGGACCTCTCATAGTTCTTGAGTATTTTTCATTATTTTTACTGCAGTACTATAAACTTCAGATAACACCATGGAACCCATATGAAGTACCACTAGTGGGATGAAAGTGCTTCAAGGAAGCAGAGAAAAGTCATAATATTACCAGAAAAAAAATAGAATTATTTGATACATACTGTAGATTGAGGTCTGTAGCTGTACTTGCTCACCATTTCAAAATAAATGAGTCCAATATAAGGGCTATAACTAAAAAGAAAAGAAAATTTGTAAATCTGTTGCTATAGCTGTGCTACAATGCATAGAAACCTGGCACTTCTTGTAAATGCCTTTTTATCTTGTATCAAAAATGCAGCTTTTATGTGGGTTCAGGATTGTGGTAAGAAAGGCATACCTATAGACTTTACTATGATTTGAGAAAAAGCAATTATTAATAATTACACGACAACTTAAAGCAAAAGAAAAGTGAAAGATCTAAAGCTGGAGAGTTTAATGACAGCAAAGGATGGTTTGATAATTTCAGAAAAAGGTTTGCCTTAAAAAAAAAAAAGTCAAGATAAAGAAGCAGCTTCTACCAACCAAGAGGGAGCAGACGAGTTTCCAGACACAATTAAGAAAATTATTGAAGAGAAAAGATATCTACCTGAACAGGTATCTTTAATACAGATTAAAGTGCTCTACTCTGCAACAATAACCACTACCACCACAACAGCAAAAAGGCTACAAAAGACGCTTATTAGTAAGGAAGAGAAGCAAGCACCAGGATTTAACTTGATGGAGATGAGTACTTCTGAACCAGTGCCAGACAATAAGGAAGAAGATGTAGAAGAAGCAATTTCCAGAAAACAAATGGAAACTAATTAACATTAGACAATCTGGCAGAAGAGTTCTGATTATTCAAGACTCCTTTTGATGTCTATTCAAGACTCCTTTTGATGTTTACTCAAGACTACTTTTGATGGCAATAATGCAAACAGTAGAAGGATTGATACCTTATAGAAATATTTTTAGAGACATGAAAAAGCAAAATTCAGACAGGAATGTTGATATTTTTGCATAAAGTTACATTATGTGTACCTGCCTCTACTGCTTCCCCTCCCACCTCCTCCACTTCTTCCACTTCTGCCCCCCAAAGACAATACCAATGCTTTCCCCTCGTCCCTCCCCATCCTCTCCCTACTCAATGTGAAGATAAAAATTATGATGATAAACACCTTTACAATGATCTACTTCCACACAGTAAATAGTAAATATATTTTCTCTCTTATGATTAATAACATTTTCTTTTCCCTAGCTTATTTTATTGTAAGAATACAATATACAATACATATTAATAAAACACATAAAATATGTGTTAATTGACTGTTTATGATGTTGGTAAGCCTTCTACTTAACAGTAGGCTGTTAGTAATTAAACTTCTTAAAACTCAAAAATTGTATGCAAGTTTTCAGCTACACAGGATTTTGGTGCTCCTCACACCCACATTGTTCAAGACTCAACTCTAGTTTCTTTTAATTCATTCTTTTCAGAAAATGTTTCCAGACAGCAGCTAAATTTATGAGTAACTGGGCCAACTCTCTCCAACAGAAATATATAAATGAAAATATTATATTGAAATCCCAATCACATAAACCCATAGAAATATGATAGTTTCAAACCCACAGCAATATGATAATGCTTACTAGGATAACCAAAACAAAAACTAAAGGGTAAATTAAAGAATGATAATAATTTCCCATGGCACATTTATATGAAGTGGTAACTTCAAACACCATAAATATAAGCATCAAGGTGATGAGAACAATTCAAAACTTTTTTTTCTTGTGACGTGAGGATTCATGAATATTTGTGATCATCAAGATTGACAAAGAGAAAGATCCAGGCTATGGTTTTAAGTTCAAGTCTTTGGTACCTATAGGAAAATGGAAAAAATAAATGGGTTATTTGAGACCAAAGGCTCTAAATTCTTAGTATGCTTAATACCTACCCTAAAAGATTCCATAAGTACAGATTTCTGCATCTTTCTTCAAGGAATTTAAACAAACATCCTGAAGCAGGTGATAAGTTGGTCATGCTTTGAGATTCACTATTCTAGGCAGAGTAAAAGGTCATTGCATCTGTTGAAAGGTGTTTCCGTGCAAACTTTTGAGTCTTTAGTCAGATTACATGCAAAATGATGAAAGCAGCATTAAGATTCAGGAGACTGAGAGAGAGGCTGTTGAAGACAGCAATAAGTGTGTTGGCCTCAAAATTTACTTTAACAGACATTTAATTATTTATTATTGAAAAGATATTTAAAACAAGTTTTCCACTTTATCTATATTTGTCTAAACCTCTCTGCGTCATTCAAGTAAAGGGATTAATTACCCTAACTCCAGATATACTAGGGTATCCAAGGCTATCCAAGGAATTAAAACAATTTCAGGAAGTAAAGGAAAACGCAATTAAATGGAAGTGTAGAGGGAGCTACACAGACCCTGAAGTCTTTCGATAAGTCATCTTTCCTTAATTTAATTATCTAAAACTTTTGAATTATTTGTCCTTTTCAGTACAAGAAAATAGTATGTATATTTCAGGATAATATTTTCTATAGTACAGTCTTACTCTGGGTAAATATGAAGCTGCAACTTCGGAGGTTGCTTGTGCTAACTATCTCACTCTGGCTCTCAGAGCCATGAGATCTCTTCCATATCTTACTGAATCCACAATTTTCTTAAGAGAGACGCTATAATCATCAACTGTATAAAGTTTTAATTGTCCTTTAAAAGTAAACAACTTTGTAATCTTAGGATAATTTTATAATACTGTGAGACGTTGTGTTGCGTAATTAAAGGTCCTGCAAAATAAGCAAAATGTTAAAATCATGGATACTAAAACAGCAATTTCCTAGCTTCTCATAACTAATCAATGTATTCTAAGTGTCTCCCAAAACTTCAGGCTTATTAGCTTTTCAGTAAACTTCAAACAGCTGTTTCTAATTAAATAATGCAACATAAAATTATAGTTTACTTTTCATTTTGTCACAATTTACCTTAAAATATATATACATTAGATATACACAAATATATATATATACACATTTAAACTGTGTGCCTGTGTGTGTATATATATACTTACATAGATATGTATATATGTATACATATATATGTGTGTGTGTGTGTGTGTGTGTGTGTGTGTGTATACTTTTAATCTATTTTAAGGGGATATTATACTTCTTTTTTATTTATTTATTTTTTGTAGACGGAGTCTCGCTCTGTCACCCAGGCTGGAGTTCAGTGGCGCAATCTTGATTCACTGCAAGCTCCGCCTCCCGGGTTCACACCATTCTCCTGTGTCAGCCTCCCGAGTAACTGGGACTACAGGGGCCCATCACCACGCCTGGCTAATTTTTTTTGTATTTGTAGTAGAGATGGGGTTTCACCGTGTTAGCCGGGATGGTCTCAATCTCCTGAGCTCGTGATCCGACCGCCTCGGCCTCCCAAAGTGCTGGGATTACAGGCATGAGCCACCGCGCCTGGCCAATTATACTCCATTTAATAGTAGATCCAATAAATTCAATGTTACCTTAAATACTATCCTGTTACAACAGGTGAAAATTAAAGTGGGTGGGAATGAGCTTGCTGAGGATAGCTTTATGTTTGAAAATGCAGAATCAAAATTACAAATAATTGTCTATATATTCATCTTCTCTTTATTTGATCCTGTAATAAATATTTTAATGATTTTTAGGTGAATTAAAATAATGCTTTTCTGTGATTGCAAACAAGGAAAATACAGCATATGCCATGAAATGTATTTTAAATTGTTACATTGCACTTGTAATCTTTAGAAATTAAATATATAAACTAATTGTCTTCTGGCTTATTCTGTTTTGTTAGTTTTTTTTTTTTGTAAGAAGTAAAAGTCAGTTTTACTGTTAATCTTTTAAAACATAATCTCTCCTTTATCTCTCAGACTGCTTTAAGATATTTTCGTCTTTGATTTTCAGTACTTTTTCCTGTTATGAGACAATGGTATGTACTTGTTTGGGAATTGTGACTCTTCTTGAATCTGTGGATTAATTTGTATTAATTTTTAAAATTCAAAATCACTCAGCAATTATTTATTTATTTAATGCTTTTGCCTTTATTAGTTCTCATCATTTTTTGAGACTTAAAATGCACATATGCAAGCTTTTTCACCATAAAAATACTTTACTAAAATGCTTTTATGTTTTTCAACATTTCTTATTTTCATGTGTCATTCTGCATATTTTTTTGACTTTTTCTTCAGTTCAGAGTTTCATGAGTTAAACTAGTGCTAAACCAATCAGTTGAGTAATTTACCCTATTATTTTTTTCACTTCTATAATTTGTTTTTTTCTTTATTATTGTTTCCTGTTTTCCATTAAATGTCAGCTCAGCTACTCAAAAAAAATTATCAATCATTTATTTCAATGTTCTCATTATATAAAACATAGTTATTTGAAAGTCCATGACGAATGAATCTAGTTATTTAGATCTACTGTAGCTTTTATTTCCTCTCTTTTTATTTGGTTTTGGTTGTATTGTTGTGTCTTCTTTTATGTCTTGCTAGTTTTGACAGATTCCTATAAATTCCAAATTATAACTCACATACTTGGAGTTTCATTTCAGCTTCAATATATAAACAACTTGAAACTTGTCACTTCCATCATTACAAAAACTAATATTAGAACAAACTGAAGATCAACATATTTTTCGTACCCATTAGATAACAGAGCTTGTAGGGTAAACCACCCTTATGAAACCTGGACACACAGGCAAATCAAGAGTAACGGCCAAGGTCTTACCTGAAGCAGAAGTTCTGTCAGCTAGAGGCATAAACTGGGTGGAATACTTAAATGGTAATTCTGATAAGTTTCTACAGACTTCTTGTGGACTGCATTGAAAGTGAGAAACTACAGGTGACTTCAGTCTTGGGGGGAGGGGGGCACACATTTACGCATGTATCCTTTAGCAATCCCACAAGATTCTCACTGTGAAGAGCCAAGAATAATTTCCCAGTGGCTCTGGAAAACAATAAGAAAAATATACCCATGTTAAAATGTACCTGAGAGTTCTCCATTAACAGAGTCAACTTTGCATGGTAAAAGACTTAATCTTATCAAATATGGGCTAAGGATGTTTCTCTGAATCTAGCTCCCTGTATCTTTATTTTCTCATCTAAGAGAAGAAGGAAAAAAAACTTGTGAAAATATTAGCTTAGACACAAGTGCAAATAAATATAGAAAGTTAATCATAACATTATAGAATATTCCCCTTCCCACACCCCTTACCAAAACACTAACAGGGCTCTATTATAATAAACTGCATTATAGCTGTCAAAGCTTAAAATACAGGCTATACTTGAAAAGGAGCTCTTAGGGAAACCCAACAACAATTATATCAGTCCACTTACATTGCTATAAAATAGTATCTGAAATGAGGTAATTTATAAAGAAAAGCTTATTTGGCTCATGATTCTGCAGGCTGTACAAGCATGCTACCACCATCTTCTTGGCTTCTGGTAAGACCCAGGAAGCTTTTAGTCATGGCCATAGGGAAGAGGAGCCAGCACATCACATGGTGAGAGATGAAGCAAGAGAGCAAGCAGTAAGTTCTAGGCTCTTTTAAACAATCAGATCTCATGTGAACTCTTAGAGTGAGAGTTCACTCATTACCATGACAATGAGGCCAAGACATTCATGAGGAATCTGCCCTCATGACCCAAACACCTCCCACCATGTCTCCCATGCAACATTGGAGATCACATTTCAAAATACGGCCTGAAAGGAACAGAACATCCAAACAATATCATTCCACCCCTGGCCCCACAAATCTCATGTCCTCCTTTCATTGTGAAATATAATCATCTCTTCCCCATAGTCCCCAAAGTCTTAACTCATTCTAGCATTGACTCATAAGTCCAAAATCTCATCTGAGACTCAAGGCGAGTCCCTTCCACCTACAAGCCTGTAAGATCAAGAAGTTATTTATTTCAAATATAAAATGCTGGTATAGGCATAAGTAGACCGTCCCATTCCAAAAGGGAGAAATCAGACAAAAGAAAGGGGCAAAATTCCCCACACAAGTCTGAAACCAAGCAGAGCAGTCATTAAATCCTAAAGATCCAAGATAATCTCCTTTGACTCCGTGTCCCACATCCAGGGCACACTGGGGCTAGGGGTGGGCTCCCAAGGCCTTGGGCAGCTCTGCCTCTGTGGCATTGCAGGGGGAGCCTGCAAGGCTGCTTTCGTGGGTTAGAGTTGTGTGCCTGTGGCTCTTCCACACTCAGAGTGCAAGCGGCCAGTGGCTATAGCTTTCTCAGGCCCGTAGGGCAGTAGCCCTTTTCCCACTGCCTCACCAGGCAGTACCCAAGTAGAAACTCTGTGTGGGGACTCCAGCCACCTTTTCCCCTTCACATTGCCCTATGAGAGTCTGTTTTCAAGGACTCCGCCTCTGTGGCAGTCCTTTGCCTGGGCACCTAGGCTTTCTCATGCATCCTTTGAAATTTAGGTGGAAGCTGCCAAGTCTCCTTTACTCTTGCATTCTACATGCCTGCAGACTTAGCATCTTATGGAAGCTGCCAAGACTTACTGCGTGCATCCTCTGAAGCAGCAGCTGGAGTTGTACTTGGGGACATTTGAGTCATGAATGGAGCTAGAGCTAGAGCAGCTGGGATGCAGGAAATAGTGTCCCAAGGCTGTGAAGGGCAGTGAAACCCTAGGCTTGGGTGCCCAAACTATTCTTTCTTCTCAGGCTTCTGAGTCAGTGATAAGAGGGACTGTCCCAGTGACTTTGGAAATACCTTTGAGACTTTTTTCCATTGTCTTGGCCATTAGCACTTGGCACCCTTTTAGTCATATTAATCTCTTTAGCAGGAGGTTTCTCCATATTCTGATTATATTTCTCTTCTGAAAATGCTTTTTTCTTCTCTCCCACATGGTTAGGCTGCAAATTTTTCAAACTTTTAAACTCTACTTCTCTTTTCATTATAATTTCCAACTTTGTCATTAATTTGCTCCTGTATCTGATACTAGGCTATTAGAAGCAGCCAGGCCAATTATTGAATACTTTGCCATTTAGAAATGTATTTCCTCAGATACCATAAGTCATCACTTTTAAGTTCAAACTTTCACAGATCCCTAGGACCCAATCACAATTCAGCCAATGTCATTGCTAAGGAGTAACAGGGTGACCTTAGTTTCAGTTCCCAATAGGTTTCTTATGTCCTAACTGAGATCTCCTTAGCCTGGCCTTTATTGTCCATATTTTGATCAAATTTTTTATCAAAGCATCTTAACAAGTGTCAAAGGAACTCCAATTTACTCTTTTTTTCTTGTCTTCTTCTGATATTTCCAAACTCTTCCAACCTCTGTCCATTTCCCAGTTCCAAAGCTGCTTCTACATCTTCAAGTAACTTTGTAGAAATACCCCACCTCTTGGTACCAACTTTCTGTGTTAACCCATTTGTGTTGCTATGAAAGAATACCCAACACTGGGTAATCTATAAAAAAGAGGTTTATAATGAGATTTGGAAGGAACAAAACATCCAAACTATATCAAAAACAGGGGAGGATAAAACAAAGACAGTAGAGGGTTTGAAGCCTCTAGCACACACAGCTACAATTATCCACAAACATTAATAACTCCTGTTAAAATGTACATAAAATAACACACTGAAACCTATTTATCTCAGTTATTTTCATATATATTAATATTATGTTCAACTTTCAAACAAAAAAATCATAGAAGATGTTTAAAGTCAGAGAAGACAGTCTGAAGAAACAAACCTCTCATCATAATCATATTCCAATATGACATAGACTTTGATATTGTCAGACATAAAATATAAAATTATATATATTTCTCAGTTAAAATTAGAGAAGACAAAAGCAACAGAAGAAATAGAACAGTTAATAATGCAATGCATAGAAAATAGTTAAACACACGGGGCCACGTGCAGTGGCTCAAGCCTGTAATCCTAGCACTTTGGGAGGCCGAGGCAGGCAGATCACCTGCAGTCAGGAGTTTGAGACCAGCCTGGCCAACATGGTGAAACCCCATCTCTACTAAAAATACAAAAATTAGCCAGGTGTGCTGGCACGTGCCTATAATCCAAGCTACTCGGGAGGCTGAGGCAGGAGAATCACTTGAACCCGGGAGGCAGAGGTTGCAGTGAGCTGAGGTCACACTATTGCACTCCAGCCTGGCCAACAGAGGAAGACTCCGTCTCCAAAAAAAAAGAAAATAGTTACACTAATGGTAGATATTCATTCTTATATCTCAATAATCAAATCATGCTATTATGAATGGTCTATACATACCATTTATAAGATAGGCAATGTCAGAATGAATTATAATAATGGAAGAAGATGCAAGTATATATATTCTCTTAAATGGCACTCGACATGTAAAAACTCTAAATGGTTCAAAGTAAAGGAATGTATAAAGATATATAATGTTAACTTTAACCAAAAACAAAACCAAAAATTAACAACCTAGGGTAGTAAGTTCAGACAAAGTGAAATTCAAAACAATAAAAGTTATTTGGGATAAAAAAATGACACTACATGATAATGACTGGAACAATTCTCCAAGAAGACATAAAAGTCTTAAATGTGTATGCATATGACAAAGGATATATATATGAGCCAGGATTTGGTACAACTAAGAGGAGAAATAGTCAAGTTTACTATTACACAGTAGATAATTAAACACCCCTCTTTCAGTGGCTAGTAGATCAAGCAGGCATAAAACCAGTGAGGATGAAATTGACCACAAAAACACAATCAATGAACTTGATGTAATTGACAGTTATAAAATACAGACTATTCCATCCTGCAATAGCATAATTCACATTTATCTCAAGCTCATGTGGATGTTCACTAAGATAGATCACATTCTGGGCCATAAGAGAAACCCTGAAATGTATAAAAAGCAATAGAAATTTCACAAAGTATGCTCTCAGATGAAGATGGCAGAGTGGATCAGCAATGTATATTAGTGTTGGTTTCCCTCAACAGCCATTCATATAGAGACTCGCTTGGTAAGTAGCGTCTTAATAATAGTTCAATTTATGTGAACTATTCAAGAAACAATTTAAATGAACTGTGTTACTATTACCTAAATGGTAGTAATATCTGTAAATTTTAAAATCTGATGAAACAGAAACATTTGAATTGACGATATAGATACAGATAGAGATATTAATATTTATGGAAAGGACAAGTGCAACATAATGAGTGATGTGAAAGGCAGGAGACTCCTTGAGATTTTTTTAAAACTGATCTCACTACGTACACCCATTCTGCATAAGCAGGGCTAAAGATATTTCCAGCTGTCTTAGAAAATACGAAAGCATACAAGACAATTATTGGGTGTGTGCAAGACTTTCTGTATATTAGGGGATGAGGTTGGAAAATAAAGATATTGGTTACGCAATATGTATTACCATCTTTAAATATAAACCCTATTCATTTAAAATGAGTAATCTTAATGAAACTTCCTAGGGATATTTTAGTAGAATTCCCTGGTAGATAAAGGGTATTATAATAGGTGCCTAATTGAAGCCTGAAGTAAAAATGCAAGTTAACTATATTTTATTAAAAATAATGATAGAAAAAACCCTATGCTAATTTTCAACACAACTTTTTAACAAACTAAATGTTCCAATTATAAAAATAGAAACACATCAAATCCTATTCTGTAATTAAAAATAAAATAATCAAGGGAAGATATAATTACCTTCATAAAAATGAGAAACCTATCTCA
The DNA here is from genome assembly GCF_000001405.40 of Homo sapiens. Classification (NCBI taxonomy): domain Eukaryota; kingdom Metazoa; phylum Chordata; class Mammalia; order Primates; family Hominidae; genus Homo; species Homo sapiens. The sequence continues at coordinate 63,222,322 of NC_000004.12, read as the reverse complement.
ATTTCTCACTGAATGTAACATTTGAGAATTTTAAAAATATACCCATGATTAAAATAAACTTTTTAAATGTTATAAATTATAATAATATAATTTAAATAATTTATTTCTGTATGAAATTTAGCAATTTCTTATTGTAAAGCACTAACTCCAAATGAATTTTTTTTTTTTTGAGACGGAGTCTCACTCTGTCACCGGGCTAGAGTGTAGTGGTGCAATCTCGGCTCACTGCAACCTCAGTCTCCCAGGTTCAAGCGATTCTCTTGCCTCAGTCTCCTGAGTAGCTGGGATTACAGGCGCATGCCACCACACCCAGATAATTTTTGTATTTTTAGTAGAGACGGGGTTTCACTATGTTGGCCATGATGGTCTCAATCTCTTGATCTCATGATCCGCCCACTTCGGCCTCCCAAAGTGCTGGGATTACAGGCGTGAGCCATCGTACCCTGCCTCCAAATGAGTTTTATCAGATTTTGGATATGTGTTTAAATATATTGTTTGCACTTTTGTCTAAACATAAAATATAAAGTGAATATGTAATAGAACTAAAATTTACATTTTGTGATTAGATTATTTCATCATTTTACAAACATCGTAAAGTGTACTCACAGAAACCTAGATGGCATAGCTTACTACACAGCTTGGCTATATAGTAGAGCCTATTGTTCCTAGGCTACAAATCTGTACAGCATGTAACAATTATAACAAAATGGCATTTGTGTATCTAAATATAGAAATGTTACAGTAAAAATACAGTATAAAAGATTAAAAATAGTCCAACTAAATAAGGCACCTACCATGAATAAAACTTGCAGAACTGGAAGTTGCTGTGGGTGAAGCAGTGAGTGAGTTGTGAGTAAATTAAAAAAACAAGCCAATAAAACAGTCAAGGACGTTATTATACACCAGCAGTCCCCAACATTTTTAGGCACCAGGGACCAATTTCATGGAAGACAATATTTTCCATGGACTGTTGGTACAGGGTATGGTTTTGAGGCAAAACTGTTTCATCTCAGATTTTCAGTTATTAGATTTTCATAAGGAGCATGCAGCCTAGATCTCTTTCTTGTGCAATTCACAATGAGAATCTAATGTCACCACTCATCTAACAGAAGGCTGAATTCTGGTGGTAATACTCACTCACCTGCCACCCACCTTATGTTGTGCAGCCCTGTTCCTATCAGGCCATAGGCCACTACTGGCCCATGGCCCAGTGGTTGGGGACCTTTGCTGTACACTACTGTAAACTTTACATTTAGGGTATGATAAATTTATATGAGTATATTTATTTCTTATTTTTGTGGATTCTTTTTTTGAGGCAAGTTCTTATTCTGTCATCCAGGCTGGAGTGCAGTAGCACCATTGGGGCTCACAGCCTCAGCCTTTCAAAGTATTGGGATTACAAGAGTGATCCACCACACTCAATCTTTATTTCTTCAGTAATGTATTAACCTTAGATTACTGTAACATTTTTACTTTAAAAAACTTTTTTTAAATATTGAGTGCTTTTTGACTCTTTTGTAATAATTTAAAACACAAACTTTATAGCTATACAAAACATTTTATTTCTTTTTATCCTTATTCTAGAAGCTTTTCAAAATTTTTTAATTTATTTTTTTTTATTTTTAAACATTTTTGTTAAAATACACACCTAGCATGTGTCTACATAGGGTCAGAATTATACTACTATCTCTCACCTCCACATCTGTCCAATAAATAATACTTAGGGGTAATTACATGCATGGAGCTGTCATCTCCTACACTTTCTTCTGGTGTACCTTCTGAAGAACTTGCCTGAGACTATTTACAGTTAACTTTTTAAAATAAGTAAAAACTACAGTATAAAAAATAAAATGTATAATATAGTAATATATAAACTCATAAGATTGTTGTTTATTATTATCAAGTATTATGTACTGTACAAAATGGTATGTGCTATACTTTTATAAAACTGATAGATCAATGTGTTTGTTTATATCAGCCTCACATATGTGTAATGCCTCATGGTATAATATTAAAATGGCTATATCACTAGGCAATAGTGACACATCCATTAGAATCTTATGGGACCACCATTACACATGTGAACTATTGTTGACGACAATGTTGTTAAATAGTGTGAGACAATACTGGGCTTTGACAAAGACTGTACTTCACCAAACTATATTCAGACTCCTTGGGGCACTCTTCTTGACCAGCCCTTGGCCCTGGCCCTCATCCTGCCTTTGCCTGCTTACCCCAGTCTTAGAAAGGATCTTGCTTAGTTAGTTTAGTGAGAATCCGCACCCTTTTGATATATAATAACATTCTGCATTCCCTCATTTTGTCTAATTCTTTGGCCTGTCTTTAACAAGAATCCTATTAGGTTGGTTTAACAACCATCTATCTCCCTACCCTTGATGTTTCCTTTCAGTAATTTTCTATTCACTGACACTCTCTTCCTGCTGCTCCTTGGCTATACATCTGCACTTGTCATGAACAACTTGTTGGGGCAGACCAAGATGGCTGATTAGAAGCCGCTCTGGTCTGCACCTCTCACAGAGAAGTACAAAAACACTGAGTGAAATATACACCTTCAAATGAGGTATCCAGTTTCTCACACTGGGACTGACTAAGCAGTCAGTGAGACATATGGAGAGTGAGGAAAAGTAGATTGGAGTGACAGCCCACTCAGGAATAGCATGGAGTGAGGAGAGCTCCCACCTAGAGCAAGGGAGGCAGCCAAGGGAGGCAGCAACCCCACCTGGCAAGCCAAGCTTTTCCCATGGATCTTTGCAATCCACAGATCAGGAGATCCCCTCATGAGCCCATGCCACCAGGGCCTTGGGTTCAAATCACAGAGGCATGCAGACTCTCCATGGCTGCTTGGGCATGCATGGAGACACAGGTGTTTTTGCATACTTTGGCCCTGGGAATTCCGGTGAGGCAAGAGATCCATCCATTCCCCTAGGAAAGGAGTTGAAGCCAGGGAGTCAAGCAACGTCATTCAGCAGAACCAACTCACATGTTAACAACCCCTGACTTGGAATTCCAGCCAGCCAGCAGCACAGCAGCAGCAGGCTGGAGACTGCCTGAGACAACTGATTTCCCATAGGGAAAAAGTGGTCGCCATTCTTTGGCTCAAGTTAGCTGTCCTGGTCTGCTGGTTCTGGAGAGTCTGCGCAGTTCAGACAGAGAGGAAATTCCTACAGTGCAGCTCCACTGCTGTGGCATATCATGGCAAGACTGCTTCTTTAAGTGGAAACACAATGCATTCCTCCTCACCGGATGAGGCCTCCTTGCAGGAATTTCGGCAACTCCAGTCAGTTACAAAGAGAACTTTGATCTTCCTGGGACAGAGACCCTGGCGGGAGGGACTGCTGCAGTCTCTGAAGTTCACCCCACTTATCTTTTCCTGCCTGCTGGCTCTGGAGAGTCTGGGTGGTCTAGACAAGGAAGGTTCCCACCAACGCAATGCATCCACTCCGCCAAGGGGCAACCCAACTACTTCTTTAAGTGGATCACTAACCCCATTCCTTCTGACTAGGTGCAACCTCTCAAGAGAAGTCTCCAGAAATCTCCTACAGGAACATTTGGGCTGGCATCAGCTCAGTGCCCCTCTAGGACAGAGCTCCCAAAAGTAGCAGCAGGCTGCTATCTTTATTGTTTTGCAGCCTTTGCTGATGACACCTCCAGGTGCAGGATGGACCCAGGTGATTAGGGTTTGGAGTATACCCCCACCAAACTCAAGCAGCCCTATGGAGGAGGGGCATGATTGTTAAAAGAAAAACAAAGAAACAGAAAGCAACAACAACATCAACAAAAAAGACCCCACAAAAAACCCATTCAAAGGTCAGCAACCTCAAAGATCAAAAGTAGATAAGCCCACAAAGATAAAAGAAAGAATCAATGCAAAAACACCAAAAACTCAAAAACCAGAGTGCCTCTTCTCCTCTAAATAATCTCACTCGTGCAAGGGCAAAGAACTGGGCTGAGGCTGAGATGGCTGAATTGACAGAAGTAGGCTTCAGAAGGTGGGTAATAACAAACTTTGTTGAGCTAAAGGAGCATGTTCTAACCCAATGCAAAAAAGCTAAGAATCATAATAACACATTATAAGAGATGATAAACAGAATAGCCAGTTTAGAGAGGAACATAAATGACATTATAGAGCTAAAAAACACAACACAAGAACTTCACAATGCAATCACAAGTATCAATAGCCAAATAGATCAAATGGAGATAATAATCTCAGTGCTTGAACACTATCTCTCCAAAATAAGACAAGCAGATAAGAACAGAGAAAAAAAGAATAAAAAGAAACAAACAAAACTTCTCAGAAATATGGTATTATGTAAAAAGACCAAACCTACAACTGATTGGCATACCTGAAAGAAACAGGGAGAAAGGAACTAAGTTGGAAAATATATTTCAGGATATCATCCAGGAGAACTTCCCAAACCTAGAAAGACAGGCTAACATTTAAATTCAGGAAATTCAGAGAACACCAGTAAGATACTCCATAAAAAACTAACCCCAAGAAACATAATCACTAGATACTCCAAGGTTGACATGAAAGAAATAATGTTAAGGACAGCCAGAGAGAAAGACCAGATCATCCATTACACTAACAGTGGACCTCTCAGTGGAAACCCTACAAGCCAGAAAAGATTGGGGGCCAATATAATTATTCATTCTTAGAGAAAAGAATTTCCAACCCAGAGTTTCATATCCAGCCAAACTAAGCTTCATAAGTGAGGGAGAAAGAAGATCCTTTTCAGACAACCAAATGCTATGAAAATTTGTCACTACTAGGCCTGCCTTGCAAGAGCTTCTGAAGGAAGAACTAAATATGGAAAGAAAAGACCATTACCAGCCACTACAAAAACACAATAAAGTATAAAGGCCAGTAACACTATGAAACAATTACATAAAAATCTGCAAAATAACTGGCTAGCATCATGAAGATGGGATCAAATTCACACACATTAATATTAACCTTAAATGTAAATGGACTAAATGCCCTAGAATAGAAAGCTGAATAAACAGTTAAGGCTTATTCAAACCAAAAAAGATCAAAAAAGACAAAGAACGGCATTACACAGTGGTAAAGGGTTCAATTCAAGAAAAAGTACTAACTATCCTAAATAAATATGGACCCAATACAGGAGTATCCAGATTCGGAAAGCAAGTTCTTAGAGACCTACAAAGAGAGTTAGACTCCCACAGAATAATAGTGGGAGAGTTTAAAACCCCACTGACAATATTACATAATTGAGACTGAAAATTAACAAAGATATTTAGGAACTGAACTCAGCTCTGGAACAAGTGGACCTCATAGATATCTACAAACCTATCTACCCCAAAACAAGAGATATACACTTACTCTAAAATTTATCACGTAATTGGAAGTAAAACACTCCTCAGAAAATGCAAAGGAACTGAAATAATAATAAACAGTCTCTCAGACTCTCTTACAACTCAACGTTAAGAAACCCACTCAAACACACACAACTACATGTAAATTGAACAATCTGCTCCTGAATGACTCCTGTGTAAATAATGAAATTAAGGCAGAAATCAAGAAGTTCTGTGAAACTAATGAGAACAAAAGGACAACATGCCAGAATCTCTGAGACACAGCTAAAGTGGTGCTAAGAGGGAAATTTATAACACTAACTGCCCACATCGAAAGGCTAGGAAGATTTCAAATTGGCAATGTGACATCACAACTAAAAGAACTAGAGAACCAAAAGCAAACAAACACCAAAGCTAGCAGAAGGCAAGAAATAACAAAGATCAGAGTAGAACTGAAGGAGATAGAAACACAAAAACCCTTCAAAAAATAAACAAATCCAGGACCTGGGCTTTTTTTTTTTTTTTGGCTTTGAAAAAATTAATAAAATACATAGACCACTAGCTAGACTAATAAAGAAAAAGGAGAATAATCAAATAGAATCAGAAATGATAAGAAGAATATCACCACTGATCCCACAGAAATACAATCATCAGAGAATACTATAAATACCTCTATGCACATAAACTAGAAAATCAAAAAGAAATGGATACATTCCTGGATGCATATACCTTCTCAAGACTGAACCAGGAAGAAATTGAATCCCTGAATAGACTGATAATAAGTTCTGAAATTGAGGCAGTAATAAATAGCTTACCAACCAAATAAAGCCCAGGTCTAGACAGATTTACTGCTAAATTCTACCAGAGGTACAAAGAGGAGCTGCTACCATTTCTTCAGAAACCATTCCGAACAATGGAAAAGGAGGAACTTCTCCTAAACCCATTTTCTGAGGCCAGCATCATCTGGATATAAAAACTTGTTAGAAATACAAAAAAACAAACAACAACAGCAAACTTCAGGCCAATATCCCCAAGGAATATTGATGCAAAGACCCTCAATAAAATACTGGCAAACAGAATCCAGCAGCACATCAAAAAGCGTACCCACAATGATTAAGTAAGGTTCATTCCTGAGATGCAAGATTGGTTCAACATATACAAATCAATACATGTAGTTCATTCCATAAACAAAACTAAAGACAAAAACAACATGATTATCCCAATAAACACAAAAAAACTTTGATGAAATTCAGATTCCCTTTAGTATAAAAACTCTTAATAAACTCAGTATTAAAGGAGCATACCTCAAAATAATAAGAGCCATATATGAAAACCCACAGCCAATATTATACTGAATGGGAAAAAGCTGGGAGCATTCACCCCTTGAAAATAAGCACGAGATAAGAATGCCCTCTCTGATCACTTCTATTTAACATAGTATTGGAAGTTCTGGCCAGGGCAATCAGGCAAGAGAAAGAAATAAAGAGTATTCAAATAGCAAGAGAGGAAGTCAAATTATCTTTGTTTGCAGATGACATGATCCTATATCTACAAGACCCCATTGTTTCAGCCCAAAAGCTTCTTAAGCTGATAAGCAACTTCAGCAAAGTTTCAGTATACAAAATTGATCTGCAAAAATCGCTAGCATTCCTATACACCAAGAACAGGCAAGCAGAGAGCCAAATCATGAATGAACTCCTATTCTCAATTGCTACAAAGAGAATAAAATATCTAGGAATACAGCTAACAAGGGAAGTGAAGGACATCTTCAAGAAGAACTACAAACTGCTGCTCAAAGAAATCAGAGAGGACAAAAACAAATGAAAAAATATTCCATGCTCATGGACAGGAAGAATAAATGTCGTGAAAATGGTCATACTGCCCAAGGTAATTTATAGATTCAATGTTATTGTTATTAAACTACCGCTGACATTCTTCACAGAATAAGAAAAAAAAACTATTTTAAAATTCATATGGAAACAAAAAAGAGCCCTATAGCCAAGACAATCCTAAGAAAAAACAAACAAACAAAACAAAAAAAGATGAAGACATCACACTACCTGACTTTAAACTATACTACAAGGCTACAGTAACCAAAACAGCATGGTACTGTTACAAAAACAGACACATAGATAATGGAACAGAATAGAGAACTCATAAACAAGACTGCACACTTAACAACCATTTGATCTATGACAAATATGACAAAACAAGCAATGGGGAGAAGATATTTTACTTAATAAATGATGCTGGGAGAACTTGCTAGCCATATGAAGAGAATTGAAACTGGACCCCTTTCTTATCTTTAAACAAAAATTAACTCAAGATGAACTAAAACTTAAATGTAAAACTCAAAACTATAAAAATGCTAGAAAAAAAAATCTAGACAATACCATTAAGGACATAGGCACAAGCAAAGATTTTATGATGAAAATGCCAAAAGCAGTTGCAACAAAAGCAAAAATTGACAAATGGAAACTAATTAAAGAGCATCTGCACAGCAAAAGAAACTATCATCAAAGTGAACAGACAACCTGTAGAATTAGAAAAAAAAATTGCAATTTATCTCTCTGTGAGAGGTCCAATATCCAGAATCTGCAATGAATTAAAACAAGTTTATGAGAAAAAAACAAACCAAACAACCTCATTAAAAATTGGGCAAGAGGCATTAACAGACAGTTCTCAAAGGAGGACATTCTTGTGGCCAAAAAACATGAAAAAAATCACATGACTGAACATTAGAGAAATCCAATTCAAAACCACAATAAGATACCATCTCATTCCAGTCAGAATGGCAATTATTAAAAAGTCAAGAAACAACAGATGCCAGTGAGGATGCTGAGAAAAAGGAATGTTTTTACACTGTTGGTGAAAGTATAAATTAGTTCAAACATTGTGGAAGAAAGTGTGGCAATTCCTCAAAATTCTAGAAACAAAAGTACCATTTGACCCAGCAATCCCATTACTGAGTATGTACCCAAAGGAACATAAATCATTCTGTTATAAAGATGCATGCAGGCATATGTTCATTGCCTCACTATTTACAATACCAAAGATATGGAATCAACTGAAATGCCCATCAATGAGAGACTGGACAAAGAAAATGTGGTACATATACACCATGGAATACTATGCAGCCATAAAAGGGAACAAGATCATGTCCTTTGCAGGAACATGGATGAAGCTGGAAGTTAGTGTCCTTAGCAAACTAACACAGGAACAGAAAACTAAACACATGTGCTCACTTCTAAGTGGGAGCAGAACAATTAGAACACACAGACACATGGTAGGGTGGGTTGGAAACAACACAAACTGAGGCCTGTCCGTGGGGGTAGGAAAAAGGAAAGCATTAGAAAGAATAACTAGTAGATGCTGAACTTAATACCTAGGGGATGGGTTTTTCTGTGCAGCAAACCACTGTTGCACACATTTACCTATATAACAAACTTGCACATCCTGCACATATACCCCAGAACTTAAAATAAAAGTTGAAAAAAAATGTGTTGATGTACTCCATGAAATTCTAGTAAACTATGTTTTAGTTGTATAAATTTTTGAGGTAGATAATATGATGTTTTCATATACATATTTATAGTTAAGTTATTACTACAGGTAAGTGATTTAACGTTATCTATCACCTTCTATAGTTACATATATATTTGTGTGTGCATATGTGTGTACATATCACACAAGTGTGATATATATATATAAAAACACACTTGTATTTACTTCTATATTATATATTATTTACATATATAAAATATATGTTAATATATAAGGTCTATACTAATTTTAAATAAAATATAAATTGCAAAAGAAACAGGTGAAAGAAAGCTATATCATTGACATACTACAATTTAATCTTTTATTTAAGTTTCATATATATGGAAATTTTATTTTTCAGTGCAAATATATACTAACTAGCTAATTAATCTGGTGAAAGTGCTATTAATTTTCCAAATTTTTCTTTCCATTAGGTTCTGATTAATATTATAAAATTAGTAAATTATAATCTATACTTGTAATTCATGTAGACATATAGAGGTAAGGAGATTAGCATTTTAAAACAAGTAAATATTTTTAAAGTAACTTTACATAATAAAGTATGAAATTTAATATGCAGAAACTACATATCCATTTTGCTGTTAAAGCAACATTGTGAGTCAATTAATATTTAAATGTTTTATGTTTAGTAACTTAGAAAAAGAGAAAGTGATTTGGACAGATGTGGTCTTGGTGGGATTCCATTATTTAAAGAACACCATGTTGAGCTACCAAAGGCCTAAAAAGCAAGGAGAAAAATAAAGAATGAGTTTTATGAAGTCCCAGAGGATGTTCAAAGTTGATTTATCATGTGGCATGCCAGGAAACATCAAAAGATGATTAAAATATATGTTAGTGTTTTCATGCTAGAGAAAAGCACTGAAAGCAAACAGTAAAATCCAGCTTTCCCTGAATAAAAAGGAGTCTTTCTCTGAATTCAGTTCCACAACAGTAAAGGAGATACCTCTGTACCCGTTATAAAAAAAAACAAATATTTTACATTTAAATTGTGAGGCAACCATGCCCCCCTCTCCCTCTTTCCTTCTCTCTCTCTTTTGAGATCTTCAGTTCAGTTGAGTCACTCTCTTCATACAAACTCCCTCCTAAGAGTCCTATAAGAAAAAACAACCACTAAAATATAGTGCATTTTGAACTGGCCAGGAGAATATGGCCAGAAGCCAGATTGCCTGCTTCACATTCCAGCTCTGTCCTTTGTGTTCATTAGGTTTGTGACCCTGGTCAAGTTACTTAATTTATTTCTTCCTCCATTTCCATATCTATACATGGTAATAATAAAAACAGCAGTACTTACCACATAGATTATTATCATTAAATATGCATTTGAAATATATTTATCTTTTTAATTAATCAATCATTGTTGAGGAGTGTCTGGTACATAATAATACATGTTAAGTATTAGTATTTACTCAGCACATATACTTGGAAAGTCTCTTTGATCCAGGGTACTATGATTGATAGTTTGCAGTTTAAACCTGAAAGACTGAGAAGCAGGAGCGATGAAGCCAGGAGAAAATTGCTGTGTTAGCTCAAGCAGTCAAGCAGAGAGCCAGTGAATGCTCCCTGCCTTTACCTTTTGGCTCTATGTGGGCCCTCAATGAATTGGATGATGGTCACCCATATTGGGGAGGGCTATGTGCTTTAATAAGCCCACCAATTCAAATGCTAATCTCTTTAGAAATAACCTCACACACAAATCCAGAAATAATGTTTAACCAGGTATCAGGACATTCCCTGATCCAGTCAAGTTGACACATAAACTTAATTATCATAATTCCCTAGTAGGGTTGTCTCCTAACCCAGTATTACTAGTGTAGTGTACTTTAAAAAAAAATGTAATGTGAAGTGATGGACACATACAAGGAGAAAATAGCTATGTAAAGATACAGATATTTGAGTTATGTCACCACAAACCAAGGAATGTCTGACTCCGCCAGAAGCTAGGAAGAGGCAGGGAAAAAATCTTCCAGTAGAGACTTGAGAGGGAGCATGACCGTGCTAATACATTGATTTGTTTTTTTTTAAATCTTTTATTTTAGGTTCAGGGGTACATGTGCATGTTTGTTATATAGGTAAACTCGTATCACAGGGGTTTGTTAAATAGATTATTTTATCACACAGGTATTAAGCCTAGTACCCAATAGTTGTTTTTTCTGCTCATCTCCCTCCTCCCACCCTTTTCCCTCAAGTAGACCTCAGTGTCTGTTGTTCCCTTCTTTGTATTTGAGTTCTCATTATTCAGCTCCCACTTCTAAGTGAGAACATGTGGTATTTGGTTTTCTGCTCCTGCATTAGTTTCGTAAGGATAATAGCCTCCAGCTCCATCTATATTCCTGCAAAAGACGTTCTCCTTCATGTTCATGGCTTCATAGTATTCCATGGTGTATATGTACCACATTTTCTTGATCCAATCTGTCATTGATGAGCACTTAGGTTGATTCCATATCTTTGCTATTGTGAATAGTGCTTCAATAAACATTCACGTGCATGTGTCTTTACAGTAGAATGATTTATATTTATTTGAGTGTATACCCAAATTGATAGGATTGCTTACTTACAGCCTCCAAAACTGTAAAATAGAAATCACATTGTTTTTAGACTCCCAGTTGTTACTGCAGCCCTAGGAAATTACACAGATACCCCTTGCATGTTCTCCCACACCACAGTGTGTTCTCCTTATTTTAGCACTGATCATACTTAGTTGCATTTTTTCATTTATCTGCCAGTATTTTGCATTAGTCTACATTTTTTGAGAGAAAGGCTAAGCTTATTTTGTGAATCATTTTAACTCCTGCACCTAACAGAAATCCAGACACTTTATTAATTTAATAAAATGTTTGTTTTTGTAAATGAAGTAAATTAATTTCAAGTTTCAGCAACCTGCATGGTAAGTTTATATTTCATAAAAGATAATTTGTAATTACTACTTAAGAACAATTAATATACAATGTTTTGCCTTATATTCCTATTTTTTAAAATAATTGTTTACTTACAAAAGCCTTCCATGTAATCATCACCTAACTAAAAAAATTAATGCATATATAAGTACAAATTTTAAAATATTAATGTAATCATTTGTATTTACAAAGAGATACAATTTAAATACCATAAAATTTACCCCTTCATAGTGTATAATTCAGTAATTTTAGTAGATTTCCAAAGCTTTGTAACCATCCTCACTAATATTAGAACGTGTTCACCACCCCTAAAAGAAATCCGATACCGATTGGCAGCCATTCTCTGTTTCTCCCTTTTTACAGGGGGCTGTAAAACAACTAATCTACTTTTTGTTTCTAAAAATCTACCTAATCTAGATATTTTACATAAATGGAATCTTACAATATGTAGCCTTTTGTTTCTGTTTCTTTCACTTAGCATAATGTTTTCAAAGTCCATCCATATTGCAGCATGTCTCAGCATTTCATTATTTTTCTTGACAGAGTATTGATCTATTGTATGAAAATATGAATTTTGTTTATTTATTTATCAGCAAACGGACATTTGTTTCTTCTATTTTTCCATTATTAAAAATGATGCTATCAATAATAATGAATGCACTAGTTTTTCATGTAGACATATATTTTCCATTTTCTAGGGTATGTATCCAGGAGAGGAATTGATGATCATAACATAACTGTATGTTTCATTTTTTGAGGATCTACCACACTATATATTTTTTTTAGATTCATGTGGATGTTGGTTACAAGGGAATATTACATAATGCTGAGTTGCAGACTTTGGTAAGTTTCAGCTCTCTTGAATCCATCACAGGAATAGGGAACATAGTATCCAGTGGGTGTTTTTTTTTAATCCTACCCTCCTCCCATCTCCTCATTTTTGGAGTCCCCAGTGACTATCACTTCCGTCTTTATGTCCATGTGTACGCATATTTTACCTCACACTTATATGCGAGAACGTGCAATATCTAATTTTCTGTTTCTGTGTTAATTTACTTAGAATGATAACCTCCACCTGCATCCACATTGCTGAAAATGACATGATTTTATTCTTTTTTACACCTCTGTAGTATTACATGGAGTATATATGCCAAATTTTCTTTATCTAGTCTACCATTAATAGGCACTTAGGTTGATTCCATGACATTTCTATTGTGAATAGTGCTTCAATAAACATATGAATGCAGATATCTTTTTGATAGAGTGATTTCTTTTTCTTTGGGTAGATAACCAGTAGTGGGATTGCTGGGTCAACTGACGGTTCTAATTTTAGGTCCTTGAGATATCTCCACATAATTTTGCATAAGGGTTGAACTAATCTACATTCCCACCAACATACCACACTATTTTTCAAAGAAGCTGCCCTATTGTACCTTCCCACCAACAATGTATGAGGGTTCTAATTTCTCTGCTTTCTTACCAAAACTTGTTATGATCCATTTTTTTCTTATACTTAACCTGTGAAGTGCTATAGCATTATGATTTTAACTTGCATTTCCTGAATGACTTATTAATTTGAACATATCTTCTTGTATTTATTGTTCATTTATATATCCTCTTGAAGCAATGTTTATTTAAATCTTTTGTCCATGTATTATTGGATCACATGTATTTTTATTTTTAATTGGATTTTTGTATATTCTGACATTACTCCCTTATCAGAAATGTAATTTGGAAATATTGTATATCATGCTGTGGGTTGACTTCTCACTTTATTGATAGCATCCTTTTGTTATCAAAATGCCAGTGATTTGGTCTGGGCCTTGCCGCTCACTGCACAGAAAGCCAATCACTGAGACAACAAGTATTGTGAGTTAAGAAGGCTTTAATCATGTGCTGCAGCTGAGAAGATGAGAGATCAGTGTCAAATCCCTCTCCCGGATTGACTAAAATTAGGGGTTTACATAGCAAGGAAGAAGTGTGACCATCTGTGGGAAAACAGGAATTAGTGAGGGGTAAGGAAGAGTAATTGGTCAGGGAGAAGCAAGTGGTCAGTTAGGCAATCATGATGAGTAAAGATTCCAGTGTTCCATTGTCCAGATGCAGGAATTTGGTAAGTTTCAGCTCCTTGATACTATCTAGAAGACATGATGATGAGTTTCTGACAAAGGAAGTCAAATAAGACAAATGTAACTTTCTCATAAGACTGAGAGAATCAATTTCCATGTTTATTCAAAGAAGCCATAAATATCAGTTCTATGGGACAATTTGGCAGGTTTCACTTTGAGACATATATATATCACATATAGAACATAAATATTATTTTTATAAGATTCAACTTGTATACTTTTTGTTTTTGTGGTTGCTTATGCTTTTGTTGTCAAATGTAAGAAATCATTTCCTAATTCAAGTTCAGGAAGATATACATCTACATTTTTTTTCTTTTCCTAAGAATTTTATAGTTGTAGTTGTTACATTTAGTTTTTTATGTACTCTGAGTCATTTTTTCTTATATAGTGGTTGTCTGTTTGTTTGGCTAAACATAAAAATGGACCTTCTGGTTTTAAAGCTTCAAAGTTACATTTGGTTTTCTTGCATTCTTCCCTCAGAAAATGATCTTCAGGCCTGTCAAGAAAAGCATCAAAGAACTGAAAATTACCAGATCACTACATCCATACAGTGAGATGCTGGACTTCTCATTAATTATGATTGCTTCCTTGCCCCTCCCTAGTTCTTATTTTCTAACACATTGTTAGATTTCTACCCTGCTATATAAACCCCTAGTTTTTTGGGGTTTTATTTATTTATTTTTTTTGAGATGGAATTTTGCTCTTGTTGCCCAGGCTGGAGTGCAATGGTGCGATCTCAGGTCACTGCAACCTCCACCTCCCAGGTTCAAGTGATTCTCCTGCCTCAGCCTCATGAGTAGCTGGAATTACAGGCATGAGCTACCACATCTGGCTAATTTCATATTTTTAGTGGAGATGGGGTTTCTCCAATAAACCTCTAGTTTTAGTTGGTGAGGGAGATGGATTTGAGACTGATCTGCAATCTCCTTGGCTGTGGCATCCAACTAAAGCCTTCTTCCTTGGCAATACTCATCATCTCAGTCATTTGCTTTCTATTTGGTAAGCAGCAGGACCTAGACTGAACCCCTGATATTAGGGTAACATAGTCAATTTTGTAATCTAATTTACAGATATTTTTATAATTGAATATGTATTGAAAAATATTGATTTTTAAATTTGCATTTCCTTCATTAAGAACCTGAAACTTTAAATAGATCATAGCGCATATATGTTATATATATATATATAAAATAATTAAATTTTGAGAAGGAGCATTCATACAGAAGTTTTAAGCAAATTTAAAAGGATTCTGAAAAGTTAATTCCATAAAAATAAATCTCACACAAATTAAAATCTGAAAGCAATGTTTTTCTTACATTCTTTTTAATAAAATGTGCACTTATAGTTTATGTCTTGCTTAAAAGCAGGAGGAAAAGCAGCACAAGTACAGTAAAGCATTATTGTCATTAAAAGTTGCTTTTACATTCTGAGAGAATGGAGGAAAAATGTAAAAAAGTAGCTTGATTAAAATTGTCTAAAATACTATTATAGTATACTAAAAATGACATTGGAAAGGCATTTACAAATTAAAAAGATATAATAGATTGTTTTTTTTCTGATTTTTAATATTTGTAATTTTAATCTTTCCCCAAATAAATATATTATTTTTATTAAACCCACATATGTAGAAACCATACAACCAGAAAAAAATATTGTTTCTACTAATATTTCTGAAACTGACTACATTGGGATAGATACAAAATTACTTTTTTAAATGTGGAAATGAAGTTAAAAAGAAGTGATTATTTCAATGCATATTGACAACATATTCTGGACTAAAGAGATAAAAGGCACTTGTATTAGGGTGCTCTAGAGGGACATAATTAATAGGAACCATATATATATGGGAGTTTATATAATACATATAGTATATAAGTATATATATATACTTTTGAGAAGTGTCCATTCATATACTTCGCCCACTTTTTGATGGGGTTGTTTATTTTTTTCTTGTAAATTTGTTTGAGTTCATAGTAGATTCTGGATATTAGCCCTTTGTCAGATGAGTAGGTTGAGAAAATTTTCTCCCATTTTGTAGGTTGCCTGTTGACTCTGATGGTAGTTTCTTTTGCTGTGCAGAAGCTCTTTAGTTTAGTTACATCCCATTTGTCAATTTTGGCTTTTGTTGCCATTGCTTTTGGTGTTTCAGACATGAAGTCCTTGCCCATGCCTATGTCCTGAATGGTAATGTCTAGGTTTTCTTCTAGGGTTTTTATGGTTTTAGGTCTAATGTTTAAGTCTTTAATCCATCTTGAATTAATTTTTGTATAAGGTGTAAGGAAGGGATCCAGTTTCAGCTTTCTATGTATGGCTGGCCAGTTTTCCCAGCACCATTTATTAAATAGGGAATCCTTTCCCCATTGCTTCTTTTTCTCAGGTTTGTCAAAGATCAGATAGTTGTAGATATGCGGCGTTATTTCTGAGGGCTCTGTTCTGTTCCATTGATCTATATCTCTGTTTTGGTCCAGTGCCATGCTGTTTTGGTTACAGTAGCCTTGTAGTATAGTTTGAAGTCAGGTAGTGCGATGCCTCCAGCTTTGTTCTTTTGGCTTAGGATTGACTTGGAGGCGCGGGCTCTTTTTTGGTTCCATATGAACTTTAAAGAAGTTTTTTCCAATTCTGTGAAGAAAGTCATTGGTAGCTTGATGGGGATGGCATTGAATCTATAAATTACCTTGGGCAGTATGGCCATTTTCACAATATTGATTCTTCCTATCCATGAGCATGGAATGTTCTTCCGTTTGTTTGTATCCTCTTTTCTTTCCTTGAGCAGTGGTTTGTAGTTCTCCTTGAAGAGGTCCTTCACATCAATTGTAAGTTGGATTCCTAAGTATTTTATTCTCTTTGAAGCAATTGTGAATGAGAGTTCACTCATGATTTGGCTCTCTGTTTGTCTGTTATTGGTGTATAAGAATGCTTGTGATTTTTGTACATTGATTTTATATCCTGAGACTTTGCTGAAGTTGCTTATCAGCTTAAGGAGATTTTGGGCTGAGACAATGGGGTTTTCTAGATATACAGTCATGTCATCTGCAAACAGGGACAATTTGACTTCCTCTTTTTCTAACTGAATACCCTTTATTTCCTTCTGCTGCCTAATTGCTGTGGCCAAAACTTCCAACACTATGTTGAATAGGAGTGGTGAGAGAGGGCATCCCTGTCTTGTGCCAGTTTTCAAAGGGAATGCTTCCAGTTTTTGCCCATTCAATATGATATTGGCTGTGGGTTTGTCATAGATAGCTGTTATTATTTTGAGGTACGTCCCATCAATACCTAATTTATTGAGAGTTTTTAGCATGAAGGTTTGTTGAATTTTGTCAAAGGCCTTTTCTGCATCTATTGAGACAATCATGTGGTTTTTGTCTTTGGTTCTGTTTATATGCTGGATTACATTTATTGATTTGCATATATTGAACCAGCCTTGCATCCCAGAGATGAAGCCCACTTGATCATGGTGGATAAGCTTTTTGATGTGCTGCTGGATTCGGTTTGCCAGTATTTTACTGTGGATTTTTGTATCAATGTTCATCAAGGATATTGGTCTAAAATTCTCTTTTTTGGTTGTGTCTCTGCCCGGCTTTGGTATCAGGATGATGCTGGCCTCATAAAATGAGTTAAAGAAGACATTTATGCAGCTAAAAGACACATGAAAAAATGCCCATCATCACTGGCCATCAGAGAAATGCAAATCAAAACCACAATGAGATACCATCTCACACCAGTTAGAATGGCAATCATTAAAAAGTCAGGAAACAACAGGTGCTGGAGAGGATGTGGAGAAATAGGAACACTTTTACACTGTTGGTGAGACTCTAAACTAGTTCAACCATTGTGGAAGTCAGTGTGGCGATTCCTCAGGGATCTAGAACTAGAAATACCATTCGACCCAGCCATCCCATTACTGGGTATATACCCAAAGGATATAAATCATGCTGCTATAAAGACACATGCACACGTATGTTTATTGTGGCACTATTCACAATATCAAAGACTTGGAACCAACCCAAATGTCCAACAATGATAGACTGGATTAAGAAAATGTGGCACATATACACCATGGAATACTATGAAGCCATAAAAATGATGAGTTCATGTCCTTTGTAGGTACATGGATGAAATTGGAAATCATCATTCTCAGTAAACTATCGCAAGGACAAAAAACTAAACAACGCATGTTCTCACTCACAGATGGGAATTGAACAATGAGAACACATGGGCACACGAAGGGGAACATCAAACTCTGGGCACTGTTGTGGGGTGGGGGTAGCGGGGAAGGATAGCATTAGGAAATATACCTAATGCTAAATGATGAGTTAATGGGTGCAGCACACCAGCATGTCACATTTGTACATATGTAACACAACTGCTCGTTGTGCACATGTACCCTAAAACTTAAAGTATAATAAAAAAAAAAATACTCCATGGATACAGCACCCTAAAACTTAAAGTATAATAATAAAAAAAAATACTCCATGGATACAAAAAAGAATATATATATACTATATATCCTATATATAGTATATATATACTATATATCCTATATATAGTATATATATACTATATATCCTATATATAGTATATATATACTATATATATACTATATATCCTATATATAGTATATATATACTATATATATACTATATATCCTATACATAATATATGTATACTATATATACTATATATCCAATATATATACTATATATATACTATCTATCCTATATATACTATATATACGATATATATACTATATATCATATATATAGGACATATACTATATATACGATATATATATATCCTATATATAGTATATATATACTATGTATAGGATATATAGTATATATATACTATATATAGGATATATAGTATATATATAGTATATATATACTATATATAGATTATATATCCTATATATACTATATATACTATATATAGGATATATATACTATGTATATATATATGTATGTATGTTCTACATGTAGTGTGTATATATATCCTATATATAGTGTATATATAGAATATATACTATATACCCTATATATAGTACATATGTAGTATATATATACTCTATATCCTATATATAGTACATATGTAGTATATATATACTATATATCCTATATATAGTACATATGTAGTATATATATACTCTATATCCTATATATAGTACATATGTAGTATATATATACTATATATCCTATATATAGTACATATGTAGTATATATATACTATATATCCTATATATAGTACATATGTAGTATATATATACTATATATCCTATATAAAGGATATATATAGTATGTATACTTTATATCCTATATATAGTATATATATAGTATATATACTATATATATACTATATATCCTATATCTCATATATATAGTATATATATACTATATACCTACTATATATAGTATATATATACTATATACCTACTATATATAGTATATATATATACTATATACCTACTATATATAGTATATATATACTATATACCTACTATATATAGTATATATATACTATATACCTACTATATATAGTATATATATATACTATATACCTACTATATATAGTATATATATATACTATATACCTACTATATATAGTATATATATATACTATATACCTACTATATATAGTATATATATATACTATATACCTACTATATATAGTATATGTATATACTATATACCTACTATATATAGTATGTATATACTATATACCTACTATATATAGTATGTATATACTATATACCTACTATATATAGTTTATATATACTATATACCTACTATATATATATCCTATATATATACTATATATCCTGTATTTAGTATATATAGTATATATGATATATATTATATGTATACTTATTTATCCTATATATAGTGTATATATAGGATATATATACACTATATTTATCCTATATATAGTATATATATGCTACATATCCTATATATATTTATATAAATATATATATACTATATGTCCTATATATAATTATATAAGGATATATATACTATATATCCTTATATAATTATATAAGGATATATACTATATATATCCTTATATAATTATATAAGTAAATATACTATATATCCTATATAGACACTATATATAGTGTAAATATACTATATATCCTATATTATATATATACTATATATCCTATATTATATATATACTATATATCCTATTAGACATTATATATAGTGTAAATATACTATATATCCTATATTATATATATACTATATATCCTATATATATTATATATATACTATATATCCTATATATATTATATATATACTATATATCCTATATATATTATATATATACTATATATCCTATATATATAGTATATATATACTATATATCCTATATAGACATTATATGTAGTGTATATATAGTATATATCCTATATATGTATATAAGTATATATAATATACTATATATCCTATATATAGCATATATATATAGTGTATATATATACTATATATAGGATAGTACATATGTAGAATATATGGGATATACAGTATATATATACTATAAGATATACAGTATATATACTATAGTATATACAGTATATATGTACTATAGGATTTACAGTATATATATACTATAGGATATACAGTTTATATAGTATAGGATATACAGTATATATACTGTAGGATATACAGTATATATATATAATAGGATATACAGTATATGTATACTATAGGATATATTGTATATACAGGATATGTAGTGTATATATATACTGTAGGATATATAGTATATGTAGGATACATAGTATACTCTACTATAGGATAGTATAATATAGGATATATAGTATATTTATACTATAGATAGGATACATGTTATATATGTTATAGATCGGATACATAGTATCCTATCTGTAGGATAGATACATAGTATCCTATCTATAGTATATATATATATATACTTATATCCTATCTATATTATATATATATACTTATATTCTATCTATAGTATATATATATACTTATATCCTATCTATAGTATAGATCATATATAAAGTCTATATATACTATAGATAGGATACTATGTGTCCTATCTATAGTATATATAGAGTTTATATATGATCTATAGTATATATATACTTTATATACGATCTATAGTATATATACACTTTATATACGATCTATAGTATATATATACTTTATATACTATCTCTGGTATATATATAGGATATATAGTATATAATATATATACTTACATACTTATGTATATTATATAAACTCCTATATATAGTTATATATACATGTGTATATATATAGGAGTTTATTAAGTCCTATATATAAACCTATTTATAAGTCCTATATATAAACTCCTATATATATAGGAGTTTTTTAAATATTAACTTACATAATCACAATGTCCCAAAATAGGCTGTCTGCAACCTGAGGAGCAAGTATAACCAGTCCAAGTCAAAGTCCCAAAAGTGAAGAACTTGGAGTACAATTCTGGAGGGCAGAAAGCATCCTGCATGGGAACAAGATGTAGCTGGGAGGCTAGGCCAGTCTCTCCTTTTTTGTTTTTTTTTTTTTTTTTTTTGGAGACAGAATCTTGCTCTGTCGCCCAGGCTGGAGTGCAGTGGCGCAAACTCAGCTCACTGCAAGCTCCACCTCCTGAGTTCACGCCATTCTCCTGTCTCTGCCGCCCAAGTCTCTCCTTTTTATGTTTTCCTGCCTGCTATATATTCACTGCCTCCTGATTTGATTGTGCCCACCAGATGAAGGGTGGATCTGCCTCCTCCAGCCCACTGACTCAAAATGTTAATCTCTTTTGGCAACACCCTCACAGACACACTCAGGATCAATACTTTGTATCCTTCAATCCAATCAAGTTGATACTTAGTATTAACAATCATAGCAGTGTTTTAAGTTTAGTATATAGGGTAGACCAGCAAGATCTGATTGCTAAACTACCTTAATATATGATTATCAAGCTTTAAGTGTTCAGTAGACTCACTCTCTAGAAATTTCTATGAATGTAAGTTTATTTTTCTCATCTGTTTGTAAGCTGAATCATCTGCCTGAATAGTGGGAAACAGCAACTACAGACTTCACTCTATGGGACACGTGTATATGTAGTACATATCAGGCAATTAAACTTTTTCTTGTAATGTCATAACTTTTCTCTGCTTCTTTGGAGTACTTCCAGCATCACCAGTGGCACTTTGTATGGGTCTCACAGTGTTGGTCACAGTTTACAGTATTGCACTAAACACGATAAAAAATACACAAGAGCCACGAGACATTTTTTTACTGTGATATGTAATTTACTGTAGAGACAACTGCTCATGAAGAGATGATTAGCATCACACAGTGTTTTAAGCAGATGCTAGGAACACTTGAGCTCACTGCAATAGCAACAGGAGATTGCTGCAAAATTGTTACAATAGTACAATATGTAGTACAGTTAATGTAATGCAGTTATAATTTCATACTGCATCTTTACATTTGTTTACATTTCTCTGTGAGTGATGCCATGTACAGTCTGTGTGTATAAGTTTTGATAAATTACTTATAATAGATTTGTGTATATCTTATGTTAGGAAATGATAAAATAGACATACTTTTAAATATTGTGTGCATACATAAACAGCAAACTTTCCCTTTTTTAAAATAATATTTCTGGGCTATAAAATTTTTTTGTAAGATTTTTTAAATTGTTGCAAATCTCCAAAACTGTTTTCATTATACATATTGGAAAAAAAAGTCCCATGTATAAGTGGACCTGTTCAGTTCAAACTCGTGTTGTCCAAGGGTCAATTGTATTATAAACCCAAAAAATAACAATATTTTTAAAGTTTTATGTATAGAATATGGATTAAAAACACTATGCACTTTTCTCCTCCTGGCATATTATTTTGAGTTGTCCCTCAGTTATTCCAAATATATTAAAACATTACATCTAGAAAACTAATTTTACTAAAAAACTCCAGGTTAAATATTTACTTAAATCTTTTAATTTGTAATAAACTTTAGTAACAAATATGTTAAATAATTTTAGTAGATGTTCAATTAACAAACGATAAATAATCTAGCAAGCAATATTTATTTTTATATAGGAGCTTGAAGTGTGTTTGTGAAAGGAGAATGTGTATTCCATAAAGGTAATATTTAACGAGACCATGCTGAAGGTTTAATACTGCAAAGGCCCACACTCCACATGTTGATGGCCCTATGCTGGGAACTTCCCACTGGAAGATCTGATTAATTAAATTATAACCTTTAGGCCAGGTGCAGTGTCTCACACCTGTAATCCCAGCACTGTTGGAGGCCAAGGCAGCTGGATCACTTAAGGTCAGGAGTTTGAGACCAGCCTGGCCAACATGGTGAAGGCCCATATCTACTAAAAATGCAAAAATTAGCCAGGCATGGTGGCAGATACCTGTAATCCCAGCTGCTCTGGAAGCTGAGGCAGGAGAATTGCTTGAAGCCAGGAGGCGGAAGTTGCAGTGAGCTGAGGTTGCTGTCACTGCACTCCAGCTTGGGCGACAGAGAGACTTAGTCTCAAAAATAAATAAATAAAATAAATATAAAAATATAAATAAGTAAATAAATTATAACCTTTAGAAACTATAATTTCTTTAAACTATTTAATATAGTAACTTAACCTCACTAAAGATGCATTTCTTTTAGATATACCAAAAATCTTATCTCTAGTTTTGTGAGAAAATATTATGTCATTTTTGTTCATCTTCATTATATAATTTTTATTTACAGTTATACATTATTTTTAATCTCACTATTTATTTAAATTCATAAATTTAGTTTGTGCTGTTTTACTTTTAATATTAGTTTTAAAGTGTTATAGTCTTTTATCATTCTTAATGTTTAATTTATAATTTTCACTGTTATGCTTGACACATGGAACATCATGATTGACTGTAGAGAAAAGATAATTTAATTACAAATGAAAAATCTATGGTCACTTTGTTACCAAAACATGAGGGTTTGATGTGGGTCTTGCTGCTCTCTGCACAGAAATCCAATGACTAAGATGAGGACTATTGCCAAGGAAAAAGGCTTTAATCGTTCATTGCAGCTGAGGAGATGAGAACTCAATCTCAAATCCATCACCCTGAGAAACTAAAACTAGTAGTTTATATAGCAGGAAAAAAAAATGAAACAATGTATAACAAAACAGGAACAAATGAAGGGAAAGAAAGCAATCATGATGAACGAGGGTTAGCCATCTCACTGTCTGGATGTGGTGATTTGGTGAGTTTCATTTCTTTAATAATTTTTTGAGAGGCCTGAAGTTCCTTTCCTGAGGAAGGAACTTAGATAAAAAAATTATAGGCCTGGAGTGGTGGCTTACACCTGTAATCCCAGCACTTTGGGAGGCTGAGGCGGGTGGATCACAAGGTCAGGAGTTTGAGACCATCCTGGCTAACATGGTGAAACCCTGTCTCTACTAAAAATACAAAAATTTAGCCAAGTGTGGTGTCAGGCACCTGTAGTCCCAGATGCTCAGGAGGCTGAGGCAGGAGAATGGTGTGAACCCGGGAGGCAGAGCTTGCAGTGAGCCAAGATCTCACCACTGCACTCCAGCATGGGGAATCTGGTCATCAATCTTCCTGACTGCTTCATGCTGAGGAGGACTATCATAGGGAGCTCCATACAATGGGTGACCATGTGGCTATCCAGGAATCAAAAGTTAATCTAATGCTAGAATTTTCTTCTGAAACACAATGTTTCTCTCTGATCCCCTACTTCCACCAAAAACAAATCACAGCAGGACCAATCCACCTGCAAAACAGCATCAGTACCGTATACTTGGCCTGATTGCTCACTCAGAGTACAAGAATTGCCCATTTAGGTTTTCCTGAACTGATTTTGCTGGAACCTTTCACAGCGTCACTTTAGCCTAAGCTCTGGAAAAATAACCAGGTCTCTTAACTGAGTCTCATTATAAAAGAAACAGTTTCTTATTAAACGTATGCAAACAAATATATTGCTATGAATTATGAATATTCACAAATAGTTTTTAATTCTGGGGCAATTAGGCACAGAGAGAGAGAGAGAAATATGACTCAAATTGTGTTTATAAATGTATACTGAAGGCCGGGTGTGGTGGCTCATACCTGCAATCCTAGCACTTTGGGAGGCTGAGACAGGCAGATCATCTGAGGTCAGGAGTTCGAGCCAGCCTGGCCAAAGTGGCGAAACCCTGTCTCTACTGAAAATACAAAAATTAGCCAGGCGTGGTGGTGGTTGCCTGTAATCCCATCTACTCAGGAGGCTGAGGCAGGAGAATCAGTTGAACTGAGGTGGTGGAGGTTGCAGTAAGCTGAGATCATGCCACTGCACTCCAGCCTGGGGGACAGGGTGAGACTCCATCTGAAAAAAAAAAAAAATGAAAATGTAAACTCAATACACTTGAAGTATATATCAAGGCAATAAATAGCTCACAGGAAAATCTACAGTTCATGAAAAAAAAAAGAATCAGCAATATTCCAAGCAAAAAAAAGACATAAAAATTACTTCACTCCTCTAATAGTTCAGTCCATGCAATCAGCTCTTGTTTCATATTGCGCTAGTAATCTTTATAAACACGTCAGCCTTTCAATTAGAGCAGAGCATGTTTTTTTTCCCTAATGTGATGGCACAATATCCAAAGTTATCAGAAATCTGCATTAAAGAGTCCTTTTCAGGAACTCCCTCCATAAAGCAAGCCCTGGACTGTAGCTGATTATGCCATTGTTTTGAGAAGGATCAAAGCAAAACATAAAATTTGGATAACAAAAATCTTAAGATAGTCATAGTTAAAGACACAGTTGACAAGGAAATTTGGTTATTTCTGTGGCATACCACAAGTTGACATAATAATCATAATTATTGCTAAGACATATCAGAATTTTAGAAATCTCATACAATCCTACAACATACAAGGAAGCTAAACACCACTGAATTTTGACAATGCTTCTTGCATAATTCTATCATAACACAAAAGCTTAGTAAACCTAATATGTGTCTCTTGGACTTCAGGGAACCTCATATCCAGAAAGTTAGTTTGACATCAAAAAGACTGAATTTAGAACTTGAAATATTGATCTTGAAAATATCAGTTTGTTTTTCTTTTTCTTTTTTTTTGAGACGGAGTCTGGCTCTGTTGCCCATGCTGGAGTGCAGTCACGCGATCTCTGCTCACTGCAAGCTCCGCCCCCCAGGTTCATGCCATTCTCCTGCCTCAGCCTCCCGAGTAGCTGGGACTACAGGCAACTGCCACCACACCTGGCTCATTTTTTTGTATTTTTAGTAGAGACGGGGTTTCATAGTGTTAGCCAAGATAGTCTCGATCTCCTGACCTCGTGATCCACCCACCTTGGCCTCCCAAATTGCTGGGATTACAGGTGTGAGTCACTGTGCCCGGCCTGAAAATATCAGTTTTAAGACACCTGATATCACAAAATAGAATAACAGGTCACTATATATATAATAGTCATTCATTTAGCCAATATGATGAAACAAAACATCTATCTTTTGATAGAAAGGAGATTGTTTCCCAAATAATAAGACATAATACTTAAGAAGGCATAGGCCAACTAAATTTGTGTCTCCCCCTCATTGTTTTCCTGCAATTTACTCAAAAGGTAAACACAAATCTTGTATCCTCTTTTACATAAAAATTTTCTTCAAAAGAGAAAACCAAATTTTACCTTTGAATGGTATATTATTAATGTTAAAGCTAATTTTAATAAAATCTTTTAAACAAATCTAATTTAAATCAGACCGACCATAGGTAAGATTTCCATAAACTTTTTATAACTTTTTATGATTTTCTATTGAAAAGAAGATCAATAAAACAAAAAAAAATGAGATTAATGTTCCAAAAGAACCCCGTTATTCCAACACACAGGCTCAGATGCTAGACTTGCATCAGTGTACTTTTGATATTAATGTTTAATTTATAGAAAAACTGTGAATTAATTTTATCCCTCAAAATCAGCCCTTAGAATCACATGTGCTCTCATTTTCCCAATAGTCCCTGGTCCTAGAGGGATTTAATAATGATTTAATAGTTTTAATTTCTGGCACCATGTCTCACAAAAGCAGTTCATTTTGATTGTCAGCTTCTCCTGAGTCTGAAGACGATGCTGCAGCTGGTTTCAATACTCACAGTTTAGCAGGGATGGGTGCCTTCTTCAGATCCAGAGAGTCAATGCCCTGTAACTTAACAACACAATAATTAGTTAAAAGAACATTTATTTATACTACAGAAAGTTCTATCATACTCTCTAACATGTCACAAATTAAAACACTCTGATTTGGTGTCTATGAATTACTGTCTGTAGCGTTTCAAACCACTGTATTGAAGTATTTGATTACTCACTGCATATGTCTAATTCCTGGCATTCTAGTGACAGAACTGTGATCAAGAGCACTGAAAATGTACTAGGTCCTATGCCAAACTTTAAGTAAGACAACTAACTTTTCTCTCCATCATTAGAAAAAAGTAAATGCAAATTTTAGTTTTGAAAGTTCAATATAAGGATAAATAATCTCCTTTCACTTAAATATTATACAATAAAACAAGGAAAAACTAAGAACAAAAGCACCCAATAATTCCTTTTCAACTATTTGAAGAGCATCATCATGCATTTCTAAAATTGGTTTCTAGATACAGTACTGACAACTGATTAGGTCACTTTCATCACTAAAATCTTCAAACCAGTGTCACACTTGAATATTTTTGTTTTCAAGTACACACATAAAGGTCCATCCAAGATAAATGGCTCAGGATCAAAGGTCACCAGAAAGTCTCACAGTTTTAGCACTACATAATGCTAATGAATGTCATTTAATTTTAATAATAGTAAGCACAACTAAAGTAGTTTGAGAAAATTCCCAATCAATACAACTTCCTTAAATATAAGGCCAATAATTCTTTAACATTATAATTTTGTACCCACGTCACAGTTTTTCGTCATTACCCAATGGGAAAGATCTGAAACCAACTCAAATCATTGACTAAGTTGAATTACCTTGGAGGTAGACACTACTTAAACATTTTTATTCTCCCCTGCTTTTTTAAATAACAAAATAAATAGTGTACTATTTCTGTTCAGAGCTTGTAAAATAGGTTTTGGGGATTTTTTTGGCCAGGACTCCTAAAGCTTTTGTAGTTTTCTTGAGCAGCAGAAGTAAGCATAACCAACCAAATTTTAAATGGCTAGTGTCCTTTATCAATTTTTTCAGGTTTGACAAAGGTAGCTTAGAATTCTAAATAAAAAGAACAAATAATGAATTGTTGGAAATGCATAATAAACACAATGACTATTCATAGAACCAAATAAAAACCTTCCATTAGAAACTAAAAAAAATAGTTTTAATATATGCATACAGAATTAAAACCCAAAAAAGATCATACAGCAAATAAATAACAATTAAAACAAAAACAAACAAACAGAAAACCAACCCCCAATTTTTCTCCTACTCAGATTACCTTGGAGGCTAGAGTATTATCTGGAGCCTAAAAGAACACATAATAGATATTTCGTTCCTGGTATACAAATTAATGTCTTTAAATCCACTGATAACACTATCCATTTTGTGCAATGAAAAAATTTACTTAGATACATGACCAGTAATTACTTTAGTGCTAGACCATCTATGCAATATAGCAACTATAGCATAAAGCAATGCAAGCATGTGAGTGAAATTTGGCTTCATGCTTAACTACATTAAAAAAGAATTGCCAGGAAGGGTGTGCTGTCCTATGCCTGTAATTGCAGCACTTTGGAAGGCAAAAGCAGGCAGATCACTTAAGGTCAGTAGTTCAAAAACAGCCTGGCCAACATGGTGAAACACCACCTCTACTAAAATAGAAAAATTATCTGGGCATGGTGGTGGGCACCTGTAATCCCAGCTACTCAGGAGGCTGAGGCAGGAGAATTGCTTTGGAGGTGGAGGTTGCAGTGAGCCAACATCTTGCTACTGTACTCCAGCCTGGGCAACAGAGTGAGAATCCCTCTCAAAAAAAAAAAGGAAAGAAAAAGAAAAAAAAATTGCCAAACTCTCAATGTACTTCTTTATAATATTTATTTTTTATCTTCATCAAAATTAAGATTCTTAACTATGAGCAATGTTAATTAGCAAAATTCCAAATTTCTCCAATTTTCTATCAGTTTGTTTATTTATTTATTTATTTATTTATTTATTTATTTATTTATTTTTTATTTTTTGAGACGGAGTCTTCCTCTGTTGCCCAGGCTGGAGTGCAGTGGTGTGATCTTGGCTCACTGCAACCTCCACCTCCCAGGTTCAAGCAAGTCTCCTGCCTCAGCCTCCCAAACTGCTGGTGTGTCTGGAATTGGTTCCTTCCGGTGAGTTCTTGGTCTCGCTGACTTCAAGAATGAAGCCATGGACCCTTGCAGTGAGTGTTACAGCTCATAAAGGTGGCACATCTGGAGTTGTTCATTGCTCCCCGTGGGTTCATGGTCTTGCTGGCTTCAGGAGTGAAGCTGGAGATCTTTGCAGTGAGTGTTACTGCTCTTAAAGGTGGCATGGATCCTAAGAGTGAGCAGCAGCAAGATTTATTGCGAAGAACAAAAGAACAAAGCTTCCACGCTTGGAAGGGGACCCGAGCGGGTTGCCACTGCTGGCTTGGGTGGCCTGCTTTTATTCCCTTATCTGGCCCCACCCACATCCTGCTGATTGGTCCATTTTACAGAGAGCTGATTGGTCCATTTTACAGAGCTGATTGGTCCGTTTTGACAGAGTGCTGATTGGTGCATTTACAATCCTTTAGCTAGACACAAAAGTTCTCCAAGTACCCACCCAATTAGCTAGACACAGAGTGGTGATTGGTGCATTTACAAACTTTTAGCTTGACACAGAGCACTGATTGATGTGTTTACAATCCTTTAGCTAGACAATAAAGTTCCCCAAGACCCACTCAACCCAGAAGCCCAGCCAGCTTCACCTCTCAATTCCCCCTCTAAACAGCACACCCCAACTGCTGTTGGGAATTGGCTGATGACTGCTCTAGCTACTTCCTGCTGGATAAGGGAGAAGAAAGGACCCTGCAGTTGTAGTGTCCTCCAGAGGGGAACTGTTTAGGACAGTGAAAGGGCCAGTGGGCTGGTAGAGGGGTCCTCGGTAGAAGTTGTTAGTTGTGCTCATTTGTGGTTCCGTTTGTAAGACCCATCTGTAGCTTGATGGCCTTGATTCTAGAGGAAACAAATCTGACAAGAAGGTTAAAAATACAGGGCCCAAAGCCAAATAATTGCAAGATGGCTGCCACGGGACCCAGAAAGGGGAGAAGCCATGATGCCAAACTCCAGAGGTTGGTATGAGTTTGAAAGGCGTTGTCTGATTTCAGAAGCCTTTTCTTGTAAATGCCAGGTGGCATCTCATACTATCCCTGACTGGTTGGTGTAAAAACAACACTCTTCCCCTAAGAAGGTGCAGAGTCCTCCTTTCTCAGCAATGAGGAGGTCTAGGCCTCAGTGCCTTTGGAGAGTCACTGCTGCCAAAGAATCTGTTTGGGATTGTAGAGTAAGGATAGATTTCGTTATTTCTTGAAAATTATCTGAGAAATCCGTTGAGAGTGTGTGGTAGTAGGATAATGAAGTAGATAAACTGGCTATTCTGGTTCCTGTAGCAGTAGCCATTCCTAACCCTATAAATAGGGTTATTAGTTGTATGGTTCTGCACTGATGGACTTGAGCTTTGAGGGGTACTGATTAGGTCTGATTTCCTGGAGCAATGTTAATGTTGGGAGTTAGAAAGACTAAGGTGCAGGTGCTTGTCCAGTCAGCGGGGAGGCAGATATAGGTCAATGTTCCACATAAGAAGAATATACCTTGGCTGGGTAGACAGAACTTGTGTATGTTAAAAAGGTGTATGAATTTGAATTTATTGTTTTCATTTTCCCATACTCCTAGAGTATTTACCAAGGTAGCTCCAGTGAGCGACTGGAAAGGGGTTTTGGGAGGAAACTGAGTGGCTCCCTGTGTTGTGTTCTATTTTCCAATTGGAGAAAAAACCATTTTGTATCTACTAGGAATCATTCGAGAGAGTGATTGAAAGAGGGGATGAGAAGACATTCGCTAGTGGTGGGGGCACTGCTGCAGGGGGTCCAGGGGTGAATGGTCATGCAGGGAGTATGTTTGCCATTACAAAACCTGGACTGTTTGTTAAGCAGTGGGGAGGCAATGATTCTTGGGGGTGCCGAGAAGCAGACAAACCATCTGAATGGAGCTGTTTGGGTGACTCGGAAGTTACTATGATCAGGTGGGGCTTGAAGTTGTAGGGTGGAATTACATTGATGGGGTAGTAGGTGCCCCAGGGGCAGGACTGATAACAGGTTGCGTTGGATGCATAAACAGGCTTGGAAAGTTAAGATGGTATTTACAGTTACAGGGCCATGTATGGGCTTTTCATTGCTTGTGTAATAGGTGAGGTTGGAAATGTAAGAATGTAAAAGTTGGATTGCACGTCATGTTAGGGTATTCTTGGTCCTATCAGAGATGGGAAAGTTGGCTAATGATTGCATATTTAGAAGTCAGAAAGGGTCTTTTCCTTCATAACAAGGGTGGTAGGTTAAGTTGGTAAACACCCAGTTTTTTGAGGGAAGGGGAGTGGTAATGTAAGCAGAGGTTGATAGAGCAATACAAAGCCAACAGTCATTTGCCAGGGAAGGATTGGACTGGTTTAACAGAGAGTGAGTTAAGTTGAGAGTCTTGTAGAGGCAATTAGGATCTAGTGGAAGGGGAGGGGTGATTGTATGAGGTATCCAAGGCAGCAGGAAGCATAGATAGGTAAAGAGTAAATAGGAAGGTAAAGAAGGTGCTCTGGAAGATGAGATAATCTTATCCAGTCTGAGTTAAAGGTAAGAGTAAATTCCTGTCAGAAGGAAGGAAGTTAGAAAGAAGGTTGATGTGATAAAGATTTTTGTCCCAGCAGGAGCTACAGTATGTAGTCCTATTGCAAAGAGTATGGTTAGTATGCTGCTTAATAACATGATGAAATAGTAAAGGGATTCCATTAAAGGGGTAAGGAGAGTTGTTAAAGATAGAAGACCTTCAATTATCAACTATAAGTTTTAAATTTACCCTGGCTTTTAAAGGAATAGGGTACACTGTTTTTTCTTTACTACTTCTATCTCTCTTTTTCTCTCTCTTTGACTTCTTCTTTGTCTGTCTCTCTCTTTCTCTCTGACTCCCTCTTTGTCTCTTCCTCTCTTTCCTTCTTTGACTTTGTCTCTTGTCTCTTCTTCTCTCTGTCTCTCTCTGACTACTTCTTTGTCTCTCTCTCTCTCTCTCTCTCTGGCTTTCTGTCTCTTTCTCTCTTTCCTTTCTGCTGGTCCTTCCCTGCCTTTGCCAGCCACTTATGCTGCTGTTCTCCCCTCTCCTTCCCCTTTTTGATGGCTTCAGCAGTGTAAGACTGCCACCTCCTTGGGTTTTTGCACTGCATGCAAAAACTCCATAATTTCCTTGTATTTAATGGGGGTTCCCCCAGAGGTTAGGAACTCCTTTTCTTTCCATATTGCAGCATGAGCATGTAGGATTAGATAAGCATACTTGCTATCTGTATACACATTTATTCTTTTTCCCTTTTCCAGTTCTAAGGCTCGGGTAAGTGCCACTAGTTCTGCTAACTGGGCTCTGGTCCCTGGAGGAAGAGGCTTCCTTTCAAGTATGGTTACATCACTAACTATGGCATAACCTGCCCTTCATATCCCATTCTCCAAAATGAGCTTCCATCAGTATATAGGTTAAGGTCAGGATTAGCGAAGGGGACTTCTAAGAGATCATCTCAGGCAGCATAAATCGGGACTATAATTTGTTGGCAGTCATGCTCGATTGGTTCCCCATCCTCTGGGAGAAAAGTGGCAGAGTTGAGGGCCAGACACATATGTATTTGAAGCACTGGTCCCTCAAGGTGTAGTGCGTGGTATTTAAATAGGCAGTTGTCTAATAGCCATAAACTTCCTTTGGCACCTAGTATGCCATTTACATCATGAGTAGTCCAGAGAGATCCTTTCCTTGTATTATTTTGTTAGCCTCTGACACTAAGATGGCCACCGCCACAACTATCCTTAAACAGTGAGGCCAGCCTTTTGCTACTACATCAGTTTCCTTACTTAGGTATGCCACTGGTTGTGGATTTGTCCCACGAGTCTGACTAAGGACTCCAAGAGCTATCCCTGCTCTCTCTGTGATGTATAAAGAGAGGTTTTTTCCTGTGGGAAGGCTTAAAACTGGAACTTGTACTAGGGCCTGCTTTAAGTTTTTGAAGGCTGTTTCTGCCCCTGGTTCCCATTCTACTAGATGAGTATTTGCTCTCTGGGTCTCCTTCATTAGAGTATATAGGGGACTGGCTATCTTGCTGTATCTGGGTATCCATAGTCAGCAAAAGCCAGTGAT
This sequence comes from Homo sapiens, assembly GCF_000001405.40. NCBI lineage: Eukaryota > Metazoa > Chordata > Mammalia > Primates > Hominidae > Homo > Homo sapiens. Next base: position 63,189,008 of record NC_000004.12, on the reverse strand, counting down.
TCCAAGAAACCCCCCACAACTGTTTTAATGTCTTAGGGCAAGGATAAGCCAGTATAGGCTGTATGTGTTCCTTGCTGAGGGCCCTGATCCCTCTGGCTGAGTTTAGGCCTAGATATTTGACCTGCTGTAGACAAAGCTGAGCCTTCAACCTAGACCCTTGTACCGTTGGTTAGCTAGAAAGTTCAAGAGATCTAGAGTAGCCTGCTGGCATGAGGCTTCCTAACTTGTGGCCAAAAATAAATCATCCACATTCTGAAGGACCAGAGTGCCTGGACTTGAGAAGTGGCCTAGATCTTGGGCCAGTGCCTGATCAAACAGGCGAGGGCTATCCCTAAACACCCGGGGCAAGACTGTCCATGTAAGTTGGGACATGTGGTCTGTGGGATCCTCAAAGGCAAAGAGAAACTGGGAGTCAGAGTGCAGGAGAATACAGAAGAAGGCATCCTTGAGGCCCAGAACAGTGAACCATTCTGCTTCCTCTGGTATTTGAGAGATCAGCATATAGGGGTTGGGTACAACTGGATATAGAGGAATTACTGCCTCATTGATGAGTCTAAGATCTTGCACTAGTCTCCACTGACCATTTGCTTTTTGTTCTCCTAGAATTGGGGTATTGGAGGGACTGCTATATTTCCTTACTAAGCCTTGAGCTTTTAAATGTTTAACAATATCCTGTAATCCTTTATGAGCTTTAAGCCTTAAAGGATATTTCCTTTGATAAGGAAAAGTGATGTGGTCTTTTAGCCTGATTTGGACTGGGTGGGCATTTTTTGCCCTTCCAAATTGTCCTTCCAATGCACAGACTTCAGGGTTGATTCCCTCCTTAAGTCAGGTACAATGAATGGATAACTTGTTCCCCATATTCATGTAGATAATAGCTCCAGCTTTGGCTAATATATCCCTCCCTAATAAGGGTGTGGGACTTTCAGGCATAACAAGAAAGGCATGTGAAAAGAGCAAAGTCTCCCAATTACAACTGAGGAGGTAGGAGAAATACCTGGTTACAGGCGGTCCCAGGATTCCTTGGATGGTAACAGAACTTGAGGACAGTAGTCCAGGACAGAAGATTAGCACTGATAAGGCCATATCAGTGTCCAGGAGGAAGTCAATTTCCTGGCCTTCAATGGTTAAATGTACCCAGGGCTCAGTGAGGGTGATGACATGAGCTGGCTCTTGCCCCGGGCACCCTCAATCCTGTTGTTGGATCATCTTGTGTGGGGCTTCTGACCCAGAGAACCTTTGTTCTCTGTGGCAGTGCACCTTCCAGTGATTGCCTCAGCATAGTGGACATGGACAAGGGGGTGGCTTGTTTCTCATTGGACAATCTTTTTTAAAGTGTCCTTGTAAACCACACTGATAACAAGCCCTGCTGGGTGATTAGCCTGCTCCATTTTCTGTCCTCTCTGAACCACCAAGGTTTGTTTGTCTGAGGGCCATGACTAAGGCTGCAGCCTTTCTCTGATCTTGCTTTTCTTTTTGGGCCTACTCCTCTTGGTCCCTATTATGGAACACTGAGGTTCCCAGGTTTAATAATGCCTCCAGATTTTGTTCAGGGCCCAGGGCTTGCTTTTGGAGTTTTCTCCTGATATCTGTGGCTGACTGGGTAATAAATTTATCTTTTAGAATCAATTGACCCTCAAGTGATTTGGATGACAGGGGAGTATATTTTCTTAAGGCCTCCTGTAGCCGCTCGAGGAAGGCAGAAGAATTTTCTTCCTTTCCCTGAGTTATGGTGGACATCATTGAATAATTCATGGGCTTTTTCCTATTTCTCCTTAGTCCTTCTAGAACACAGGTCAACAGATGTTTATGACTCCAGTCCCCATGATCTGAGTCAAGGTCCCAATGGGGATCCATACTGGGGATGGCTTGCTGACCAGTAGGGAACTTGTCCCTTTCTTCAGCTGTCATTTTATAATTTACTTGACTAAGATGATACCAAGTATCTCTGAACTCTTGGGCTGCAGCTAAAGCCGCATTATTTTCATTAAAGGCCAGGGTTTGATCTAATAATAGCATGACATCTCTCCAAGCGAGGTCGAAGGTTTGCCCTAGACCCTGTAGGATATCTATGCACCTATCAGGATCATCTGAAAACTCCCCCAGGTCTGCCTTGATCTGCTTTAAATCAGAGAGGGAGAAGGGGACATGTACCCAGGTTGGGCCAAATTCCCCTCCCCCTACAACTTGAAGGGGACATAACCATTAGCCTGGGGGTTTTTGTGGTCCTTTGGATATTTCTTTCCTTGTTTCCTTCTGGGTGGATGAGATTAGAGGAAGATTATCATTAATAGGAAGGGGAGCTATAGGGAGGCTAGTATATGGGGGTAAGCTGAAATGTCCCCCTGTGGGATGTAAATTGCAAGCTTTGCCTAGTTATGTATTCTCCTTGAATGAAAAGAAAACTTGGGCATAAGGTATTACACTCCATTTGCCTTCCTTCCTACGAAAATGTCAAGATGCAGAATAGTGTTGTAATTTATACTTCCCTCAGGTGGCCATTTTTCCCCATCAGAGATTGAATATTGGGGCCAGGCCATAGTGTAGAAAAAAATGAGCTGCCTCTTTTTCAGGGTTTGTGTGTCAAATTGGTCCCAGTGGCTTAGGATGCATTTCAAGGGTGAGCCTGTTGATGCCTGAGTGTTTCCCATCTGAAAGACAAAACCACCTGTGGTTTTGGTTTTTTTCTCCTGCTGCCGAAGAACCCAAAGTGGTCCCTGGACCCTGCTGATTGGAATAGTTGCGCTCACCAACACAGCAGCAGAAAAACCCCTGCCCAAGAACCCGCAAAGGTCCCTGGACCCTGCTGATTGGAATAGTTGTGCTCACCGATGCAGCAGCAGAAACACTAGTTTTCCTCTTGCACCACAAAGAGTACTGAGGAAGGACAGATTTAGTGGCCCTTACTGACACATTCTGGAAAACCTGCACCCTTGCCTTTCCTCTTAGACCACAAAGAGAACTGAGAAAAATCAGATTTAGTGGCCCTTACTGACACATTCTCAAAAACCTGTTAGAGTCTTAAGCATCCTCCTGTTAGTATTGGGACCTTACCTGTGTCTTATAAAGATGTTATGCCCCAAAAATGAAGTGAAGGGCCATACCCTGAGGGAGGGAAGCAATCTCCAGGGTTGGAAGAGTGACACCTTTCATCCTCACTTATATGAATAGGTAGGATACAATTTCTGAGGCTCCCCATATCCTATATTCAGGAATAGCTTTTGCTAGGCCTGATTGTCTGAGGAGGGATCCTAAAATTCCAGATAGTCCCCCCTACGATGGGGCTTTGGACAAAAATTGTGTCTGATTGTTCAGGTCAGGTACCTGAAGAAGGGAATAGAGTCCTGGAGTTTACACTAGAAATCATTCTTATTGGAGAAACTAGGAAAGCACCAGAGACAGGGAGTGATTTTTAGAAGTGATGCTAGCCTTGGAGAAGAGAGGTGAGAGGAAGTTTTTCTGGCAGGCATTAGGACCCAGGGGGGAAGGGTCAGGATAGATAGGATAGATGGGCGAGTCTCGCTTGGGCGACATGCCTTTGAGAGTTCTGCTCATGGCCGCAGGGTCAACCAGCTTGTCGGGGCCCTGGAGCTGAATGGCTTTCCTCTCTGTCAACCCTCGGCTCATACCAGAAGTACAGGAAAAGTGGAAGCTGGTTCCAGGCAAACCAATGCTCCCAACCCCAAAGACTCAGTGGTTGTTAGAGAGCCCTTTCCCAGAAAGCCTGACACCCATGTCTTTAGTCCAGCGGCTGCGCTAGTCGCTTTTAACTGGCTGATAGGTGCCCGGTATTTAGCCCCCAAATTCTAAGGAAAAATAGGACAGAATAGCAAGTGAAAGGGGTCCGATGGTACTCACTGCTTGGCGATAGATAATGGTCCCCTTGTGGTCGCCAAAATGTGTCCAGAATTGGTTTCTTTCAGTGGGATCTTGGTCTCGCTGACTTCAAGAATGAAGCTGTGGACCCTCGCGATGAGTGTAACAGCTCAAAAAGGTGGTGCATCCAGAGTTGTTCATTCCTCCTGGTGGACTGTGGTCTTGCTGGCTTCAGGAGTGAAGCTGCAGACCTTCATGGTGGGTTTTACAGCTCTTAAAGGTGGCGTGGAGCCAAAGAGTGAGCAGCAGCAAGATTTATTGTGAAGAGCAAAAGAACAAAGCTTCCACAGTGTGGAAGGGGACCCAAGTGTGTTGCTGCTGCTGGCTCAGGTGGCCTGCTTTTATTCCCTTTTCTGGCCCCAATCACATCCTGCTGATTGATCCATTTTACAGAGAGCTGATTGGTCCATTTTACAGAGAGCTGATTGGTCCATTTTGACAGAGTGCTGATTGGTGCATTTACAAACCTTTAGCTAGACACAGAGTGATGATTGCTATGTTTACCATCCTTTAGCTAGACACAAAAGTTCTCCAAGTCCCCACCCAATTAGCTAGTCACAGAGTGCTGATTGGTGTATTTACAAACCTTTAGCTAGACACAGAGTGCTGATTGGTGTGTTTGCAATCCTTTAGCTAGACAGAAAGTTCCCCAAGTCCCCACCCAACCCAGGAGACCAGTTGGCCTCATCTCTCAATTTATTTTTATTTTTTGAAATAGAGTCTTGCTCTGTCACCCAGGCTGGAGTGCAGTGGTGTGATCTTGGCTCACTGCAACCTCCACATCCCTGGTTCAAGCAATTCTCCCGCCTCAGCCTCCCAAACTGCTGGGACTACAGGCATTTGCCACCATGCCCAGCTAATTTTTGTATTTTTAGTACAGACAGGGTTTCACCATATTGGCAAGGCTTTTCTCAAACTCTTGACCTCATGATCCACCCCCCTTCAGCCTCCCAAAGTTCTGGGATTACAGGCATAAGCCACTGTGCCCAACTTCTATCAGGTTTTAAAGAATATTATACTAGCTAAACTTTTCCAACATTCTATTTTGTCTGCATGTGTACAAAGACAGATATACACAGAAACAGGAAAAAACTACATATAACTTACAAAGACCATCCATAACATGAGTGGACTTTTCATTTTGTCTTAATTTTTTTTAATAACCATTTTACTTTAGGACTAAAGTTAACCAAACAAGACCTTTTTTTACACAATTTTAGTCTCTTTTCTTTACAACTTTCCTTACTAAACCTGACTGTCATTATGATGTTAGCTGGTTATTTTGCTTGTTAGTTGATGCAGTTTCTTCCTAGCATCAAAGGTCTTTACAATTTGTCATGTTTTACAGTGGCTGGTACAGGTTTTACAGTTAGCTGGTACTGGTTTGTTCCTTTCCATGTTTAGTGCTTCCTTCAGGGGCTCTTTTAGGGCAGGCCTGGTGGTGACAAAATCTCTCAGCATTTGCTTGTCTGTAAAGTATTTTATTTCTCCTTCACTTATGAAGCTTAGTTTGGGTGGATATGAAATTCTGGGTTGAAAATTCTTTTCTTTAAGAATGTCGAATATTGGCCCCCACTCTCTTCTGGCTTGTAGAGTTTCTGCTGAGAGATCAGCTGATAGTCTGATGGGCTTCCCTTTGTAGGTAACACGACCTTTCTCTCTGGCTGCCCTTAACATTTTTTCCTTTATTTCAACTGTGGTGAATCTGACAATTATGTGTCTTGGATTTGCCCTTCTCGAGGAGTATCTTTGTGGCGTTCTCTGTATTTCCTGAATTTGAATGTTGGCCTGCCTTGCTAGACTGGGGAAGTTCTCCTGGATAATATCCTGCAGAGTGTTTTCTAACTTAGTTCCATTCTCATCATTTTCAGATACACAAATCAGATGTAGATTTGGTCTTTTCACATAGTCCTATATTTCTTGGAGGCGTTGTTCATTTCCTCTTATTCTTTTTTCTCTAAACTTCTTTTCTCACTTCATTTCATTCATTTGATATTCCATCACTGATAACCTTTCTTCCAGTTGATCGAATCAGCTACTGAAGCTTGTGCATTTGTCACATAGTTCTTGTGCCTTGGTTTTCAGCTCCATCAGGTCCTTTAAGGACATCTCTGCATTGTTTATTCTAGTTAGCCATTTGTTTAATCTTTTTCAAAGTTTTTAACATGTTTGCCATGGGTTTGAACTTCCTCCTTTACCTCAGAGAAGTTTGATCTTCTGAAGCCTTCTTCTCTCAACTCATCAAAGTCATTCTCCATCCAGCTTTGTTCCATTTCTGGTGAGGAGCTGCATTCCTTTGGAGGAGGAAAGGTGCTCTGAGTTTTAGAATTTTCAGTTATTCTCTCTGTTTTTCCTCACCTTTGTGGATTTATCTACCTTTGGTGTTCGATGATGGTGATGTACAGATGGGGTTTTGGTATGGATGTCCTTTCTCTTTGTTAGTTGTCCTCCTAACAGTCAGGACCCTCAGCTTCAGGTCTGTTGGAGTTTGCCACAGGTCCGCTCCATACCCCGTTTGCCTGGGTATCAGCAGTGGAGGCTACAGAACAGTGAATATTGGTGAACAGCAAATGTTGCTGCCTGATCGTTCCTCTGGAGGTTTTGTCTCAGAGGAGTACCCAGCCGTGTGAGGTATCAGTCTGCCCCTACTGGGGGGTGCCTCCCAGTTAGGCTAGTTGGGGGTCAGGGACCCACTTGAGGAGGCAGTCTCTCCATTCTCAGATCTCAAGCTGCGTGCTGGGAGAACCACTACTGTCTTTAAGGCTGTCAGACAGGGACATTTAAGTCTGCAGAGGTTTCTGCTGCCTTTTGTTTGGCTATGGCCTGCCCCCAGAGGTGGAGTCTACAGAGGCAGGTAAGCCTCTTTGAGCTGTGGTGGGATCTACCTAGTTCCAGCTTCCTGGCCACTTTTTTACCTACTCAAGCCTCAACAATGGCAGGCGCCCTGACCCAGCCTTGCTACTGCCTTGCAGTTAGATCTCAGACTGCTGTGCTGGAAACTAAACAACCTGCTCCTCAATGACTACTGGGTACATAACAAAATGAAGGCAGAAATAAAGATGTTCTTTGAAACCAGTGAGAACAAAGACAAAATATACCAGAATCTCTGGGACACATTCAAAGCAGTGTGTAGAGGGAAATTTATAGCACTAAATGCCCACGAGAGAAAGCAGGAAAGATCTAAAATTGACACCCTAACATCACAATTAAAAGAACTAGAGAAACAAGAGCAATCACATTCAAAAGCTAGCATAAGGCAAGAAATAACTAAGATCAGAGCAGAACCGAAGGAGATTGACACACAAAAAATCCTTCAAAAAAATCAATGAATCCAGAATCTGGCTTTTTGAAAAGATCAACAAAATTGATAGACTTCTAGCAAGACTAATAGAGAAGAAAAGAGAGAAGAATCAAATATATGCAATAAAAATGATAAAGGGGATATCACCACCTATCCCACATAAATACAAACTACCATCAGAGAATACTATAAACACCTCTATGCAAATAAACTAGAAAATCTAGGAGAAATTGATAAATTCCTTGACACATACACCCTCCCAAGACTAAACCAGGAAGATGTTGAATCTCTGAATAGACCAATGACAGACTCTGAAATTGAAGCAATAATTAATGTCTTACCAACCAAAAAAAAGTCCAGGACCAGATGGATTCATAGCCGAATTCTACCAGAGGTACAAGGAGGAGTTGGTACCATTCCTTCTGAAACTATTCCAATCAATAGAAAAAGAGGGAATCTTCCCTAACTCATTTTATGAGGCCAGCACCATCCTGATACCAAAGCCTGGCAGAGACACAGCAAAAAAAGAGAATTTTAGACCAATATGCCTGAAGAACATCGGTGCAAAAATCCTCAATAAAATCCTGGCAAACCGAATCCAGTAGCACATCAAAAAGTTTATCCACCATGATCAAGTGGGCTTCATCCCTGGGATGCAAGACTGGTTCAACATATGCAAATCAATAAACGTAATCCAGCATATAAAAAGAACCAACGACAAAAACCACATGATTATCTCATAGATAAGAAATAGATGTAGAAAAGGGCTTTGACAAAGTTCAACAACCCTTCATGCTAAAAACTCTCAATAAATAAGATATTGATGGGACGTATCTCAAAATAATAAGAGCTATCTATGACAAACCCACAGCCAATATCATACCGAATGGGTAAAAACTGGAAGCATTCCATTTGAAAACTGGAACAAGACAGGGATGCCCTCTCTCACCACTCCTATTCAACAGAGTGTTGGAAGTTCTGGCCAGGGCAATCAGGCAGGAGAAGGAAATAAAGGGTGTTCAATTAGAAAAAGAGGAAGTCAAATTGTCCCTGTTTGCAGATGACTTAATTGTATATCTAGAAAACTCCAACGTCTCAGCCCAAAATCTCCTTAAGCTGATAAGCAACTTTGGCAAAGTCTCAGGAGACAAAATCAATGTGCAAAAATCACAAGCATTCTTATACACCAATAAGAGACAAACAGAGAGCCAAATCATGAATGAACTCCCATTCACAATTGCTTCAAAGAGAATAAAATACCTAGAAATCCAACATACAAGGGATGTGATGGATCTCTTCAAGGAGAACTACAAACCACTGCTCAACGAAATAAAAGAGGATACAAACAAATGGAAGAACATTCCATGCTCATGGGTAGGAAGAATCAATATTGTGAAAATGGCCATACTGCCCAAGTTAATTTATAGATTCAATGCCATCCCCATCAAGCTACCAATGACTTTCTTCACAGAATTGGAAAAAACTACTTTAAAGTTCATATGGAACCAAAAAAGAGCCCACCATTGCCAAATCAAACCTAAGGCAAAAGAACAAAGCTGGAGGCATCATGCTACCTGACTTCAAACTATACTACAAGGCTACAGTAACCAAAACAGCATTGTATTGGTACCAAAACAGAGATATAGACCAGTGGAGCAGAACAGAGCCCTCAGAAATAATGCCTTATATCTACAACTATATGATCTTTGACAAACCTGAGAAAAACAAGCAATGGGGAAAGGATTCCCTATTTAATAAATGGTGCTGGGAAAACTGGCTAGCCATATGTAGAAAGCTGAAGCTGGATCCCTTCCTTCCTCCTTGTACAAAAATTCAAGATGGATTAAAGACTTAAATGTTAGATCTAAAACCATAAAAACCCTAGAATAAAACCTAGGCAATACCATTCAGGACATAGGCATGGGCAAGGACTTCATGTCTAAAACAACAAAAGCAATGGCAACAAAAGCCAAAATTGACAAATGGGATCTAATTAAACTAAAGAGCTTCTGCACAGCAAAAGAAACTACCATCAGAGTGAACAGGCAACCTACAGAATGGGAGAAAATTCTTGCAGTCTACTCATCTGAAAAAAGGCTAATATCCAGAATCTACAAAGAACTCAAACAAATTCACAAGAAAAAAACGAACAACCCCATCAACAAATGGGCAAAGGATATGAACAGACACTTCTCAAAAGAAGACATTTGTGCAGCCAAAAAGCACATGGAAAAATGCTCATCATCACTGGCCATCAGAGAAATGCAAATCAAAACACAATGAGATACCATCTCACACCAATTGGAATGGCGATCATTAAAAAGTCAGGAAACAACAGGTGCTGGAGAGGATGTGAAGAAACAGGAACACTTTTACACTGTTGGTGGGACTGTAAACTAGTTCAACCATTGTGGAAGTCAGTGTGGCGATTCCTCAGGGATCTAGAACTAGAAATACCATTTGACCCAGCCATCCTATTACTGGGTATATACCCAAAGGATTATAAATCATGCTGCTATAAAGACACATGTACACATATGTTTATTGTGGCACTATTCACAGTAGCAAAGACTTGGAACCAACCCAAATGTCCAACAATGATAGACTGGATTAAGAAAGTGTGGCACATATATACCATGAAATACTATGCAGCCGTAAAAAATAATGAGTTCATGTCCTTTGTAGGGACATGGATGAAGCTGGAAACCATCATTCTCAGCAAACTATCGCAAGGACAAAAAACCAAACACCTCATGTTCTCACTCATAGGTGGGAATTGAACAATGAGAACACAGGGACACAGGAAGGGGAACATCACACACCAGGGCCTGTTGTGGGGTGGGGAGAGGGAGGAGGGATAGCATTAGGAGATATACCTAATGTAAATGACGAGTTAATGGGTGCAGCACACCAACATGGCACATTTATACTTATGTAACAAACCTGCACATTGTGCACATGTACCCTAAAACTTAAAATATAATAATAATAAAAAAAAGAAAGTTGATTTTGCCAAAACTGAGGTCACTCCGTGACACAGCCTCAGGAAGTTCTGATGACATGTGCCCAAGGTGGTTGGGGCACTGCTTGGTTTTATACATTTTAGGGAGACATGAGTCATGAATCAATATATGTAAGAAGTACATCGGTTCGGTCTGGAATGGTGGGACAACTTTAAGCAAACATAGGAAGACTCAAAGCTAGGAGAGAAGCACAGATAGGTGATACACAAATGGTTACATTCTTTGGAGTTTCTGATTAGCCTTTCCAAAGGAGGCAAACCAGATGTTCATCTATCTCAGTGGGCAGAGGGGTGACTTTGAATCTAATGGCAGGCAGGTTTGCCCTAAGCAGTTGCCAGTTTGAGTTTTCTTTAGTGACTTTGGGGGCACAAGATATTTTCCTTTCACAGTTTTAACAATAAAATAATTATGTCTGGAATCACCTTATATTTGGCAAATACATTTGGCCCTTAAACAACATGGGTTTGAACTGAGCAGGTCCACTTACATGTAGATTATTTTTCAATAAAAGTTACAGTGAGTTGAGTGTGACTGCCTCTCCTGCTTCCTCCTTCACCTCTTTTGCTTCTGCCACCCCTGAAGCAGCAGGACAACCTTCTCCTCTTGACTCTCCTCAGCCTAATCAGTGTAGAGACTATGAGAATGAAAACCTTTCCAATGACCCACTTCCACTTAATAAATAATAAACATATCTTATCTTCATTATGATGTTCTCAATAACATTTTCTTTTATTTTTCTTACTCAATTGTAAGAATACAGTGTACAGTATACATAACCTATAAAACATGCGTTAATGGACTGTTTAAGTTATCCATAAGGTCAGCAGGAGGCTATGAGTTATTACAATTTGGGGGAGACAAAAGTTATACATAGATTTTTCAACTGTGACAGAGTAGGTCAACACACCTCATCCCAGTGTTGTTGAAGTTTTAACTCTATATTCAGTCTGCTACCCATATTGTGAAATATAATTTATATTTTTATTTCATGATAGTGTGGAAAAAAAATTATTAATAAGATACAAAATAATTCTGAGGAGTGAAGTAATTGAAAGGCCAAACTTAAGTGTAATGAAATAAAGAAATTTTACTCCTTATATATCTCTATTAGTAAAATAATTAAATGCATCAAGTGCTTCTTTATATTTAGAGGATAAAATGCAAAAGATGGAGATTGTTTCTTTGTCAGGAGAATTATTTCATGTAAGGGAATGCTATGTTATTAATTGTGATAATTGTGATAGTTAATTTTATATGTCAACAGGGCTGGGCCACAATGTCCAGATATTTGGTCAAACATTATTCTTGATGATTCTAGTAAGGAGTTTTTGGATGAGATTAACATTTAAGTCAGGTGGACCTTGAGCAAAGCAGATTACCTTCATAACACGAATGGGCTTCATCCGATTTGTTGAGGCTTCACTGAAACAAAGCCTGACCTCCCCTCAGCAAGAAAGAATTCTGTCAGCTGACTGCCTTTAAACTTGAACCGAAACATTGGTTCTTCCCTGTGTCTCCAGCCTGTTGTCCTATCCTTCTGATTTTAGATTTACTAGCCTCCATGTTTGTAAGAGCCAATTCCTTAAAATAAGTCTCTCTCTCTCTCTCTCTCTCCACACACACACACACACACACGCACGTGCGTGCACACACACACACAGAAAAATTATCCTTTGTTATATCCAAAGGATTGAAGGATTGGTCCCAGGACCCCCTTATATACCAAAATCCATGCATACTCTGGTCTTGCATTAGGTCCTGAGGAACCCCTGTATATGAAAAGTCAGCCCTCTGTATTCATGGGTTTCTTCTATTAATAATACTGTTCTTTCTATTTATGTTTCCTTGTGAATGCAAGGATATAGAGAGACAAATGTATTTATTGGAAAAAAAATCCATATATAAGTGGACCTGTTCATATCAAACTTGTGTTATTCAAGGGCCAACTACATATTCACATCTTATTAGTTCTGTTTCTCTGAAGAACACTGACTAATACATTAATATTTTAATAATATTAGCAAACAAAAATGACTCAATCTGTGCCACCTAATTTTCAAAGAGCTTCATGTGTGTTAACATAATTAATTCTTAAATTCATCTTATGAAACAGGTACTATTGTTTTATCATTTTGTACCAATGCAAAAAAACTGGTAATTTGCCTGCATTAACAACAGCAAATAGTATAGTTGAGATTTAGATAGTAGCATTTTGGTTTTAGAGTATGTGTATCTCACCATTATTGTAACCTGTCTACATTGATATGCAATCTGGCTTCAGATGCACAGAAAAATTTTTACAATTCTTTGTAAAACACTAAGGGGAAAAAGTAGAATCAATAAACAGTCAATTTCTAAACCTCTGGTTATTCCCTCTTCATACAATTGTAAGTTAAATTAAAATTATGTAACATAAACAGAAAGTAACACTAATATTAATAGTACCTATGGGTGCTAAATAATTTACTTTTTCTAATAAAATTCCGATTATTGCAATCTAAATTCAGAGAAAATCATACTCTAAAATAATTGCAAGAAAACTTAGGAAAGTATTTGGTAAACCATCCTTTGTCTGTAATAGCTACAAATATGCTGATTATATAAATTATAATAAATAGAATAATATACTGCAATATTTGAATGAAAATGAAATACATAAAATTGTACTGCAATTAATTCCAAATTCTTATTAAAATCTTTATAAAAATATAACAATGGAAAATGTAAAAACTCCTACTACAACCAGCATTCTCAGATTGAAAAAGACCATGAATGTGTGAGGAATTTCCATAAGCTATGAAATTCAAAGATCAATATTAAAACAAAGTCTCCTTGTGGCCTTCAGTGCTAAAATTCATTAAACAAGTATGGTTTGGCATGGCATGGTACAGCCATAAGAGTAAGAAGGAAAGATCCTTTGATCAATAATAAGAACTGACATAAAGTATACACTAAGAAGAACAGAGAAGTTGTCCTTTCCCAACATGGGTTCTATGTTTTCATTTAGAAAGTTTAATGCATTTAAATATAATATAATTATTAATATAATGATTTAAATTTACTATTTTTGCTACTTGTATTTCATTTTTTCATTATTTTGTTCCAAACAGTGTACGAGTTCCTAATTACTCTTTCCTCTTTTCTTCTATGTTAATAAAATGATACTGCATTTTAATTACTCTATTTAACTTGAACCTATTCCTATTTGCTTTATTTTCAGTGCTTGATTTAGGTATATTATAATATTCACCATTAACCTATGCAGCTTGCCTAGAGTTAATATTTTACTACCTCACAAAAAATTTAAGAACTTTTTAGTAATACAATTTCATTTACTACCCTATTTTTTGTGTAGTTAATGTCATGTACATTACCTTTACATATATTTTTAAATCACGATATGGTATAATGATTTTTAGTTTTCCATGTCTATTGCTCATTCCTTCTTGAAGATCTGTTTCTCTCTGATGTTATTTTCCCAAAGTCTAAAAAACTTCCTTTGGCATATCTTACAGTATACAAATTTGCTGGTGATGAGTTCTTACTGTTAAGAATTACATGACAATTTTGTTTTTGTTTTTTAAGAGATAGGGTCTTGCTATGTTGCCCCAGCTGGAATATAGTGGCTATTCACTGGCACAATCATAGCTCATGGCATACTTGAACTCCTGTACACAAGTGATGCTCCTGCTTCAGCCTCCCAAGTAGCTGGTATTACAGGCATGCATCACTCCACCTGGCATATGACAATGTTTTTATTTTACTTTTATCTTTGAAGGATGATTTCACTAGATATACAATACTGGGTTGATTTTTTTTTCCTAATTCAGTACTTCAAATATTTCATTCCTTTGCCTTCTAGCTTCCATTATTTTGATTAGAAGTCAGCCTCATTAATGTGGTCATTCCCTTGAAGGTAATATGATTTTTTTTTCTTTGCTTTCTGTCAGTATACAAGAATGTGTCAGAAAAACATCTCTATCTGAAACCACATTTTTCCTCACCTCTCACCAGCAATTACTGACACAGAAGACATCTGTGACCAAATGTGTGTGGGATCCTTCTCACACACCGAACAGGGGCATCAGCTGGGTGTCATCCAATTCAATTTCAACACTATTTACCTGTAGATAGTGTCACAGATCCCACAGATTGAGGACTCAGTACCCAACATTGTGCTTCCCACTTCGGACACCAGTAGCAGGTATGGGCTTCTAGAAATTCTGACTGACCAGCTTCAAGTTGATATTCCAATGGCTTTGTCTTTGGGTTCAATTAACTTGCTGGAGTGGTTCACAGAACTCAGGATAGCACTTAATGTTTAGTGGTTTATTGTAAAGAACACTGCAAATGATACAGATGAAGATATGTATAGGATGATGAATGAGGGAGGGGGTACAGATCTTCCATGCCCTCCCTGGATGCAACACCCTCAAGAAAGCTCCACATGTCCAATTATTCAGAAGCTCCCGAACCCTGTCCTCTTGAGTTTTTGTAAAGGTTTCATTACATAGGCATCATAGAATACACCACTGGCTATTGGTGATCAATGTGACCTTCAGTCTCTCTCTCTCTCCCAGGCAGTTGTGGTGGTTGGAGCAGGAAGTCCCAACCTTCTAATCTTGCTTTGGTCTTTCTGGTGACCAGCCCCACCCTGAACCTATCAGACAAAAGACACACAAAAGTCATTAAACTCTTTGTGATGTATATTAATATACCACAATAAACTCTTTGTGATATATTTATATATACCACAAACTCTTTAATGACTTTTTGTTTGTATTCAGCAGTTTGTCTATGATAAGCTTAGGTGTGCTTTTTGTTTGTTTGCGTCTTTTATTCCTGTTTAGATCATCCTGAAATTCTTGGACTTGTAAATTACATTATTTTAGAATCAAATTTGGGAAATATTCAGTCAATATTTCTTTATATACATTTTTTCTGCATCTTCTCTCTCTGTTATTCTTCTAAGAGAATTATGTGTGTGTGTATTATATATATATATAGATGTATATATATATATATATATATACATCTATATATAATATATAGATGTAGTTTGTCTGTGTCTCTGTCCAAACCTTAACTTGAATTGTATCTCCCAGAATTCCCAAGTATTGAGGGAGGAACCCATGGGGAGGCAATTGAATCATGGGGGCCAATCTTTCCCGTGCTATTCTTGTGATAGTAAATAAGTCTCACAAGATCTGATGGGTTTATCAGGAGTTTCTGCTTTAGCTTTTTCCTCATTTTCTCTTGCCACTGCCATGTAAGATGTGCCTTTCGCCTCCTGCCTTGATTCGGAGGCCGTCCCAGCCATGTGGAACTGTAAGCCCAATTAAACCTCCTTTTCTTCTGAATCTCAGGTACATCTTTATCAGGATCGTAAAAACAGACTAATAGATATATAGAATTGTGTGTGTATTTATATACCCACACACACACACACACACACACGCTCACTTTCTACTATTAATAGCTCCCTGGATTCTTTCAGTAAATGCAGTTTATGAGGTCATCCATGGATTTATGCAGAGTTATATGAAAATTTGCAGATTCTCCATTTGCAAGTCCTTCCTTTCTGTGATTTTCATCTTCACCTTTCAGTTGCTCCGGTAATCCCAAACTATTAATATTTTACTATTTAGGAAGAAAAAAATGGTATTCTCCTTGAGTTCCCAAAACTCTCTGATACCTATGGTTTAGGAAGTACTCAAGTAAAAATTCTCGTTAAGTATAAATTTTAGTTCTCTTCTTTAATCGTATTTTTACCTCTAGATTTGCCCATTTGTTTCTGAAAAGAAATGCCTACAAATAGCTGTTTTCCAAAATATTTATCAGAATTTATAATTATTTTATAGATAAAGCTTGGTCTGGTAAAACCTAATTAAGTGCTATCAGAAAGAGAATGATTTAAATATTTTGATATACTGAAATAATGCTTATTTTGTATAATTTTAAGACAAGCTAACTTGTATATTGTTAAGCAGCAGCAAATTTGTAAGATAAAGTACATGAAATCCAACTTGCATTTTCCAATATGAGGTTTTCAAGTATAGTCTCTTGGAAGCAATGTCTTTAAAGAAAGGCAATTATTTTATTTAACTAGATCAGCATACCGAATTCCCAATAAAATAATGTTTCAGAATGCCTATTCGTCTATGTAAATTGAGCTACAAGCTGATAGCAGCTGCACTGCTAATGAAAAATGATTCACCCAGTATAAAAGAGAGTGTCTTTTTTTTTCTGAAGTGATCTCACCTATGCTCAGTGACTTAAATCTTGCACTAGACACTTAGGACTCTCATGTTGTTTTTCCTTTGAGATTCACACTAACTTAAGACGGAGTCTCTTGTGGCCACGATAAATTATACTCATTTGTAAAGTGAAATTTAGGTATCTGAAAATCAACATATCTAAGCCTTAACTCATTATTTATTTCTAAAACTTCCCTTTTTGTAAATTTATTTCTATTTTTATTGCTGTCACATTGGCAGAATACATTATCATCTTCCACTTGACCTCACCAAATAGCTTTCTTACTGGCTTATCTGCTTTATGCTTATTTCTTTTAGATCTTTAATACACATAACGTTGAGAATTAAACTACAATTTGAATATGCTGCCTTCCTAAAAAAAAGAAAAAAAGAAAAAAAAACCTATGCAGAGATATCTGTTTTACTTCGTTCTCATTCAATATCAATTTAATACACTTTTGCATCATAATTATCCCTGTTCCCAAACAGAGTGTAATTTGAGGGCTGGCTTCAT
This sequence comes from Homo sapiens, assembly GCF_000001405.40. NCBI lineage: Eukaryota > Metazoa > Chordata > Mammalia > Primates > Hominidae > Homo > Homo sapiens. The sequence continues at coordinate 63,172,037 of NC_000004.12, read as the reverse complement.
GAATTTATATTTTCTCCTTCTTATCTACTAACATGTCTTCCAAATTTAAAAAAAAAAAAAAAGAAAAAACATTCTTTAAAGTATTTTCAATTATTATATTATTTCTTATTCACTTTTAATTTGTTTTAATATGAAAATACATTAATTTTATGTCAACATTGATGACACAAACTGAACAAACCTCCCTCTCTGACAAAAAGTTAGACGAAGAATAAGAGCAACAACATATATATTCAAAACCAAGTACTTTACTGGAATCACATATAGGCACTTAGCTGGAATTGAGTAAACTCCTGCTTGAATTAGTGATCATTTTGAATACAATGTCTCATAGAACATTTTATCATTTGCCATATGTTACATAATTACATAAATGTTAGTATATGTTGTGAATATGCTGCAAATTAACAGCTTTTCTTGTTTCTGAAGAGAAAATGAGAAATTAATTTGGCAAATGTCAAGTTTAGTTCATGTCAAGATGCTTTTTGTGTCATGATACATCATGAAAGATTAAACAGATATGTTCTCCTAAATAGAACAATTTGGCGGCAGCAGCTGTGGTTCACATTCTTTCATTTAGCAGATTCATTCCACCTGACTTCAGAGAAATTGCTAAGATCACGTTTTCATAATATGCATATGTTTTTATTTCTCTTGCCTAATTCAGTTAGAGTTGATAGAGGAAAAGAAAATTTTGTTGTATTATGCATCTTTAGTTGAAAATGGGTACCACTGTAGTTTTATTCATGCATCAATAATTAGAAAATAAACACAAATTAAAATTGTAGTCCTTTAAGGTTGATTTTAATGTAAAGTGGGATGTCTATAAACATCATGACTCATTTGGAATACACTATAAACTTTGTAAGATTTTAAAAGCTCACAACAAATATGGGTGTCAGCAGTGTTCACTGTCTCCTGTTGTTTCCTAAACTACATGCAGTATATTAAACCGGATTGGGAAACGGGGGAAGCAGTTTGTCATGCTCCACAGCTAAAAGGCATTTTTTAAATGTCTTGCTCTGGTTCCCTGTTGAATAAAAATGTAGTAAAAATGTAGCCCAAATAGGTCATCATTTTACACTCTTTTCTCTATAGCTGTTTGTTTGTTTGTTACAGTTCTCTGCTATAAAGTTACTTCCCATGGTAAAGACATTTTTAATGATTTTTACCAAAACTCTACTTTTGAATAATACATTTCTGTCTTGGAAATAGTGTAGGTACAGACTTAAATAAATTATTCTAAAATGTTTTCTTAGTTAAACGTTTGCATAACTCTTGTAAGTATAGCAGATTATCAAGGCTTTCAACATCTTGGTTGTGTTGCTGGTGAGATACCTTGTAATAACCTGATAACAAATAAAATATAGGATTGCTTCCACATCTACAAGTGTTCCAGGCATTGTACTAGTCATTTTACGTAGGATATCACCTTTAATGTGTAAAATAGATTCTCTTGTCCCTATTATGCACACTTAAATACAGATCTTAAGATACAAAATAGTTTGATCAAATTATATATTCAGTGAGTAGTTACTGGATCTCAAGGCAAGTGCATCTATTCTATAACTTATGCATTTTGTCTCTGTGAGGAAATTGACGTAATAGCAATCACCTTCTTACTTCTATTTGTGATTGGAATGAGGGATATGCAATGGTCTTCTAATATCCAGAATGACATGCATTGCCCTTTGTTCCAAATGGAGATAATTATGAATCCTTTAGTTATCTACCATTGAATTATGATATGAACTTCAGATCTAAAACCACATGTATAATTGTTTTAATTGTTTATTTGAAGGTTTTGATGCAGAATTTGTACCTGAAATTATTTTTTATGAAAGTTAAATTGTTATTATTATCACTGTTTCAGTGGATACTCAGAAAATATTTACACTAAATCCTTTATTCCAAATCATTTTAGAAACTCTAGGGACTCAATAATCCTTTCAGGGGATTAGCCTACATTTTAAAGCTCCAGTGATCCAGATAATCTCTTCGGGGAATTCCGCCCACAATTGAGTGCTCCAAAGACAGCACAGCATTTCCCTAGAGAATAATGTTTTTATGATAAACTTTTTAAAATAAAGACCATATCCTTTTACAAATATATATTTTAATACTGTACTCTTATAATGTCAGAAATATACTACCTTTATTCCAAATATGTCTTTATATTTTGATTTGTATTTTAATACACAAACCTATGAATTCACCACTTAAATGTAGATATGGCACTGATATAGGGCACTGTTATTTATTTTCTGTAAAGTACTCAAGAGAGTGTGTCTAACAAATTCATAAGAATGAAAGCCTCCAAGGGCGTAAAGATTGACAGTGGTGATTTTAAAAACAAACAAAAAAGCCACAGGGAGAAGGCATACATAATATTATGCCGAAAGAAAATATCTGAGTTTATTTTTCTACTTCTCCCACACAAAACTAGAGAACCTCTCCTGGAATATTTGAAACTTTGGATACACAACTGAGAAGAAAACATTACCTCCAGAGCTCCAAAAAAGTTTTCCAAGGCCAATGTTGGACAACATATGGGCTTTTAGAAATAAGACTGCAGTTGGATGGTAGGATGTCCAAAAGGGTAACATTCTCTATTGAAGTTAAAAAAAAATTGAAAGGCTAAGAATTTGACACTATGGGAAAAATAATTTTACCTTATAAATATGTCTATAAATTGCTTTTTATTAAACTTCAACATAATGAAAATTTTATGAAACTGTATTAAAATTGTGGATTATCAGTTTCTACATGTATTTGGTTAAAAAATAATAATGCCCATTTATCAAAAATAAAATAAAATTAAAACTTAATTTTCTGTTAGTTTGGACTCCCTGGGAAGCAGAAACCTAGATGGAGATCAACATGTGAAAGTACACTTGGCAGTACTCTCAGCACGAACACGTTAGAGGGTGTGAAGAAAGCAGACTGGGCATAAGGAAGAGCTTTACTGAAATGCTGTTACCTTGTCTTATGGAGTGCTCTGGACCTGAGGTGGCTTTTCAGAATTGTCTCAACTTCAGGCAGAAATGAGAGCTGTGACACAATACACAGAATTGTCATTAGATGCATACTGCACCCTGGGGAAGGTAAAATGACATTAGCTAGGTGAGCTTTTCAACCACAACAATTCTCAGAGGGGGTCTCAGCTTTTAACATGCTCTCAACAGCACTCCCAGCAGATGGAGAGATGAATATCTCAGTACCAATAGAAGATCTGGGCTGGGCATTATCTAGTGTTCCTCTTGTAGTGCTCAAACCCATTTTCTTTAATAAGGAATCGTGAGAAGTACTTCCCCAGAATATTGGTTGAGCTCTTTCTGGGAAAGCTGAGAGACTAAGATAAATAGGAGAAACTCCCATTTTCATTTCTGCAGCTGTTCTCAAGATGGTAATTAATGCTCCTCACCTCTCTGCTTCACTCACTGGAGATTCTTCTAATCCTTAGCTAGGACTTCTGGGGGTCTGTGGTAATCACGTAGAGCTGTAGTAACAAATTACCACAAATTTGGTGGCAGAAAACAATAGGAACTTATTCTCTCAAGTGTGTAGAGGCCACAAGTCTGAAATAAAGGTGTTAGCAGGGCTGGCTTCCCTCTAAAAAATCTAGGGGAGAAGACTCTCTCACCTCCTCCAGAGCCTCGTGGCTCCTGACATATCTAGGTTTGTGGCAGCATAATTCCAATCTCTGCCCTGCCTTCACATGGCTTTCTTCCTTATATTTCTATGTGTCCTTTTCTGTAAAAGAATACTCTTAATGGATTTAGTTAGGACCTACCCTAATCCATTATGGTCTCATTTTGCTCCTTCTCTTAAGTACATCTACAAAAAACCTATTTCCAAATAAGGCCATATTCTAGGTGGACATGAAATTTGGAGGAATGTCATTCAATCCACTGCAATCCACTCTCTACCCTTCCAAATGTATATTATTCCCACATGCAAAATACATTCACCTCATCCTACAATTTCTAAAAATCTTAACCAATTCCAGCATCAACTCTAAATCCAAAATCTCATCTAAATATCATCAACCCAAAAAATCTCGAATCTTATTTTTGAAACCATCTAAATTCAGTGTGGGTCATTCATTTCCTGGATATGATCCATCATAGGAACATTTCTTCCCCATCTGCAAAGAAGTTATCTGCTTCTAAGATATAATGGTGGCACAGGCATAGGTTAGACATTTCTATTCCCAAAGGAAGAATCTGGAAGAAATGAAGAAGATACTAGATTCAAGCAAGTGCAAAATCAAGCAAATCCCCTTATGTTTTAAGGCCTGAGAATAATCCTTTGTGGTTTGATGCTCTGCCCTCTGGGCCTACGATGCGAGCATGTCCTCTGAGCATAAGGCTTGCCTTCTGAATTGGTCTTCCTTTTGCTTGAAAGTTAGAACTGGATGGGATGTCACTTTGATGAATTTGGGAACTGATAAAGGAAAAACAAGACCATGAGACACAGCAAAATTTCTTGGGTGGTGCTTGGGCAGGGTGGCATGAGAGGAGAAGTACCTCCAAGAATAAAAAAATCCAGAGGCTCCCAATGTGGGTGCTGCCTTCCAGAAGGGGAGGAGAATATGGGAGGGAATTCCCAGGGGAAAGGGGAAGAGAAGACAGAGTTATGTGTCTAGGTGATGTTACTCAGCAGCACAGTGCTCAACAGCAGGTCAGAGGCCTCTGAAGGACTGCATCAGCCTGGGGACTCATAAATACAAGACTCTATCTTACCAATGGGTAATACCTACTCTGTGAGGTACCGTGGAACATGCAAATGCTCTTAATGGGTCTAAATCTGCATGCTTGGGCTACTTTAAAAACAGCTGAATGTTTAAAAATTTGATTTTGTGGGCAGGGCTCAGTGGCTCATGCCTGTAATCCCAGCACTTTGGGAGGCTGAGGCAAGTGGATCACGAGGTCAGGTGTTCAAGACCTGCCTGACCAATACAGTGAAACCCCGTCACTACTAAACATACAAAAATTAGCTAGATGTGGTGGTGCATGCCTGTAGTCCCAGCCACTCAGGAGGCTGAGGCAGGAGAATTGCTTGAACTCAGGAGGTGGAGGTTGCAGTTAGCCAAGACTGCGCCACTGAACTCCAGCTTGGGAAACAGAGTGAGACTCTGTCTCAACAACAACAACAACAACAAAATGATTTTATACCAGTGGACTTTTGAGATAATGGGTCTCAGCCTGCAGTAAAGAAATAAGCAATATAGGAATCAGGTCAGGGGTGGGATTACAATCTATAGCCTATAATACCAGCACTTTGGGAAGCAGAGACAGGAGAATCATTTGAAGCCAGAAATTTGACACTCACCTGGTCAAAATAATGAGACTTTGTTTCTAAAAAAAAAAAAAAAGGAGACAATACACAAAGGCCATATTTGAGTCATTTATATGCCTAGGATATCTTTCTGAAAAGATCAGACTCATTCTCAACATCTCATTCTATGAGGCCAGCATCATCCTGACACCAAAACCTGGCAGAGACACAACAAAAAAGGAAACTTCAGATCAATATATTTGATGATCATTGATGCTCAACAAAGGATCATTGATCCTCAACAAAATACTAGCAAACTAAATCCAGCAGCACATCAAAAGTCCACCATGATCAGGTAGGCTTCATCCCCAGGATGCAAGGTTGGTTCAACATACACAAATTAATAAATGTAATTCATCATATAAACAAAACTAAAGACAAAAACCACATAATTACCTCAATAGGCATAAAAAAGGCCTTCAATAAAATTCAGTATCCTTTTATGTTAAAAACTCTTAATAAACTAGGTGTTGAAGGAACATACCTTAAAATAATGAGAGCCATCTATGACAAACCAACAGTCAACATCATACTGAATGGTAAAAAGCTGGAAGCATTCCTTTTGAAAACTGGCACAATATAAGAATGCCATCTCTCACTACTCCTATTCAACATAGAACTGAAAGTCCTGGCCAGGGCAACCAGGCAAGAGAAATAAATAAAGGGCATCCAAATAGGAAGAGAGAAAGTCAAACTATCCCTGTTCACAGATGACATGATCCTATATCTAGAAAAGCCAGTAGTTTCAGCCAAAAGCTTCTTAAGCTGATAAACAACTTCAGCAAACTCCGAGGATACAAAATCAACATACAAAAGTCACTAGCATTTTTATCCACCAACAAAAGCCAAGCCAAGTGCCAAATCAGAAAGACAATTCTATTCACAATTGCCATAAAGAATACAATACCTAGGAATGCTGCAAACCAAGGAGGTGAAAGATCTCTACAATGAGAAATAGAAAACACTGCTGAAAGAAATCAGAGATGACATAAACAAATGGAAAACTTTCCATGTGCCAGAAAGATTTCATACCATTAAAATGGCTATACTGCCCAAAGAACTTACAGATTCATTGTTATTCCTATCAAACTACCAATGGCATTTTCCACAGAACAAGAAAAAACTATTTTAAAATTCATATGGGACCAAAAATGAGCCCAAATAGCCAAGGCAATTCTAAGCTTAAAAAAAAAAAAAAAAGCAGGAGGCATCAAGCCAAGCTAACTTAGTTAAAACTACACTACAGAGTTGCAGTAACCAAAATAGAATGGTACTGCTACAAAAACAGACACATAAACCAATAGAACAGAATAGAAAGCCCAGCAATAAGGCCACACTTCTAAAATCATCTGATCTTCCACAAAGCTGACAAAAACAAGTAATTGGGAAAGGACTCTGTATTTAATAAATGATGCTGGGATAGCTGACTAGCCATATGCAGAAGATTGAAACTGGACCCCTTTCTTACACCATATACAAAGATCAACTCAATATGATTAAAGACTTAAATGTAAAACCCAAAGCTATAAAAACCCTGGAAGACAACCTAGACAGTATCATTCTGGACATAGGAACTGGCAAAGATTTAATAACAAAGACACCAGAAGCAAACACAAAAAGCACAAAAATTGACAAGTAGAATCTAATTAAACTAAGGAACTTCTGCACAATCAAAGAAACTATCAACAGAGTAAACAGATAACCTACAAAATGAGAGAAAACATTTGCAAGTATGCATCTGGCAAAAGTGTAATATCTATGCACCTAGAAGAAATTTAAACACATTTATAAGAAAAAAAAATCCACCCCATTAAAAAGTGGGCAAAGGACATGAAAAGACACTTTTCAAAAGAAGACATACATGCTGCCATCAAGTATATGAAAAAAAAGCTTAGTATCACTGATCATTGGAAAAATGCAATCAAAACCTCAAGGAGATACCATCCCACACCAGTCAGAATGGCTATTATTACAAAGTGAAAACATAAGAGATGCTGGCAAGGTTGTGGCAAAAAGGGAACACTTATACATTGTTGGTGGGAGTGTAAATCAGTTCAACCATTGTGGAAAGCAGTGTGGCAATTCCTCAAAGAGCTAAAAATAGAACTACCATTTGACCCAGCAATCTCATTACTGGGTATAGATCCAAAGGAATATAAATAATTCTACCATAAAGATTCGTGCATGCATATGTTCATTGCAGTGCTATTCACAACATCAAAGACATGGAATCAACCTAAATGCCTGTCAATGGAAGACTGAAAAAAGAAAATAAGGTACATATATAACACAGAATACTATGCAGCCATAAAAGTGAATGAGATCATGTCCTTTGCAGAAACATGGATGGAATTGGAGGCCATTATCCTTTGCTGTTGGGAACAGGCCACCCAAAATCTGGCCATAAACTGGCCCCAAAACTGGCCATAAACAAAATCTGTGCAGCACTGTGACATGTTTGTGATGGCCATGATGCCCATGCTGGAAGGTTGTGGGTTTACCAGAATGAGGGCAAGGAACACCTGGCCCACCCAGGGCAGAAAACCGCTTAAAGATGTTCTTAAACCACAAACAACAGCATGAGCGATCTGTGCCTTAAGGACATGCTCCTGCTGCAGACAACTAGTCAAATCCATCCCTTTATTTCGGCCCATCCCTTTGTTTCCCATAAGTAATACTTTTAGTTAATCTATAATCTATAGAAACAATGCTTATCACTAGCTTGCTGTCAATAAATATGTGGGTAAATCTCTGTTCAAGGCTCTCAGCTCTGAAGGCTGTGAGACCCCTGACTTCCCACTCCACACCTCTATATTTCAGTGTGTGTGTCTTTAATTCCTCTAGAGCTGCTGGGTTAGGGTCTCCCGGACTGAGCTGGTCTTGGCACTTTGCAAACTAACACAAAGACAGAAAACCAAATACTGCATTTTTTCACTTATAAGTGATAGCTAAATGATGAGAACACTTGCATACAAAGGGGATAACAGCTGACACCAGGGCCTACCAGAGAACAGAGGGTAGGAAGAGGGAGAGGAGCAGAAAAAAGAAAATCTATTGGATACTAGGCTTAGAACCTGGGTGATAAAATAATCTGTACATCCAACCCCTGTGACAAGAGTTTACCTATTTGAAAAAAACAGCACATGTACCCCTGAGCCTAAAATAAAAGTTAAAAAAAATTCAGAGTCCACTACTTTTGCCGGAAAAATGGCTGTTTCTTTCCTGCTAATTTTTGGCAAAACATTCCCAGAATGATTGAGTAGCATCAATAGTTCAATGTTCAGGGCTTAAAAGTATGTTTTCTGTTAAAAATGTTGTCCTTTTTAGAATCAGGAACACTAAGCCTTTGGAGTCCCGAGTTATAGGAGGATAAAACACATACTGCACTGTGTCACTGGAATTGTTGAAAGCTGGATCACTGCTATTCAAACTACATTTTTTGGACCCATCCAGTAGAATCTTTGGTAACACTGATCCATATAAATGTATTTATTTAAGGTGAACAATGCATACTTGAGGAAGACATCCTTACTCTATTGGATCTTCTCTACGCACTAGTCTATTAACCACATCCTCAAAATCTCACCCCATCTCACTACCACGTTAGAAGCTTCTAAGTGGTCAATGGTATTATAGAGTCAGTTGATACCATTATCATGTGCCCTTGAAGCAATTATTTTTCTGTAAATGTCATACTTTGCTATTGTTATTGTATGTGGGATCCTATGCTCGTGGAGCAAACTTTATGCAAGCTCTCAGAGAGTGTTACTATCTGAGGCCCTGTAGACCAAAAAGTAAACCAATATGCAAAATGTGAATCATGCACAGGCAAGATAAATCATTATCCCTTCCATGATTAAAGATGCAATACAAACAACTTGTCACCAAGTGGCTCCTAGACTTTATGAGAGATAGTGTTCTATTCAGGGCCCAGTATTTGTTCCTGTTGAAATAAAGCAGGATACTATGCAGCCTTGATAAATTACCCTTGAATGTGGTTTTATGCTGTTGGGCCCACAGATACTCTCCATCCCTTCCACCACATCTACACTGTTTAAGAGTACATTGTGTCAGCTCTGTGGAAGCTGAGATCAGAGGCTGCCTGACATCGACTGACCAAGTCATTATATTTACTTTGGTGTGTTTTGTGTTGGATATTCTATGATGGATGTTTATGTGTGGTCCCAAAATCATAATTGACAGGCCGGGTGCGGTGGCTCACGCCTGTAATCCCAGCACTTTGGGAGGCCGAGGCAGGTGGATCACGAGGTCAGGAGATCGAGGCTAACATGGTGAAATGCCATCTCTACTAAAAATACAAAAAATTAGCTGGGCGTGGTGGCAGGCACCTGTAGTCCCAGCTACTCAGGAGGCTGAGGCAGGAGAATGGCGTGAACCTGGGAGGAAGAGCCTGCAGTTAGCCGAGATTGCACCACTGCACTCTAGTCTGGGTGACAGAGCAAGACTGTGTATCAAAAAAAAAATCATAATTGGCACATTATTTTTATTGACCATCTCCTTGCCTCCTCCCTAGACTTCCATTTATTTCCTTTCAGGACAGTGATCAAGTGGCCAAGCCACTCACCACTGACCATGATTCACTATATAGTCTTATCACAGGTCACCTCATTTCATGCATGTGACTGCATGCACTGCTTAGAATTGTGCCTTTTAGGAGATTTTTCTCATTACCTTTTCGGGTGCTCAAATGAATTAAGCTGCTGTGAGAAATAAGTCTATTTTTTAATCTGTATCCTAAGGACAAGTCAACTCATGTATGAATCAAGTTATCCTTTCTCTTCCTCTATCAATTGGTCATAAAAAATCACCCCATGTGACAACTTTGCCAGTGATTCTTTTTCAGCTCACACTTATTGTCACATGCAGTGAAAGACATGGTGCGACATGGCAGTGGATGACATGGTGCATGGACAAACTGTATAGGGAACTACAGTCTTCCATGGGTCTCTTATCTTCTGACATGGCTTCCTGGTTATGTCAAGAATGCAAACCCTTGACCACCCTTTACTTGTGCCATTTCTCATGGTTGTGGTCACAACAAAAACCTCGAAGGTTGAGGTAATGTTTCTCTCTCAATAAGAACCAGCTTTGCTTTAAATGTGGTACATACCAAAGCTAGTTTTTTTCAGCTGTGACGCTGCATAGTATACATCTACTCTCATCTGCATAGTCCCTCCAGGACTTGTGGAGCCTGGTATCAATTGATAAGAGGTATCAATGCTAACATAAATCTTAAGTTATCTGCTGTGTCATGAATAATAAAGTCCATTGTCTCTGTATCAGGAGTTTTGTGTCTTCTGTCAGTCGCAATAAAACAGTTACAGATTAACATATGAAGCTGTGAAGAGTGGAAAGCCCAGCCCCTTTCATTTGTTCATGCACCTTACATTTGCCCTCTTTCCCTGCTTATAATTAATTATAGTTGCCCCGCTTCTATCATGTGTTATATTGCTGGTGGGTCCTTACAATGTGTTGGTCTGCATCATTAATCTTTTGATAGGCACTCTCGCTTTATGGTCACTTTATTTTTCATAATTAAATACTCTATCTTGATCAAGACCCAGTCACATACCAGGTGGTGTTAATCAAATATTGTTTGTATCTTTGGCCTAAAGAACTTAAACTTGTTCTGAAACCTAAAGGATAATGAATATGGTGTGTGTGTGTGTGTGTGTGTGTGTGCCCACACACATACATGCACTGTTGGATCTTCATTTACATGGTTTATACTTTTGTTTATAAAAGGCACACACTGAAGAATTTAAAACTGTAAAGTCTTAAGTGTTGTGTTGATCAGCATTTCAGAAATCTCCTGAGGCTTTTTTTTATCATTGCAATATATAGAAAGTAGCAAATTGTGGAATCAATGAAACTTAACTGCAGAAATGTCAATAGATATTCTCTAGGGGTTTTCTAATATGTATTTATATGTATATCTTACCTCAAGCTTTCTGAAAAGCAGAAATCTGTAAGAATTCATTTTATAATTAAAATTTTCCTTCAATACAAACTCTCATTACATCAATGTAAAGATTGGTATTGTCTCTACAGCAAGTACTATATTATACTCTCTTTTTTTTAATTATAGCTCTACCTTTACGTTAAATCTGTAAGTTATCTAAGAAATAACTTTTTGTCCCCAGTGAATTTTCTATTCAAATTTTCAAGCAAAGATGACAGTACTAAAACTTAGACTAATACTTCTAGAAGAAATTCAGTGTAATGAGAATAAAATTAAAACAACAAAAACAAGACATTATAAATTTCCAAGAAATAAAAAAAGACAATAGAGAATATATGCTATATTATTCCATTTTTATAAAATTCTAAAAAAAGTAATTTAATATGTAATGACAGAAAGCAGAGCAGTGGTTGCTTGGCAATGTGTAAGGGGGAAGTAAGAGGGGAGAGGTAGTTTTGGGGGGATAATATATAGTCCTTATTTTGATTATATTGATGGTTTCACGGATATATCTAAATCTACATCTACATCTATATCTATATATTACTATTCAGGATGTGCAGTTTATTTTTTAATGATTTACCTCAATAATTATGCTTAAAAATGTTAGCTTAAAAATGCTAAGAAACTTGAAGTTTTTTATTTGCTGGATACAGTTTTTCCCCCTTGGAAACCATAAATCAAGTGATAACAAGAATCTCAAGGATAAATTATACCATGCTATTTAAGTTGAAAGAGAAGCACCAGTCACTGGGAGACAGGTCAGTTTCATTCCACATGCTTCATGAAGAACTAATGGGACTATGCCTCAGGACACTATGTAAAATACAGACTACAGTACAAATTCTGGTAAACACAGCTAAGAAATAGCAATGTATTCAAGTTTTACCTGAAGCTGTTAATTAACAATTTTGTGATATTGACTTGATCTAACTTTGAATATGCTCTTACTCATGAGATATATTTGCAAAATAATGAAGACAGTACACATACATAAAAAATGGAGAATTTAATTTGTTTCACAAAATGTATTGATTACTCCCATCCTAGGTAATGGGATGTAAAACCATGACCCCACAGAACTTAAGAATATAGTTTTGATTATTCATCTAACAAAAGATACATTTCATTAGTAAGTATACATTATGTCTGTTAAATATTTGTCTTACCTGTGTAATTTGTAAATTAGAAACAAATATGCATATTGAAGGTATAGTTCACTGTAGACAATTATTAATATCATTTTAGTTGCTGAATCAAAATCGACTCAGTGCTTACAGTAAATACTTTGTAGTGACATTGAGCATCATTTGAAGAAGATATCATTATGAGTCTTACAGTTCTATATATCACCAAAAGAACTGACTTTGAAATTAGGTGTATGTTCACATGTACCTTATCTTTCATACAAATGTGGTGTCTTTTATAACATTACAAGGGAAAGTCATTTTGGATCATCTGATTGTCCTTTTTTTCTTCCAGAGTGTTTGTATTCTAAAATGTTAATTATATCATAATTATCTGGTTGTCTTCCCTCTGACTCATACTTCATATAATCCTTAGCAAATGAATTCTAAAATCAAAATATAAAGGATAGAATAATATTCAAACATAGACATATTGATCTCTACAAATACAACCATATTACTTCTGTGCCTATATGAAATATTCTGTTTTTTGCAAGATTGAGTTAAATGAATATATATCATTTGTGTCTTTTATACCCACAGATATATGCTCATGTAATAGTTTGTTTTCTTTGCCAATTTCATATGTATTACCTAGGAAATTATGAAATTAGAGAGAATAGTATTTTCTTTTATTCATATATATCATTCTCACAAATACTTTTTTAAAAAATGGGACATGTAACCAAGGAAGAAACTTGTTACCTGCTTTCCTATAACTTACTAGCACTTCATATCTCACCTCTCTCTTATGCTATGCTCAGAATAGAGTAACTGAATCCCTCTAGCACTTGTGAATACAATCCATATTGAAAAAAAGATGACACACTCTCTTCAAAATCAATTTTCAGGTTTTCTATGAATAAATATTTCTTATGTTTTTGTTCTATAAAAATATATTTTAATGCAAATACTAATCCTTTGAAAGTTAAGTATAATATATTTGCTTAGGAATATGTTATGTGACAGATGGTGGTTATGAATATTAATTGTTGGTCCTTTATTTCTGCGTTAATGACTTGTAGTTGACTGTGGGCTGTAATCAGTGAATGCTGCTAATATCCCCAAATTGTAGAGAGTTCTATATGAAAAATATTAACAGGTTTGGTTTGGCTACCAATAAATAAGTATTTAAGATAATGTTATTTTACTTATTTTTAATGACATTCAATAAAAATGTTTCTCCTATAAAAGATTCAGATTATGGTGGCAAACTGCAAAAATGACTACTTTTTTTTCTGTGTATGTTTGCATTTCACTTTTGCAATGCAATTTTACACCATCTTGCATAAAGCAGTGAAGTCTATTCTTCTACCCCTTGAATCCGGGCTTGACCAAATTTGCTTTAGTCAATGGGACAATAGAAGACATGATAGAAACTTAGCCTTGGCTTATTTGTTGGAGTCTATACACTTGCTGCTCCTCAAACTCTACCACCACTATGTAAAGAAGCCCTAGTTATCTTGCTGGAGAATGACAAACTAGGTGGAGAAGGGGACCAGAGCTTCTCATCATCTCAGTGTTCCCATTTGAGGTACCAGAGATTAGTTGAGTTGAGGCCAGACAGGAAAAGACATCCAGTCGATCCCATAATAAATTATGTACCTACAGATTCAGGGACTAAATGAATGATTGTTACTATAAGGTATTATGTTCTGGGGGATTTTTAAGGCAGAAAATGCTAACCGCATCAATTATTAACATGAATTAATTTTGAAACTACACACATATTCTATAATAATTTTATAAATAGTGACTTTTCTTAGATTTCTTCCTTGACATAACCACATAAAAATCTAGGAGTCAGCCAGAGCTTCTGGTTAGCTCAGTGTTCCCATCTGAGGTACCATTGATTAATTGAGTTGAGCCCAGACCAGAAAAGGCATCCAGTAGAGCCTATACTAAATTATATACCTACAGATTCATGGGTTTAATAAATAACTGTTATTATAAGGTATTATGTTCGGGGGGATTTTTTAAGGCCAAAAATGTTAACTGTATCAATTATTAACATGAATTAACTTTAAAACTACACACATATTCTGTAATAACTTTATAAATAATGACTTTTCTTAGATTTACTCCTTGCTATAACCACATAAAAGTCCAGGAGTCAGAATTATGATGAAAGATTACAAGATTGGGAAATGTAAGAATACCAAATGAAACTAGACCACTTGTCTCATAAAACTGATATTTATGGTTTCTTCTCAGTAAACATGGAAATGGATGCCCTCCTCAGCCTTAAAACTTGAGAAACTTACTTTCAACTTACCTGAGTTCCTTTCTCCAAAAATAAACCATCAAGCATGGCAGATAGTATCATGGACCTGAAACTTACCAGATCAATTCACCTGGACAGTGAGACGCTGGACCCCACACCCATCATGATTGCCTAAGTGACCACCAGCTGCCTGCTGACCAACTCTTTTTCTTTATCCTTCCCTAGTTCCTGTTTTCCCACACGTAGTAAAATTTCTATCCAGCTATATAAACCCCTAATTTTAGGGGTGGAGGAGAATAGATTTGAGACTGATCTGTCATCTCCTCAACTACAGCACTCAAAGTAAGCTTTTTTCCCCCTGGCAATAAATGTTCATTGTCTCAGTGATTGACTTTCTGTGCAGCGAACAGCAGGACCTAGACCGAATCCCTGGCATTTTGATGACACAAGAACTATAAGTAAGAAAGATATCATTGAGTTCCAGTTAAAAGTGGTGAATTGGAACTCTGTTCAATATGTTTACCTTTGTTACAATTTACATTCACTTAAAATATTAATAGAGAAATAAAAAGTATAAACCTAAAGAAAAAATACTTGAAGATAAAAGCCTATATAATTGTTTTGTTTGTTTGTTTGTTTTGGAAACAAGGTCTCACTCTGTCACCCAGGCTGGAGTGCAGTGATATGATCATGGCTTACTGCAGTCTCAAATGCCTGGGCTCACATGATCTTCCCACCTCAGCTTCCTGAGTAGCTGGGACTACAGGCATGTACCACCACACCTAGTTTTTTTTTCATTTTTTGTTAAGTGAGGGGTCTCACCACATTGCCCAAGCTGGTCTCAAACTCCTGGACTCAAGCAATCATCCTGCCTCATCTTCCCAAAGTGCTGGGATTATAGGTGTGACCCACTGCACTTGGACAAATTCTTAACATATGTACAGTAGGTAGAGGATTTAGCAAATATGAAAGATCTAAATACCAGGTATCTACAGAAGGAGACATAAGTGAAAAGTACACCAATTCTCATCACAGAACCAAACACAGGTTCAGATATGGAAAGCATCATGTAATGTATATTGAGGTTGAGATGGGGCATAATAATGAAAACAAAAAGATTGCTCAAACTTTTGTAAATGAATATCTAGATACCCCATTGCCTTCCCTGTCCAAATCATCTTTGCAAATAAACTGACTCAAACCGTGTAAAAGTCAAAGGTTTTATTCTATGTAGAAATGTATGCGGAAATGGTCCATTCAATGATATAATAGGTACTGCAGAAGTTAGGAAGAAAAATATTTCCAGAAGGATATAAGGAAATAATGAAAAGTTTCTTAGTGAAAATTAAGATGTCTGGGCATGTATGTTCTCAGAGGAAGAGGAACCAAAAATTACTGGAGAGTTGTTGTCACAAATAACATGTGGATTGGATAGGAAGCAGGGCTAGTGTGCATCTTCAACTTGGATAAACAGAAGAATGTGTAGAGAGTCACACTGTGAATCTTTGTTCCAAGAACCACCACAAAAACATACCAGGAAAACCAAAAGTATTCACAAATCCTTTGAAAAAAAGTGGCACATTGCTGCAAACTCCCTGAGACAAGCAAAATACTAAGTTCTCAGAGTGTGAAGCGGAAAAGCCTGCCTCTGAAGACACATAAATCCAGATCACTGAAGAAGGCTTTAACTCCACCTAGAGCTGTAACAGATTTAGGGAGTGACTTGAAATATAAAAGTAGAAGCAGCAGCAGGAAAGGCCTTGTAGGCATTCCCAGTTTCCGACTAGAATCCAGGGAAGCCATTCCTGACTATATTTCACAGGGAAGGCAGGTAGTAGAATTACGGAGAAGTTGCAGAGTGGAAGAAGCTCCTAAATGAATTTTGTGATAATTCTGAGAAGGCATGAACTTCCTTGAAGAGAATTTGTGGTATGAACAAGAACTGAAGCAGATAGGAATGCAGGTGCAGGACACCCAGAATTGCAAGCAGATGGGGAAGAGCATGGCCCAAAAGCCATGCTTGCTTTCTCATCAGGGAAGATTATGGCCTGGGGCAGGTCTGAGTTCTATGTGCTAGTGGCCTGGATCTAAACTCAGCACTGTTTAGCAGGGCACTGCTGAGCGAAACCTGCCTTGCCAACTGTGTGGGGGCAGTTGGGTGAGGCCAATCACTGCTGGTCATTCCCCACTCCCCTGACGAACCTACTGCACAGCAGAGGCAGCCATTACAGCAACTCTTGGCAGAATAACACTGCTCCCAGGAAGGAGAAAACAACAGCACTGCCTGCAACACCCTGGCTAACCAGAGGTCCTGAGTCTGTTCACATGACAACTTCACTGGTAGCATAACCAGTATTCAAGGAAACCAGTGCACTAAACCTATCTACAAACAAGGAAACTCAGTGTCTACAGCACTCACCTGCCATCTCCACCATAGCCAGGTGCTGGCATCAATGCCTGGGAGACCTGAAGATTGGTCACATCACTGCACTCTTTGTAGACATTCTCCAGCACCAGCCCAACGCATGGTAGTTCCATTTGGTGGCTAGACCCAGAAGAGCAATAACAATTGCTTCAATTCAGCTCTCAGGAAGAAGCCCCATTCTCAAGGAAAGGTGGAGAGTACCACATCAAGAGATCATGTTGTAAGATAAAATAATCTGAACATCAGGCCTGAATTCCAGGTCTTTCCACTGGTGGGAAGTTTATTACAGCAGAGACACAGTTGAAATGCTGAGTGTAGTAGGGAAAGTCTGCACCTCTCTACTACAACAGGCAGGCAGCCTCTGTGAGAAGATGTCCTTCTTACTCCCTGGCACTCCACTGCAGACACAGCTGGAGCTTCCCCCGTAGGAATGCAGAGTGAAGGCACATATAGACAGCCTTCCTGGAACAATCCAGGGTAAGCACAACCCCACAGGAGGAGCACACTCCAGATTCAGGTCTGCATGAGAGGCAGAGTCACAGTTCCTTTCTACTTGGAACATCAACATTTCTATAGAAGAAAAGAGGTGGCTGTCAGATTTGAGTAGCTGAAACACTAGAATACGAGTGAGGCTGTGAGGTGAAGAGCTTTCCTGCAGGCCTGGCAGGGGAGCTGAGGTAGTTCCCACTCTTCACCATGGTAAAACCTCAGCACATCTGAGAGCTCCCTCAGCCACCCTCATCAAGGCTAGCACCTTAGCCCACTGTTGGGTATTACATATACCCATCTGCCTTAGCTACAACCATTGCCTACCCAGAGATGTCTTCCTTATTGGACTGAAACCTGAATCAACTCAGCAAATAAAATACCAGAAAATAAATAAATAAATAAATAAAGTGTATCCCACAAGAGAAGGAGATAAGTTCAAGAGATCCCTGGCATTCCAATTCCACAGGAGACAGTGAACTCACCCACACACCAACAACATAACTACTGCAGCCAGTATCCAGGAAAGCCAGTGCACAAAGACTGTCTATAACTAAGGAACTTATACAGAGTCTTCACACAATCAAGCACCAAGAATCAAATCCAGCTAAAATAAACATTAAAGTCCGATCCTTAAGAGAGGAAAAAAAGAAATTTAAATTTTTTAAAAGACAAAGTTCAATCAAAAACAAATTCAATATAAATTTTAGGAAGTAGTCTACTCAAATGAGTGGGAAGCAGAAAAGTTATTCTTGTAATATGACAAAGCAGGTTTCTATAACATGTCAGAAAGATCACACTAGCTCCCAAGCAATGGATCCAAATCAAGAAGACATCTCTTAATTACCAGATAAAGAATTCAGAAGAATTATGGACAGATGAAGCCAGCTAGACTTCCTGGGTCGAGTGGGGACTTGGAGAACTTTTCTGTCTAGCTAGAGGATTATAAATGCACCAATCAGCGCCCTGTATCTAGCTAAAGGATTGTAAACACAAAAATCGGCACTCTAAAAATGCACCAATCAGCACTCTGTGTCTAGCTAAAGGATTGTAAATGCTCCAATCAGCACTCTGTAAAATGGACCAATCAGGACTCTGTAAAATGGACCAATCAGCACTCTGTAAAATGGACCAATCTGCAGGATATGGGTGGGGCCAAATAAAGGAATAAAAGCTGGCCATCCAAACCAGCAGTGGCAACCCACTCAGGTCCCCTTCCACGCTGTGGAAGCTTTGCTCTTTCGCTCTTCACAATAAATCTTGCTGCTGCTCAGTCTTTCAGTCCACACTACCTTTATTAGCTATAACACTCACTGTGAGGTTCTGCGACTTCATTCCTGAAGTCAGGAAGACCACGAACCCACCAGGAGGAGAAAACAACTCTGGACACGCCACCTTTAAGAGCTTTAACACTCACTGCAAATGTCTGTGGCTTCACTACTGAAGTCAGCAAGACCACGAACTCACTGGAAGAAACTCTGGACACATCTGAACATCTGAAAGGACAAATCCTGGACACACCATCTTTAAGAACTGTAACACTCACCACAAGGGTCCGTGGCCTCATTCTTGAAGTCAATGAGACCAAGAACCCACAGGAAGGAATAAATTCTGGACGCATTATGATTAAGCTACTCAAGGAGACACCAGAGAAAGGTGAAAACAACTTACATAAATTAAGAAAACAATGCAGGATATGGATAAAAAAATTATACAGAGATATATATCATAAAATAAAAATAATCACAACCTCTAGAAATGAAAGACACATCAGGGAAATACAAAATGCAGTGGAAATTTTCAAAAATAGACTAGAACAAGTAGAAGAAAGAACTTCAGAACTGAAAGAGAAGGTTTTCAAATTAACCCAACCAGACAAGGACATATAAAAAAGAATTTTAAAAAATGAGCAGTTTCCAAGAATGTGGGATTATGTTAAATGGACAAACCTAAGAATACTTAATGTTCATGAGGAAGAAGAGAAATCTAAAAGTTTGGAAAACTTATTTAAGGGAATAATTGAGGAAACCTTTCCTCACCTGGCTGGAAATACAGACATCCAAATACAATACAAAGAACTCCTGGGAAATTTACTGCAAAAAGATCATCACCTAGCCAGATAGGTCATCAGGTTATCTAAAGTCAAGATGAAGAAAAGAATCTTAGGAGCTGTGAGGCAAAAGCATCAGATAGCCTATAAAGGAAAACCTATCAGATTAACAGCAGATTTCTCAGCAAAGACCTTGCAAGCCAGAAGGTATTGGGGTCCTATCTTTAACCTCCTTAAACAAAATAGTTGTCAGCCAAGAATTTTGTATCCAGAAAAACTAAGATTTAGAAATGAAGGAAAGATAAAATTTTTTTTTCAGACAAACAAATGCTGAGAAAATTTGCTGCAACCAAACCAGTAAAACAAGAAATGCTAAAAGGAATTAAAAATCTTGAAATAAAACCTTGAAATACACCAAAATAAGAACCCCCTTACAGCATAAACCTCAAAAGGCCTATAAAACAATAGCACAATAAAAAAGGTATTTAGGCAACAACTAACATGATGAATATAACAATATCTCAAGTCTCAATACTAACATTGAATGTAAATGGCCTAATGTTCCACTTAAAAGATATAAAATGGCCAAATGAATAAAAATTCACTAACCAACTATCTGCTATCTTCAAGAAACTACTCACCTAACACATAACAGACTCACCCAAATTAAGGTAAAAGAACAAACCAAACCCAAACCCAGCAGAAGAAATAACAAAAATCAGAGCCTAACTAAATAAAATTGAAACAAAAAATTACAAAAGATAAGTAAAACAAAAAGTGGTTCTTTGAAAAGATAAACAAAATTGATAGATCATTAGAGAGATTAACCAAGAAAAGAAGAGACAAGATCCAAATAAGCTCAATTAGAAACAAAATGGGAGCTATTGCAACCAATACCACACAATACAAAAGATTATTTCAACCTATTATCAACATCTTTATGTGCACAAATTAGTACATCTAGAGGAGACGGATAAATTCCTAGAAATGTAGAACCTTACTAGATTAAATTAGGAAAAAATACAAACTCTGAACAGACCAATAACAAGCAGCAAAAATTGAATCAGTAATAAAAAAATTGTCAACAAAAGAGTACGTGATGAGAGGGGTTCACAGCTGAATTCTATCAGATGTTCAAAGAAGAATTGGTACCATTTTACTGAAAGTATTCCAAAATATAGAGAAAGGGAATCCTCCCTAAGTTTTTCTTTGAAGCCAGTATCACCCTAATAGCAAAACCAGGAAAGGACACAACAAAAAAATAAAACTACAGACCCATATCCCTGATGAACACAGCTGCAAAACATCCTCAACAAAATATTAACTAACCAAATCCAACAACTATCAAAAAGATAATACATCATAATCAGATGGGTTTTATACCAGGAATTCAGGAATGACTTAAAATATGTAAGTCAATAAATATGATACAACACATAAACAGAATCAAAAATGAAAATCATATGACAATCTCAATAGAGACAGAAAAATATTTGACAAAATTCAGCATCCCTTTATGAAAAAACTCTCAGAATTAGCATGTAAGGGGCATACTTCAGAGGAATAAAAGCCATTTATGACAGACCTATAGCCAACAGCACATTGAATAGGGAAAAGTTAAAAGCATTGCACTTGAGAATTGGAACAAGACAAGGATGACCACTTTCACCACTTCTATTCACCACATTACTAGAAGTCCTAGCCAGAGCAATCGGAAAAAAGAAAAAAAAAAATAAAGAGCATCCACATTGGAAAAGAGGAAGTCAAACTGTCAGTGCTTGCTGATGATATGACCATATACATAGAAAAGTCTAAAGACTCATCCAAAAAGTTCCTATCTGGTAAATAAATTTGGTAAAGTTTCAGGACAAAAAAATCAAAGTACACAAATCAGTAGCCCTGCTATATATCATCAAACACCAAGCTTAGAATCAAATCAAGAACTCAATCCCTTTTATAGCAGTTGAACATATATATATATATATATATGAATATATGTAGAAATATACTTAACCAAGAGGTGAAAGATCTCTACAAGGAAAAGTACAAAACATTGCTGAAAGAAATCAGAGACAACAAAAAGCAAATGGAAATACATCCCATAATGATGGATAAGTAGAATCAATAGTATGAATATGACTATACTGCCTGAAGCAATATATAGATTCAATGTAATGCCCATCAAAATATCATCATCATTCTTCACAGAAAAAAAATTCTAAAATTCACCAAAAAAGAGTCCTCATAGCCAAAGAAAGACTAAGCAAAAAGAACAAATCTGGAGGCATCACATTACCTAACTTCAAACTATACTACAAGGCTATAGTTGCCAAAAAGGCATGGTACTGGTACAAAAATAGGCATGTAGACCAAACGAACAGAATAGAGAACTTAGATATAAAGCCAAATACTTAGAGCCAACTGATCTTTGACAAAGCAAACAAAAACATAAAGTGGGGAAAGGACACCATATTCATTAAAGGGTGCTTGAATAATTGGCAAGGCACAAATAGAATAATAAAACTGGATCTTAATTTCTCACCTTATAGAAAAATCAACTCAAAGTGGATCAAACACAAATCTAAGTCCTGAAATTATAAAAATTCTAGAAAATAACGTTGGAAAAACTTCTAGATGTTGGCTTAGGCAAAGAATTATTGACCAAGAACCCAAAAGTAAATGCAACCAAAACAAAAATAAATAAATGGGACCTGTTTAAACTAAAAAGGTTCTGCACAGCAAAAGAAACAATTAGTAGAGTAAATAGATAGCACACAGAGTTGGAGAGAGTATTTGCAAACTACGAATCTTACAAAGGACTAATATACAGAATCTACAAGGAATCCACACAAATCAGCAAAAAAAAAACAAAAAAGACATTCAAAAAGTGGGCAAATGTCATAAATAGAAAATTCTCAAAAGAAAATATACAAATGACCAAAACACATATGAAAAAAATGCTCAACGTCTCTAATTATCAGGGAACTGCAAATTAAAACCACAATGAGCTACCACCTTACTCTTGCAAGAATGGCCATAATTAAAAAATCGAAAAACAATAAATGTTGTTGTGGATGTGGTGAAAAGGAAACACTTTTACACTGCTCCTGGGAATGTAAATTAGTACAACCACTATGAAAAACAGTATGGAGATTTTTTGAAGACTAAAAATAGAACTCCCATTTGATCCAGCAATCCTACTGCTGGCTATCCACCCAGAGGAAAATAATTCATGATTTGAAAAAGACACTTGCACATACATGTTTATAGTAGCACAATTTGCAATTGCAAAAAGATGGAACCAACCTAAATGCCCACCAACCAATGAGTGGATAAAGAAAATGTAGTATATACACACCATGGAATACTACTCAGTCATAAGATGAAAAGAAATAATGGCATTTGCAGCAATTTGGATGGAGCTGGAGGCCATTATTCTAAGTGAAGTAACTCAGGAATGGAAAAACAAATTTTGTATTTCTCACTTATAAGTGGGATCTAAGCTATGAGGATACAGAGGCATAAGAATGATACAATGGGTTTGGGGCACTTGGGGGAAGGGTGGAAGGTGGTGAGCATTAAAAACTATATATTTGGTGCAGTGTACACTATTCAGGTGACAGGTGCACCAAAATCTCAGAAATCACCACTAAAAAACTTATTCATGTAACCCAAAAACACCTGTTCCCCAAAAGCTATTGAAAAAAAAAATAACGTGTCCATGATAGTAGAGCTTCCAGTAATTGATTTAGTGCTTCTGTCTTCAAGAAGAAAACAAAAAAGGAATGCCAGATATTAAATGAAAGTCCAAGTATAAATTTTGGAACCCGATGAAAACAAATATAAAGAAAATGAAGATGCCCCCCGACACACACTCACACACACACACACAGTGATGAAGAAGAAGACGGAGAAGGAGAAGGAAAAAGGAAGACTATAAACAAACTATAGAAGACAGAAACTGTTTTCATTAATATATAATATTCTAAGATATATTAAATAAGTTACTGAATCTGTTTTAAAAAAAGATGTGATTTAAAAGGAACAATCAGAGAAGGAGAAGGTATTTATAAGCCTCAAAAGCTGAATAAATGATTTAGAAGGAAAAGTCAAGAATACTTTCCGAAATAAAAATATGAAAACTTCTAAAACAAACAGTAAAAATCCCAGTCAAATAATTTAATTATATGATTACTTGATATTTATAAAAGTAAAATCTAGGACGAGCATATGGGGACAGACACCACATCCAGCCATTTCTTAATATACTTTCAGAACTCCATTTCAGGCAGAAAAATCCAAAATCTACCAGAGGAAAAATTATAGATAACGTGGAAAACTTACAAAGATTAAGGTACATATTGTGATCAGACTTCTCGATAGTTGAAGAGTATATAAATACCTTCAACATTTTGTAAAGACAATTATTTTCAAATTTAACTTTTATACTTGGAAAACCTGTCTCTTCAATGTTAAGCCATCACATTCTAGATATGTAAAAATACAAGAAATGTATCTCTAAGTAGTCTTTCTCCATGATGTATCAGAAGAGCCCCACTCTAAGGAAACGGCAACCTAAAAATAAAAGAGGCAAACAGAATAGAAGACAAGTTATCAAAATTAATACAATAGTTACAAGATCTGATAAGAGGAAGTTTCATGTGGAATATCTCTATAAAGGAAAAGAAAGAATCTGAAAGATTTTCTGATAAGTCTAATAATGTCAAAAGTAATCAGCAGAGTTTTCAAAGTTTAGTTTGAGAATTTTGAAGGTCGTAAAGAGAAGTATGTAGAAAATGATTTAAACAAAGGAATACATGTACCATGTCCAGTGGGAAAGTTACAGAATGATAAACCAATCATTATCTTTCGAATGAATCAGCAGTAAATAAATTAATTTAGCCAAAATTTGTGATTCATGCATATTGAGGAGTTAAAGAGATGGTAATGTGTAGGCTGAGGCAGATGTATAAAAATTGCTATATACAGTTCGGGTATATAGTAATATATACTATATATCAGAAGATCCTGGCTAACATGGTGAAACCTCATCTCTACTAAAAAATACAAAAAATATTAGCCGGGCATGGTGGCAGGTGCCTGTAGTCCCAGCTACTCGGGAAGCTGAGGCAGCAGAATGGCATGAACCTGGAAGGCGGAGCTTGAAGTGAGCCGAGATCGCGCCACTGCACTCCAACCTGGGCGACAGAGCAAGACTCCATCTCAAAAACAAGCAAACAAAAAAATTACTATGTACTTACATTCTGTAATAGAAAGTAAATACATATATTTAAAATTATAAAAGAAAAATAGCAGTAAAAGTTTATTATATTAAGATGTGGTTGCAAATAGTAGGGAAAAAAAGTAGTACTATATGTGTGTTTCTTTGGAAAGATGCTCTGATGGGCAGGAAGGAGATAGTAGTGTCTGCAATTTTTCCTTATGTACCAAACAATGCCAAGCAACCTGCAAGATTATGGGCATATTTTGAAAAATAAAGTATTAACAAATAAATGACTCCTCTTTTTGCTTAGGATTGTCTTGACTTTATGGGCTCTGTTTTGGTTCCATATGAAATTTAAAGGAGTTATTTCTAATTCTGTGAAGAAAGTCAATAGTAGCTTAATGGGAATAGCATTGAATCTATCAATTACTTTGGGCAATATGGCCATTTTCATGACATTGATTCTTCCTATCCATGAGCACGGAATGTTTTTCCATTGATTGTGTCCTCTCTTATTGCCACGAGTAGTGGTTTGTAGTTGTCCTTGAAGAGGTCCTTCACGTCCCTTGTAAGTTGTATTTCTAGGTATTTTATTCTCTTTGTAGCAATTGTGAATGGGAGTCCAAGCACGATTTGGCCCTCTGGTTGTCTATTGTTGGTGTATAGGAATGCTTGTAATTTTTGCATATTGATTTTGTATCCCGAGATTTTGCTGAAGTTGCTTATCAGCTTAAGGAGTTTTGGGGCTGAGATGATGGGGTTTTATAAATACACAATCATGTCATCTACAAACACAGATGATTTGACTTTCTCTTTTCCTATTTGAATACCCTTTATTTCTTTCTCTTACCTGATGGCCCTGGTCAGAACTTCCAATAGTGTGTTGAACAGGAGTGGTGAGAGAGGACATCATTGTCTTGTGCCAGTTTTCAAACGGAATGCCTCCAGCTTTTCACATTCAGTATGACATTGGCTATGGGCTTCTCATAAATAGCTCTTATTATTTTGAGATACATTCCATCAATTCCTAGTTTATTGAGAGGTTTTAGCGTGGAAGGATGTTAAATTTTATTGTATGCCTTTTCTACATCTATTGAGATAATCATATGGTTTTTGTCAGTGGTTCTGTTTACGTGATGGATTACATTTACTGATTTGCATATGTTGAACCAGGCTTGCATTCCCAGGGATGAAGCTGACTTGATCATGGTGGATAAGCTTTTTGATGTGCTGCTGGGTTTGGTTTGCCAGTAATTTATTGAGGATTTTCTCACTGATGTTCAAAAGTTGGAGGCATCATGCTACCTGACTTCAAACTATACTACAAGGCTACAGTAACCCAAACAGCATGGTACTGGTACCAAAACAGATATAGAGACCAAAGGAACAGAACAGAGACCTTGGAAATAACACCACACATCTACAACCATCCAGTCTTTGACAAACCTGACAAAAACAAGCAGTGGGGAAAGGATTCCCTGCTTAATAAATCATTCTGGGAAAACTGGCTAGTCATATATGGAAAACTGAAACTGGAGTCCTTCCTTACATCTTAAACAAAAATTAACTCAAGATAGATTAAAGACTTAAATGTAAAACCCAAAACCATAAAAACCATAGAAGAAAATCTAGGCAATCCCATTCAGGACATAGGCATGAGCAAAGATATCATGACTAAAACACCAAACGCAATTGCAACAAAAGCCAAAATTGACAAATGGGATTTAATCAAACTAACCAGCTTCTGCACAGCAAAAGAAACTATCATCAGAGTGAACAGGCAACCTATTGGATGGGACAAAGGTTTTGCAATCTACCCATCTGACAAAGGTCTAATACCCAGAATCTACAAGGAACTTAAACAAATTTACAAGAAAAAGTCAAACAACTCCATTAAAATGTGGGCAAAAGATATGACCAGACACTTCTCAAAAGAAGACATTTATGTGGCCAAAAAACATGAAAAAAAAAAGCTCATCATCACTGGTCATTAGAGAAATGCAAATAAAAACAACAATAAGATACCATCTCACACCAGTTAGAATGGTGATCCTTAAAAAGTCTGGAAACAACAGATGCTGGTAAGGCTGTAGAGAAATAGGAATGCTTTTACACTGTTGGTGGGAGTGTAAATTAATTCATACATTGTGGAAGACAGTGTGGAGATTCCTCAAGGATCTAGAACTAGAAATACCATTTGATCCAGCAATCCCACTACTGGGTATACCCAAAGGATTATAAATCATTGTACTATAAAGAGACATGCACATGTATGTTTACTGCAGCACTGTTTACAATAGGAAAGACTTGGAACCAACCAAAATGCCCATCAATGATAGGCTGGATAAAGAAAATGTGACACATATACAACACAGAATACTATGGAGCTCTAAAAAACAATGAGTTCATGTCTTTTGCAGGGGCTTGGGTGAAGCTGGAAGCCATCATCTTCAGTAAACTAACACAGCAACAGAAAACCAAACACAGCATGTTCTCACACATAAGTGGGAGTTGAACAATGAGAACACATGGACACAGGGAGAGAAACATCACACCAGGGCCTGTCGAGGGTGAGAGGCAAGAGGAGGGAGAGCATTAGGACAAATACCTAATGCATGCAAGGCTTAAAACCTAGAAGACAGTTGATAGGTGCAGCAAACCACCATGGCACCTGTATACCTATGTAACAAACCTGTACATTCTGCCCATGTATCCCAGAACTCAAAGTAAAATAAAAATAAAATAAAATAAAATAAAACAAATGACTGCTTATTTGGTCTCTCAAATTTAATGCTAGCTAGGCTCAATTCATTAAAAAGATTATTTCTGAGCCTCTACTATTTGAGAAGCAGGATCCTAAGTTAAAGTGATGGGCAGAAGGAAAGGGAGACAAAAATATGAGTAGAAAATAATTATCAGAATAAAATCACATGGAATTGTTTCTGGGTATTTTGAATGTAGAGTTAAAAACTACATGTGTCAAATAGACAAATAGATATAAATAAAATATATAATGAACTTCTACCAAAATTTCCAATTTTCCAATAAACATTTTTTAAATTCTCCTATCTTACATCTTATATCCTCTTTCTTCCATGTTAGAGTTCCCAGTTGTCAATAACACTTGGTTTAATATTTTGAATTAATATTTTGCTTATTTTATTCATAATTTACTCATAATCAATACTCTCAGAACCATGTATACACTAATAACAAGCATCTAATAACTGAAAATAGTTTAGGATCTTATTTTACATTTTTATTTTGTTTATTTATTGACCACAGTGCACTACTCAATTTGACAGTACAACTAAATGCCTAAATTCAGGAATCCCTTGGAATATTCCCTTTCTGCATAGTGTGTCACTTACTAGGTGCATATTTTTCTTCATTTGTTTATTTTTATTTTGACATTTAGGTTTTGCCTTTGTATTTGATTATACTTTCAAAATTAACATATTTACACTGTTTCACAGTCACATTTTTATTGTCAGTTATTTTCAAAAAAGTCTAGCTTTTTGCCCTGTCTCCTCTAGCTATTTCCCCTTCTCCCCTAAATAGATAGCCGTCTAAATTTATTTTATTGTTTATTCTATTTAAAAAAAACTATAAACAGATATTATCTTCGCATATTTGACCTTAACTAGATAGTGACATACAGTTCTCTCCAACTTGCCCCTTTCACTTAGCAATGTTAAGTCCAGTAGCAATTAATCCAATATTGACCATCCTGTGGTCTTGAAACATGGCTCTTCATGGGGGTGGAGTCAGGAATGTAGAATATAAAACTATAATATATTCTCATACCACATTATGATGAGGAAACCAATCACCAACAGGATCACATCAACATTTCCCAGGAGCTATTGGTCAAATATAAAAAACTGTATCAGTCTCTTTAATAATTGCTGTAGATTAAAACACATCACATATGATTGTATCCACGATTTCATGCTGACCAAATGAACAACATTAGTTGGTCACTTTAGTGGTTGTAAAAAATGTAATTTTTATTCTAAACTGGTAAATTAAGCAAAAGAAAACATTTACTTTACCTTTGATGTCACTGAGTAACCTAAAAGTAAGTAAAGAGAAGTATTTCAACTAGTACAGTGAGAAGGGATATTAGAATTAGAATATCGCTATTTGTAATGCCCATAGATTCATGAATCTAGGCATTGATATTCAACAACTACTACTATCACTAAATGGAGACAGGTAGACATAATACATATATTGATGGAGGTATTACTGGCCATTTATGAAAAACACTCACCAAAAAATTTAATGTAAGCTAAATTAAGACACTATATTCAAGTACAATTGATGGTAAATAAAGAAGCCAGAATAACATGTTAAATAGTATCTTGAGATACAGGTAAGGGAAGGAATGCAACCAGCAAAATATTTGAAGTGGGAAACTCTACAGGACAAGTGAGACAGAGTTTTCAATAAATAAACTTACAAAATAATAGAGTGAGAATTCATATATTAAGGAGATTTGAAAGACATATCAAGTAATCACAATGTGTGGACTTATTTAATCGTTTAATTAAATTGAAAACAATACAAAGTTATGAGAAAAATGAAATTTTGAACAATACAACATTAATTGCATATTTGAAGCTACAAAGAAATTTCTATTTATTTTTCAGGAATGAAAAATTGTGGGTGTGTTAAAGTTCTCATCTTTTAGAGATAAATATCAAAATATTTACTAATTAAATGATAAGTTCCCTGTAATTTATTTCAAAATAATATATTCAGAAAGGTATTGGCGATTTGTATAAAATAAATTGACCATGTATTAATAATTATTAAAACTGCATATTGATTATATAAGATTTTGAGATAGCATTCAATATATCAATATAGTCAATATATTATGAATATACAAACATCTAATTTTTTATTTTTTAAATATTTCATAATAAAAATCATGTTTATTTAATCTGTCATCTACTTAGCTAAATTATGTATAAACTAAAAGATACAGTGAAAGCATAAGTGAACATAGTAAAAAGTACAAAGTAAAACATAGCAAAAACATAGTAAAAAGCATAGAAAAGAAAATATAATTTCACTCTCAGTGACAAAATTGAGGTAGTGGCATGTCAACTGAAATTGAAGGTTAAATAGAAAAGGTATTGCAAGTTGAGTAAAATAGAATAAGACATGAGAGTGGAAATAAAATTCTCAGAATTGGTTGCTTTTGCAGATAAAAAGAGTAGAAATAAAATTTAATAAATGACATTTCTTTTTCTCAAATTCTATAACAATTGATAAATAAGAAGTTGGTAGACAGGAATCAACATATCTATATCCTTTAACATGTATCAGATGAGACTCATAAAGTAGTATTATTTGTTAAAGTTCGCTTGTGTATCTCCCATTTCTGGAACAGTGCTGGCACATAGTAGACACTCAATGAATACTTATGGAAAGTGTGAAAAATGGAAGTATTAATGAATTGAAGAATGCCTAGAGACCAGATAAGAAGCTATAGCCTCTAAAATTCCTAATATAGAAACCCAGGATATACAGACTTATTTATTCAAACAGAGGCCAAAATGAATGGGGGTTGAATTTTATAGTGTATAGGAGCAAAGGAGAAAACACAAATTTCATATATGTAGTCTGCTCCTAAAAGAAGAAAGGTGTTGTGTTGTAGGAGTCTAGTTTCTCTTAACAACTTTAATAATAAGATAAGTCTCTCCCCAGTAACTGGGGAGAAGTATATGAATAGAGGGGAGAAAGGCCAGCAAAGATAAATTATTTAACATCTTTCCACCTGGAAGAAAACTTCCACACACTCCTGACTCAATTATTAAAAAAAAAAAAAAAAAAAAAAAGGAAAGAAAAAAAAAGAAAAGACTGGGTGCGGTGGTTCACACCTGTAATCTCACCACTTTGGAAGGCCAAGGTGGGTGGATCACTTGAGATCAGGAGTTCTGACCAACATGGTGAAACCCCATCTCTACTAAAAATACAAAAATCAGCCAGTTGTGGTGGTGCACGTCCGTATTCCCAGCTACCAGGGAGGCTGAGGCAGGAGCATCACTTGAACCCGGGAGGTGGAGGTTGCAGTGAGCCGAGATCATGCCACTACACTCCAGCTCAGGCGACAAAGTGAGACTCTGTCTTAAAAAAAAAAAATTATTAAAAAAAAATACCATAGCTATATCTGTGGGTTCCTGTAAAGTAGGAGAAGATTGGTGGTATTAGTTGGATCTATTTCCAAAGGGCATTAATTTCAAACATTAGAATATTATGCTTTATATAAGATATGAGATGGTTCTCATAAAGTTTTTGA
Source organism: Homo sapiens (assembly GCF_000001405.40). Taxonomy (NCBI): domain Eukaryota; kingdom Metazoa; phylum Chordata; class Mammalia; order Primates; family Hominidae; genus Homo; species Homo sapiens. The sequence goes on along the minus strand of NC_000004.12, from coordinate 63,140,805 downwards.
AAAAGAATCCTGATCAATTTATGACATCAATTTTATTTGCAGTAAACTTTTATTTCTAACCTTTTTCATTCTAAGCTTAAATGCCTCTTAAAAGTTACTGCTTACACTTTTTTCTAAAACATTAACATTTTGTGATGTTTAGTTGCTCATGTTCTTCCATTCCTTCAGTGCATCACAATTTGGAAACTGTGTCCAATTTATTCAACATATGAAATATACTCCCATATTGTTCCTTGTCTTTCCACACTCAAGACTACAATCTTTAGCCTTTCATTCATGCTTTCTTATACTAATAGTACAGTGTATCAGGTACTTACTTCCTTGACTCTCTTCTTATAAGTTCTCCACCTGTCTTCAGAGTTACATTTCTGAAACTCAATTATAATCATGCCACTTTTCTGGCTTAAAACTTGTAAATATTCCCATTGTCTAATGAATACAGTCCTAACTTCCTATTTGTCATTTAGTGATATGTGTGATCTTTAACATATTTTCAGATTCATCTTTTACTACTGTTCCTTCTACACATTGAAATATGAATATATGTAGACTGTAATTAAAAACTGTTTCAGTTTTGGTACTCTTCTGTTTCTGATGAAAAAAATTTTTGCTTAATACTTTCATATTTTGCTAGATAAAGATATAAAGAATGCACTGGGACGTTTCAGAAATAGGGCTTGATAAAAGCTGTTATTTTAAAACTGGAAAATCTTTTTTGACACGTATTTAAATATTTTATGTTTTATGAGCTTGAGAAATCATCTGTGGCTGAGACGTTATGCAGTTTGTATTATCACCTGAGACCAGAGTCCCTTAGGCTTGCTTGAATCAACAACACTTTGCAATTGCATGTTCTAAAATAAACTTTTGAAAGAATAAATAAGTTCCCTGTTCTTCAGTAAAAATTGCTGTAACGCTTTTATAATCAGGATTCCTTCCCACTTCTTGCTAGAGACAGTTGCACTGTGTGGAAGACAGTTTTCAAAAAGCAATCATCAAACAAAGCATCCAGTTGGTACTAATCGGTGTAGAAAAAAATAATCAAATTGAAAATAAATGTATAAGAATGATGCATGAGGGATTATATGAAAATGAGACTAATAAAAAGGATTCTAGACAAAAGGATGATGTTAAAGGAGATTCTGCATCATTTCCATCAGACTGTAAAATGTATCTCTGCAGGAAAATATTAAGAGGAAATAAAATTTACTTAATACAATTTTACTTAATGAGTGTAGCTACACTCATTATTCAGCTTAATGGTACTTGAAAAGACAAGGACTGCCCCACCCCACCAAAAAAAATCAATGACTCCTACAAATTACAAGAAAACATAGTTTTGCTTGTAAGTTTAACATATGAGAAACAGATCATAAATTATATATAGTTTTAGGAAACATGACTCAAGCATTTTTAAATTTGACTAGTAACTTGGGAATAGCTAATACAAATGAATGTCTTTGAAATTAAATAATGGAAAAAGAAAAGACTGAATAATGTGTACTTAATTTCTCAGACCTTTTACTAATTACGTATGTATTCTTGGCAATTGAGAAATCTAGCTTGTCATGTAAAATTCACAAGAAAATTGGCTTGTGATTAAAAAAAACAGAAGAAACTTTAATTTTGATGTATGCTGAGCAAAGTATCTTCCAGTTAAAGCAAAAACAATTTTCAAGGTGATAGAAATCAGAGGTAATTAATTGAAATAATTACCCAATTTTTATACATTTCAATTACTTAGCCTGTATATCTAAATATACCTTGTGATTTTGTGTGAACCATCACCATTATACAGAATTATACTTCCTTTTGTGGCCTCAAATTGGAAAAAAATATCAGGAAACAGCACTGTTTTCCCCTAAAGCAAATGCTATGGCTGACCTAAAATATTTAGTAGCACTGAAAAATGAAAATTGACTCCATGTCACAGTTTGAGAAAGCATTGTTACATTTAATAAAACTGGGACTTATCAGACCTTCCATTTCCTGATCTCCGTCTTTCTGCTGGATGAGAGTCTTTTGTTAATAGATCCCAGGAATTTGTGTTTGATACAAACATCAGGTTATTTTTATGGGCACTAAAGTCTGGGATAGTTAAAGGAATATATTCTAGCCATCCCACTAAACTGTCACAAGTTAATGGCAAACCCCTAGTTTTTTTAAAAAATACTAATAAAATTATACTGCGGTAAAGCCCTTCCATTTTAGAATTTCTTTTAAATAAATGTGACATTTGAAAAGCATTCTTGAACCCTTTGTATAGTAAGGGTACAGGAACATTGCCACTGAGATCCAGTTTCAATGCATATTAGGAGCATTAAAATATTGATTCTCTTTTATCTCCAGGAATTCTATTGCTAAAATTTTGACTTGAAGAAATCAACCAAGATGAACATAACATTTATATAAATAAATTCTGATGCCACAAGTATTTATGATTCAAAAGTGAGAAACACTTTAAACAATGAAAATACAAATTCATAAAATAAACTATGCTACATTTATATGATGAAAGAGTACTAGGTAGATATCAAAATAATGTTTTTATAAGCATATGCTAATGTAAAAAATATATTAAACAGTGAAAAAGAGAGAAAAAGACAAGCTTCAGATACCACAGTATTGTGACATTTATTATAGTAACCACTAGTCCCATGTGGTTTTTGAACACTTGAAATGTGGCTACTTCAAATTAAAATGTGTTGTAAGTCTTAAATACACACAGGATTTTGATGACTTAGTATAAAATAGAAAGTGAAATAACTCAATATTTTATATTAATAACATATTAATTACATGTTGTATTAATCAGTGTTCTTCAGAGAAATGGAACCAATAGGATACATACACACACACACACACACACATATACAGAGGCTCCTTAACTTCTTAACTTTTGATAGGCTTATGTTCCAATAAACTCATTGTAAATTGAAAATACTGTTAATTCTAAAATGCATTTAAGATACCTAACCAAATAAACATCATAGCTTAGCCTACCCTACCTTAAATATGTCCAAATCTCTTACTATACTCATGTATATTTATACACACATACACACATACACACACACACATATATATACACAGACAACCTTTTTTTTTTTTTTTTTTTTTTTTTTTAAGATGGAGTCTTGCTCTGTCGCCCAGGCTGGAGTGCAGTGGCGCATCTCGGCTCACTGCAAGCTCCACCTCCCGGGTTCACACCATTCTCCTGCCTCAGCCTCCCAAGTAGCTGGGACGACAGGCGCCCACCACCAGGCCTGGCTAATTAATTGTAATGAAGTGTTGAATATCTCATATACCGTTACAAAATAGGCTTTGTGCTAGGTAGCTTTGCCCAACTATAGGCTAATGTTTGACCAAATACCTTGGCACCCTTACCCAGCAAGTTGATGATTAAAATTAATCATTACACATGTTATATATTTGGCAAGTACTGGGTAAAATAAAATATACTGTTAAAATTTATTTCACTTGTCTCTGCATGTCTTTTTATATAACAGAAAATTTAAAATCATGTGTGATATTTATACTATAAGTGCTACTATAAATATTATATAAGCAACTGATAATAGTGCTTATTTTGGGGTGATTGTAGGTGACTTAATTTTATAAGATCTTATGTTTAGTAAGTATATTGTCTCTGTTCTCATTGGTTTCAAATAATTTCTTGATTTCTGCCTTAATTTCATTATTTACCCAGGCCATTTGATTTTCATCAGAGGATGGCCAATCACATGAACAAAAATACCAATTTCTCTACTCTTTAAGAAATTATTGATAAAATACCATAGTGTATGCCGATTAGTACAAGTTAAGCAAAACTGATTTAAACTCCTATGAAACAAAATGTAGGATATAGTTAACCACAGAATAATAGCTGAAAATAGTTACTGACCATTCAATTCCAGATATTTTTAGTCCTTACAATTAATGCTTTCAGCATACATTTTAAAGAAAATTATAAATCCATTACAGAGTGCTAAAAAAATGTTGAGGCAGCTGGGCACTGCAGTTCATGCCTATAATCCCATCTTCGCTTTGGGAGGCAGAGGCAGACGCAATGCTTGAGCCTAGGACTTAGAGGCTGCAGTGAGCTATCATCATGCCATCGTACTCCAGCCTGGGTGACAGAAAGAGATCCTATTGGGAGGAGGTTACTGAATTTGTATTTCTATTAATGTTTCTAATACAGGTACTGTGTGATTCTAATGACTCTGACAGTGTTTGAATATTTAGATTTAAAACAAAACTTTGTTTCAGACTATTGGGTAAAGGCATGAAAGCTAAAAGAAACAATTGAAAATATATGTATGGTAGGTACTATTGATTGGCTCATTCTCATGTGTTTTACTGTGCATGGAACTGGGATGTTAAAGACGGCTTCCCAAACTTTTGTATAATTCAGATCTTGCATGGGATATGGCTACTGCCAGGTAGCTACATGTGAAATAGATTTTGAAGACCAACACGGATACTTTGGAATAAAGGCTATGCCTTTGGTGTTGTAAGTAATGCAGAAGCTGAGTTACAACTGAATTTCAGAGTTTACTAGCTAGCTTTGTGAATGTGATAGTTGGTTCAACAGTTTGGTTGTGGAGATTGTAGAAAAAGTGGTGTGGTTTTGGAGGCAGCATGTTTGACAATGTTACCTGATTACTCAGCTTCGATATCTTGGACTACATCACTGTTCCCTTCAAAGACTAAGTTTGAATTATTGTTCTGGGAGAAATAGTCCTCTCATGCAAATAGTTTCTTTTGATCAGCAAAAGGAATGAATTAATGTAGAAAATGGAAAAAAGTATACAGGAAAATAAGGTGAAATCTAGGTTACTAGATTTTCAAATAAATGTAAGCCTCCTAATTCCTTGAATTGAAAATTTTCTGCTTAAATTAGTTTAAGTGTATTCTTGTTATCAACAACCAATAAGAAGCATAACCCCATAATTCATAAATAATAAAACTAACTTTAAAATGTATTTGTATTATATTTTATTAGTTATTCATTATTAACATATTATTTACTCACATAATATATGAATAAATACATGTTTATGCATTTAGATACGTGTATCCATGTATCTGAAAGCATAGAAGATATAAACTCAACTCAAGTAACATAAGTAACAAAGTTATGTCACTGAAATATTCTAAATCATTATTTTAATAGCTACTATCTTACACATATATAAATACTTAACAATTAGTACAATCCATCCATCATTGTTAGCCATTGGTAGTGATTACTTTTGGTGAAAAATCATCATATAAGACAACTGGTGACATAACCAAGAATGATATTCATTCATTAATATTTATATTTATTTTTGAGTGTTTAATGAATATTTTCAAATGACATTCAAGAACAATTTATACTCTTAGAACAGCCTTGATAGTATTAAAAAGTTTGTCTGCTACAGTCAAATAGATTTTACTTTGTTTGGTTAGTATTATCAAATAATTAGTAAGGTTAATCATTTTAAATGTAAATAATGACCAATATTGTCACCTATTATTTCTTTTCACATACTTGACATCAGATAAATGATTAGTTTAGAATTTCAATTTAACTTTAAAAAATGTCTTAGAAGAAAACAGAATTATTTAGAGTAGCAATAGAAAAAATATATACAATTAAGATTCATACCTATGAAACCATTAATGAAAAGATTGATGAAATTGACTATGTATAAAAAAGGATACGGAAGAACATACTTTAGGCATACAACAACAAAACACATCAAATGTTGAGGGCACACTTTTTGATATGATGCTTTTATACGACACTGATCCTTCTGTTAACAACTGCCAGTGCATTCTCTGGTTATGCAATAGACTAATCAATTTCTGTATTAGAGCTCTGTGTAGTTTTTCTTATTCTATGCTGAGTACCTGCAGTCATGCTTATTCTGACCTGAGACATGATATTGACCAATATTTAGAATAATTAAATCTAATGAGCTCATTTGTGTGAGCACAAGAGGGAATTTATCTTCTAGCTTTGGGTCTTTTGTGCTCCTCCCACCATCACCACCTAATTCTGGCTCTTAGAGATAACAGAGATTCATCTATGAAAATAAAAATTAAACCTATAGGTATCAAATGAGATTATCTGAGAAAAGTCCAATTTTCAACTGTGTCCCATTTGTCCTTCATTTTGTTTGAAGGCAAATATAACAAAATTAGAAAAATGACTTACAGTGTCCCCTACTGATATTGGGTCAGAATTGATCCATTTGTATAAGAAAGAATATTGAAGTACAACATTGTAATTTTAAAGTACAGTAAATATATTTAAAATAGTTTATTTTTATTAGCAAAAGGAATGAATTGGTGTAGAAAATAGAAAAAAAAATAGGAAAATGAGGTGAAATCTAGGTTACTGGAGAAAATAGATACAGATATTGATTCAAATTATATGAAAATAAGTTATTTAATTCTTAGAGATTTTATCTACACTTGATTACCATCTGAAGATAAATACTAGTGACTAAAATGAAACTTATTATATAGCAAAATATTAAAGTCCTATATATTAAGCTGTTCTTGCATTGCTATAAAGAAATACCTGAGACTGAGTAATTTATAAAGAAAAGAGGTTTATTTGGCTCATGGTTCTGCAGGCTTTACAAGATGCATAGTACTGACATCTGCTCAGCTTCTTGGGAAGACTCAGGAAGCTTACAATCATGGCAGAAGGTGAGGAGAGAACAAACATGTCACATGGTAAAAGCAGGAGCAAGAGAGAAGGAGAATGGAGGAAAGTGCCACACACTTCTTAAATGGCCAGATTTTGCAAGAACTCACTATACAAAGACAGCTCCAAGTCATGGAGGATGCACCCCCATAATCCCACCAGGCCCCACCTTCAGCATTGTGGATTACAATTGAACATGAGATTTGAACAGGGGCAAATATCCAAACTATATTATCCTACTTTATCAATTTTCCTCATTTTTTACACATAAACATATGTAAAATATTTCTTACTCAGGCATTATATATTTCTACAATAGCACTTTACTAATAACAAATTTTCTTATTATAAAGTCCAACAAAAGAGTTTTAACTTCATTTTAAAAAAGAAAATTTTGTGGGAATAAAATAAGTGAGAAAGTATTGGATAATGTCTACATTATTCATAGGATTGCATTTCTAATTTATGAGAACTTAGTGTGTCATAAATTCCTGTACCACCAATTAAGCCAATTTTATTAATGACAGTAATGACTATACTCTATTAAATCGTTGTCTGCTTTACAACTAAAAAGTTATAATGTATTATTGTTCACTGTTCACTTTAAAATAGCTTTATCCATTTAAAAAATTTTAACATTTTTTCAATGTCGATCATACATAAATGATGAAAATTTTTATTTGCATTATTGCAATGTTTAATAACATTACACTAGTATCTGTGTGTATAAATCCAATGATCTTGGATACTTAAAAATATTCTTTTAGAAAACATGTTGATCTCCCCTCTCTTACAGATAAAGTTTGGTATTTGAAAAATGATAAAATATAAAATCTATGTAAAAATCAGAAATTATGATAATATTCCATGTCCTAATCATATTTGAAAATGCTTTTTGCTTTCCAATAAGCAATAAATACATCTATTAAATAAATTTGAATTTTACTTATTAAATAAATTCATTTTATGATAAAATAGCATCAAATATTACATAACTTATTTGGACAAATAATATGATGAGTAATTTTTTTAAGACATAGTAATAATCTGGTCAAGAATTAATGCTTACTTTAATAATTAGAGCCTCTAAAAATGTGTTTATGCTGAATATACCTGTATTTTGTTAATTGGCCAGAGAGGAGAGTATCTTTGAAAATAAAATAAAATTTATCATTTCAAAAGGGTGTCAAATAATTATTCCCTAAATTTTACTTGCTAATTATTAATAGCATTAAAATATATATAATATTGCACATGAACTTATTCATACAGAAATGCAAAATTGAAAGAAAAAACATCAAATTAGATTGAACCACATGAAGTTGCTGACATTACCATTTCAATCTGTAAGAATGGCAACAACGTATAGTTTAAGCTATTGTAGTAATCAAAATACGATGTAGAAATACTAAATTTCAAGTTTTGGTAGGAGTTAGTTTACCCATAAAGAATGACAAAAGTTTTTCTTTTCCTTGTCTTCCATAATAAACTGGAAAGAGAACAACGTTCAGTATCAACTCTTTAGTATGTCTAATGTGGCTGAGTAAGTAGGAATCAGCGTGAATTCTTGGAACTATTTATCACCCCTCTCTTATATTCCATCCTAGCAGCATCTCCCATCAGAAGCCATCTCTTACTCCACCAACAGTAACTTTTTCATTTAATTTAATTTAATTATTTATTTATTTTTGGAGACTTAGCCTCGCTCTGTTGCCCAGGCTGGAGTGCAGTAGTGCGATCTCGGATCACTGCAACCCCTGCCTCCTGGGTTCAAGCGATTCTCCCAACCAGCAGTATCTTTTATTTAATAAGTCAACAGGCTGGTAACATCATGACAGTTACAGTATAAAATAACATAATGAACAAATAGTTGTCTTAGACAGTTTTAAAATCACTATGATAAAGTTGTTTGTACTTCTGATTTTCGTAGATACTTGCCAAATAATTTGCCTAAAGCTATGTCATCAAATAATAATAATAATATATTTCTATTTCAAAATCTACATGGATGCTGCACTTTTCAGATTTATTGAGTCATGTAATTAAGCACATGTAAGGTTTAGGTTGACTCTCTAATTACCTGCACAGTATTGCCCCTCTTTTATATGATTATTTTAGTTTAAAAATAGTTACCTTCTAAAGATTTGACATGATGCAAATTACAATCTGTTAGCCAGATAATGAAAAGTAACTTAGTATTTATTCATTGGCTGACATATTCTGTAGAGACAAAATTTTAAAGGGGAGAAATGAGTGTAGAAAAGTTTTGAGAAGAAGAAATTTTGAGTACAACTGTCCTGGAGTAGAGAATGGACTTTCGAGAAAATAATACAAATTATGGGCATTAGTATACCCTTTTTAATGGATTATGAGATAAGTAGAAGAATTAAGTATGAAATCTGGGTTTTGTCCTGGCTAAGTGGGTGGATTATTCTTTCATTTACTGGAAATAAGGAAAACTAAAGTAGGCACAGCTTTCAAAGATTACATCATTCCCCTTGACAAGCTAATTTTAGGATGATTTTAGATACCTGACTTATTACCATTCTCAATGGCAGTCTTCTCCAGAGGTATCCACGCTACAGATATTAATAGCTTTCCCTTTTCTATGCATATATATGTGTGCATGCACGTTTGTGTAGTTTACATAGGCGTGTGTGTGTGTGTGTGTGTGTGTGTGTGTGCGCATTTTATGTTACCATCGTACTGGATATAGTTTAATGAATCATTTTTTTTTTATTGTCTATTCTATTATGTGGGGGGGTGGTGAGTACTTTCTAAAGTACTTTTAAACTATAACACTAATTTTCTTTGGTAGTCTAAATACATAAATATTGTTTGAAAATTCAAAACATTTTATCCTCTGCTCTGTAATTATTTTACTTACTTTTTTTAATCCACTGCATAGGCCAGGCCATCAACTCTTTTAATTATTTTATTTAAACAATTTTAATGTATAAATTCAATTTCAAGCAGTAACGATTTACCAGTCATCCATGGCGTATGTCTATATATATATAAAATAAGTAGAAAGTGGATTATCTGTAAAAAAATATATGATCTGAGCTTGTATATTTGAGTTGAAGGTAGAGGATTAAAGCAGGTGGTAGGCAAGCAGATATTTGAATCCCAAATCCGTGTTTTATTCGGTTATTGAGGCCTTCAGGCTTTTAAAGTCTCCTAATTCCGGTTTGGAAATATTTATCTTCTGTAACAGCTTAATTTTAGTTTTCAAATTTATTAGCTTAATATTGCACGAATTATTATCTTATAATTTTCAAGATATATTTTGTAATTAATATTCTTTTATTCACTTGAAATTCAAACTTTTTAAAAGAAATATTAGAATATAAATGTCTCAAAGCATTTAAGAGTCAATAAAATGTATTTATCTTATTAGTATTTTGAAAAAAATTCTTTCTTTTATTTTATTAAATCTATATTTTATTTTCTATGTATCTTATTTCTCATTATGTTTAATAAGTCATTTATATATGTATTGCATTTTAATTTCCTAGTATCTTTAAATGTTTAAAGACACATTCAAATAAATAAAAAAATTGTTTAAATTTATTTAAACTAAATAAATATTTAAACTAAATAATTACTAAATAAATACTAATATTTATTTAGTATAATTATTTTAGTTTAAATGAATTTTTAATACATAAATGCAAAGCATTTTTTAAATGGTAGCATTAAGTAATGTTCTGTAAGAGCAATGCTAAATAATCAGTAATTTTTATTTTAATTTTTAAACATTTCTTTTAGAGTTTTTGGTTAATGTATACTTGTGGTCCATTGGAATTTATTTAATACTACTTCCTTAATATAACAATTGTCTTCAAATTCAGTTTTACAAACTAGTGTGTCTACATGAATAAGTATACAAATATATATTATATACTATATACTCTCTCACGTGCTCTCTCTCTATGTATCTTAGTAATTATATTGGATTTTTACTAAATGTTTTAATTTGGTGATTTTAATTTCTGGAAAATAAGAATTAAAGCAGTAAATTTAAATAGTAAATTAGGATTGCTATCGTGAAGAAGAAAAAATTGAAATAATAGGCCAGGCACGGTGGCTCATGCCTGTAATCCCAGCACTTTGGGAGACCAACGAGGGCAGATCACTTGAGGTCAGGAGTTCAAGACCAGCTTGCCCAACATAGCAAAACCCCACCTATAATAAAAAATACAAAAATAAAAATTAGCCAGGTATGTCGGCTCATGCCTGTTATCACAGCTACTTGGAGGCTGAGGCAGGTAAATTGCTTGAACTTGGGAGGCGGAGGTTGCAGTGAGCCGAGATCATGCCACTGCACTCCAGCCTGGGTGACAGAGTGAGATTCCATCTCAAAAAAAAAAAATTTAATTAAAAAAAGAAAATAAATAAATAATATAGCTCATTTAATTTTTCCCCTAATACAGGATTCTAAATTTTACCTGACAGTTTGCTTGTGTAGGCTTATAGAATATATCATGGTTACTTCTAGATTTTTTTGAAAAGACTGCTATTTCAATAATCCCCAAAAGAACCTGTAACAACAGCAACCAAAAAGAAAACCAAAACATAGGTATAAGAAAGCCGATTTGCCTTAACAAATCAAAGAGGAAACCCCTCATATCTTTTTTTTTTTTTTTTTGAGGGGGAGTCTCTGCCTCCCAAGCTGGAGTGCAGTGGCATGATCTTGGCTCACTGCAAGCTCTGCCTCCCTGGTTCACACCATTCTCCTGCCTCAACCTCCTGAGTAGCTGGGATTACAGGTGCCCACCACCATGCCCAGCTTATTTTTTTGCATTTTTAGTAGAGATGGGGTTTCACCATGTTAGCCAGGATGGTCTCAATCTCCTGACCTTGTGATTTGCCCTCCTCGGCCTCCCAAATTGCTGGGATTACAGGTGTGAGCCACCATGCCTGGTCAATGCCCGGCTAATTTTTCTATTTTTAGTGGAGATGGAGTTTCACTATGTTGGCCAGGCAAGTCTCAATCTGCTGACCTCGTGATCTGCCTGCCTCGGCCTCCCAAAGTGCTGGGATTACAGGCGTGAGCCACCGTGCCCAGCCCAAAGTATTTATTAAAACAAAATACTCTTTTTTTTTCTTTTGCTTACTTATGATGTGCCTATTTCCTTCATTAGAATGTGACAGTCAGAGAATATGTCTGTTACTTTTCCTTCCTTATTGACTAGCAGAGTATGTATTTATTACATAGTAGATGTTCAATAGCTGATTTTAAAGTACATAAGTGGATGAAAGTCATATTGAGGCTAAGAAATTTTTTAGGCTAATAGAGTCCTATGTACCCCAATTTATTAAGGAATATTAGGTAGAGATTTATGGTTCATGATAAAAGAAAGCTTGCAAAACTAGAATCATCCATTTCCACTTGCCATTGAAATAGTGTTGAAAGCAAAACATAAGAGTCAAAGAGTTCTTCAGCTATTCATATTGATCAACATTCTTCTAGATATCTGAATCAATTTCCACTAATTATAATTCAGATGCCACAAAGCAAACCACTGGACCATTTAGGAGTAAGAGGATCTGTATAAATATTTACCTTTGGTATGTATCTTTAAAAAGAAAAAGAAAACTATGCTAACCTGGAGGCAAAGTGCAACCTTTCTATTGCATGGGATCATTCTAACTCATAGTTATGTTCCAGAACTAGACTACTCAGTAAAGACTCCATTTCTGGCCTTATTGTAGTGATGTTTTATGACTGGGTACAGAAGTCACCAATGGATACAACCTTACCTGCAGGATGTGACTCTGGTGGTTGGAAGGAGATAATCCTGGAAGTTGTGTGGTGTGAAGATGGTGCTGAAAGGAAAAGATGGCTTGTATAATGTTCTCACAAATAAACATTTCTTCTTAAGTGAAAAGAGTAGGCAGTAGCTAACAGGAATCCAATGCTACGAAGATGTGCCATGAATGAAATACAAAAGAAGATTAAAAAATAAAATCAGAAAGTATATAGAATAAGCACTACTTTCACTTTATATCAGAAGTTGTACTTCTACTAACAGCCATATGAACAGTAAGGGCCAACAAGAAAACAAAATCAATGTGCAATTTAAAAATTTACAGTTTCCTAGGTTCTGTTAACCCTCTCATAGCACAAAGATAAGTAAAGAAAAGAAAAACACCATAAATAATTGAAAAGAGTTAGCAATATAAAAGAAAAACATTACAGAAAAAGAATTTGAAAACATATTAAGTCATTTAAAAAATTTTTAGAAATCATTTTTTGCATTATAATCTCATTATAATTTGACAAATTATGTATGCCACAATGAAGAAATGAATAGAAATGGATGTGGCCTAAGACTAAAAATAAAGCCGACCAGATGGGCATAAATATATTGCTTAAAGTAAACTGTTCCACGGTAAGAATACATGTACCATGGAGGATGTTTCTTTGCCCATTATTCCTTGTTTTAACTTACATTTCTACCTACCTCAACCCTTGAGAATATCCCTTGTGGTGGGCCATAACCCTGAAGTTGATGTGTTCAGGAAACTTGCTAGGATCCTTTCACTTTCTTTGGCTTCCTATGGGTTAGAATGTTTTTGTTTTATTTTAAATTATGCAACCTTTAAAACATATTAAATTTTTGAATTCAAAATAAAGTATATCATATTTTCTATTCAACTGATAGCTTCTTTAGAATTGTAGGCAAGAAATGCAGTGGTATTAAGAAGATTAAATGTCTTTTTAAATCTCTAGTTTATCCTTGCAAATACCATATACTATATATCAAAATAATTAATTATCAATAATTATTATAAAAAATACACCAGAGGATTGAAAGTCTCTGCTACTAACTTGCTGTGTAATTCACAATAAGTCAGTTAATATTTCTGGTCATCAGTGTCCCCCCCCAGTTATAAAATAATGACATAAACTAGATTATCTTCAATCTTGCATTCCAGTGCTATGATTTAGCATAAATTGCCTCCCACTGATTAGTTTGCAATTTCTGAGAATTATTTTCCTCGTTTGTGGTTTTTTGAGTATACCATATTACTATACATTCAGTAAATATAGATTTTTAGTAAATAAGACTTGAGAAATACCGGTGATTAAGTATCACAAAAACCTCCAACTCTTCATAACTAAACAGTATAGAGCATATGTATAAGTTCATCTTTGGGTAGTATTTTAAAATATAGAAATTTCAGTGAGTAATAATCACCACTCATTAAGACTTCAAATTGCAAAGTTAAAGACAATCTTTATTTTTTCTCCATACTAGTGAAAGCCCACATCTGGATTTTAAAGATTTTTTTTTTAACCCAAAGCTATAATTCATTAAAATAATATTGCACCTGTGAATAATGCATACGAATTATAAAAGCACATCATTACTAATTCTTAATAACTATACAATTATTCATAGGAAACTTGATGTTATATGATAAATGGAGAAAGATATATAATGGGTATAAATTCCGGAATAAAAAATACATTAGGCTACCATTTTACAATCACTTATTAATACCCACTTAAGCTATCCAGTGTACTATGTAGTAGGCATACAAAAGTAAACCAATGTCACTAACTTTAAATTTATAATATAAAGACACAAGTATAAAAACTGTGGTTTCTTTTCTCTATTTTTTTGTTATAGCTGTTTTTCCCTTATTTTAGATTTCCAAGTGTGTGTAAAATGACTTCTCTCCACCATATTTAAGTGACAGTAGGATTTTTAAAATCAAATTTGCACAGGCATTCATAGATATCAATTTAATATAAATGATAGCAACTTATTTTGCTTTCATATTTATGACCTGCCACATAAAGCTGAGTTGTCTTTACACACTATGTTATTTAATTCTTACAACAACTGTATGAGTTATGTATCATTTGATGAGGAAATACAGGATAAGAAGATAATATTCAACTATGCCTAAGGATATAGTAAAAGAAAACTGCAGTCAGAATTGAAATTCTGACTTCTTCAAAGTTGATGACATTATATCACCATTCTATGTGGTCTTTATTGTGCATGGTATCATTTTCTGTTAATTTAACATCTTAATATAAACTCTTTTGGGTGTCATCCAATATTTGTTTGCATCTTGAAATAGATATGAGATTCAAAGTAGGAGAAAAAATAATCGTGAAGTTGTCTTAAGATTATATGAGTTCTATAACTGAATATTTAGGAATACTTTATGACTGGCCTAATAAAAGAAGACATTAATTCATGTGATATGCCCATTATTAAAATAAATTGTGAGTTAAGAGGAACATGCTTTGTGTATTTAACAGAAAATTTGAATTTAGTGCTAATGTTAGAAAAGCAAGTAGAAAATATTTGAGAAAAGTTGAATATCATATAATAACCAAATACTCTTAAAGAAAGGGATAGAGTGACTGAGTATTCTGAGAAAAATATATCCTGTTCTCTTTTTATGCAACAATTCCAATTTCAAAGATAACTCTCTTCCCACAACATTCATAAATAACCAGCAGAAAAACATTAACTATGTATGAATAGGAATACAAAAGTATAAAAATAATATGGGAATAATAAAATACAGAAGAAGTAGAAGCTTTCAATAATGCTAAGGAAAAGTATGCATAACTGTGAGTCCATTTAGAGCTACGTAAAGAACAAGGACTAAATAAATTTTAAATAACTCTTATTGAACAAATTTCAAACATTATTTACTTAAATTTATGCCATTAAGAATGATTACATTGTAAAAAAAATATTGCTAGGTTGTAATCAAAATTCGGAAATCATGTAAATTTAGTAAAAAATACCTGGGCATGTTTATTAACTCAAGACCTTGGGTTAAAATTATTTACATATCATGATACTAAAATGACTTAAACACTTGGTATATTAGTCCATTCTCAACTACCTGAGACTGGGTAATTTATGAAGAAAAAAAGGTTTAATTGACTCACATTTCCACAGGGTGTACACAAAGCATGGCTGGGAAGGCCTCAGGAAAATTACAATCATGGCAGAAGGCGAAGGGGAAGCAATCACATCTTACCATGGCAGAGAAGGAGAGACAGAGAGAAGAGAGAAGTGTCACACACTTTTAAATAATCTGATCTCATGAGAACTCACTCACTATCAGGAGTACGACAAGTGAGAAATCCACCCTATGATTCAATTACCTCCAACCACTCCCCTCCTCCAACAAGCAGGGATTATGATTCAACATGAGATTTGGGTGGGGACACAGAGCCAAATCGTATCAGTTGGTGATTTCAGACAAATGTTGACAATGCTATGTATAATTTAGGATAAGATCATATGAAGGCAACCTACCATAAAATAAATGATCATAAAAATATTCACCTTTCTCCGTATTCCCCACTGTGTAAATGTCACCCTGTATTAGTTTCATTTTAGTAAAATTAAGTTCTCCTAAATGTAAGTTTATGTTAAATGTTGGAGTTTTAGCTGAGCTGGAAGAGAAAGAGTGCTGAGCTTCCAGGGCTTGGTATAGCCAATTAAAGCAATCCATCAAAGAGTTAATTCTTTAATTACTTACTATGATGGTATGAACAATAACCTAAAACCAGAGAAGGTGCCAACTCCCCCTGATTTGTTTCCCCCAAGAAATGGTGCACCAGTCCAGGCCAGGTGGATCAGTGCAGATGTGGGGATAATCACACTATTATTGAAGACCCAAAAGGCTCCAGCAGTTTTATAAGGCTGTGGGGAATAAGAGAGACTGAGGGAGAAGGGCTAGAAGTAGAAAACTACTGGGTACTGAGTCAGAGTTGGAGAAAGTGTCTTCAAAGTTTCCCCCTCCTCTTTATCCCACAGAGATATATTGGTAGAGATACCTGATGAAGATCTCTGCCCAAGATCTCGATAAAGAAACCCAGGAATGAAGACCCAGTGAGGCCTGTTATGTAAAACCTTTGTAATTGCCTATAGTCATACTTGAAAAAATCACACAGCTTTTTAAGCAGCAGCTGAACCCCTCATTAAGCATAGATTTTAACTGTTAACGAATGATCCACAAACAGCATGCTGATCAGAAAACAACATTCAAAGTTTTCATTCTGATAAAAATGGCAATATCAACAAATTGTGACAAATGTTTGTGATATTTTTAGAGAAACTTGAAGAACAATGATAATCCAAAGAAAAGCCAGAGAAATTAGCAAATTATATTTGCTTGGTCTATCTATGTCTTCGAACAGAACTCAAGGAAAGAAGTAATCAATGTGTCACCGGTAGAGGGTCGGGATTGCAAGTTGTCCAGGTTCTTGGCATTTCAAACAAAGAATTGGACAAAAGGCCCAGCAAAGCAAAGAAAGAATGAAGCAACAAAAGAAAGAAAGCAGGGATTTATTGAAAACGAAAGTGTGGAAACGAACCCGAGTAGTGGCTCAAGGGCCCAGATACAGAATCTTCTTTTGTTCAAACACCCCCTAGAGGCTTCCCATTGGCCACTTCATGCTCCACTCATGTAACTGAAGTAGTAGCCGGCAATCAGTCTGATTGGTTGCAGAGAGCCGCCAACCAGAAGAGAAGTGAAGTTACAAAGGTCACACTACTGTGCAAACATCTGATTGGTTGCAATCAGAGGCTAGGGAGAAGTTACAAAGTTACAAATGAAGACTGGATGAGCTATCAGTCTGATTTGTTGCTGACAGTCAATTTCCCATCTTCTATGCAGAACAAATCAAAGGGAGTAGCCTCTAGTCCTTTTGTTACTTTGGCGTGGAAAGTTAAGGTTTTTCTTTCATTTTTTTTCTAGGAAGTCCGCGTGAAACAGCCTTAGGTTCCCTGTCTCCAGACTCATCTCCTGCCTCAAATGTAGCACTTCCCTAATGTGAAGAGTCAGTGTATCATTATATAAAGCCTCACTTCAAAACAGGTAGGGGAGACTACTCTGACAGGAGCCTTTGACTCTCAGACAACTCTGATAAACACTGGCCACTGATCTTCAAAATCTCCAGATGATAAAATGGCATCAAATTCAATTCCATATCACTGTGAAACACTCTCCATTAGTAACTCATATCAAAAGGAGAAAGGAATAGTTGTATGTATTTCCAATTTGATGGCTGTGTGCCAACAAATGAACCCCCTATTTTAAGCTCTGCTGCTGTCAATATTTAATTTAAACAGCTGAATTCAGGATATAAAGAATACGAGAAAACGTTAGTGAGTGTTGAAAACTTCCAGTTTCCATCTGAGAATTAAGACAAAACTAGAACTCCTCTGGAAAACCGATGTCCCATAAAAAAAAAAAAAAAGTGAGGAGTGGTAAACAGGAGGGTATCAAATGTATAAAATATTTGGCTGATGTGATTATTCAGTTTTCTTAAATCATCTTTACTGATAAAGACTGAAAAGAGCAGAAATAATGAGAAATTGAAGGAAACACACCATCATTAAGAAAAAAGATTACAGCAACATCAACCATAAATTATTACATATAACTGGCAAATACTGTGGATTATGAAACAGAATATGAGTGATAGAAAGTAATATAAACTTTTCAGACATATTTTTTAAATCTAATAATTATTAATTCTCACTTTTCTTAGCAATGATAATATGGCCAGGCTAAGACAATCACTTTACATAAGATAGAGATTAAATTCAGGATGAGCAAAACTTGACTGAAATATAGAGTGAATTCAGAATGCAATAATATTGACTTGACTTAAAATAGTGGCCCTGGAGAGGGAAAATATAAATAGACTTGGAAACAATTTAGGAGTCAAAATGAAGCCATAATTTATGCGTGTGGAGAATGAAGAAGAAAATAGGATCAAGGATAGTACACAACTTCCCGGCATAATGAAATGAAAGGTAGTAACTATCTTTGAAATATGTCACCTTATATTAACAGCTGAATCTTGACATTGTATGAAAGGTGGAGGTCATGTTTCAATTGGAAAATGTGGATTTCGAGGCACCTGTGGAATATCTGAGTGGAAAATTTAAATTAACATTGATTTCAGCTATGTGAAATATGGCCAGTGTTCATTGACACACTGAACAGGAAAAATCAGAGCAAGCACACCTGAGGAAATTGCGGGTAAATATTAGAGAAGGTGTACAACCCTCCAAACCCCACAAAGCTATAGCCAAAGAGCTGGACCTCATTCTCATCCAGAATTTATTCAGATATTCAGAGATTAAGATGCCACTGTGATGGGAAGAGGTCAACAGCAGAAGAGAAACATGTGAGTGTGTGTACTACTTCAGTTCCTATAACAAATATAACATCTTGGTGAGAAGTGGTGACCAAACACCTGCCTGAAAGAAAAAAAAAATAGCTAAATATGCCAGTGTTTTTAGTATGAAATTATTCAAAAATTGTGGAGGAGCCATTTGATAATGTTCTCAGAAATAGTTTACTTAAAATACTAAGAATGGTTTTGGTAAAATCTTGAGGGAAAATGCAGCTGAGAATCTTATGGTCTTTTATCTATTTAAGTATGACTAATGATATTCCACCACTAGCTCAACATGGATTATAAAAATTTGCTTGAGGTTGGGCATGGTGGCTTACACCTGTAGTCCCAGCACTTTGGGAGGCTGAGGCTGGAGGATCACGAGGTCAGGAGATTGAGACAATCCTGGCTAACACAGTGAAACTCCATCTCTGCTAAAAATACAAAGAATTAGCTGGGCGTAGTGGCGGGCACCTGTAGTCCCAGCTACTTGGGAGGCTGAGGCAGGAGAATTGCCTAAACCTGGGAGGTGGAGGTTGCAGTGAGCCAAGATTGCACCACTGCACTGCAGCCTGGGCAACAGAGCGAGACTCTGTCTCAAAACAAAACAAAACAAAACAAAACAAAAACAGGAAAATTTGCTTGAAAGTGCTTTGCCGGATTAGAAGAAATACCTATTATAAAATTAAAGAAGAAACAGAAATAACTTTGCTATTATACAAATACACAAATTTAAGAGGACACATGATCTGTTAATACATATTGCATCCATCAAGATGTATTGAATTAATAAAATATGGCGAACTGAAATTTAGAGGAGCTGAAACATTGGGGTTCAGAACATGACTGGAACTATTAAATTCAAGAACACAGCACTATAGTAACAATCTAATGATCAGCATGCTTGGGATGAGGAAGATGTGTTTGCCTTAACACCTCTTTTGTGCACCTAAATGGCAACTTAAGCATTTCACAACTAACACCAGCTTCTGCAACTGTGTATTGACATTTATTTCTCACAACCTTGTGTACCAACACAAGTCAATAGCAGTGAAAGTCAAGAGCAGTGACAATATGGTCTTTCTCTGATTTCTACCTTCCAAATCACACTGAAGAACATCTAGTTTGCAAAACATAATTACTGTACAGAATGCTTGTTGCAAGGAAATCTGATACATGTAGGATTCTTGAATTCTGGACATTTTATTAAAGAAAATAACCTCACACAGTGAAACCCCGTCTCTACTAAAAATACAAAAAATTAGCTGGGCGTAGTGGTGGGCGCCTGTAGTCCCAGCTACTCGGGAGGCTGAGGCCGGAGAATGGCGTGAACCCGGGAAGCGGAGCTTGCAGTGAGCAGAGATCGCGCCACTGCACTCTGCACTCCAGCCTGGGCGACAGAGCAAGACTTGGTCTCAAAAAAAAAAAAAAAAAAAAAAAAAAAAAAAGAACCTCACAAGAATGGATACCAGAATACCTATCTAGCAAATTTATCAAAAAGAAAAAATACATAAATTTTTTTCTTTCTAGTTTTGTCTTTTCTATCATAATAACTTCGGTGTTAGATTAGTGCTTAGAGATATATTAGATCAGGGTCAATATGTGAAGAGCTTTCAAATTAATAATTTGAAGAATAGTCAACAATAAAATGATAATGTAGTATGAGGATATAGTTCATAAACTAGTTATAAAAATTTAAATTACAATATAGTATTTAATTTTACTAATAATAAGCTTTTCAGAAACAAATTTTATATCTTAAATAATATATACGTCATGTATACGTGGGATAAAGCCATCTCATAAGTAATTGACAAATGTATAAATTGGTGTGAATGTTATAAGGAAAAATTTGTCTATTTATTTGCACAAAAAAGGTGAAATATTTTACCAAATTATTCTATATTTAATAATTTATTTTACAGAAATAATAGGCAAAATTAATAATGATACTAAGAGAAATCGTTATAAAAAGTAACAAATAGAGTTAAAAACTAAAATACCTTCAATATACTATTTCAGAGATATGGCATTATTAATTTAACAAATTTTGAAGACAAAGGGAATACCCTTATTATATTTGTAGACATGGATTCATGTTTAAGGAGATAATTTAAATGTATATGTTTCAATTACACAGGAATAAACAAACCAAAATAGAAAAGGTGATTTTTGTCTAGTTGTAGTGACTTTTTTCTGACTTTACTTTTTTCCCCGTTTTTCTCAACTTTTATAATCTTCAATGAATATTTGCTGCATCAATAATCAGAAAAACAACTTTTATAATGAAGAAAAATTATTGACTTAGTCAACATTTTGGCATTTACCTTCTTAAAAGTGGACTATATAGGCCCCATAAAGCAAAATGTTTTTCCTTCAATTTAACTTTGAAAAAAATATCAATTCAAAGTGATAAAATGAAACAATTGCTTATATCATTTTATGACACTCATGTTTTTTAAATTCTAACAAAATCAGTTATCTCACAAACATCTTTTTCTTAGTTGAAAAGTACAGTGAACTAAAGTAAGGCTATTCTAATATCAACGTTTTTACCTATCCATCAGATGAACCTGGCATATCTAAGTTCGTTTACATACCTGCAAAATTGAATTCAGATCCCAGCACTTTGGAGGCCGAGGCGGGCGGATCACGAGGTCAGAAGATCGAGACCATCCTGGCTAACATGGTGAAACTCCGTCTCTACTAAAAATACAAAAAATTAGCCCGGCGTGGTGACGGGCGCCTGTAGTCCCAGCTACTTGGCAGGCTGAGGCAGGAGAATGGCGTGAACCCGGGAGGCGGAGCTTGCAGTGAGCCCAGATCTGCGCCACTGCACTCCAGCCTGGGAGACAGAGGCAGACTCGGTCACAAAAAAAAAAAAAAAAAAAAAAAAAAAAAAAAATAGTATTCAGAGTAGCGTCCGCCCTCAACTAACTTGTGGGCTCAGAATGAAGAATATTGAAGTATTAGATCCATAAATTTGCATTTATATGAGCTGTTATATACTTAATTTAAATTATATTATTATTTGTGTAGTTTTCTCATTATTTTCAACAGTTAATTGTGAGATAGTATATCTTTTGATGTGTGGATGACAGAGTGTTCACATGTCCAGTACTAAAAGAAAAACAAAATTTATTTTGATTTATTTTTAATTCATACAATCCATGTAGTGTGAAAAGAAAGTGATAGAACTAATCTCTAAATGAATTGGTATTTTTTATAAAACAATAGACAAAACAGTTCTACAAAGTTTGTGTCGTTGTCATTGAAGAAATTGAAGTGTGTCTAATGTCAATGTTACTTACATGTGTGTACTGTTTTTTTCTTTGAGATCTATGACTCTGACCCTACTTCCAAACATGTACTCTGCTACAGTATAAGAGGTAGATGGATTACCCTTTTAAACAGATGTTTTCCACAGAAACTTGATACTATCAACAATAAAATATCAGCCTGGTAAAATGTACCAAGAAAATATCTGAATTAATACATTTCATATAGCACAACTTTCCTTTACTGTGGAAATATTTAAAATAAATATCAGACTCAAAGTGATGAGTAATAAAAAAATAAATTACCTAGGAATACATCTAACCAAAGAGGTAAAGGATCTCTACAAGGAGAACTAAAAAACACTGCTTCAGGAAATCATAGTGGACCCAAACAAATGGATATACATTCTATGCTCATGGATTGGAAGAATCAATATCATTAAAATGGCCATACTGCACAAAGCAATCAACAGATTGAATGTTATTTCTATCAAACTACCATTATTTTTCACAGAATTAGAAAAAAATATAGCTGTTCTAAAATTCGTATGGAACTGAAAAGGAGCCTGAATAGCTAAAGCAATTCTAAGCAAAAATAATAGTGCTATGATGAACATACAAGTGCATGTGTCTTAAAGGAAGCCAGAGACATCACATTACCTAACTTCAAACTATACTATAGGGTTACATTATCCAGAATATTATGGTACTGGTACAAAAACAGACACATAGATAAATGGAACTGAATAGAGAACCCAGAAATAAAGCCCCACAACCATCTAATCTTTGAAAAAGTCAACAGAAATAAGCAATGGGGAATTTTCCTGGGATGACTGGCTAGCCATATGCAGAAGCATGAAGCTATATCTCACCATATATAAAAATTAACTTAAGGGGGATTAATAATTCAAGTTTAAGCCCTCAAACTATAAAATTTCTAGATTTTGGAAATCAACCTTGGCAAAAAAATTATGACTAAGTCCCCAAAAGCAATCACAAAAAAAAAACAAAATTTGACAATCGTGGCCTAAATAAACTAAAGAGCTTCTGCACAGCAAAAGAAACTATCGACAGAAAAAACAACCTAAGAGTTAGAGAAAATATTAGCAAATTATGCATCCTAAAGAGTTCTAATATTCAGAACCTATGAAGAATGTAAACAATTCAACATGCAAAAACCAAATAACTTCATTAAATAGTGAGAAAAGAATATGATCAGACACTTGGCAAAGGAAGATATAAAGTGGCCAACACATGTATGAAAAAAAGGCAAAATTCAACAGCCCTTCATGCTAAAAACTCTCAATAAACTAGATATTGATGGAACGTATCTCAAAATAATAAGAGCTGTTTATGACAAACCCACAGCCAATATCATACTGAGTGGGCAAAAGCTGGAAGCATTCCCTTTGAAAACCGGCACAAGCCAAGGATGCCCTCTCTCACCACTCCTATTCAACATAGTGTTGGAAGTTCTGGCCAGGGCAATCAGGCAAGAGAAAGAAATAAAGGTTATTCAATTAGGAAAAGAGGCAGTCAAATTGTCCCTGTTTGCAGATGACATGATAGTATATTCAGAAAACCCCATCTTCTCAGCCCAAAATCTCCTGAAACTGATAAGCAACTTCAGCAAAGTCTCAGGATACAAAATCAATGTGCAAAAATCACAAGCATTCCTATACACCAACAACAGACAAACAGAGAGCCAAATCATGAGTGAACTCCCATTCACAATTGCTACAAAGAGAATAAAATACCTAGGGATCCAATTGACAAGGGATGTGAAGGACCTCTTCAAGGAGAAGTACAGATCACTGCTAAACGAAATAAAAGAGGACACAAACAAAGGGAAGAATATTCCATGCTCATGGGTAGGAATAATCAATGTTGTGAAAATGGCCATACTGCCCAAAATAATTTATAGATTCAATGCCATCTTCATCAAGCTCCCAATGACTTTCTTCACAGAATTGGAAAAAACTACTTTAAAGTTCATATGGAACCAAAAAAGAGCCCACATTGCCAAGACAATTCTAAGCAAAATGAACAAAGCTGGAGGCATCATGCTACCTGACTTCAAACTATACTACAAGGCTACAGTAACCAAAACAGCATGGTACTGGTACCAAAACAGATATATAGACCAATGGAACAGAACAGAGGCCTCAGAAATAATGCCACACATCTACAACCATCTGATCTTTGACAAACCTGACAAAGCAAGGCATGGGGAAAGGATTCCCTATTTAATAAATGGTTCTGGGAAAACTGGCTAGCCATATGTAGAAAGCTGAAACCGGATCCCTTCCTTACACCTTATACAAAAATTAATTCAAGATGGATTAAAGACTTACACTGTTAGACCTAAAACGATAAAAACCCTAGAAGAAAACCTAGGTAATACCATTCAGGACATAGGCATGGGCAAGGACTTCATGACTAAAACACCAAAAGCAATGGCAACAGAAGCCAAAATAGACAAATGGGATCTAATTAAACTAAAGAGCTTCTGAACAGCAAAAGAAACTACCATCAGATTGAACAAGCAACCTACAGAATGGGAGATAATTTTTGCAATCTACCCATCTAACAAAGGGCTAATATCCAGAATCTAAAAGAACTCAAACAAATGTATAAAAAAAAAAAAAAAACAAAGAACCTCATCAAAAAGTGGGCCAAAGATATGAACAGACACTTCTCAAAAGAAGACATTTATACAGTCAACAGACACATGAAAAAATGCTCATCATCACTGGTCATGAGAGAAATGCAAATCAAAACCACGATGAGATACCATCTCATGCCAGTTAGAATGGCAGTCATTAAAAGGTCAGGAAACAACACATGCTGGAGAGGATGTGGAGAAACAGAAACACTTTTACACTGTTGGTGGGAGTGTAAACTAGTTCAACCATTGTGGAAGACAGTGTGGAGATTCCTCAAGGATCTAGAACTGGAATTACTATTTGACCCAGCCATCCCATTACTGGGTATATACCGAAAGGATTATAAATCATGCTACTATAAAGACACATGCACACGTATGTTTATTGCGGCACTATTCACAATAACAAAGACTTGGAACCAACCCAAATGTCCAATAGTGATAGACTGGATTAAGAAAATGTGCCACATATACACCATGGAATACTCTGCAATATATGGAATACTATAAAAAAGGATGAGTTCATGTCCTTTGTAGGGGCATGGATGAAGCTGGAAATCATCATTCTCAGCAAACTATCACAAGGACAGAAAACCAAACACCGCATGTTCTCACTCATAGGTGGGAATTGAACAATGAGATCACTTGGACACAGGGTGGGGAACATCACATACCAGGGCCTGTTGGTGGTTGGGGGCCTGGGGGAGGGATAGCATTAGGAGACATACCTAATGTAAATGATGAGTTGATGGGTGCAGCAAACCAACATGGCACATGTATACCTATGTATCAAACCTGCACGTTGTGCATATGTACTCTAAATCTTAAAGTATAATATAAAAAACACCCAACATCACTAATCATCAGAGAAATGCAGATCAAAACCACAATGAGATACCATCTCACACCAGTCAGAATGGCTACTATTAAAAAGACAAATAAAAAAAAAACAGATGTTGGCAAGGCTGCAGAGAAAAGGGAATGCTTATACATTGTTAGTGAAAATGTGAATTCATTCAGCCACTGCAAAAAGCAACCTGGAGATTTTTCAAAGAAGTTAGAACTACCATTTGACCCAACAATCCCATTACTGGGTAGATACTCAAAGGAAAATAAATTGTTCTACCAAAAAGACCCATGTATTTTTATGTTCATTGCAGCACTATTCACAATAGGAAAGACATGAATCTACCTAGGTGTCCATCAATTGTGGATTGGATAAAAAATTATGGTACATATACCCCACGGAATAATGCATAGCTATAAAAACAACAAAATCATGTTCTTCGTAGCACAAAGATGGATGCAGCCATTATTCTGAGGAAATTAATGCAAGAGCAGAAAATCAGACGCTGCATGTTTTCACTTATAAGGGAGAGCTAAACATAGAGTACACATGGACACTGGGGACTACTAGAGGGAGGAGAGGAGAAGGAGGGAAAGAGCTGAGAAACCACCTATTTCGTACTACACTCATTACGTGGGTGATGGAATCAGTCATACCCCAAACCTCAGCATTACTCAATATACTCATGTACCAAACCTGCACATACACTCTGTGAATTTAAAAATAAAAGTTGAATCTTTTTAAAAAAGTGATGAGTAAAAGAGAAGAAACATTTTAAAACATGTCTGAATAAATATTATTGCTAATCTGTTCTGCCTGCCTTCTCCCTTTCTTATTCCCTACAGAAACCCTGTATCATTTAATTTTATGCTTCATCACTTAGCCCAGGTGTTCGGCTAGAGCTGACTCCATGTTCGGCTCCTGAGACAGCTGATTGGTGTACAGGTAATTCCATTCATCTTGCCAGTGATTGGTTTATAATAATCATGTGAATCAAACCAATGAGTCCCACACAGTGGTTCGCTAAGAAATACTGACAGTCTTCTTTATTCTTTTTGTTAAGATTCAGAAAATGAACCATGGTATATGTGGAAATAAGAAGCAGAATTACTGCAGCCACCTTACTACCACATGACCCAATACAGTTTTGGAGCAGCTTGAGTTAGGTTTCCTGTTATTTAAAAGTGAGTGTCTTTTAATTGATGCAAAAAAAAAAAAAAAACACAAGCAAAATAATACAAAAATTATAGTTAAAAGTAATGTATAGTAGGTCTTCTGTTCTGCTATGATCACGATCTGCTTTCTAATGCATGATATTGTATGTAATTCATTCATTTAAAAAATCTCATAAGACCACATGAACAACTGTCATTACAGCATGATAAAATAAATCAGATACTTGGAGACTAAACATTAGGTAGGTTTGATATACTCTATGGCCTAATAGAGGGAAATAAAATTACAAGCCCTGATAGAAGGCTTGATAAGACAGAATGGGAAATAAACAAAACAGATGAACATAGTACCAGAAAGAAATTTATCTTTCTCCATGAACAGAGTCAAAACATAGTACATATTTTTTTCAATTTTTGGTGTCTAAAGGCATCTCTATAAATAACTGTACAGGCATACCTCATTTTGTTATGATTTGCTTTATTGCACTTCATAGATATTATTTTTTACAAATTGTAGGTTTGTGGCAACCGTATGTTGAGTAAGTTCTATGGATTTTAATAAGTGTAGGATGTCATGCATCCAGCAATGTAGCATCATAAAGAATAGTTGCACTGTCCTAAAAATCCTTTGTTCTCTGCTTTTTTATCACTCCCTCTTTGCTAACCCCTAACAACCACTAATATTTTTACTGTACCCTTAGTTTCACCTTTTCCAGAATGCCATACACAGGCATACTTTTTTCCTGCACACTGATTTCTTGTGCTTTGCAGATATTTCATTTTTAACAAATTAAAGGTATTTGACAACCCTGCACTGAGCCAGCTTTTTTTCCCAACAGTGTGTGCTCACATTGTATCTCTTCATCACATCTTGGTGAATCAAAATGTCTCGAACATTTTTTATTATTGCAATATCTATTATGGTGGTCTATAATCAGTGATCTTTGATGTTACTAATGTAATTGTCTTGGGGTGCCACAGTGCAATAGGAGAAAAAAAATTGATTTAAAAATTGGCAAAAGATCTTAATAGACATTTCTCAAAAGAAGACATGAAAATAGTCAACCAATATATACAAAAATGTTCAACATCACTAATCATTAGAGAAATGCAAGTTAAAGCTACAATAACAGTTAACATGGATTTTATCCAAAAGGCAGGTAATAACAAATGCTGGAAAACATGCAGAGAAAGAGGAACACTATTGATGAAAATGTAAATTAATACAACTACTATGGAAAACAGCATAGAGTTTACTAAAAAATATAAAAACAGAAGTATTATAATCTGGCAATCCCACTGCTAGGTATATACCCAAAAGAAAGAAAATCAGTATACTGAAGAAATATCTACAATCCCTTATTTATTGTAGCACAATACACAATAGCCAAGATATAAAGTCAATCCAAATGGCTATTCATAGATCAATAATTCATTGACTATTCAGCCATAAAAACTATAAAATCCTGTCATTTGCAACAACATAAATTGAACTAGAGGTCATTATGTTTAGTGAAATATGCTAGGCACAGAAAGACAAATGTGCATTCTCATTTGTGTATGAGAACTTAAATAAAGAGCTTAGGGAGTTAGAAAGTAGAATGATGATGACCAGAAGTTGGGAAGGTTTGTAGGAAGAGGAGGATAAAGAGGAGATGGTCACTGTGTACAAAAATACAGTTAAATAGAAGGAATAAGATCTATTATTTGGTAACGCTATAGGACAACCATAGTTAACAATGAGGTATTGTATATTTCAAAATAACTAAAAGAGTATAATTGCAATGTTCTTAACACAAAGAAATGATAAATGTTTGAGGTGATGGATATCCCACTCACCCTGGTTTGATCACTACACATTGTATGCTAGGGTCAATATATCACATGTACTTCATAAATATGTACAACTCTAAGGTATTCATAATGATTAGAAACACAAAAATAAAAAGTAAATAAAATAAGACAACAATAAAATGTGCCACATCCATGAACTCTTTCTATCATGAACTATTTCTCTGTAAACTGTGATGCTGTTTGATAATATTTTACCCACAGTAGAACTTCTTTCAAAATTGGAGTCAATCGTCTCAAAACTTTCTAATGCTTCATCAGTTAAGTCTTTGAAATACTCTAGGCTCTTCGTTGTCATTTCAACAATGTTCATGGCATCTTTACCAGAAACAGATTCCACCTCAAGAAACTAATTTTGTTGCTCATTCATAAGGTGTAACACCTCATCTGTTCATGTTTTATCATGAGATTGCAGTAATTGGTCACAACTTCAGGCTGAACTTCTAATTATAGTTCATTTAATATTTCTGCCATGCCTGCAGTGACTTTCTCCACTGAAGTCTTGAACCCCTCAAAGTCATCCATGAGGGTTGGAATCAACTTCTTCCAAACACCTGTTTATGCTGATATTTTTATCTCTTTCCATGAATCACATATGTTCTTAATTGCATTTAGGATTATCAATCCCTTCCAGAAGGTTTTCAATGTACTTTGCCCTTTATCATTCATAAACCCTTCTTTGTCTCTTTTTAGTTTTTGTCTTGAAATCTATTTTATCTGATGTAAGTATAGATACTCCTGCTGATTTTGTTTCGGTTTTGTTTTTTGAGACGGTGTCTCACTCTGTCGCCAGGCTGGAGTGCAGTGGTAAGATCTTGGCTCAATGCAACATCCGCCTCCCGAGTTCAAGCAATTCTCCTGCCTCAGCATCCCGAGTGGCTAGAAATACAGGTGCACACCACCATGCCCAACTAATTTTTGTATTTGTAGTAGAGACGGGGTTTCACCATGTTGGCCAGAATGGTCTTGATCTCTTAACCTCATCATCCACCCACCTCAGCCTCCCAAGGTGCTGGGAATACGGGTGTGAGCCACCTTGCCCGGCTCCTGCTGTTTTTGCTCTCCACTTGCATTGAGTATCTTTTTTCATACTTTTCTTTCCAGTCTATGTTTGTCTTCTTTTTATTTTACTTTAAATTCTGGAATATATGTGCAGAATGTGCAGGTTTGTTACGTAGATATACATGTGCCATGGTGTTTTGCCCCACCTATCAAGCCACCATCTAGGTTTTAAGCCCCACATGCATTAGATATTTGTCCTAATGCTCTCCCTCCCCTTGCACCCCACCCTCCAACAGGCCCTGGTGTGTGATGTGATGTTCACCTCCTTGTGTCCATATGTTCTCATTGTTCAAATCCCCCTTATGAGTGAGAACACATGATGTTTGGTTTTTTGATCCTGTGCCAGTTTGCTGAGAATGATGGCTTTCAGCTTCCTCCATGTCCCTGCATAAGACATGAACTCATTCTTTTTTATGGCTGCATAGTATTCCATGGTGTATATGTGACACATATACACCAGTCTGTCATTGGTGGGCATTTGGATTGGTTCCAAGTCTTTGCGATTGTAAATAGTGCCACCATAAACACACATGTGCATGTGCTATTCTCATCAAGCTACCAGGGACTTTCTATGTTTGTCTTTATAGATTAAATGATTTCTTGCAGGGAGCATATAGTTTAGTCTTCCTATTTTATCAATTCAGACACTCTGTTTTTTGATTGGATCATTTCGCCCATTTCCATTCAATATTATTGATAAGTAAGGACTTACTCCTGCCATCTTGTTAATTGTTTTCTCGTTTTGTTGGTCCTCGCTTCCTTTCTTTCTTCTGGTCTTTTTTTGTGTAGAAATAATTTTCCTTGGTAGTATGTTTTAATTTTTTGCTTTTTATTGCTTATCTATTATAGTTTTTTGTCAAAGGAAAAAATCAAAACAAAACACTCTACACATTAACTCAGTTCAAACCCTTAGATTTTTATTATCTCTATTTATATATTTTCATATTGTCTACTAAAAATTTGTTATTGTTAAGATTTTGGATAAGTTTGTCTTTTAGCATTCCTACCAAAATTATGATTGGCTTAGAAATCACAGTTACAGTGTTAAGGTTTTCTGTATTTGTGTGTATTTTTACCTGTAAGTTTTATAAACTTCAGGTGATTTCTTGTTGCTTGTTAAAATCCTTTTCTTTTAGACTGAAGAAGTCTCTTCAGTGCTTCTTGTAAGACACGTCTGATTTGTAAGACACGTCTGATAAAGGTATTTGACAACCCTGCACTGAGCCAGCTTTTTTTCCCAACAGTGTGTGCTCACATTGTATCTCTGCATCACATCTTGGTGAATCAAAATGTCTCGAACATTTTTTATTATTGTGATATTTATTATGGTGGTCTATAATCAGTGATCTTTGATGTTCCTGTAAGAACATCAGTGCTTCTTGTAAGACACGTCTGATGGTGACAAAATCTCTCGGGTTTGTTTGTCTTGTGTATTAGTTCATTTGTACCCTGCTGATGAAGACATACCTAAGACTGGGTAATTTATACAGAAAAAAGGGTTTAATAGACTTACTGTTCCATGTGGCTGGGGAAGCCTTACAATCATGGTGGAAGGCAAGGAGGAGCATCTCACCTCTTACATGGATGGCAGCAGTCAGAGAGCCTGTGCAGGAAAACTCCGCCTTATAAAGCCATCAGATCTCGTGAGACTTATTCACCATCATGAGAACAGCATGGGAAAGACCTGCCCTCATGATTTAATTATCTCCCACCGGGTCCCTCCCACAACATGTGGGTATTGAAGATGAGATTTTTGTGGGAACACAGCCTAACCATAACATCTTGTAAAGTCTTTATTTCTTCTTTTACATTTAGTGGTAATTTTGCTGGCTATAATATTTGGAATCATATGTATTTTTTAAATATGTTGTTCACTTCCTTAAGGCCAGTCTGGTTTCCCTAAAGTCTGTTGCTAGAAATAATGGTTCCTTTATATGTTATTTGCTTCTTTTCTCTTACTGCTTTTAGGATCCTCCCCACTCCCTCCCTCCTCACAACTTTTTTTTTTTTTTTTTTTTTTTTTTTGAGACGGAGTCTCGCTCGCTCTGTCTCCCAGGCTGGAGTGCAGTGGCTCAATCTTGGCTCAATACAACCTCTGCCTCCTAGGTTCAAGTAACTCTGAACTCTGACTCATCCTCCAGAGTAGCTGGGATTACAGGCACCAGGCACCATGGCTGGTTAATTGTTGTATTTTCAGTAGAAATGGGGTTTCACCATCTGGGCCAGGCTGGTCTTGAACCCATGACCTCGTGAACCACCCGCCTTGACCTTCCAAAGTGATGGGATTACAGGTGTGAGCCACCGTGCCTGGCCAGGATCCCCTTGTAATACTTGACCTTTAAGAGTTTGATTTTTATAAGCTTTGAGGTATTCTTATTTGGGTTGAATCTTCAAGGTGGTCTTTGACCTTTTTGTATTTGAATACTCATTTTGTTCTCCGGGTTTGTAAAGTTCTTTGTTATTATTTCTTTGAATAAATTTTATATCCCAGTTTCTCTCTCTCTACATTTTGCAGAAGGCAAATAACTCTTAGATTTGCCTTTTCAGGGTATTTTATAGATTTTTGTGGCATGCTTTCTTCCTCTTTATTTTTTTTCTCTGCTTGGCTGTGTATTTTCATATTGCCTGTCTTTGAACTCACTAATTGTTTCCTCTTCTTTACCAATTATTTTGTTGAGAAACTCTAATATATTTTTCAGTTTGTCAACTAAATTTTTCAGCATCAAAATTTTTGCTTGTTTTTTATTAGTGCCATCTCTTTATTAAATGTATCTGATAGAATTCTGAATTCCTTCTCTGTGTTATCTTAAAGTCTGTTGCACTTCCTCAAGACAGCTATTTTGAATTCTCTGTTGTGAGCAGCCACAAATCTCTGTCCCTCCAGGATGGTCAATGGTGAGGTCATATTTTCCAAGAAGTTCTTGATGCGTGTAAATATTCATCAATGTCTGGGCATTGAAGACTTCAGTATTTATTCCATCTTCTCAGCCCAGGCTTATTTGTACATGTCATTCATGAGAAGACTTTCCAAGAATTCAAAAAGTTATTAGTGTTGTGACCTAAGCCTGTGGTCACTGAAGCCATTTCAGCACTAGCATGCGTTCTATCCCAGGAAATCTTGAAGACTCCCACATACGCAGCCTTGGTGGCCTTGGAGAAGATAAGGCAGAATTCTCTGGGTTTCCAGACAAAGATTTCACTCTCTTCTCTTTCTCCTACTCAGAAGGAGTCTTTCTCCAAGTTGGGCTTCCTGGAGTTGGGAGAGGGGTGATTCAGGCACTGCCATGGCCACCACAACTGGCACTATGCTGGGTCTCACCTGAATCTGATGGCATTCCAGACCAAGAGGGTGTTCTAGAGACACTGTCCAGAAGGAAAAGCCTAAAATTGGCAGCTTCAGGAAGCTTCTTGGTGCTTATTTTACTGTGGCTGAGCTAGTACCCAATTTGCAAGATAAAGTTCTTACTCTTCCTTTTCTTTTTCCCAAGTTAAAGGAGTCTGTCCCTGAGCTGTATTGTCTACATTTGGAGAAGGGTTTATAGAGGCACTCCCATGGCCTCCATAGCTGCTGTCACACTAGGGTGAATGCCAAGTCCACTGCCTCTGGGACCAGCACAGCGCCAAGGCTTGTCCAAAACCTGTTTCTCACATTTATTTGTGACTCTAGGCCACTTTAATCAGCCAGTGGTGAAGCTGGCTTGGACTAATTTCCTTCCAGTTTCCTTCCAGTGGGATATAGGATTCTATCCCGGCTCAGAGCTTGTCTAAATGCTCCCTTTATGGGAGCCAGTAGAATTCTTCACTGTGAGGTGTTCCATTGTGACAGGGCAGTACAGAGTTCCAGTGTAAAGTCCCAAACTCATTTTGTTCTTCTTCCCCCAGGAACACAGATTCTCCCTCTGTGCTGTGCTAACTGAAGTTGAAGGAAGGAAGGTCTAGGCAAAACAAGACTGTCTTTCCTACCCTCTTCAATGTCTCTGTCCTCGTTACTACATTATAACCAGGTACTGTGATAGATTATCTGATTTTTGTGTTTATAAAGATATTTTTTGTAGATAGTTGTTAAGTTTGGTGTTCCTGTGGGAGAATGATCACTGGAGGGTTCTATTTGGCTTTCTTGGTCAGCTTTTTAACCCCATCCTATTGTCGTATGTTAGAAAATTGCCACAGCTATCTCAACGTTCAGAAACTATCACCATGATCAGTCAGTAGCCATCAACACTGAGGCAAAATGCTATATCAGCAAAAAGATCAGTCTTGCTGAAGACTCGGATGACTCTTGGACCTTTGTAGCAATAAAGTATTTTTAATTAAGTTATATACATGGTATATTTTAGGCACAGTACTGTTGCACACTTAATATATCACAGTGAACATAACTTTTATATGAACTAGGAAACCACAAAAAATGTTACTCACTTTATTGCAATATTACCTTTATCGAAGCGGTCAGAAACTGAACCTTAGGTATCTCTCAGTTATACCTGTAGAGTAAGAAAAACAGCATCCTGAAGTCTATCAGAGCACAACAAAGTTGGACCATGCCCCCCAACTCTCCTAATTATATGCTTAAGCAAGAGAATAAGAGCGATACTCAGAAACCTTAAGCTTTTCCAGGACTTTGTTTACCTCTTCACCTGTTATATTTGTTGTTAGGTTTTGAAGGGAAGGTGAGGGTTAAAGAAGGACACACACACAGAAAGAGGGTGGCTGGACAGCAAATGCAGGCTTTACGTCCAGCATAAAACCTACAGAAGTGGGGAACCAGCCTATTGCCAGTGCCCACTGCTGCTTACAAGCTGGGGGTACCTATAAGTATGGGCAGGAGGGGTCTAAGCAGTATGGCTTGTTGCCTGGCAGGATATTGATAAGATGTTCCCATAATGAAGTGGTTCTGGCCCTTGTTCCATTGGAATGTGGTATTCCTTGCATTTTCTCCCAGCAGAATGTGATAGGGATGTTTCTTTAGTTAGGTCTTTGCCCAGCAGGATGTGACAGGGATGTTTCTTTAGTTGGGCCTTAGCCTTTCTTTGTCTGCCCTGTGGTCAGGTGGTTAGGCAGGATGTTTCTCATGGTGAAACTTCCTGAAATATTTCACTTTGACCCAGGTCTGCAAAGTAGTGGGGAGCTTACAAAATGGTGCATGTAGACTAACATTTTTGCCTCTATTTATTTGAAACATCCTGAGAGACTCAAGGAACAACATTTCACTTTCATATTGTTTAGCTGTGCCAGTTGATATTTTCCCTTCTCATTATTTCATGTATATTAAATAGTAGATGTATTGTAAAACACTAGAGGCATAAACTATAACTGTATTTTTACTTAAAATTCATAAATCTGACAGGTACCTTTTTCATGGGTAAGCATGTCAATGTCTGTATTTCTTATGCAGTAGAGACGTTTGCAAAGTTTGAGTCAGAAGTAGTTATTCACTAATATTATGTGGCTACATTGTCAATTTAGAAGACAGACTTTAAAAATCCTTACCATTTTACTAGTTTTTATTTTGTATTTGTTTTTTTCTGCTAAAGACAATTGAGATAATTAGCTAAAATAGTTTAGACTATATATATATATGTATACACACATATATGTGTGCATCTGTGCATATATATATACCTATGTATTTACATGTAGACTATTAATATGTATAGGACAGTTATATATAATACATGAGTCTAAAATATATAGCAAAGTGATTAAATAATTATTTATTGATTTTGCATGGTAAATTGTCTTATTGTCAAAATATTTCCTAATGTTCCCTACCTCTCCCCATTCCTTATCAGACTTATCCCAGAAGGAAGGTTATACTTTTAGCTACACTATATAATTTGCCTTGGCCAATAAAGCATGCATGTAAATTTTCATGAATGAAGTTTAGGAGCCCTTGAGTAGTTTCTACATTTGTCTTCTTGCTCAGCTCTAAGATCTGCATGTCTCAGATATAGGCTACTTCTATATCCTTGGTTTGAAAGTGTAGAAACCCCATGATGGACATTATTGTGGTTGTAAGCTACTAAGACCGAGGGTCATTTCTTATCATAGTGTAAACTGACCTGAGCTCACTGAGTGTGTAATTCTGTATAAGATCATACCTCACATCACACATTTTGAACAAATTATATATTCTAATTTTTACAACAATCTGTTGATATATTATTATCTGCACTTGAGCATGAGAAAAATAAGACTCAGACAAGTTGAGACTACAAAGCTAACTCAGTGACTAAGCTGCCTCATTTTCAAAATATATACTTTTAACTACTACTCTAAATCTCATCCACTTATTATAAAAATAAATCACATGACTCATCAAAGGCATATATATGTCCAAAATAAAATAACTACAACTGCAGCATGGTTATCATAATTTCAGGTCTTGTTCTCCATTCAATGCGTGAATATCTTACATAATAATCCAAGTAACAAAACTGTTCTTCCTCATATGGAATTTTGTTTCACCTCAGTGCTGACATTTCTATATAATAGATGTTAAAACACTAAAAGTTATTTTATTTTATTCATTTTTTGAATTATTTATGTAATTTGAAAATCAAAAGAGTATTAAATGAAAATTTCTCCTCACAAAAAAACCTTGAATCTGAAAGAAACCAGTCTCATTAGCTATTTCTGTATTTTCCCAGACATAGTATATGCATATACAAGCAATACTCCATAACTTTTACTATTAAATATTAAATTCCACAGGTCATAACATAGGAGATAAAAACATATAAATCATAATATTAGGAGATTTCTCATTCTTTTAAAGCAGGATCGTGATTTGCTCTATGGATGCATGTACATGTGCATGTATAACTGTAGGAAAAACCTACCAGAAATACAGAGTTAAGCCAATTTATAATTTTGTACATATTCGCAAATCACCCTCATGAGAGGTTTTACCAATTTACACTCCCACAAGTAATGCTAAAGAGATTTCCCACACATTTGTCTGTACAAATCCACTAGGAGAATATTTCAGTATGAGATGATTTGCATTTTTTTATATCTAACGCTGAGAATTTGTTTCAGTTATTTAAGAATTGCTTACATTAACTTTTCTGTGAACTCACTGCTCATATTATATGCTCATTTTTGTTATGAGTTTTTGATATTTTACTTATTTGAAAAAAGATACTAATAAATTCAGAAAGTTTTATCTTTGTCTATGTAATTTATAAATATTTTCCAATTGTTGGAATGTTCAGGTTTTGGTTGTTTTTAAATTTTATTTGTTGCCATGTAATTTTTTTTCACTTTTGTGATTTTTTTTTGAAATCACTTTCTCTTATTGCTTCTAGGTTTAATGCTTAATTAGAGTATTACCAGTGATATTATAAAATAAATTCTCATATGATCAATTTTTTATTTCTTTGATAAACCTTATTTTAATCACTTGGAATTTCTTCTGATATATGCAGTATAAAACAACATTTATTTTTGCAAGTATCTATTTAGTTTTTCAAGCAAATATACAAAAAATTGTATCCTGTTGTCACTGTTCTCATGCCTCCTATGGTAAATTATTATTTACGACTGTCACAATAACTCCATCCATCCTTCATGGGCTTCGTGCATTGTGACTTTGTCACTCCTTCTATCTGGTGGTGAAGTCTTCTTCTCCCTTTAAATTAGAATTGCTCCTTGGAATTGCTTTGGATAGATATGACAGAAGTACACTTCTGGAAATTTCATTTATAAGCTTTTGTGTGACCAAAGAAAGTTGATGTGCTAGCATAAGCACAGTTATTTTTTTCCTTCCTTAGAGAAAAACTATGTTAGAAAAAACTAATAGTAAAAGGATGCACAAATGAGTCTCTTACATAAGCTATCAAAAAATACTGAAAAGCAAGAAACTTTTTAATTTGTTTAATTGTTTTTAGTTTCAGCTTCTTTTTAAAGAAGTTCCACAGTTTAAAAACATTTTTTCCTGAAGGAAATAAACTAGGATTATTTTCTTTATTTTATTTTATTTTATTTTATTATTATTATACCTTAAGTTTTAGGGTACATGGGCACAATGTGCAAGTTAGTTACATATGTATACATGTGACATGCTGCTGTGCTGCACCCATTAACTCGTCATTTAGCATTAGGTATATCTCCTAATGCTATCCCTCCCCACTACCCCCACCCCACAACAGTCCCCAGAGTGTGATGTTCCCCTTCCTGTGTCCATGTGTTCTCATTGTTCAATTCCCAACTATGAGTGAGAATATGCAGTGTTTGGTTTTTTGTTCTTTCGATAGTTCACTGAGAATGATGATTTCCAATTTCATCCATGTCCCTACAAAGGACATGAACTCATCATTTTTCATGGCTGCATAGTATTCCATGGTGTATATGTGCCACATTTTCTTAATCCAGTCTATCGTTGTTGGACATTTGGTTGGTTCCAAGTCTTTGCTATTGTGAATAATGCCACAATAAACATACGTGTGCATGTGTCTTTATAGCAGCATGATTTATAGTCCTTTGGGTATATACTCAGTAATTGGATGGCTGGGTCAAATGGTATTTCTAGTTCTAGATCCCTGAGGAATCGCCACACTGACTTCCACAATGGTTGAACTAGTTTACAGTTCCACCAACAGCGTAAAAGTGTTCCTATTTCTCCACATCCTCTCCAGCACCTGTTGTTTCCTGACTTTTTAATGATTGCCATTCTAACTGGTGTGAGATGATATCTCATTGTGGTTTTGATTTGCATTTCTCTGATGGCCAGTGATGGTGAGCATTTTTTCATGTGTTTTTTGGCTGCATAAATGTCTTCTTTTGAGAAGTGTCTGTTCATGTCCTTCGCCCCCTTTCTGATGATGTTGTTTGATTTTTCCTTGTAAATTTGTTTGAGTTCATTGTAGATTCTGGATATTAGCCCTTTGTCAGATGAGTAGGTTGTGAAAATTTTCTTCCATTTTGTAGGTTGCCTGCTCATTCTGAAGGTAGTTTCTTTTGCTGTGCAGAAGCTCTTTAGTTCGCTTAGATCCCGTTTGTCAATTTTGTCTTTTGTTGCCATTGCTTTTGGTGTTTTAGACATGAAGCCCTTGCCCGTGACTATGTCCTGAATGGTAATGCCTAGGGTTTCTTCTAGGGTTTTTATGGTTTTAGGTCTAACATTTGAGTCTTTAATCCATCTTGAATTAATTTTTGTATAAGGTGTAAGGAAGGGATCCAGTTTCAGCTTTCTACATATGGCTAACCAGTTTTCCCAGCACCATTTATTAAATAGGGAATCCTTTCCCCATTGCTTGTTTTCCTCAGATTTGTCAAAGATCAGAGAGTTGTAGATATGCGGCGTTATTTCTTAAGGCTCTGTTCTGTTCCATTGATTTATATCTCTGTTTTGGTACCAGTACCATGCTGTTTTGGTTACTGTAGCCTGGTAATATAGTTTGAAGTCAGGTAGTGTGATGCCTCCAGCTTTGTTCTTTTGGCTTAGGATTGACTTGGAGATGCGGGCTCTTTTTCGGTTCCATATGAACTTTAAAGTAGTTTTTTCCAATTCTGTGAAGAAAGTCGTTGGTAGCTTGATGGGGATGGCATTGAATCTATAAGACCTTGGGCAGTATGGCCATTTTCACAATATTGATTCTTCCTACCCATGAGCATGGAACGTTCTTCTATTTCTTTGTATCCTCTTTTATTTCCTTGAGCAGTGGTTTGTAGTTCTCCTTGAAGAGCTCCTTTACGTCCCTTGTAAGTTGGATTCCTAGGTATTTTATTCTCTTTGAAGCAATTGTGAATGGGAGTTCACTCATGATTTGGCTCTCTGTCTCTTATTGGTGTATAAGAATGCTTGTGATTTTTGTACATTGATTTTGTATCCTGAGACTTTGCTGAAGTTGCTTATCAGCTTAAGGAGATTTTGGGCTGAGACAATGGGGTTTTCTAGATATACAATCATGTCATCTGCAAACAGGGACAATTTGACTTCCTCTTTTCCTAATTGAATACCCTTTATTTCCTTCTCTTGCCTAATTGCCCTGGCCAGAACTTCCAACACTACATTGAATAGGTGTGGTGAGAGAGGGCATCCTTGTCTTGTGTCAGTTTTCAAAGGGAATGCTTCCAGTTTTTGCCCATTCAATATGATATTGGCTGTGGGTTTGTCATAGAAAGCTCTTATTATTTTGAGATACGTCCCATCAATACCTAATTTATTGAGAGTTTTTAGCATGAAGGGTTGTTGAATTTTGTCAAAGGCCTTTTCTGCATCTATTGAGATAATCGTGGTTTTTGTCTTTGGTTCTGTTTATTTGCTGGATTACATTTATTGATTTGCGTATATTGAACCAGCCTTGCATCCCAGGGATGAAGCCCACTTGATCATGTTGGACGAGCTTTTTGATGTGCTGCTGGATTCGCTTTGCCAGTATTTTATTGAGGATTTTTGCATCAATGTTCATCAAGGATATTGGTCTAAAATTCTCTTTTTTGGTTGTGTCTCTGCCCGGCTTTGATATCAGGATGATGCTGGCCTCATAAAATGAGTTAGGGAGGATTCCCTCTTTTTCTATTCTTTGGAATAGTTTCAGAAGGAATGGTACCAGTTCCTCCTTGTACCTCTGGTAGAATTCGGCTGTGAATCCATGTGGTCCTGGACTCTTTTTGGTTGGTAAGCTATTGATTATTGCCACAATTTCAGAGCCTGTTATTGGTCTATTCAGAGAATCAAATTCTTCCTGGTTTAGTCTTGGGAGGCTGTATGTGTCGAAGAATGTATCCATTTCTTCTAGATTTTCTGGTTTATTTGTGCAGAGGTGTTTGTAGTATTCTCTGATGGTAGTTTGTATTTCTGTGGGATCAGTGGTGATATCCCCTTTATCATGTTTTATTGTGTCTATTTGATTCTTCTCTATTTTCTTCTTTATTAGTCTTTTTAGCAGCCTATCAATTTTGTTGATCCTTTCAAAACACCAGCTCTTGGATTCATTAATTTTTTGAAGGTTTTTTTTTGTGTCTCTATTTCCTTCAGTTCTGCTCTGATTTTAGTTATTTCTTGCCTTCTGCTAGATTTTGAATGTGTTTGCTCT
Source organism: Homo sapiens (assembly GCF_000001405.40). Taxonomy (NCBI): domain Eukaryota; kingdom Metazoa; phylum Chordata; class Mammalia; order Primates; family Hominidae; genus Homo; species Homo sapiens. The sequence continues at coordinate 63,099,998 of NC_000004.12, read as the reverse complement.
TGCTTTTCTAGTTCTTTTAATTGTGATGTGCTTTCTCTTGTGGGCATTTAGTGTTATAAATTTCCCTCTACACACTGCTTTGAAGGTGTCCCAGAGATTCTGGTATGTTGTGTCTTTGTTCTCATTGGTTTCAAAGAACATCTTTATTTCTGCCTTCATTTCGTTATGTACCCAGTAGTCATTCAGGAGCAGGTTGTTCAGTTTCCACATAGTTGAGTGGTTTTGAGTGAGTTTCTTAATCCTGAGTTCTAGTTTGATTGCACTGTGGTCTGAGAGACAGTTTGTTTTAATTTCTAATCTTTTACATTTGCTGAGGAGAGCTTTACTTCGAACTATGTGGTCAATTTTGGAATAGGTGTGGTGTGGTGCTGAAAAAAATGTATATTCTGTTGATTTGGGGTGGAGAGTTTTGTAGATGTCTATTAGGTCTGCTTGGTGCAGAGCTGAGTTCAATTCCTGGATATCCTTGTTAACTTTCTGTCTCGTTGATCTGTCTAATGTGGACAGTGGGGTGTTAAAGTCTCCCATTATTATTGTGTGGGAGTCTAAATCTCTTTGTAGGTCACTCAGGACTTGCATTATGAATCTGGGTGCTCCTGTATTGGGTGCATATATATTTAGGATAGTTAGCTCTTCTTGTTGAATTGATCCCTTTACCATTAAGTAATGGCCTTCTTTGTCTCTTTTGATCTTTGTTGGTTTAAAGTCTGTTTTATCAGAGACTAGGATTGCAACCCCTGCCTTTTTTTGTTTTCCATTTGCTTGGTAGATCTTCCTCCATCTTTTTATTTTGAGCCTATGTGTGTCTCTGCACGTGAGATGGGTTTCCTGAATACAGCACACTGATGGGTCTTGACTCTTTATCCAATTTGCCAGTCTGTGTCTTTTAATTGGAGCATTTAGTCCATTTACATTTAAAGTTAATATTGTTATGTGTGAATTTGATCCTGTCCTTATGGTGTTAGCTGGTTATTTTCTTGTTAGTTGATGCAGTTTCTTCCTAGCCTCAATGGTCTTTACAATTTGGCATGATTTTGCAGTGGCTGGTACTGGTTATTCCTTTCCATGTTTAGTGCTTCCTTCAGGAGCTCTTTTAGGGCAGGCCTGGTGGTGACAAAATCTCTCAGCATTTGCTTGTCTGTAAAGTATTTTATTTCTCCTTCACTTATGAAGCTTAGTTTGGCTGGATATGAAATTCCGGGTTCAAAATTCTTTTCGCTATGAATGTTGAATATTGGCCCCCACTCTCTTCTGGCTTGTAGAGTTTCTGCTGAGAGATCAGCTGTTAGTCTGATGGGCTTCCCTTTGTGGGTAACCCGACCTTTCTCTCTGGCTGCCCTTAACATTTTTTCCTTCATTTCAACTTGGTGAATCTGACAATTACGTGTCTTGGAGTTGCTCTTCTCGAGGAGTATCTTTGTGGCGTTCTCTGTATTTCCTAAATTTGAATGTTGGCCTGCCTTGCTAGATTGGGTAAATTCTCCTGGATAATATCCTGCAGAGTGTTTTCCAACTTGGTTCCATTCTTCCCGTCACTTTCAGGTACACCAGTCCCCAAGATGGCCAAATAGGAACAGCTCCAGTCTACAGCTCCCAGCGTGAGTGACGCAGAAGATGGGTGATTTCTGCATTTCCATTTGAGGTACCGGCTTCATCTCACTAGGGAGTGCCAGACAGTGGGTGCAGGACAGTGGGTGCAGTGCACTGTGCACGAGCCAAAGCAGGGCAAGGCATTGCCTCACTTGGGAAGTGCAAGGGGTCAGGGAGTTCCCTTTCCTAGTCAAAGAAAAGGGTGACAGACGGCACCTGGGAAATCGGGTCACTCCCACCCTAATACTGCACTTTTCGGACAGGCTTAAAAAACAGCGCACCAGGAGATTATATCCCACACCTGGCTTGGAGGGTCCTACACCCACAGAGTCTCACTGATTGCTAGCACAGCAGTCTGAGATCAAACTGCAAGGCAGCAGCGAGGCTGGGGGAGGGGCGCCCGCCATTGCCCAGGCTTGATTAGGTAAACAAAGCAGCCGGGAATCTTGAACTGGTGGAGCCCACCACAGTTCAAGGAGGCCTGCCTGCCTCTGTAGGCTCCACCTCTGGGGGCAGGGCACAGACAAACAAAAAGACAGCAGCAACCTCTGCAGACTTAAATGTCCTTGTCTGACAGCTTTGAAGAGAGCAGTGGTTCTCCCAGCACGCAGCTGGAGATCTGAGAACGGGCAGACTGCCTCCTCAAGTGGGTCCCTGACCCCTGACCCCCAAGCAGCCTAACTGGGAGACACCCCCCAGTAGGGGCAGACAGACACCTCACATGGCCGGGTTCTCCTCTGAGACAAAACTTCCAGAGGAACGTTCAGACAGCAGCATTCATGGTTCACAAAAATCCGCTGTTCTGCAGCCACCACTGCTGGTAGCCAGGCAAACAGGGTCTGGAGTGGACCTCTAGCAAACTCCAACAGACCTGCAGCTGAGGGTCCTGTCTGTTAGAGGGAAAACTAACAAACAGAAAGGACATCCACACCAAAAACCCATCTGTACATCACCATCATCAAAGACCAAAAGTGGGTAAAACCACAAAGATGGGGATAAAACAGAGCAGAAAAACTGGAAACTCTAAAAAGCAGAGGGCCTCTCCTCCTCCAAAGGAAGGCAGTTCCTCACCAGCAATGGAACAAAGCTGGACAGAGAATGACTTTGACGAGTTGAGAGAAGAAGGCTTCAGACGATCAAACTAGGATTATTTTCTTCCAATAAAAAAGTAATGAAGAAAACCCAGGAAGTCACAACCTGTGTGGAATAATTTTAAAAATGGAATTTTCAAAATTAAGGCAACAAGAAAGGATAAATAAAAGTTGGAAATGATATAAGAAAGATTTAATACTTTCCTCACCTTTCAAAAGCGTTATGGCCAACATGCCTATAACTAAAGACAAGTTAAGAGAAAAGCATAGAAAATTTATTTCATCAAAGTTTTACATTACATGGGAGCCTTCAGAAATGAAGACACAAAGAACCAAGGAAAACTTTGTATTATTATGCTCCCAGAAGAATGAACAGTCATGTAAAAATGTGATTGGACCAAAAAATTGTATGATCTAATGGTAATAGATGGAGGGGGAATCTCAGCAAAGCCTATCCAGATTTGTCTTGGCCTTTCTGTGAAGCATTCCTGCCCTCTAGCTATAAGACATGACCCCTCTGTAATGAAGGTCTTATGACCTACTTTCAGGCAAGTAAGTCAGATAATTTACTTATGGTCAGCTCTCACACAGAAATAGAAAAGTCAGAGTGGCTTTCTTGCTACTGAGATCCTCCCAACCTTTTTCAATTCAATGTACTTTGGGGGTAGCATTTTCTGATCCCTGACAATGTTTATCTCTGACAATGATGGTTTATTTCATATGTCAACTTAGCTAGACCATGGTATCAAGACATTTGGTCAAACATTGCTCTGAATTTTGTTGCAAAGGTATTTTTTAGACCAGATTAACATTTAAATCAGTACACTTTGAGTAAAGCAAATTACCCTTCATAATTTAAATAGTTTTTATCCAATCAGCTGACTTCCCCAGAACAGGAGGGAATTCTGCCAGTAGAATGTGAACTTGAGCTGAAATATCAATTCTTCTTTGGGTCTACAGCTTGCTGGGCTACCCTGCAGATTTGCCAGCCTCAAAAATCATGTGAGCCAATTCCTTAAAATAAATCTCTCTCTCTCTCTCTCTCTCTCTCTCTCTCTCTCTCTCTCACACACACACACACACACACACCCCCTCTTGGTTCTGTTTCTCTGGAGAACCTCATTAATACAATATGGAAGCTAGGAAGAGAATCACTTATTCTTTCATAATAATTCAAATTATTCATTTTAAAAGTAAGATAGTTCAGAAGGCGCTTGTAAGTTTAACGTGCAAGTGGCTTAGAGTCCTAGGTGGCATATACTGACAGAATGTCACTCTTCTCTCAACATCTAAGATCGCATTGGTAACTACTTTTGAATCATTAATTGAAGATAGACACATTAGTCCTGGTCATAGGTGGCTCTAATTTTTAAACCAATGTTATCTGTAAATGGATATCCATGAGGTTATTCATTAACTCAGTAAGTGGTTCTAATGGGTAGTGGCTAAGGAGTCTTCTCAGTGGATAGCATTTCATGTTTATAGCTGTTTGTTTTCAGTTTACTTTTCATTACTTTCCCTTCTAGAATATGATGGTGAATTTATCTCTCCTACTCAAGTCTATATCTTTAAGGACTATATTAGTTTCTGGTATACATTATGTTCTCAGTAAATGTGTGTGAAACGAATAAATGAGTAAACCATATGAGATTTTTTAATAGAACATCTAGCAAGATTCATATGGAAACACTACTCTAAGCTTCTATAATTAAACCAAAACAAAAATAAATATAATTTAAGTGTTTTATTTGAAAAGAGGACTAGGCTTATCATAATACAACAATGTCTTTTAACATTTTCAGTACACACTATCATTGTGTTTGACTGCTGTAGCTAATCTTTGGTAATTCATATATGGTACACATCAAAGCCTATAATTATATATTTATTTCAGTGGTCATTTGATTATACTATCTAACTAGAAAATGAGTTTCAAAACTGATAAGACAATACTTTTTTTTTCCCCATAAATATATTTTTTTCCCCATAAATATACCCTTAGGGCTTAGCAGAGAGTCTGGCCCCAAACAGAAATCCAGCAGAAAACACTGAATGACTGAATTAATTATGTCTGGACTCCCATGTTTATTGCAGCACTATTCACAATAGCCAAAATGTGCAATCAACCTAGAGCCTATCAACAGATGAATAGACTTTTACTAAATAACAACTTATATGAAATATAATTTTGGAATTATTTCATGCATATTTGATATATGTTTCTGATTGTAGTTTATTTCTAGATTTGTTATAGGCTTATTATTAAGAAATCATCACAAACAGGAAACCTATATTATTTAGTATCTGAGAGGTTTTATTTCATTACACATTGAGACTGGAAAGATACTGATTGAGATATTATCCATGTCATAAATCAAATAAATATTTGACTCAAACAATTTAGTAAAATTGAACTTTAGAAAAAAAATAAAATGATTTAAATTGAGAAAGACATAATTATCTCTTTTTGGAATAAGAAAGATCCAGAAATTATGGCCATTACAATGGGAAATGATAAATATGCTCATGTATATGAAAGTAAAATATCAAGTACAGTTTTTCTTTGCAGTCATTGCAAAAGTTTGTAGCTACTTTGATTTCTCCAGAATTTTAATGAGCATTATTTCAAGTGAAGTCATCAAGTAAATTCATAAAATAAAACAGAAAATATAATTGCAACTAAATTTTTTATTGAGGTGAAAAAAGCTAAGTAAAATTCTCAACTAGTTTCTAAATAAGTGATACACTCTCCAGTAAAATAATATTATAAATCTGTGAACGCATTGAAAGCAATAGCATTTCTACTTATGAGGCAAAGATCAAATTCTCTAATTTCTGGTAAATTAGCTTATTTATTTCATTCACAATTATACATATTTTCCTAAATAGCTTATAATGAAAATGTAAAACAAACCTAAAAATTTTTAGCATTTGGATATTTGTTTACCTCCTTAAGGTTTAAAATATAATTTAATTCTTATAGCTTTAAGTGTATAAAGTATATCAGTAAACAAGCATGTTTCAAAATAAAAAATTCTGATGTTTTCTAACCTTTTCAAAAACATTAAATGTAAGTTATTGCATTTCTTATTAAGTAGTACAAATTGAATTTTTAACAATAATCTTATCTGAGTAACAGGCCACCTCGATTAGTATCTAGCCTAAAAGATTAAGTCAAGTGGATTTCTTATCCAAGCATAAAGCCTGTAATTAGTTATAAGTTTTTGGTTTTGTTGACTGATATACAACATTTCTTGAGCAGTAATTTGCTGCCTCTCAAGGAGTATTTGCCCACTCTGTATTTCTAGTGAACCACTAAATAATAAAGCTCTTCAGGACCAACTTCTAGCCTCTTCTCTTCTTTCACTAAACTTACCCTCAAGTGATCTCATCTCCTGTTAGTATGAAGAATGATTTATCATCTATGGTATTTAAATATATGTACCCAGGAAACATATACACTGAATTCAGAGTCATCTACTCAGTGATTTACTAGGTACTTCTACTAAGATGATACAGGAGTGTCTGAAACTTAACATGTACTGAACTTCTGATTGTCCCTCAAATCTTCTTTAACCCAAGTCTCATCGATTTTGGTGCATTTGTAATCAATTTTCTCAGAACCAATGTAGCAATGTAAATATTATTTTTTATTTCATAGTTGTTGATTTATTTGTTTACTTACTTATTGTTTCTCCATATTCCATCTAGACCAGAATTTCTCATTCTTGGTACTATTGTCCTTCTGGGCATATACTTCTTTGTTGATGAGGACTGTCCTGTGTATTGTAACACACCTCAGGCCTCCAACCCCTAAATAACAGTAGTATCTTTCCAAGTTGCAATAACTTGGGAAGATAAAAGAAAAATATTTCTAGACATTGCTAAATGTTACTTGGGGGACAAAATTGCTTCTAGTTGAAAACTACTGCCTAGATTGTAAACTCCATGAATAATATAGAGATTTTCTTCTCCACTACATTTCCAAAACCTAGAAAAGCAATAAACATAAAAAAAACTTAGAAATATGTTTGTTTACTTAATTTTCAAGTGTTATTGATATATTGTTGCCAAAACATTGTGCATAAAATATAAAACATTTTTTGATGACCACCAAAAACAAAACAAAGAACTTATTTTAATGCAGTACTAAGTGCTATTGGTTCACTGTTTTCATGTCTGTTTGTAACAGTTGTTTGTATATCAAATACTTTTGGTATAAATATTGCCATGGTTGTAAGCTCTCTTCATTACTGACTTAGTATATTATTTAGTACACAGTATAATGTCCAGTGCACAGCTTACTATAGTATCTAGTACATAGCTTTCTTAACATTATAACTGTCGGTGTTCACCTGATGATTCAAGGGCAATCAGTGCACAGAATATTATTTGTGAAACACAATTCCAAGTTAACCTCTCTTCTGTTGCTTAACAAACACCTAAATAATAATATTCTTCCTGTTTCATTAGTTTTTTGAAACAGGGTCTCGCTCTGCCACCCTGCCTGGAATGCAGTTGCATGCTCATAGCTTAATAAAGCCTCTGTCCCCTAGGCTGAAGCAAATCTTGCCACCTCAGCCTCTCCAGTGGCTGGGACTACAGGCATATGCCTCTACACCTGGCTAATATTTTGGATTTTTAGTAGTTTGAGGTCTCTTTATGTTGCCCAGGCTGGTCTCAAACTCCTGGCCTCAAGCAATCCTCCTACCTAGGCCTCCCCAGATGCTGGGATTATAGGTATAAGCCACCACGCCCAGCCTTATTGTTAATTTTTCTTGTTGTTTCTGCTGACCACGTTTTGTAGATTGCAAAGTAGATGCTCAGCCTGTAAGTATGAGGCATACATTTCTACAATATGACCAAATCTCAGTATTTACTTTCAAATATTGTCTGACATCAGTCTCTAGTTTTAGTATGTATACTGTTTCATGCTATTTTTAACAATAATATCAACTATAATCATAAATGATTTCATCTATTGCATTTAGGAATTATGATTAAAGCTTATTCAATCATCACTATGAGCCTATAAAGTAAGTTCTAGTGTTATGGACTGAATGTTTGCATCTTCCCCAAATTCAAATGTTGAAATCTTAAACCCAATGTGATGGTATTAGGAGCTGGGACATTTGGGGCAAAATTATGTCATGAAGGTTAAGTCTTCATGAGTAGGTGATGTGGTTAGGCTCTATGTCCCCACCCAAATATCATGTTGAATTATAATCCCCACGTGTCAGGGGAGGGACCTGGTGGGAGGTGATTGAATCATGGGGGCGGATCTTCCCCATGCAGTTCTTGTGATAGTGAGTTATCATGAGATCTAATGGTTTTAAAAGTGTGGCACTTCCCCTGCCTCTTTCTTTCTCCCTCTCTCCTGCCACCATGTAAGATGTGCCTTGCTTCCCCTTTGCCTTCCGCCATGATTGTAAGTTTCCTGAGGCATCCTCAACCATGCAGAACTGTGAGTCAATTAAACCTCTTTTATTTATAAATTACCAGTCTCAGGTTTTTTTTTTATAGTAGTGTGTAAACTGATGAATGTCATTTTCAAACTGCTATTCTATACCATGGGATAGGTGTCCTTATGAGAAGGAATAGTACAGCTTGCTTCCTTGCTCTCTGTTCCAGTCATGTGAAAAAAGCACAATAGAGCTGTCTGCAAACCAGTGGGATACCAGATTAGACACCAGATCTGGCAGTACTGTGGTCTAGAAGAGTAAGGAATAAATGTTGGTTGTTTAAGCCACCTGGACTATAGGATCTTATTACAGCAGCCTGAACTCACTAAGACAACTGGTATACCAAATTTAAAGATAAAGTAATCATAAGATTAAGTGATTGCTAAATTAGTAAATTATTGCTGAGCTTTTTAGTGAATGATAGAGCCCATATTCAATACAAATACTCCTTTATTTAAAATTCCATTATTTTATTCATTATCACCATACTGCTTCACATAAGTAGGCAAACTGACTTACGGTATTAGGGATACTAACTTGTCAAAATAGTTGGTCAAAAATTTAGAATGGGAGATGAGAATGCCCAACATCAAGGAGCCAATAAAAAGGACTAATTAAATATGATGATGCTAAGAGACTGATGGGCAGGTAACAAGAGACTGCAATATTCTGTATATTCAAAAACAAAAATAGTTCCCCATTTCCCAAATTCATATTGGGATGGATGTGAAACCTACTGACCAGGAGACAACCCAATTAAAAATGGGCAAATAACACATGAAAGGATGCTCAATATCAATAGTCATTAATGAAATGCCAATCAAAACCACAATGAGATACTGCTTCACACTAACTAGGATAGTCACAGTATGAAAAAAAAATAACAGGTGTTTGAGAAAATGTGGAACAATTGTACCCTCTTACATTGGTGGTGAAAATGTAAAAATAGTACAGCCATTAGAAAAAACAGTTTAGAAGTTTCTCAACATTTAAATAGAATCACTACATGACTCAGCAATTCCACCCCTAGGTATATGCCCAAAATGCACATAACATGTATTCAAACAAATACCTGTGCATAAGTGTTTACAGCAGCACTATTCACAAAATACCACAAGGTAGAAACATCCTAAATATTTATTAATCATTAATGGATAAACAAATGGTCATATGTACATACAACGGAATATTATTCAGCACAGAAGGCATGACATAATGATCCATGCTAAAATATGGAAGAACCTTGAAAACACTGTTCTAAATGAAAAAAGCCAGACATAAAGTCTCATATTGCAGGATTTCATTTATATGAAATATACAGAAGAAGTGAATTCACAGAAACAAAAGCAGATGGTTGGTTATGTAGGGATAGGAATAGATGGCAAAAATGGGCACAACTGCTTAATGGGCACAAGGTTTAACTTTTAGTGTGATGAAAATGTGTGACAGCTAGAGACAGGAGGTTGTTAAACAGTACTGTGAATGCATTAAATGCCACTCAATGTTTCACTTTAAAATTTATAACTTTGAGAATTTCACTTCAATTAAAAAAATAGGGGGGAAATGTGACAACAATAAACCCCTGATATGTTACTAGGTACTGGGTGGAAATCTAATTATATCTGACCCAGAGCCACCTGAAAAGAGCAATATTTTATTTCATGCTGATTAATATTGACATCCATTTTGGCTATGTGTTTGCTTATTGCTTTTTTGTTCTCTGCGATGGTTAATTTTATGTCAACTTGACTGAATTAAGGGATATCCAGAGAGATGGCAAAATACTAGTTCTGTATGTCTGTGAGCTGATTACTGAAAGAGATTAGCATTTAAATCAGTAGAATGAGTAAAGATGATCAACCCTCACAAATGTGGGGAGTAGATCATCCAATCTGCTGTGAGAGCAGAAAGAACAAAAAAGGCAAAGGAAGGGTAAATTCCCTCTCTCTTTGGCAGCTGGGTCATCCATCTTCTCCTGCCATTAAACATCAGAGATCCAGGTTCTCTGGCCTTTGGACTCTGAGATTTGCACTAGCAGCCCTTGACTTTCTCAGACAGAGTTACACCATCAGCTTCAATGGTTTCAGGGATAATAGAGGCACTAGTCACATGTTTGGGGTGGAGGAATGTTTTCATAAGGAAAGATAATCCAACTCCTAGTGAATCTAAAACTATGGACAGTTTCTTTTCTTCATCCCGGTAGACCAACCATCAAATAAAGGAGGGAGCATACTGGCAATGGTAATTGACCTTTATCTTCATGGGGTTGTTGCTCTACAATGGGGATATAGAGAAATACGTTAGCCACTCATGTGGTCCTCCAGTATACCTCTTGCAACACTCATGCCCAGTTTTGAGTGTAAATACAACAACCATAGCTTGATAGGAGCATGACACTGAGGAACTTAAAGTCCTCAGAGATGAAGATCTGGGCAACCCACCTGACAAACCACCTGAACTAATGGAAATAAAATTAAAAGTTGAGATTAAAAGTTATCTAGTATGAGTAGTGGAGAAGGGAAATGATGAATTTTTTTTAAAGCATTGGAGAAAACTGGAGAGACAGAGCCTATAGTTTGTTCCACTAAGCCTCTTTAGTACATCATTAACCTAAAAAAAGCTTTGCCTCAGGTGTGTAACTTAGCCTGAGAAACAAGTATAACTATGTGGTACAGAAAGTGGGTGTTGATGCCTCACCCAAATTTCTTTCACGTTTCAGCCAACCATCTTCCAGCTGCTGTGAGTGTTGGCTGATAAATAATCATAGCTGCTACCTTTTCTGGAGAATAGTAATTAGCCAAACTGGAAGCATTTTGCTTACAATGCTATACTCCACATACACACTGGGATATCCCTCAGCCTTGACTGACCGTGATACAAAAGGAGTCCTTCTGTTCTAAAAGTGAGCCTTACTCTTAGTGCTATTTGCACTCCAGGTTATTCCCGTGGAACCAACCTCAATGTAGCCAAGGCCACATTCTTGCTTAGTTTCCTACACTACCTTCCTGTGCTTCCTTTATTCAACTTCTCCTGAGGGCACTCCCCCAAAAATCCTGATCTCAGGCTCTACTTCTGGGTAAAAAGACCTCACAGGGGGTTAAAAATGGGCTTATGAGTTTGGGAAAACTTTGGCATCCTTGTTTGCAGCATATTACATGCAAAATTTGTAGTTGGTTTAATATGGTGAATAGTGAGATATATTTTGAATTATGTTCATTAATGGACTATCTCTTCCTATGATCAGTGTTATACAATCTCTCTTTCTAAAGGAAAACTGTCAGTATGCTAAAAATAAAATAATAAATAAAATGGAGGTGAAATAAAAGTAAATAGCTTACTATGAATAGTCAGAGAATATTGTTAATTAAATATTGTCAAGGAACATCTTGAGATGATTCAGTTTGTAAATGAAATGGGTAAGCATAGAAATATATTTTGCTCATTATCTAGTGTAGGACCTACCAGAAATTGAAATATTTTTGTAAGTTTGGCTAAAATTAATTAAAAATATACAGAAGGAAATAAAAGGAAAAATACACTTCCCTGGAATTTTACTTAGAGGAAATCTTAAATAAAAAAAGAAATCTCAGTACCCAAGTATGGGTAGAGAGTTGAGGTATTCTAACTGCCAATGAGCATGCAACATAACCCCAAGCCAATTCATTTAATCTTTTTGACCTAAGTAATCATATCTATAAAATATCCAAGTAGTTTTCCTCTGTGAAACTTTTGCACTGATTCTGTGAGAATAATTATCATTGCTTGCATGTTATTTTAAAAATTTACTTTAGTGTGCAGCAAAATAGAATGCTAACCAGACACGATCAAATATTTGTAGTTTCCTTATTCTCTAGAGTCAGAATCAGGAAATTAAATTTCATCACGAAGTAAATATGGTGTAAGATATTATGCTTGACACTATTTTTATAGGTCTTAACTTCCAGAAAGATATAGACAAATACCACTCAAGTCTCTCAGCAATAGGAATATATATATATATATAAAAGACATATAGGTAATTACAAAATCTTAATACATTTGTTAAGATATTCTTTTCTTTTGAATGTAATTATGACTGTCAACATATAAACTGTGACAACCAGCACCAAAACAAATAATGAGAAGACAAGTTAAGCAAATTCAGTTTGGGAAACACATTTAGTTATGTCAGTTACTCTCTACTTGTCACAACTGGCAATACTTTACCAGAAAAGTTATCACTGTACTACACTAGTGTAATTAATAGTAATAAAAATTCAAAGAAGTCAAATAATGTGAATGGATTTTCTACACAAAGAAAGAAAGCATGCTTTTAAAAATTCTAAAGATGAGTCAAGGCTTGTCAATGTTATAGCAATAATTATTTTACTGTGTTTTAAAATGTCTGTGTCAAAAGTTCAGACATGTACTCTTTAATTTTAGATAGAATTGGCTCTTAAGAGTAAGATCTGCTATTTAGGTGTAAAACAATAATATTGTGATATTAGAATAAGTAATTATCTGTTCAAAAGCTTCAGAAATGCCTTCCAGCTATTCTTTCTGCCTGTGGCAACAATAAAAGACCACCAGGGAGATGTCTGAATTCTAAATCCTGTCCTTCTATTGTTTAAGAGTTATTTTGTCAAAGGTTATATCCTTATAGATTTTTAACCAATAAATTAGAGAGAATTTTTTTCTAAGATCTATGTAGAAAACATGTTACCACCATCTTTTCCTCCAAGGTTTTAAAACAAAATTCCCATTGCAACAGTAAGAAATGAATCACACAAAATGTTTAGGGAAAGAGTTTCCTGCTACCTCCTATTTTGAGAGATAAATAAGTCTATCTGGAGTCAAGGTGATAGAGAAGATTAGTGGAAATAATAATTGCATATACATTAACCTGAAGATTAATCTTGAGGTCTTTAGTTGATAAGTTATAAAGCTATCTTTTTCACCATGACAAGATGACCACCCTCACATAAATTATGAAATAAAGTTTAGAAAGCAGTAATGGTGAAGACTCAAGCTACACACTAAAAAATCTAAGTGTATTTCAAGATACTTCAGTTTGAATATTAGATTGGGTATTATCTGGAGATCTATTTTCAGACAGAATTTGCAATCTTTTTATGGGATTATATATAATATGTGGAGTTCTTGTTTTAGTGGGTAGGTTATAAAGCCAAAACCTTCACCCCATTTCTTACTATGCAACTTTGGTTTTTTTCTCTTCACCACAGTGAACCTATTTCTTCTTTGGCAAATGCTATCTATTTCCCAGAGATGTCGTAAATGTAAAATAACATTTAATATAAAATATATTTGGTAAATATGACTCTATGATGTAACGTATAAAGCTGAAAGATTGGAACAGCTAATATTGTTAAGATGACATTACTACCCAAAATTTCTTAAAGATTCAATGCACTATCTACCAAAATTTCAACAGCATTTTTTTAAACAGGAAATTTTATCATGTAATATCTATGGAATCTCAGGGGACTTCGAGTAGCCAAAACAATCTTAAAAAGGAATTAAAACTTTTGAAAAAAGTTGGGGTGCTCACACTTCTTGATTTAAAAACTTACTACAGGGGATTTGGGACAAAATGTTTGACTAAACACATCATTAAGAGCCTCACTCACTGAGTGAGACCAAAACTTAGAATAAATTAACATGCTTCAAACAGATCTTTTTGAGACAAAATACTGAAAGTCGATAGGCAACACAGACACCAAGGCTGAAGAGGGAGAAAGCTGCAAGCCCTGCGTTGGATTGCCGACTGCCAAGATTCATTCCTGGCCCTGAATGGCTCCTAAGGAAGTGTTAAATGAAGTGATTGCTTCAACTATACTCAACTCACCTCACAGTCAAACCTTCAAGGGAATTAAAGAACATGAAAACCAAAAGCCCCACTCAAGCAAGAGCAAATTCTAAATAATAAAGGAAAACCAGCCCTCTTAGATGAGTGCAATAACTACGTCAATTTTAAAAATCAGAGTGTCTTCTTACTTTTAAATAGTTGTAGTAGCTTCCCAACAGTGGTACTTAATCAAATTGAAGTGGCAGGCATGACAGACAGAATTCAGAATCTGGATGGCAAGGGAGCTCAATGAGGTGCAGGAGAAAGCTGAAACCCAATCCAAGAAATCCAGGAGTTGAAAGACAATACAGTCATTTTAAGAAAGAACCAGGTTGGACATGGTGGCTCACACCTGTAATCCCAGCACTTTGGGAGGCTGAGGCAGGAAGATCGCTTAAGTCCAGGAGTTTGAGAGCAGCCTGGGAAACATAGTGAAACCCTGTCTCTACAAATATCAAAAAATAAAAAATAAAATTAATAAAAAGAACCATATTCAAATTTCTAGAACTAAAAAATTCACTACAGAAAATTTGTAATACAATTGGAAGCATTAACAACAGAATATAACAAGCTGATGGAAGAATGTCAGAGCTCAAAGACTAGTCCTTTGAATCAATACAGTAAGACAAAAACAAAGGAAAAAGTATTTAAAAAAGCAAAACCTCCAAAAAATATGAGATTATGTAAAGAGAGCAAACCTGTGACTCACTGACATTCCTGAGGAAGAAGGGGAGTGAATAAGAAACTTGCATAATATAGTTGAGTATATAGCTCATGAAAAATTTCCCAGTCTCAAAAAAGAGGCCAACATGCAAATTCTAGAAATTCAGAGAACTCCTATTTCCCAGAGATGTCTACAAAATGATCCCAGAGTTATACAAAATGATCATCAACAAGACACCTAGTCGTCAGATTCTCCAAAGTCAACATGAAAGAAAACACTCATAAAGGGAGCTAGAGAGAAGCGCCAGGTGACTTACAAAGGGAGCCCCATGAAGCTAGTAGCTGGCATCTCAGTAGAAATGTTTAAAGCCAAGAGTCTGGGGCTTATTTTCAGCATGCTTAAAGAAAAGAAATTCCTACCAAGAATTTCATATTCCATCAAACTGAGCTTCATAAGCTTCATAAGAGAATGAAATAACTAACATGGAAATAAAAGAAGGATACTTGCCACCACAAAAATATGCTTAAGCATATAGCACACAGACAATAAATAGCAATTATAAAATAAAGTAAAAAAAAAACAGCTATTAACAAGATGACAGGATCAAAGTCTCATATTAATATTAATCTTGAATGGCCTATTTGCCCCATTTGAAAGGCATAGAGTGGAAAGTGGGATCAAAAAAAAAAAAAAAAAAAAAAAAAAACAAGACCAAACTGCCTGCTGTCTTAAAGAGACCCATCTCACATGTAACAATACTCCCAGGTTCAAAGTAAAGGGATAAATATCTATTGTGCAAACAGAAAAAAAAAATAGATTGCTATGCTTATATCAGATAAAACAGACTTAATACCAACAATAGTCAAAAAGAACAAAGAGCATAACATAATAATAAACATTTTAATCAACAAGATTTAACTATCCTAAATACACACACACTCAAAACAGAAACAGCCAGATTCATAAAGCAAGTTCTTCTAGAGCTACAAAATGATGTAGGAAGCTATACAATAATAATAGGAGACTTCCACACCCCACCAACAGCGTTAAACAGATAATCAAGGCAGAAAGCTAACAAAGAAATCCTGGGCATAAACTCAACACTTGATCAAGTGGACCTAATAGGCATCTATAGAATATTCCACCCAACAACACCAAAATGTACATTCTTCTCATCTGCACATAGAACATATTCCCAGCTCAACCATGCTCCAACATAAAGCAAGTCTCAATAAATTCAAAAAAGTGAAAATTGTATGAAGCACACTATCAGACTACAGTGCAGTAAAATATAAATCAATAACAATAAGATCTCTCAAAACCACACAGTTACATGGAAATAAAACAAATTGGTCCTAGATTACTTTTGCATAAAATGAAATTAAGGTAGAAATCAAAAATTTATTTTCAATAAATGGAAAGGAACACAACATATCAAAACCTTTGGGGTGCTGCTAAAGCAGCATTAAAAGGAAATTTCATAATATTAAATAACTACATCAAGGTGTTAGAAAGATCTCAAGTTAACAATCTAATCTATTATTGCATCTAGAGGAACTAGAAAAACAAGATCTAACCAACCTACAATCTACCTGAAGAAAAGAAATAACCAAAATCAGAGGAGAAAATAAAACTGACATGCAAAAATCCATACAAAAGGCCAATGAAATCAAAAGTTGGTTTTTTTGAAAGGACAAACAAAATTGTAGACCATAAGCTAGATTAGCAAAGAAAAAAAGAGAGAATATCCAAATATGCACAATCAGAAATGACAAAGATTACATTGCAACTGATCCCACAAAAACCCAATATATCCTCAAAGAATATCATGTACACTTCTGTGCACACAAATTAGGGGAACTAGAGGAAATGAATAAATTCCTGGAGACAAACCACCTCCCAAGTTTGAACCTAGGAAGAAACTGAAACCTGAACAGACCAATAATAAATTCTGAAATGGAATAAGTGACTAAAAACCTACCAACAAAAAAGAACGTTGAACCAGATGGATTTACAGTGAAACTCTACCAGGCAAACAAAGAATAACTTGTACCAACTGCACTAAAAACATTTTAAAAAATAGAGTAGTTCCTCCCTCACTCATTCTATGAAGCCAGCATTGTCCTGATACCAAAAGCTCATAGAGACACAGTGAAAAAAGAAAACTTCAGGCCAATGAAAAGATCCCCCCCAAAATACTAGCAAACCAAATCCAGCAACACATCAAAGAGGTAATTCAAGTAGGCTGTATTCCTGCAATGCAAGGTTGATTCAAAATATGGAAATCAATAAATGTACTTTACCACATATACAGAATTGAAAACAAAAAGCATATGATAACCTCAAAAGTCACAGAAAAGGCTTTTGATAAAACCCAGCATTGCTTCTGTGATGGCTGATATTAGTTGTCAATTTGACTAGATTGAGGAATGCCTAGGTGACTGGTAAAATATTGTTTCTGGGTGTGTCTGTGACGGTGTTGCCATAGGAGATTTACATTTGAGTCTGTGGACTGGGAATGAAAGACTCCCCTCAATGTGAGTGAGCACAATCCAATTGGCTGCCAGTGCATCAAGAACAAAGTAGGCAGAAAAGGGGAGTCTTCTCGCTCCTTCTTTCTTCATGTTGGACATTTGCTTCTTCTCCTACCGTTGGACATCAGACTTCAGATTCCTCAGACTTTGAACTTTGGGACTTACACCAGTGGCCTCCTGGGGGCTCTTGGACCTTTGGCTACAGACTGAAGGCTGTACTGTTGGTTTTGAGGCATTCAGACTTGAACTGGGTCACTACTGGCTTCTCTCTTTCCACAGCTTGCAGGTGGTTTATCATGGGAATTTACCATGTAATTATGTGAGCCAAATCTCCCTAGTAAACTCTCTCTTATATATAAATATATCCTATTGATTCTGTCCCTCTGGAGAATCCTGACTAAAACACCTCCATGATAAAAATCCTCAACAAACTATGTATCACAGGGATATACCTCAAAATCATAAGATCCATCTATGACAAATCTAAAGCCAATATCATACTGAATGGGCAAAAAACACACCTCTTGAGAACAAGAATAAGACCGAGTTGTCCATTCTTACCAGTACCATTCAACATAGGACTGCAAGTCCTGCCAGAGTAATCAGGCAAGATAAAGAAATAAAAGACACCCATGTTACATGTAATAAGATACTATAGAACACTAAAACTTAATTCTCTTATCTAGCTATAGTTTTGTATTCATTAACCAGCCTCTTACTAACTCCTCCTCCCCTCAACCTTCCCAGTCTATAGTAACCATATTCTCTCTACTTTTATTAAATCAACTTTTTAAACCTCTACATATGAGTGAAAGCATGCAATATTTGTCTTTCTGTACCTGGCTTATTTTACTTAATATATTAAAAGCTCATCTATATTGCCACTAATGACAAAGTTTCATTCCTTTTTATGGTCCAACAGTATTCCATTGTGTATGTACATCACATTTCCATTATTCTTTTATCTGCTGATGGTCACTTAGGTTGATTTCATAGCTTGGCTATTGTAAATAGTGCTGCAGTAAACATGGGGGTGCAGATAGCTCTTTGGTATACTAATTCCCTTTCATATATATATTATACACACACACATATATATATATATACATATATATCTCCTTTAGTGAGATTGTATATCATAGGGTAGTTCTATTTTTAGTTTATTAAAAAACCTTCATACTGTTTTCCATAATGGCTGCACTAATTTACATTAGTACCAACAGTGTACAACAGAAAAAGTTCCTTTTTTTCCACATCCTTGACAGCATTTTTTTTATCCTTTTCATAAAATCCTGTAACTGAGGTGAGATAATATCTCATTATGGATTTAATTTGCATTTGCCTGATGATTAGTGATATTAAGACTTTTGTCATATAACTGTTGGGCATTTGTATGTCTTCTTTGAGAGATCTCTAGCTCAATTACCATTTTCTAACCGTATTTTTTTTTTTTTTTTTTTTTTTTTTTGCTGTTGAGTTGTTTGGATGTTTTTTTTAATTGCAAATATTCACCCCTTGTCAGATAAATAATTTTCGAATAGTTTCTTTCACTCTGGAGATGGGGGCAGGGCTCAATGGTGACTGGAAAGGGTAGATGGAGCAGCTATACAAAGGCACCATTCCCTAGGAGGAAATGTGTAATATTTGCTTGAGGTCCCAAGGGGCAACCACAGCAGTGACTGGAAGAAGTATATGGAATGACTCTGACAGGCAGTTTCCATGTGAAAGAGTGCACAGATCCAGCTCAGGTACATAGTGGCAGGGTACAGTAGCAACTGGGAGGAGTAAATGGCACAGTTCCTTCAAGGCACTGTTTCTTCAGAAGGAAATGTGTAACTTCAGCTCTGGCCTAAAGGGGTAAGTTTCATCCACAAGTGAGAGGATTAGGTGGGGCATCTCCACCACCACTTGGCCACATGGGGAAGAGTGTAACAGCCTCCTGCAGCTTGGCTTGGGGATATCATGCTACCAGGCAGGGGTGGTTCAGCAACACTTTACCCTCAGGGAGGAAAGGGTGCCATGAACACTCAGTCCCAGAGCAAAACACACTCCATTAGCAGTTTCAGTTCCAAGATGACATAGCTCAGTAGCCACAGGGTCCAGAGGGGGTAGGACACAGTGTTGGCTTTTTCTGTGGGGAAACACAGCTGTGTGGACTCAAGGAATCTCCCACAGCTAAGCTTAGTGCCTGTGAGAATGGCGGGAGTTCCCAATAATAAAAATTATATGTGTCCAAGGTGTTGATGGAGGCTGCTGGATTCCTCTTGCTTACCTTGTCTCCACCAGAGGAAGCTTCTTCTGCTTCCCAGCTTATCCTAGCTAGAGTATGGGGCTAGGGTATGGGGTGGCAGATGCCAAGTAGAACCTTCTCTTTTCTATATGTCTGTATTAGTCTGTTTTTGCACTGCTGAGAAAGACATACCCAACAGTGGGTAATTTTTAAAGAAAAAAGGTTTCATGAACTCACAGATCCATGTGGCTTTAGAGGTCTCACAATCATGGTGGAAGGTGAAAGGCATGTCTTACATGGTGGCAGGCAAGAGAACCAAGTGAGAGGGTTTTCCCCTTATAAAATCATCAGATCTTGTGAGATTTATTCACTATCACAAAAACAGCATGGGGAAAACTGCCCCCATGATTCACTTATCTTCCACCAGTTTCTTCCCACAACATGTGTTAATTATAGGAGCTACAATTCAAGGTAAGATTTTGTTGGGGATACAGCCAAACCATATCAATGACTATCTAGAGTTTCTGTGCTCATCAGGGTTTCTGTTACTCCTTTGATAAACTTTGTTGCTTTCCTTTAGTCATTTTTGTCAAAATGTAGTTGTTTGTTTGTTAATTTTGCTGTTTTTGTCAGGGGACAAGTGCTAGGAGCTTCTAGTCATCCATCTTGCTGACATCAGAATCCCCCTTTAGGTTTCTTTTATAGTTTGTGTTGATTTATGTCTTTCCTCTACATGGGCCATGCTTTTCTGTTTCGAGATTTTTTGTTGTTGAAAACTGAATATTTGAGCTTATGAGGTAACACTGGATATCAGATTCTCCCCTTTTCCAAGGATTTGCTGATTTTTGAATTGTTTTTGTTTCTTATTGTTTACACTATTATTGGCCGTCTCTGGGAAAAGAATCACCCTGAGGTGTTAACTTAAGGCATTTTCAGTTCTTTCCTCAGTCTGCATCTTTCCCTGGGCATTCAAGATCACTTTCTAGTTTTCCCCATACATGCAGTTGTTTTTGAATGTTCTAGTCTTTAATTAGTGGCTACAAAAGAGAAAAAAAAATCAATGGAGGGGAAGGGCACTAGCTCAATAAATATCCTGGAAATAACTTCAACCAGAGGAGGAAGGGCTTGCAACAATAAGTGGAGGGGCATCAACAATGGCCACCTGCCTGTTTGTCTGCATCTCTGTGATCAGAAGCGGCAATCAGTGATTAGAACATAGATCTCCAATATTTGGAGGACAGGGCTTTTTTCAGGGACCTTTTTGCCCACTCTAGTGTCTGCAAGCTGTGTGCAGATGTCTCTGGGAACAAGCACACAGTTGCTTGCCACTAGGCTGGGGCTAGAGGATGGGTAGCTGCTACTGTACTAAGAGCTGAAACTTACTGAAATTAACTGGAATTTACTGTCCAAGCCTTCCCCTGGAATTTGCAAGCTTTCCATACACTGCAGAATTCCAAAATGCTTTCATCAGATTTTGCTAGTGCAATTGTATTGATGGGGAGACAGTCACCTTTTTCTTCCTAGTCTGCCTTCTTCACAGAATTCTCTTTTCTACCAATATATTTTAAGACAAATAATTTTCTTTAAAATAGCTTTTCTATATGACTTAAAATCTGGGTGTACCATGGCATAAATATTGAGAGTTAAAGTCTAACACTTATATTGACCAGATCACTTACATCACTTACATTTAAGTCTCAAAACCATAAAAATTAACTGTATTAAAAAAACAGGCAAAAATAAAATGAAAAGCCGCTAGTTTTCACAAACACATAAGAGACATCCTTTTACTTTTTAGGTTGAGACTATTTGATAGGTAATGTTTTGAATGATGCACTGTTTATAATGTGATGTGTGAGAATGCTAGAATTGTAGAGAAAATATATGACTCACTTCATATGGTGCCTTAAGCTTTTATATAAATTGTTGTAGTAACAAACATTAACTTCAACATAAGTTAATGAAATCAGAGAAAATATTTTATAGCATTTATTAGTCATTCTCATATTCAGAAGATTTCATATATCCATACTGTTTCTTGTGACTAATTCTGTTTATCACTGATAGAAGGAAAATTGAGTGTCAACATTGCCTAAGATTGCCTATATAAAGCATTTCTTATGAGGTGACCCTCCTTTTTCACCATAAATTTGCTCCTTAAATATTTATATCTACAAAATACGCTAGCACTATTTTACCTAGTAAATACAGCTGTGAACAACACTGAGACAAAATTCCAGTCTCATGAATTTATATTCTAGTTGTGGTATGTGGGACTCAGTAAAAGTTAGTCATGAGGCAAATCTATTACAGGCACTTTCTCTGGAGAGAATAACTTAATGTTAGCTTAATATGTTGTAAACAAAGATGTTGATAAAACAAGTTAATCTAGTCATTCTATTTGATGAATAATATTATGAATTTTCTATTTCTCATGAATTATGCTGTGTGGAGAGCATAGAAACACATGGGAAAACAGGAAAAGTCATAATCTAAACTTCAGTGTGAAAAGCACCTTATTGAAAATAAACAAGTAAGCATGAAATACTGTGGAATCACACAGAAAAGACTTCCTTTTTAACATTAAGTAAAGGGAAATTTTCTTGGAGAAAGTAATATATAAGGTTAACAGATAAAGGAGAGTTATCCATAATCAAGCCAAGGTGAACACAACTCTTCCAAAGTATGCTTATTTTAGTTTTATATACTAATATGAAAGATTTTTTTCTCTTGACTTCTACATGATAAACATGATTGTTGCATTCTCATTTGCCATTCTAAAAATATCCCTTCTGAAATGAAAAGCTGATATTTAAATCTCCCAGCCAATTATTATTTTGTAAAGTGATTCAAATTTTTTGACTGAAATTGTTTACATAAAATATCAATAATTAATGTCATTTCTATAAGAATCTGAGCCAAGAAAAATTTTCATTCTAGAATAGGATACTAAGTAAGCTAATAGTATATTTTGCAGAATAAATCATTATAAATTGGATATGCACTGATGCCAAAAGAAAATGAACTTAATAGGAAATATAATGTTAAGGTTATGTTGGTCTTTTAAAATTAACAAAATCCAGTCGATATCAAGATGGCCAAATAGGAAAAACTCTGCTCTGCAGCTCCAAACATGATCAATGCAGAAGATGGGTGATTTCTGCATTTCCAACTGAGGGACATGGTTCATCTCATTGGGACTGGTCGGAAAGTGGGTGCAGCCCTTCGAGGGTGAGCCGAAGCAGGTTGGGGCATCACCTCACCCAGGAAGTGCAAGAAGTTGGGGAATTTCCCTTTCTTAGCCAAGGGAAGCTGTAACAGACTATACCAGGAAAATTGGGACACTGCCACCTAAACACTGCACTTTTCCAATGGTCTTAGCAAATGGCACACCAGGAGATTATATCCCGCACATAGCTCAGCGGGTCCCATGCCCATGGAGCCTTGCTCACTGCTACTCCGAAATCGAACTGCGAGTCAGCAAGCCTGGCTGGGGAAGGGGCGTCCACTATTGCTGAGGCTTGAGTAGGTAAATGAAGTGGCCAGGAAAGCTCGAACTGGGTGGAGCCCACTGCAGTTCAATGAGGCCCAGCTGCCTCTGTAGACTCCACCACTGGGGGCAGGGTATAACTGAACAAAAGGCAGCAGAAACTTCTGCAGACTTAAACATCCCTGAATGACAGCTCTGAAGAGAGCAGTGGTTCTCCCAGCACAGTGTTTGAGCTCTAAGAACGGACAGGTCACCTCCTCAAGTGGGTCCCTGACCCCCATGTAGCCTAACTTGGAGATACCTCCCAGTAGGGGCTGACTGACACCTCATACAACCAGGTGCCCCTCTGAGATGAAGCTTCCAGAGGAAGGATCAGACACAATATTTGCTGTTCTGCAATATTTGCTGTCCTGCAGCCTCCACTGGTGATACCCAGGGAAACAGTGTCTGGAGTGGACCTCCAGCAAACTCCAACAGACTTGCAGCTGAGGGTCCTGACTGTTAGAAGGAAAACTAACAAATGGAAAGGAGTAGCATCAACATCAACAAAAAGGACATCCACACCAAAACCCCATCTGTAGGTCACCATCATCAAAGACCAAATGTAGATAAAACCACAAAGATGGGGAGAAACCAGAGCAGAAAACCTGAAAATTATAAAAACCACAGCACCCCTTAAAAGGATCGCAGCTCCTCACCAGCAATGGGACAAAGCAGGACAGAGAATGACTTTGACGAGTTGACAGAAGTAGGCTTCAGAAAGACAGTAATAACAAACTTCTCCAAGCTAAAGGAGGATGTTCGAACCCACAGCAAGGAAGCTAAAAACCTTTAAAAAAGATTAGACGAATGGTAACTAGAATAAACAATGTAGAGAAGACCTTAAATGACCTGATGGAACTGAAAACCACGGCACAGGAACTACGTGACGCAAGCACAAGCTTCAATAGCTGATTCAATCAAGTGGAAGAAAGGGTATCAGTGATTGAAGATCAAATTGATGAAATGAACTGAGAAGAGAAGTTTAGAGAAAGAAGAGTAAGAAATTAACAAAGCCTCCAAGAAATATGAGACCATGTGAAAAGAACAAATCTATATTTGATTGGTGTACCTGAAAGTGACGGGGATAATGGAACCAAGCTGGAAGCACCACATTACCTGACTTTACAGTACGAAATTACAGTAACCAAAATAGCATGGTACTGGTACAAAAACAGGCACATAGACCAATGGAACAGAATAGAGAGCCCAGAAATATGGCCACACATCTATGACCATCTGATCTTTGACACAGATGACAAAAACAAGCAACAGGGAAAAGATTCCCTAACAATAAATGGTGCTGGCTTAACTGGCTAGCCAGATACAGAAGATTGAAGCTGGGCCCCTTCCTTACACCATACACAAAAATCAATTCAAGATGGATTAAAGACTTAAATATAAAACTAAAAACTATAAAAACCCTGGAAGACAACCTAGGCAACACCATTCTGGACATAGGAATGGGCAAAAATTTCATGACAAAGCCAGCAAAAGCAATTGCAACAAAAGCAAAAATTGACAAGTGGGATAAAATTAAACTTAAGAGCTTCTGCATAGCAAAAGAAACTATCAACACAGTAAACAAACAACCTACAGAATAGGAGAAAATATTTGTAAACTAAGCATATGAAAAAGGTCCAATATATAGCATCTATGAGAAATGTAAACAACTTTACAAGAGAAAAACAACCCCATTAAGACGTGGGCAAAGGATATGATCAGACACTTCTCAAAAGAATACATACATGCAGCTAACAAGCATATGAAAAAATTTCAGTATCACTTATCATTAGATAAATGCAAATCAGAACCACAGTGAGATATCATCTTACACTAGTCAGAATGGCTATTATTAAAGGTGGCCTGGTTGTAGAGAAAAGGGAACACTTATACATATTTTGCATTAGTGTAAACTAGTTCAATCATTGTGGGAAACAGTATGGGAATTCCTCAAGAACTAAAAGAAGAACTATCATTCAGCCCAGCAATTTCGTTACTGGGTATATAGTCAAGGAAATACAAGCCATTCTACCATAAAGACACATGCTTGTGAATGTTCATTGCAGCACTATGCACAATAGCAAAGATATGGAATCAACTTAAATGCCCATCAATGATAGACAGGATAAAGAAAATGTGGTACATAAACACCATGTAATACTACGCAGCCATAAAAAGAAATGAGATCATGTCCTTTGCAGAAACGTGGATGGAGCTGGAGGCTATTAGCCTCAGCAAACTAACACAGGAACAGAAAACCAAATACCACATGTTCCCACTTATAAGTTAGAGCTAAATGATGGGAATTTATGAACATAAGAATACAACAGACACTGGTGTCTACTTGAAGGTGGAGGGTGGGAGGAGAGAGCGAAACAGAAAAGATAACTGTTGAGTACTGGGATTAATACCTGGGTGATGAAATGATATGTACAACAAACCCTTGTGACACGTGTTTACCTATGAAACAAACCTTCACATGTACCTAAAATGTAAGTAAAACAACAACCATGACAACAACAAAAATAATACTTTGCCTGTTAGGCATCTTTTGTGGTTCCATACAAATTTTAGAGTTATTTTTAAAATTTCTATTAAAAATCCTATGGGAATTTTATTGGGCATGGCATTGAATCTGTAGATAACTTTGTACAGTATGGATATTTTAAAACTAACGGTTTTTCTAATTTATGAACACAGAATATCTTTTTATTTATTTGTGTCTTCCTCAATTTCTTTCATCAATGTTTCATAGTTTTTATTGTACATATTTTCATCCCATTGTATAAATGTATTCTTAATTATTTTATTCCTTTTAGTACTACTATAAATGAATTTTTTTGTTTTATTTAGGTATTTCATTTTAAGTGTATAGGAATGCAGCTGACACTTTTATGTTGATTTTGTATCCTGTAATTTCACTGAATTTGTTTATCAGTTCTAACTATTTTGGGGTGGAGTCTTTAGGGTTTTCTATATATCAGATCATGTCATCTGCAAAACAAAAATAAAATACAATTTAACTTCTTATTTTTTGACTTGAGTGCCTTTTATTTTTTTATGGCTTAATTTCCCAAGCTAGAACTTCTAGTACTATGTTGAATAGAAGTGGTGGTAGTAGGTACTCTTATTTCTAATCTTAGGGGAACACTTTCAGCTTTTCACCATTGACTGTGTTTGCTATGGCCTTTGTATGATCTTTTATATGATCTTTATTACCTTGAGATACATTTCTTCTATTCCTAATTTGTTGAGAGTTTTTATCATGAAATGACATTGAATTTTGTTAAATGCCTATTCTGCATCCATTAAGATCATCCTGTAATTTTAATCCTTCATTCTGTGAATGTAGTATATCACATTTATTTATTTATGTTGAACCATCCTTGCATCACAGGAATAAATCCCACTTGATTATGATGAATGATTTTTTTAAAGTGCTGTGGGGGCTGGGAATGATGGTTCATGCTTGTAATCCCAGCACTTTGGTAGGCTGAGGCAGGTGAATTGCTTGAGTCCAGGAGTTTGAGACCAACCTTGGCAACATGGCGAAACCACATCTCTACCAAAAATATGAAAATTAGCCAGTTTCATAGCTCAGTCTTAAAATTAATTAATTAATTAAAATTTAAAAATTAAATTAGAAAATAAACAAAAATTAAAATTTGTTGTGGGATTCAGTTTGATAGTATTTTGTTGAGAATTTTGCATCTATATTCATCAAGGATATTGGCCTGTACTTTTTTTTTTCAGTTTTAACCACTTTAATGAGGTATGTTTGATGTTCAAAAACCTGCACATATTTAATGTATACAACTTAAGTTTGGAAGTAGGTATACTCTCGTGAAACCATCATCACAATCAATGTCATAAACACATCTATCACTTTCAAAAGTCTTCTCCCACCCTTTTTATTTGTTATTACTATTTTTTTCTGATAAAAACAGGTCTTACATATTGGCCTATACTTTTCTTGTAGTATCCTTATCTGGCTTTTGGGCTGAGGGTAATGTTCACCTTATAAAGTGAGTTTAGAATTATTCCCTTCTTTTCAAATTTTGGAAGAGTTAAATATGAATTATTTAAATATGAATTATTAAATATGAATTATTTAAATGCTTTGCAGTTTATTTAAACTGTGAAGCCCTCTGTTTCTGGGATTTTCTTTTGGGAAGATTTTCAGTTATTGATTCAATCTTTTTACTAGTTATGAGACTATTCATAGTTTGTATTTCTTTATAATTCAGTTTTGGTAGGTTTTATGTTTCTAAGAATTTATCTATTTTTTGTAATTTATCCAATTTGTTGTTCATAGTGGTCTCTTATTGATTTCTTGTATTTCTATGGTATCATTGCAATGATCTTTTTTTCACTTATAATTCTATTCATTTGAGGCCTCTCTCTCTTTTTCCTGGTTTGTATGACTAAAGAATTTCAATTTTGTTCATTTTTTTGAAATACCACAGTTGGTATGACTGCTACCTGGGAAATAACCTGCATTTTCAAAATGGCCCTCCTCAGTGTTGAGCTTAACTATAGTTTTACAACCCTGATTATAAAGCTTCCACAAATACACTTTTGTCTGTGGAACACTGCCAAGTTACTGTTGCTACGATAGAACATAAGTGAGGTTCTCTTATTCTGCCATTCTGCTGTCACTCTCTCTTCCAGATAAAAGTTAGAATTTAGAATCAGTATGTCAAGTTAGAGAAGAATATTATTAAGATATTGAATGTTATTACATTTTGCAGATGACTTTCTATTCCAGAACACTTGTATAGATTTCCTGCTTTATAGAAAGAACAAGGATAAGTGAATTAGAGCCCTGAGTCAAATTTGGTCTTCAGCCTGTTTTTGTATGGACCTCCAAGTAAAAATATATATTTTTTTAATTTTAAAGGGGTGTATAAAAAAAGAATTATCCAACAGATTATACATTATCCAACAGATAATGTATATGGCCTACAAAGCACATATATTTTCTGAATGGCCCTTTATTAAAAAAAAGATAACTGACCTCTGTCCTATGATTAAATTGAATAATTCTCTGCATATTAGTTTTGAAATTTTCTAGTAGAATTATTTCTAGCTATTTTGTTTATTCTTGAAAAACAATTTTAATTATCTGTTCTATTTTATATTAATATTTAATTCATAATTGATATTGATATATTGGTATTAATGTGTATTTAATTTTATAATTTGATATTTTATTTAAGAATTTAAGCAATACTTGGATAGTCTAAATTCAAAATTATACCATCTAAAAAATGGCCACTCAATTTCCCTTCTGTGCTATTAATTGTGTGAATTAGATATTTTTCTATCCTATTACTCTGACATTTTCTGGCAACATAGTAACTCAGATAGATTTCTCTTTCTAAGAAACATATAGAAATTCTAGACCAAAAATAGATAAATAAAAAAGATACTTACCCCTGCATGAAGAAAGCGAATCAGAGGCAATGTAGTTTTTTATTATTTATTTATTATTATTATTTTTTTTACATAGTCTCACTCTATCTCCCAGGCTGGAGAGCAGTGGTGCAATCTTGGCTCAGTGCAACCTCTGCCTCCAGTGTTCAAGCAATTCTCATGCCTCAGCCTCCCTAGTAGCTGGGACTACAGGTGCACGCTGCCACGCCCAGCTAATTTTTTGAATTTTTAGTAGAGACAGGGTTTCACCATATTCAGGCTGGTCTTGAACTCCTGACCCCAGGTGATCTGCCCACCTTAGCCTCCCAAGGTGCTGGGATTACAGATGTGAGCCAACGCAGCACCCGGCCCAGTGAGTAGCCTTAAGCTAACATTTTTGTTTGCTTGTTTTCAGTGTTTTGCAAAATATGCCTGACCTAGAGTATAAGACAGAGCACAAGGTTTACATGTGGATAAAAATCATGACATTAACTTAAGTGGGGCTGAAAATTGGAATAATATTTAACCTGAAATCTCAAAATTCTGTCCCATTTATTTTTTTAAAAAATGGAGGAGTGACCAGAAAAACCTTCTACACAAGTTCTGAGATAGTTTGGGAAACATTCATCTCTATGAATGTCATGGTCTGGTTAAAGTTCCAAGTTCCAATTCCAAGTTATTATATCTTTAAGAAATATCATATGACAATGTGCCAAACCAAAGTCGGAAATATTATGAACTGGTTGTTTTAGGCTTTTTAACAGGGAATAAGTGTATTGCCAAATTTAAATACTTAAGAAATAGACAAAGCTATATATCCATTTAATGTTGAGCTAAGTTTTGAGTAAATTAGTGATCATTTTCACTGTCAGCCAATAGTCGAGGACTGCATACTGTGTATATATAAGCACTATTCCAATTTTTCTATTTTATATCTTTTGAGATTTTCAATATTACACCTGCTAGATAAAATCAAAATTTCTGACTGAAAGGCTATTAAACTTTTTTTTACATTGTTTTTAAAAGGGATGGGGGTCTTGCTATGTTGCCCAGTCTAGACTTGAACTTCAGGGCTCAAGTGATTCTTTCACTTCAGCTTCTCAAGCGGCTTGGGACTACAGGTGTGAGCCACCGTACATAATTTAATTAATTTTTTGATAAATATAATTAAATTCAGTTATTAATTGAACAAAGATACTGAGATACTGGTAAGTTCTAGGTTCTGTTCTAGTAATGAATTAAACAAATTATAAAGAACAGCAGCAAAATCTGAGTTCCATGGAATTTTTAAATTTTTATTTTAATAGAAATTCAGGTTTGCTTCTTACCAACATATGTTCAAAATTTCTATGTCAGAAAAAATAAAAGCAGACATATTGACAAATGCATTGTTTACTAAGGCCAAGTGCACAAACTTGTTTTTATGCTTATTTTTATCTCTTTATCCTGTCAACAATAAATAATGTGAAGAGAAATGGGAAAGAAAAAATACCCTTCTAGAAATAAGTAATTAGAAACTCAAATTATTTGATTTAATATTGGTGAAAATCATAGTTGAATTCATAACCAGGAATTTCAATAGCAGGTAACCAGAGAACTTAAAAGAATGTGAGGTTATTGACACAAGTAATTGGACAAAGTCAAACTATTAAAACTATGTTTAAAAATAAACAAATTTATCCAGTATTTTCCATTTTGTTGCAAAGGACTTTTAAATTTTTATTATAGTGTTAAGTTTGTAATACTATTTCAATATCATATATACAAAAAATCATTTAAAAATAATACTGTTTCTCTCTAATGCATTAAATTATACCGTTAGATAATTTTTACCTTATTGCAATAGCATTTAATAATCAAAGCTCTTTATTCTGTTAATAATCAATGGTTCATTTAACTTTTATTAGAACCATAACATTTTAATCTTAAAACTTTTAAATTTCACGTATAATTGCATTTATAAAAATGTTATTTGGGGTTTTTTAGAGCATTGTGTAATCCAAGTAGTAAAGCTTACTTCTAATACAGATTTTTCAATAATTTTGTTTTCAGAGCAATTTTTGTGTTCACAGTAAAATTGAGCACAAATTGGGGTGTCCACATACTTACTGTATCCTCCCTATAGACAGCCTTTTCCAACATCAACTGGTTGCACCAGAATCACACATTTGTTACAATGTACGTTCATATACTGACACATCATTATCACCCCAAGTCCACAGTTTACACTAGGGTTCTCTGGTGATGTTGTACATTCTATGAGTTGTGACAAATATTTAATGATGTATACCACTCATTATAATAACATATAGAAAAGGTTCGCAATGCTAAGAATCCAGTGTATTCTGATTATTCACCCTTACTTCCCCACCAATCACTAGTACCAATTATTTTTACTGTGTCCATAGTTTTGTCTTTTCCAGAATGCCATAAAATTGAAAGCATACAGCATGTACACTTTCAAATGGGTTTCTTTCACTCCGTAATATGCATTTAAAATGTATCCATGTCTTTTTGTGACATAATGGCTTATTTCTTTTTTAACACTAAATAATAATCCATTGTCTGCATGTATCACAGTTTATCCCTTCATCTACTGAAGATGTATCAGATTCTTTCAAGTTTTGGTCACTATGAATAAAGCTGCTTTAAACATCAGTGTCCACTTTTTTGTATGACAGAAGTTTTAAGCTCCCTTGGGTAGATACCAAGGAGAATTATCGCTGTATCATATGGTAAGAGTATGTTTAGATTTGTCAGAAACAACCCAGCTGTCTTCCAAAGTGGCCATATTGTTTTGCATTTCCACCAAAAATTAATGAGAGATCCTGTTCCTCCTCATCATCCCCAATGTTTAGTGTTTTCAGTGTTCTAAATCGCGGTCATTCTAACAGGTGTATAGAAAACAACATAGAGGTAACTCGATGTTTTTCTCATTTGTGCTTCCCTGATGGAATATATAATTTTTAGAATTTGTGTGTATGCTTACTGTCATATCTATACATTTTTTTTTGACGAGCTGTTTTTTTCGACGAGCTGTTTTTTTCAGATTTCTTACTAATTTTTAATAGGGTTATTTGTCTTTATTGTTTAATTTTAAAAGTTCTTTGTATGTTTTTATGAGTCCGTTGTCAGATATGTCTTTACAATTATTTTTTGCAGGCCTGTGACATATTTTCTCACTCTTTCGATGAACAGAAGTTTTTAAGCTTAATGAAGTACAGCTTATCAATTATTTCTTTTGTGGAGAATGCATTTGATGTATCTAAAAAGTTATCATCAATAACCCAAGATCATCTAGGTTTTATCATATGGTATCTTCTAGGAGTTTTATACCTTTGTGTTTTACATTTAGATTTGTGACCTATTTTGAGTTAATATTTATGGATATATGTGGTCTGTGTCTAGATTTATTATATATATATTTTGTGCATGCATATGTGCAGGTGTTTGTTTTAGCACCATTTGATGAAAAGACGATCTTTGCTCAATTGTATTGCCTTTGCTTTTTAATCAAAGGTCAGTTGGCAACATTTGTATAAGGCTATTTCTGAGCTTTCTATTCTGTTCCATTGATCTTTTTGTTTGTTTTTATCATCAGTACCACACTGTTTTAATTGCTACAGCTTTATGGTGAGTCTTGATACTGGTTAGTGTGAGTCCTCAAACTTCATTATTCTCTCTGAATGTTGCGTCTGCTATTTTGGGTCATTAGCTTCTCCATATAAACTTTAGTTAGTCTGTGAATATTCATAAAATAACTTGCTGATATTCTGACTGGGATTGCATATAATGTATACATCAAGTTGGGAAAAAATGACATCTTGTCAATATTTAGTCTTCCTATTCATAAATATTGAATATCTCTCAACTTATTTAGATCATTTATATTTATTGTTAGGTTTATACCTAAATATTTAGTGTTTTGGAGTGTTAATATAAATAGTATTGTGTTTTAAATTTTAAATTCCACTTGCTTATTGCTGGTATATAGGAAAGTCATTGACTTTCATTATTGATCTTATATCTACAACTGTGCTATACTCGTTTGTTAGTTCCAGTAGGTTTTTGTTATTGTTGATGATGTCTTTAGAACTTCTACATAGCCAATCATGTCATCTGTGGGCAATAACAAATTTATTTATTCCTTTAGAATATATACATTTTTTGTATTATTTTCCCATCTTATTTCATTAACTAAGACTTTCAGGATAACGTTGAAAAGAGAGTGGTAAGAGGTAATGCCATTGTCTGGTTCTTGATCTTTTTGGAAAAGCTCTTAGTTTCTCAGCATTAAATATGATGTTAGTTATAGGTTTTTTTTGTAGATGTTATTTATCAAATTGAGACTTTTCCCCTTATTGTTTGTTGGGTGGTTTCCTTTTTCATCATAAATGGGTGATGTTGGCAAATGCTTTTTCTGCATCTCTTGATAGTACCTTTTTTTTGTTAGTCTATTTATGAGATGAATTACCTTTATTCATTCCCCTTTTTTTCAAATTTATTTCAGATTTAGGGGGTACATGTGTAGGTTTGTTAACTGGGCATATTGTGTGAAAACGATGTTTGGAGTATAAATGATTCTCTTACCCAGGTATTGAGTATAGCATCCACCAGCTTTTCAGTCATTGTTCTCTTCCTCCTCCCATATAGCATTCCTGTGTTTCTATTATTCCCATCTTTATGAGAACCCAAAGATTAGCTCCCACGTACAAATGAGAACATAATGTATTTAATTTTCTGTTCCTGTGTTAATTAACTTAGGATAATGGCCTCCAACTGCATCCATATTGCTGCAAAGAACATGATTTTATTCTTTTTTATGGCTGCATGGTATCCTATGGTGTATATACACCATATATGTTTTATCCCATTTAATGTCGGGGCACCTGGGTTAATTTCATGTCTTTGGTATTGTGAACAGTGCTGCAGTGAACATGAAAGAGCATGTGTTTTTTGGTGCAAAGAACTATTTTCTTTTGGATCTATACCCAGTAATGAAATTGCTGGTAAAATGGTAGTTCTATTTTAAGTTCTTTGTGTGGGAAATGCTAGCCAGAACAATTTGACAAGATAAAGAAACAAAATACATCCAAAGAGGAAAAAAGAATTCAAACTCTCTTGACATAAAATGTGATCCTATACCTAGAAAACCTAAAGACTTTGCCAAAAGACTTCTAAAACTCATAAAAAAGTAAAGTTTCGGAATACAAAATCAATGTACAAATATCAGCAGTTTTTCTTTACACCAATAACGTTCAAGCTGACAACCAAATGAAGAATGCACTTTAATTTATAATAGCCACTCAAATAAAATATCTAGAAATACATCTAACCAAGGAGGTAAAAGATCTCTAAAGGAAAACTATTAAACACTGCTGAAAAAAATCAGAGGTGACACAAAGAAATGGAATAACATTTCATGTTCATGGACCGGATGAATCAATGTTGTTAAAATGGCCATAATCCTCAAAGCAATATACAGATTCAACACTATTCCTGTCAAACTACTAATGTCATTTTTCACAGAATTAGAAAAAAACTATTCAAAAATTCATATGGAGCCAAAAAGGAGCCCAAATAGCTAAAACAATCCTAAGCAAAAAGAACAAAGTTGGAGGCATTACATTACCAGACTTCAAAGTAAACAATAATGCTACAGTAACCAAAACATTATGGTCCTGGTTCAAAAACAGATAGACCAATGGAACAGAATACACAACCCAGAAATAACATCACAAACCTCCATCCATCCGACATTCAACAAAGTTGACAAAATTATGCAATAGGGAAAAGGACTCCCTACTCAATAAATGGTGCTGGAATAGCTGGCTTGCCATATGCAGAAGAATGAAATTGGACCCCTACTTTTCACCATACACAAAAATTAACTCAAGTTGGATTAAAGATTTAAATGTAAGTCCTCGAAATACAATAATCCTAGGAGAAAAGCTAGGAAACACAATTCTGAGCATCAGCCTTGGGAAAGAATTTATGACTAAGATCCCAAAGGCAATTACAACAAAAACCAAAATTGACAAGTAGAACCTAATTAAACTAAAGACCTTCTGCACAGCAAAAGAAACTATCAGCAGAGTAAACAGACACCCTACAGAATGGGAGAAATATTCATAAAGTATATATCCAACAAAGGTCTAATATCCAGAATCAGTAAGGAACTTAAATAATTGAACAAGCAAAAAACAAATAACTCCATTAAAAAATGGAAAAAAGACATAAAGAGACACTTCTGAAAAGGAGATATACAAGCAGCCAACATATACCAATTGATTAATATATGTTGAACCAGGCTTGTCTACTTAGAATTAATCCCACTTGATCATGACATAGTAATTATCTTTATACATTGTTGGATTTGATTTTTGATTTGCTAATATTTTGTTGATGATTTTTGTATTAGTATTCATGAGAAATATTAGTCTGTAGTTTATTTTTTAAAGAAGTCTTTAGATTGATATTAGAATAATGCTGGCATCATAGAATGAATAAAGAACTATTCTTTCTGCTTCTGTCTTCTGGAAAAGACAGTAGAAAATTGTTTTTTTTTAACGTTTTGTAGATTCATTGGTGAATTTATCTGGATTTGTCATATAATGTTAATCACTGTTTATGGTTATGACTTTACTACTTTTATTGTAAATAACTAAGCCCATATATGGGCTCATATGCATTTGCATTCTCAAGTTAGAAATATTAATTGAAAAACTTTCTCTAAAATAAAGGTTTCTCAAGTGAAAATTATACAAACATTATCTGTAAGATAAACAATGAGACACAACACAAAATGCCATTGTTATATGTGTTATAACATAAAAGAAAATTACAAGAATATTAGCATATACCTTTGGATATATTCTAAATATGTTACCTTGTATGATGTCATCATAGTTACAATGGTAAATTATCATTTCTGTTGCAGAAGTTTTATTCAGCAACTCAAGTTAATTAGTAAATAAAAATGCTTAAAATTAATATGCAAATTTATGATCTTATAAAATGTTAGAATTAAAAATACTTTACTTTTTTCAATTAAGAATCTACTAGCTCCTGAAAATACAATGTTAAATAAGAAAAATATTCTTACCATTATATAATGTTCCTTCCAGTGAGGGAAGCATAACATAAACAAGTACACATAAATATCTTGTAATTTCAGAGGTGTGATATAAACAATAAAAGACTAAGATAGGAGTGAGTTCTAAGGCAAGTTTGACAAGAAAGGCATCTCTAAGGAAGTGATGTTCCTCTGTATATTTACAGAAAGAAAATGTGTAGATTATGTAAATGTAACTTAAAAGTTATAAATGAAATTTAACTTCTCTAGGCAAAACTTATTAATAGGACAGGGGTAATTTTTACAACATCCATCCTCCAATTATAACCTCAATCTTTCTTTACCCTCATAGGTAGCTCTTTACTTATTGCTTCTAGAATGCTAAAACTTATAGCAAAATTGGTTCTCTATTGAAAATGCTACATATGACAAAAATGTCATTAGCCATATATGACATTAAAATTCAAAATTTAAGTTAAATTATTGCACATTTTTTTGCTTAAATACCATAAAAGTAATTCAATTTTCCAGCATTATATTCGTCTTTTAAGTATTCAAAGTGAATCTAAGACAAGAATGTATGGAATGCAGCATTTTTCAGAAGTGGTTTGACTAAGGAATTTCATGCTGTGGGACAAAAAAAAAAACGGATTTTCTATAGAAATGTCGAATAACAAAAACTTTCTAAGAGATATCTGTACATTCATGTTTATTACAGCATGATTCACAATAGCCAAAAGGTGGAAGCAACCCAAATGTCTATCGACACATGAATGGATTTTTTAAAAGGTGGTATATAAATACAACAAAATATTATTTAGTATTAAAAAGGAAGGAAATTCAGACATAGGCTATGTCATGGATTAACGTTGAAGATATTACACTGAGTGAAATAAGCCAACCATAGAAAAGCAAATACTGTATGGCTCAACTTACATAAGGTATAAGGTATTTACAGAATAAAAATGGGTAAATGATGTACATATAGCTTTAAAGTTACAAATGAAATTTATAGAATAGTTAATTCATAAAAACAGAAAGTAGAATAGTGGTTACCAGGGAATGGGCAGGAGGACTAGGGAGCTGTTGTTTAATGGTTATGGAATTTCACTTTTGCAAATGGAAAAGAGTTCTTTGTATTGATTACCAAACATTGTGAACATACTTAACACTACTGAACTATACGTTTAAAAATGGTTAAGATGATGCATTTTATATTATGTGTATTTTACTATAATTTTTAAAACTGTGTATTCACCCATCACTTATTTCTATGATAGAAAATTCATAACATATAAAAAATAATTATTATAAAAACCTCACTAGTGTTTAAAATACATTGTAAAAGCTTTAGAAAGGCTCATGTAACTAACATTCTAAATAGAGCTCTATAATTAGGCCAGGCATGGTGGCTCATGCCTGTAATCCTAGCACTCTGGGAGGCCCAGGCAGGTGGATCACTTGAGGCTGGGAATTTGACACCAGCCTAGCCAACATGGCGAGACCCTGTCTCTACTAAAAATACAAAAATTAGCCCGGTGTGGTGCTGCATGCCTGTAATCCCAGCTACTTGGGAGGCTGAGGCCCAGGAATTGCTTGAACCCAGGAGGTGGAGGTTGTAGTGAGACAAGATTGCACCACTGCACTCCAGCCTGGACGACAGAGTTAGATTCTGTTTCAAAAAAAAAAATTTATGTATACATGTACATATATATACACACGCATATATATACACACATATATATCTATATGGCTCCAAAATTAAAGCCCTGTTTCTCCACCTAGCCATAAATTAACTTCATTTATTATTTATTTATTATTTATTTATTTATTTATTTGAGACTGAGTCTTGCTTTGTCACCCAGGCTGCAGTCCTGTGGCGGGATCTTGGCTCCCTTACTGCAAGCTCTGCCTCCTAGGTTCACGCCATTCTTCTGCCTCAGCCTCCCAAGTAGCTGGGACTACAGGTGGCTGCCACTATGCCCAGCTAATTTTTTATATTTTTAGTAGAGATGGGTTTCACCGTGTTAGCCAGTGTGTCCAGAATTCATTCCTTCTGGTGGGTTCTTGGTCTTGCTGACTTCAAGAATGAAGCTGCGGACCCTCGCGGTGAGTGTTACAGTTCTTAAAGATGATGTGTCCAAAGTTTGTTCCTTCAGATGTTCAGATGTGTCTGGAGTTTCTTCCTTCTGGTGGGTTCTTGGTCTTCCTGACTTCAGGAGTGAAGTTGCAGACCTTCACAGTGAGCGTTACAGCTCTTAAATGTGGCGCGTCCAGAGTTGTTCATTCCTCCCGGTGGGTTCTTGATCTCACTGACTTCAGGAGTGAAGCTGCAGACCTTCACAGTGAGTGTTACAGCTCTTAAAGGTGGTGCATCTGGAGTTGTTTTTTCCTCCCAGTGGGTTTGTGGTCTTTCTGACTTCAGGAATGAAGCCACAGACCTTTGCAGTGAGTGTTACAGCTCTTAAAGGTGGCACGTCCAGAGTTGTTTGGCTCAGGTGGCCAGCTTTTATTCCCTTATTTGGCCCCACCCACATCTTGCTGATTGGTCCACTTTACAGAGAGCTGATTGGTCCATTTTACAGAGTGCTGAGCTGATTGGTCCATTTTTACAGAGTGCTGATTGGTGCTTTTACAAACCTTTAGCTAGACACAGAGTGCTGATTGGTCCATTTTTACGGAGTGCTGATTGGTGTGTTTACAAAACTTTAGCTAGACACAGAGTGCTGATTGGTGCATTTACAATCCTTCAGCTAGACAGAAAAGTTCTCCAAATCCCCACCTGACCCAGAAGCCCAGCCTGCATCACTTCTCAATCCCCCCTCTAAACAGGACACCCCAACTGCTTTTTGGAATTTGGCCAAAGACTGCTCTAGCTACTTCCTGCTGGATAGGGGTGAAGAAGGGGCCCTGCAGTTGTAGTGTCCTCCAGAGGAGAACTCTTTAGGCCAGTGGAAGGACCAGCAGGTGGGTCCAGGGGTCCTCAGTAGAATTTGTTAGTTGAACTCATTTGGGGTTCCATTTGTAAGACCATCTGTAGCTTGATGGCCTTGATCCTGGAGGAAACAAATTTGACAAGTAGGTTAAAAATACAAGGCCCAAAGGCAAGTCATAGCAAGATGGCTGCCACGGGACCTAGAAAAGGGAGAAGCCATGTTGGCCAACTCCAAAGGTTGGTATAAGAATTTGAAAGTCATTGTCTGATTTCAGAAGACTTTTCCTGTAAATGCTAGGCAGCATGTCTGATTTCAGAAGACTTTTCCTGTAAACGCCAGACAGCATCTCATACTATCCCTGAATGGTTAGTGTAAAAACAACACTCTTCCCCTAAGAAGGTGCAGAGTCCTCCTGTGTCAGCAGTGAGGAGGCCTTGATGGTTTTGGAGAGTCACTGCTGCCAAAGAGTCTATTTGGGATTGTAGAGTAAGATAGATTTCCTTATTTCTTGCAAACTGTCTGAGAAATCCTTTGAGAGTGTGTGGTAGTAGGATAATGAAGTAGATAAACTGGCCATTCCATTTCCTGTAGCAGTAGCCATTCCTAACTCTATAAGTAGGGGTATTAGTTGTATGGCTATGCTGATGGACTTGAGCTTTGACGGGTACTGATAGGGTCTGATTTTCTGTGGCAATGTTAATGTTGGGACTTAGAAAGACTAAGGTGCAGGTGCCTGTTCAGTTAGTGAGGAGGCAGATATATGTCGATGTTCCACATAAGAAGAATATATTTTGGCTGGGTAGACAGAACTAGTTGTGTATGTTAAAAAGGTGTGTGAGTTTGTTGTTTTCATTTTTCCATACTCCTAGAGTACTTGCCAAGGTAGCTCCAGTAAGTGGCTGGAGAGGGGTGTTGGGACCAAACTGAGTGGTTCCCTGTGTTCTATTTTCCCATTGGACAAAAGAACCATTTTGTATCTACTAGGAACAATTCAAGAGAGTGATTGAAAGAGGGGATGAGAAGGCATTCACTAGTGGTGGGGGCACTGCAATAGGGAGTCCAGGGGTGAATGTTCATGCAGGGAGTATGCTTGCCATTAAAAACCTGGACTGTTTGTTAAGCATGGAGGAGGTGATAATTTTGGGGGGCCCTGAGAAGCAGACAAGCCATCTGAATGGAGCTGTTTGGGTGACCTGGAAGTTACTATGATCAGCTGGGGCTTGAAGTTGTAGGGTGTAATTACACTGATGGAGTAGTAGGCGCCCCAGGGGCAGGCCTGATAACAGGTTGCATTGGATGCATAAAGGGGCTTGGAAAGTTAAGATGGTATTTGTAGTTACAGGGCCATGCTGGGCTTTTCATTGCTTGTGTAATAGGTGAGGTTGGAAATGTAGGAACGTAAAAGTTGGATTGCACATCCTGTTAGGGTATTCTTCCTCCTATCAGAGATGGAGAAGTCAGCTAATTATTGCATATTTAGAAGTCAGAAAAGGTCTTTTCCTTCATAATGAGGGTGGTAGGTTACGTTGGTAAAGACCCAGTTTTTTGTGGGAATGGGAGTGGCAACATAAGCAAAGGTTGATAGAGAGATAAAAAGACAACAGTCAGTTGCCAGGGAAGGATTGGACTGGTTTAACAGAGAGTGGGTTAAGTTGAGAGTCATGTAGAGGTAATTAGGAGCTAGTGGAAAGGGAGGGGTGATTGTATGGAGTATCCAAGGAAGCAGGAGAGATAGATAGGCAAAGAATAAATAGGAAGGTAAAGAGGGTGCTTTGGAAGATATGATCATCTTATCCAGGCTGAGTTAAAGGTAGGAGTAAATTGCTGTCAGAAGGAAGGAAGACAAAAAGAAGGTTGATGTGATTAGGATTTTTGTCCCAGCAGGAGCTACAGTGTATAGCCCTATTGCAAAGAGTATGGTTAGTATGCTGCTTAATAATATGATGAAATAGTAAAACGATTCCATTAAAGGGGCAAGGAGAGGTGTTAGAGATAAAGATTATGTAGGTTTTCACTTATATTTTTTAAGGAGGAAGGGGTTTTTCTTCAGGATCAGTGGTAGGAGCCTTTTTAGTCTGGGATGTTTCCTTCCGAAATAGGAGATGTAAGTCCTCCAACCGTTCTCAAGTGTATTGAGGTTGGTCTGGCTGATCTTGGGACTCCTGAGCTGACGGTCCTGCAGGTTCCTCGGGGGATGTCCAAAATTTAACTCTGGTATGGTGAATCCAAGGTTCCACTCCTGCCACCTTAACTGTAGTGAGGGTAGAGAAGATTACCAAGTATGGTCCTTCCCACAAATGGTCCATAGATAGGGACATAGAGGGGAGAGATTTGACCAACACTGGATCTCCTGGTTGAAACAACTCTGTTCCCTTTTCTCTGTGACATCCTTCAGGTAGGTTTTTAAGGTTTTGTTGATATTTTGCCAAAGAAGTTATATCTTTGACCAAGTTGGCTGTTTCCTGATCAAGTAGGAGGCCATTTGTGAGAAAAGGTCGTCTATAAAGCATTTCATATGGACTGAGCCCCATTTTGTGAGGAGATTTTTGGATTCTCAACAAGGCCATGGGCAAAGGAATAAGCCATAGGAGATGAGTTTCTTGTGTTAGTTTCCTTAAGTGCCTCCTGAGTGTTTCATTTGTCTTCTCAACCTTCCCTGAGGATTGTGGCCTCCAGGTGCAGTGAAGGTAATATTGTATCCCTAGCACCCTGGAAATTCCCTGATTTATCGTGGCTTTAAAAGTCGGACCACTGTCACTCTGTAAGCTTTGGGGAAGCCCAAATCTAGGAATTATTTCATGAATTAGGACTTTAATCACTTCCTGAGCTTTCCCTGTCTTGCAGGGAAAAGTTTCTATCCAATTTGTAAAGGTATCAACACAGACCAACAAGTACTGAAATCCCTTTGACTTAGGTATATGGGTGAAGTCTAACTGCCAGTCCTCTCCAGGATAATGACCTATTCTTTGTTCCCTCAAAGGGGCCTTATGATGAACCAAGGGATTATTCCTTTGGCACACCTCACAGGTGTTGACTACCTCTTGGATGGTCCAGAGGAGATTTGACCCTGTAAATAGGCATTTGGCCATTTGTTGAGTGTTTTCAATACCCATATGAAAAGTTTGGTAGAGGGTTTTAAGTATTTTCCACTGGCTGGCTTTGGGTATAAGTACCTTTCCATCTTATGTTGTTAACCACCCCGAGATGAGAAAACTATCCACCATTAAGGTCCTCATTCTGTTTCAGTCGGGGAATACTGGGGCTAAATCTCTTGCAGGGCATTGTTCCATACCAAGGGTCCTTCCCCAGGTATTTCTAATGGGAGGTTCTGCCTGGAAGCAATTTTCGCCTCAACCTCTACCTGAAGGTTTCCATCTGCTTTTTCTCCTTCACCTTGCTGATGGCTTTGGCAGTATAAGACTGCCACCTCCTTGGGTTTTTTCGCTGCATGCAATAACTCTATAATTTCCAGGTGGTATTTAATGGGGGTTCCCCTGGAGGTTAGGAACTCCATTTCTTTCCATATTGTAGCATGGGAATGTAAGGTTAGATAAGCATACATGCTATCTGTATATACATTTATTCTTTTTCCCTTCCCCAGTTCTAAGGCTTGGGTAAGTGCCACTAGTTCTGCTAGTGGCCTCTGGGGGAAGAGGCTTACTTTCAAGTACAGTTACATCTGTAACTATGGGATAACCTGTCCTTCGTATCCCATTCTCTACAAATGAACTTCCATCATTATTTAGGTTAAGGTCATGATTAGCTAAGGGGACTTTTAAGAGATCATCTCAGGTGGCATAAGTC
The DNA here is from genome assembly GCF_000001405.40 of Homo sapiens. NCBI lineage: Eukaryota > Metazoa > Chordata > Mammalia > Primates > Hominidae > Homo > Homo sapiens. The sequence goes on along the minus strand of NC_000004.12, from coordinate 63,057,820 downwards.
TGGACTATAATTTATTGGCAGTCATGCTCAATTGGTTCCCCATCCTCTGGGAGAAGAGTGGCAGGATTGAGGGCTACTCACATAAGTATTTGAAGCACCAGTCCCTCAAGGAGTAGTGCCTGGTATCTAAGTAGGCAGCTGTCTGATAGCCATAAGCTTCCTTTAGCACCTAGTATTCCATTTACATCGCAAGTAGCCCAGACAGTGAGATCCTTTCCTTGTATTATTTTGATAGCCTCTGACACTAACAAGGCCACCGCTGCAACTACCTGTAAACAGTGAGGCCAGCCTTTTGCTACTACATCAATTTCCTTACTTAGGTAATCCACTGGTTGTGGGCTTGTCCCATGAGTCTGAGTAAGAACTCCAAGAGCTATTCCTGCTCTCTCTGTGATGTATAAGGAGAAGTTTTCTCCTGTGGGAAGGCTTAAAGCTGGAGCTTGTACTAGGGCCTGCTTTAAAGTTTTGAATGCTGTTCCTACCTCTGGTTCCCATTCTACTAGGTAAGTATTTGCCCTCTAGGTCTCCTTGATTAGAGTACAGAGGGGCCTGGCTATCTCACTGTATCCAGGGATCCACAGTTGGCAAAAGCCGGTGATTCCAAGGAATGCCCACAACTGTTTTAATGTCTTAGGAAAAGGATAGGCCAGTATAGGCTGTATGTGTTCCTTGCTGAGGGCCTTGGTCCCTCTGGCTGAGATTAGGCCTAGATATTTGACCTGCTGTAGGCAAAGCTGGGCCTTTGACCTAGATGCCTTGTACCCTTAATTAGCTAGAAATTTCAACAGATATAGAGTAGCTTGCTGACATGAGGCTTCTGAACTGGTAGCCCAAAGTAAATCATCCACATTCTGAAGGACCAGAGTGCCTGGACTTGAGAAGTGGCCTAGATCTTGGGCCAGTGCCTGACCAAACAGGTGAGGGTTATCCCTAAACCCTTGGGACAAGACCATCCACATAAGTTGGGATGTGTGGTCTGTGGGATCTTCAAAGGCAAAGAGAAACTGGGAGTCAGAGTGCAGGGGAATATAGAAGAAGGCATCCTTGAGGTCCAGAACAGTGAACCATTCTGCTTCGTCTGGTATTTGAGAGATCAGGGTATAGGTGTTGGGTACAACTGGATATAGAGGAATTACTGCCTCATTGATGAGTCTAAGATCTTGCACTAGTCTCCACTGACCATTTGGTTTTGGTACCCTAGAATTGGGGTATTGAAGGGACTGCTATATTTCCTTACTAAGCCTTGAGTTTTTAAATGCTTAACAATATCCTGTAATCCTTTATGAGCTTCAGGCCTTAAGGGATATTGCCATTGATAAGGAAAAGTGGTGGGGTCTTTTAGCCTGATTTGGACTGGGTGGGCATTTTTTACCCTTCCAAATTGTCCTACCAATGCCCAGACTTCAGGGTTGATTCCCTCCTCAAGTAGGGGACAATAAATGGGTAACTTTTTTCCCATATTCATGTAGATAATAGCTCCAGTTTTGGCTAATCTATTCCTCCCTAACAAGGGTGTGGGACTTTCAGGCATAACAAAGAAAGGCATGTGAAAAGAGCAAAGTATCCCAATTACAACTGAGGAGGTGGGAGAAATACATGGTTACAGGCTGTCCCAGGATTCCTCAGATAGTAATGGACTTTAAGTACAGTCATCAAGGACAGGAGGTTAACACTGAGAAGGCCACACCGTGTCCAGGAGGAAGTCAATTTCCTGGCCTTCAATGGTTACACATACCCAGGGCTCAGTGAGGGTGATGACATGAGCAGGCAATTGCCCTGTGCACCCTTGGTCCTGTTGTTGGATCATCTGGTTGGGGGCTTCTGTCCCAGACAACCATTGCACTCTGGGGCAGTGCACCTTCCAGTGATTACCTCGGCATAGTGGACATGGACAAGGGGGTGGCTTGTTTCTCATTGGACAATCTTTTTTAAAGTCTACTTGTAAACCACACTGATTGGAAGCCCTACCAGGGGATTGGCCTGCTCCATTTTCTGTCCTTTTTGAACCACCAAGGTTTGTTTGTCTGAGGGCAATGACTAAGGCTGCAGCGTTTCTCTGATCTCACTTTTCCTTTTGGGCCCATTCCTCTGGGTCCCTATTATTGAATGCTGAGGTTGCCAGGTTTAATAATGCCTCCAGATTTTGTTCAGGGCCAAGGGCTCACTTTTGGAGCTTTCTCCTGATATATGTGGCTGATTGGGTAATAAACTTATCTTTTAGAATCAACTGACCTTCCAGTGAGTCAGGTGACAGGCAAGTATATTTTCTTAAGGCCTCCTGTAGCCTCTTGAGGAAGGCAGAATGATTTTCCTCATTTCCCTGAGTTATGGTAGACATCATTGAATAATTCATGGGCTTTTTCCTAATTCTCCATTGTCCTTCTAAAACACAGGTCAACAGAGGTTTATGACTCCAGTCCACATGATCTGAGTCGAGGTCCCAGTGGGGATCCATATGGGGATGGCTTGCTGACTAGTAGGGAATTTGTCCCTTTCTTCAGCTGTCATTCTATCATTTACTTGACTTAGATACCAGGTATTTCCAAACTCTTAGGCTACAGCTAAAGCTGCATTCTTTTCATTAAAGGCCAGGGTTTGATCTAACAATAGCATGAGATTTCTCCAAGTGAGATCAAAGGTTTGCCCTAGACCCTGTAGGACATCTATGTACTTATCAGGATCATCTGAGAACTTCCCCAGGTCCGCCTTGATCTGCTTTAAATCAGAGAGGGAGAAAGGGACCTGTACCCAGGTTGGGCCAAATTCCCCTCCCCCTACAGCTTGAAGGGGACATAGCTGATAGCCCAGGGGTTTTTGTGGCCCTTTGGAGATTTCCTTGCTTATTTCCTTCTGGGCAGGGGAGATTAGAGGAGGCTTATCATTAATAGGAAGGGGAGCTATTGGGAGGCTAGGATATGGGGGTAAGCTGAAAGGTCCTCCTGTGGCATGTAAATTGCAACTTTGCATAGTTGTGTATTCTCCTTCAATGAAAAGAAAACTTGGGCATAAGGTATTACACTCCATTTGCCTTCCTTCCTACAGAAAATGTCAAGATGCAGAATAGTGTTGTAATTTATACTTCCCTCAGGTGGCCATTTTTCCTCATCAGAGAGAGAATATTGGGGCCAGGCCATAGTGCAGAAAAAAATGAGCTGCCTCTTTTTCAGGGTGTGTGGGTCAAATTGGTCCAAATGGCTTAGGATGCATTTCAAGGGTGAGCCTGTTGATGCCTGAGTGTTTCCCATCTGAAAGATAAAACTGCCCATGGTTTCAGTTTGTATGTTTCTCCCCCTGCCCAAGAACCCACAACGGTCCCTGGACCCTGCTGATCGGAATAGTTGTGCTCACTGATGGAGCAGCAGAAACACTAGTTTTCTTCCTAGACCACAAGGAGGACCAAGGAACATGAGATTTAGTGGCCCTTACCAACACATTCTCAAAAACCTGCACCCTTGCCTGTCCTCCTAGACCACAAAGAGGACCAAGAGAAATCAGATTTAGGGGCCTTACTGACAGATTCTTAAAAACCTGTTAGAGTCCTAAACATTCTCCTGTTAGTATTGGGACCTTGCCCATGTCCTATAAAGATGTTATGCCCCAAAATGAAGTGGAGGGCCGTACCTTGAGGGAGGGGAGGGATCTCCAGAGTTGGAAGAGTGATGCCTTTTGCCCTCAGTTGAATAGGAAGGATATTATTTCTGAGGCTCCCCATATCCTAGCTTCAGGAATAGATTTTTTTAGTCCTGCTTGTCTGAGGACAGATCTTAAAATTCCAGACAGTGCCCCCTACGATGGGGCTTTGGGCAAAAATTATGTTTTTCTGATTGGTGAGCCCAGGTGCCTAAAGAAGGTAATGGAGTCCTGAAGTTTATACTAGAAATCATTCTTACAGGAGAAACTGGAAAAGCAACAGAGACAGGGAGTGGTTTTTAGAAGTGGGACTAGCCTCGGAGAAGAGAGGTGAGAGGAAGTTTGTCTGACAGGCAGTAGGACCCAGGAGGCAAGGGTCAGGATAGATAGAATAGATTGGTGAGTCTCGCTTGGGCAACATGACTTTGAGAGTTCTGCTTATGGCCGCAGGGTCAACCAACTTGTTATCGGGACCCTGGAGCTGAATGGTTTTCCTCTCTGTCGACCCTCGGCTCAACCCAGAAGTACAGGTAAAGTGGAAGCTGGTTCCAGGCAAACCAACGCTCCCAACTCCAAAGACTCGGCAGTTGTTAGAGAGCCCTTTCCCAGAAAGCCTAACACCCGTGTCTTTAGACCGGCAGCCGTGCTAGTTGCTTTTAACTGGCTGACAGCTGCCTGGTATTTAGCCCCCAAATTCTAAGGAAAAATAGGACAGAATAGCAAGTGAAAGGGGTCTGATAGTCCTCACCACTCAGCAATAGTCGATGTCCCTTCATCGTCACCAAAATATGCCTGGAATTCATTATTTCCGGTGGGTTCTTGGTCTCGCTGACTTCAAGAATGAAGCCTCAGACACTCACGGTGAGTGTTAAAGTTCTTAAAGACGGTGTGTCTGGAGATTTTTCCTTCAGATGTTCAGATGTGTCTGGAGTTTCTTCCTTCTGGTGGGTTCGTGGTCTTGTTGACTTCAGGAGTGAAGCCACAGACCTTCACAGTGAGTTTTACAGCTCTTAAAGGTGGCGTTTCCAGAGTTGTTCATTCTTCCCAGTGGGTTTGTGGTCTCGCTGACTTCAGGAATGAACCCACAGACCTTCACAGTGAGTGTTACAATTCTTAAAGGTGGGATGTCCAGAATTGTTTGTTCCTCCCAGTGGGTTTGTGGTCTTGCTGGCTTCAGAAGTGAACCTGCAGACCTTTGCGGTGAGTGTTACAGCTCATAAAGGTAGTGCGGACCCAAAGAGTGAGCAGCAGCAAGATTTATTGCAAAGAGTGAAAGAACAAAGCTTCCACAGCATGGAAGGGGACCCGAGGGGGTGGCCCCTGTTGGCTTGGGTGGCCAACTTTTATTCTCTTATTTGGCCCCACCCACATCCTGCTGATTGGTGCATTTTACAGAGTGCTAATTGGTCCATTTTTACAGAGTGCTGATTCGTGCATTTACAAACCTTTAGCTAGACACAGAGCACTGATTGGTGCATTTACCATCCTTTAGCTAGACAGAAAAGTTCTCCAAGTCTGTACCCGATTAGCTAGACACAGAGTGCTGATTGTTGTGTTTACAAACCCTTAGCTAGACACAGAGTGCTGATTGGTACATTTACAATCCTTTAGCTAGACAGAAAATTTCTCCAAGTCCCCACCCAACCCAGAAGCCCAGCCAGCTTCACCTCTCACCAGGATGGTCTCCATCTCCTGACCTCATGATCTGCCCTCCTTGGCCTCCGAAAGTGCTGGGATTACAGGCATGAGCCACCGCACCTGGCCAAATTAAATTTATTTTTAAGCCATGCATTCTTATTAGGTTACTCTTTCATGTAATTTTTTTTTTCTGGAAGGCCAAAAAAGTCCTTCTAATAACAAAAAAAATAATAATTTTCTGAAGTTTTTATTTAAATCATAGGAGAAGTGGTAAATCCATTGAAATCAGAATTATAATATGCTTCTAAATATTTATCACAGAAACAAGAATAATAAGTGTTGTATTTAAAATAAAACTTTAATTTTCATTATTGAAAAAAATTACAGGACTTCCAGTCTTTAACATTTGAAAAGCTTTGAAGACATCATTCCCCAGTCCTATAACAAGAAAAAAGCTTAAAATGAAAGACTATTCACAGGCACATCAGAGAATTTAACTCATAGGAAAACAACCATCTCAAATCTGTAGAAGTAGGCAGACACAGGGAATCACAACCTAGATCAGATTAATTAGAGCAGAAAGGCACTGGTGTCATAAACCAGTAGAAACAGGTGAATTGTAATTGTGATGAACTGCTGGAGGCTGATTGTAGACTAGCAAGAGAGTGAGAAACTCCTGGGTGCTGCAGCCTTCTGGGACCCCATACTTTACCTCCAGAAACATCAGATTCTTACCATAAAGTGTCAAGAAAAATCTCCTAACATCTCTGCTGAAGGAAAGAGAAAAAAGTAACCATTTTAAAATATCCTCAGGGAATTATTCCTAAGAAAATCCTACTCCCCAGAGGAAAATATTTTAATAAAGACTTACCTCACCTAGAGCAAAAAGAAATTTCACAGATCCAGTCCTATATAGTCTATGTCTCACTAAGATGGGAAAAAAGCTAAGAAATGCACATTAAGGTCCCATACAGGGACAAGTACACATTTAGCTAAAGCAAAAATTAAACATATCTCAACTCTTATCCAGATTAAAAAAACTTAACATTTAATGCTCATTTATGTCTGTTCTATTACCAAATACTTTTTTTTTTTTTGAGGGAGATTTTTGCTCTTGTTGGCCAGGCTGGAGCGCAACAGCATGATCTTGGCTCACTGCAATCTCGGCTCACTGCAACCTCTGCCTCCTGGGTTCAAGCAATTCTCCTGCCTCAGCCTCCTGAGTAGCTGGGGTTATGGTATCTGCCACATCGCACGGCTAATTTTGTAATTTTAGTAGAGACAGGGTTTCACCATGTTGGTCAGGCTGGCTTCAAACTCCTGACCACAGGTGATCTGCCCACCTTGGCTTCTCAAAGTGTTGGGATTACAGGTGTGAGCCACCACACTCAGCCTATTAGCCAATATTTACCTCCAGCTTTCAAAAAAAAAATTACAAAGTCATGCTGAAAGGCAAGAAAAAAGACAAAGCAAGCATCAGAACCAGTCTCAGAGAAGACACAGATTTGGAATCATCAGACAAGGCATTTCAAATAACTAATATGCTAAGGTCTGTAAGGCAAAAAAGTAGAAAATATGCAAAAACAGGTGGTATTGGAAGCACAGATACTGAAACTCCAAGAAACACTAGCAAATGCTAAAGTTGAAAACATTGTAACAAAAAGGAAAAATGTCTTTGATGAACTCACGAATAGATGATAGGATTTGACTGAGAAAAGAATCAGTGAGCTTGAAGGTGAAACTGCCTTTGTGAAAATCATAACAGTGAGAAAATTATGGCAGTAAAACAGGAACCTGAAGATATGGAATACCACGATTGTAGATTGGCCTTTCAAAATATCTCTTTAGGTTTTTTGCTTGCCGGACACCCATGGCTGCACCTGGACCCAATAGCTCCACCTGGACCAGCCTATGCCCATAGACTGGTCCTGTGGTCCCACCCAGAAGTGATTCAGTGGGCAGAAGAATCATTTTCAACCCCCACAATTGCACCTGCAACCAATCAGCAGCAAGCCTAGCAACCACCACTCTTTTTCCCAAACTGCCTTTGAAAACCCTTACCTAAAGGCCTTGGGTGAGATTGATTTGAGTACTAACTGTCTCCTATGTGGCATGGCCAGCCTCATGTCTATTAAATTATTTTTGGACTTTACTTGTGTAGCAGGCAGAAAGAACTCCTCAGACAGTTACAAAAGTATGTTAAAGTAAATTTCCGAAATTAAAATGTAAAAACAAAAAACAGACATAATAAAGAACGGAATATTCAAAAAGCATGAGACAATTTCAAAAATTATGTCAACTTCTTTCCTATTCCTCATGAAAGGAGACTGGAGTTTCCATTCTAACAAGTAAAGGGCTGAACAGACTGAAATATCAACAACTGTTGGATTCATCAGCTATAACTGACGAATTGCTGGAGGCTTGGTGTGGATGAATCTGAGACTTAAAAATTCTAAAGGGCCTAGTTATATGGGATTCCCACTGTCTTGTGAGTTTTACTTCCAGGAATCTGACCAGTTTCTCATGGGAAATATCAGAGAACAATCCTCTTGTGCTTCTGGGAGGGGCTGGGGGCAGGGATGACCAATTTTGAAATAGCCAGAGGACTCTGTTCTTCTTAACAAGACTTGCCCTCAGGAGAAATGATTTAACCACAGCCTACCCTGCTGTGGTTTTAGCAGAGCCTAACTGGCCTGAGGGGAGAGAAAGAGCTAACTGTAGCCACCTCTAGACATCCAAATGGGAGAGAAGAAATACTCAACAGCAGCCCACTCTAGCCTTCCTGTCTCACCTAAAGGAGGTGGCGAGGATGGAATTGAAAAGATCCAGGGGAGTTCACAGTCCAGACACATAAGCTAACTACAAACTGAGACCTAATTATAGGACTGTAGCATGCTTTCTTTCCCCCACATTTTACCACCACATTACTAAAAGACTATTAACAACAGCTCCTTTTGCCTAGTACATCATGTCTGGCTATTTCTTGTAGAAAAAAAAAATGCAAGAAATACTAAAGGCTAAGAACACAATTTGACGAGAGAGACAGTGGGTATCAGAACCAGACATGGCAGGAATGTTGAAAGGATCAGAGTGGGAATTTAAAACAACAATGATTCATATGCTAAGGGCTGTAATGGATAAAGCAGACAGCATGCAAGGACAGATGGGCAGTGGAGGCAAAAAGTTGAAATCTTAAGAACCAAAAATAAAAATGCTAAGGATTCTTAATTAATTAGTGTAAGTGTTCTTACACTTACAGAATGAAGAATGCCTCTGGTGGGATTATTAGTAGACTGGGCATAGCTGAAGAATCTCTGAGCTTGAGATATAGCAATAGAAACACCCAAAAGTAAAAAGTAAAAAGAACACAGACTACAAAATTAGAACTATGGGACAACTATGAAAACTGTAACATACAGAGTGAAAATATCATAAGGAGAAGAAAAACAGAAAGAAACAAAGTAGCATTTGGAACAATAATGACAGAATTTTTCCAGATTAATAGCAGACACCAAACCACAGATCAAGGAAGCTCAGAAAAACATCAAGCAGGACAAATGCCAAAAATACATACTTGGGCATATTAATTTGAAAGTATAGAAAATCAAAGACAAAGAAAAAATTCTGAAAGAAGCCAGAGGGGGAAAAAAAAAACCACTTTACCTAAGGATAACGAGGAAGAATTATAGCCAACTTCTCCACAGAAACCATGCAAGCAAGAAAAGAGTGAATAAAATATTTAAAGTGTTGAAAGAAAAAACACACCAGCATAAAATTCTGTATTGTGTGAAATTATTCTTCAAATTTAAAGGAGAAATAGACTTTCTCAGGCAAACAAAAGTTTAGAATATTCATTGCCAGTGGACCTGCCTTGAAAAAATGATAAAAAATCTTTAGAGAAAAGAGAAGTAATATAGGACAGAAATTTCAGTTTACATAAAGAAAGGACAAGCATCAAAGTAGGAATAAAAAGCAAATTAAAACTTTTATTTTTCTTATTCTGAGTTCATCTATATATGTATATATACACATATATATACATACATATATACTCACATAGATAACCATAAGTATAAATATATACTTAAGTATATATACACATAAATAAGTATTTTTATGTTTAAACTTGTGTTTACATATATGCACACACACTTATGTATTCTTACATATAATAGAAATGAATGACAGCGATGATACAAGGGATGGGAGCTATAAATTAGGATTACTTTGTTATTATGAGGTACTTAGAGTACCCATAAAGTGGCATAGTGTTATTTGAAAGTAGATTTGGATTTGTTATAAGTGTATATTACAAACCTTAGGGCAACCTTAAAAATATAAAATGAAGTATAATTGATATTCTAAGGGTAGAAAATGAAATCATATAAAATGTATCAATTGAATTTTAGAGATTGTGAGCCCAGCTATGGCTCAGGTGTGCCCAGCTGTAGCTTGAACCACTGCTCTGGAGGGTGCAAGTGGTGGGCCTTGGTGGTGTCCACTTGGTGCTATGTAGGCGTTCAGAGAATGAGAGCTGAGGGGGCATGTCGGCCTCCACTTAGATTTCAAAGGATGCCTCATAGATCCTTTGGACCCAGGAAGCAATCCACCACAGAGACAGAGCCATCACAGGAAGCCCCAACTAGGGCAATGCTTAGTGGACTGTGGAGGCAGTGCCAAACCCCTGAGACCTCAGAAATGTAGAGCCACCAGTGTCTAGCACCAGCCTGGAAAAACCACAGTCATGCAACTTCAATGTGTAAGTGCTGAAATGTGGGCTTATACCCAGCAAAGCCACTGAGGCAGGGCTGCCTGAGGTCTTGGGGACCCAACACCCTCCCCAGTGTGTTTGGAAGGTGGGACATGTAGTCAAAGAAAATTATCTTCAATACATAAGATTTAATGTTTTTCAGCCTGTTGTGTTATGGGCTTACTTGGAATCTGTTACTCCTTTCTTCTATTTTATTGCTCTTTTTCCTAATGGAAATGTCTATCCTATTCCTGTCCCACCATTGTATTCTGGAAAAAATGTAACTTGTTTGATTTCACAGGTTTACAGCTGAAAAGAAATTTGCCTAGGGATGAATGGTGCCTTGAGTCTCTCTGATATCTGATTTAGATGAAACTTTGGATTTAGACTTTTAAGTTAATGCTGCAATGAGTTAAGACTTTTGGGTGTCACTAGAAGAAAAGTAGTATATTTTGTATGTGAGAAGGATGTGAATTTTTTTTGGAGAGATTATTGGTAAATTGATACAAATGCATGTGTTGAAACTTATGGCCTATATGATAGTGTTAATGGTTGGGACCTTTAAGAGGTGATTAGGGTCAAGAGGACTTCTCCCTCAAGAATGGAATTAGGCTGCCTTATAAAAAGACTTAACAGAGGAAGTTCATTCCCTTTTGCTTTTCTGCCTTCTCCCATTTGAAGACACGGTATTCGTCTTGTCTGGAGAATGTAGCATTCAAGACACGATCTTGGAAGTTGAGATCAGGACCTCACCAGATACTGAACCTGCCAGCACCTTGACCTTGGACTTCCCAGCCTCCAAAACTGTGAGAAATACATTTTTATTGTTTATACATTCTCAATCTCAGCTATTCTGTTATGGAAGCACAATCTAAGACAGCAGTAGTATGATACCTGTATATGTTCCTTACAAGCAACATTTCATGATGAAAAATGGGATATTGGGGCCAGGCGTGGTGGTTCATGACTGTAATCCCAGCACTTTGGGAGGCCGAGGTGGGCAGATCATCTGAGGTCAGAAGTTCGAGATCAGCCTGGCCAATATGGTGAAACCCTGTCTCTACTAAAAATACAAAAATTAGCCGGGCGTTGTGGCGGGTGCCTGTAATCCCAGCTACTCGGGAGGCTGAGGCAGGAGAATCACTTGAATGCAGGAGGCGGAGGTTGCAGTGAGCCGATATCCTGCCACTGCACTCTAGCCCGGGAGACAGAGCGAGACTCTGTGTCAAAAAAAAAAAAAAAAAAAAAAAAAAAGTGATATCAGGGAGCAGATACTTTCTCAAGTTTAGTCTCTTGGTAATACTATCTCAGTAAGTGATTAGGGCTCCACTTGTACTTTCAGTTTTGTCTTGTTTTTCTTGGCTAGTTCAATTCTTTCCAGCTCAGCTGAACTCCTAACACTAATAGTAACAATGTATCAGGCAATATAAAATATGGATAAATAAAAAGGATGGCAGAAATGGTATAAGGGACAGGTAGGAGGGATTGCAAAGACTCTAAGGTAGCACACTACTTGTGAAGCAGGAAAGTAAGTGTGATTTGAAAGTAGACTAAGATGAGTTATAATGTATGTTGCAAATTCTAAGGCAATTACAAAACATTTTAAGAAGTAAAATTCATATGCTAAAAGGGGAGTTAAGACTGCATTATATAAAATGCTCAATTAATACCAGAAAAAGTAGAAAGAGATGGGAAAAAAAAAAGAAATAAACTAAGGGCAAGTCCATTAAATAGTAAATAGTTACAAATAAATAGATCTCAATTACTGCAACAATTATTTTTAATGTTAATTATCTACATAGCCTAATTAAAAGACTGTGGATAAAAAATAAAATAAGTCAACTAGATGATTTTTTTTTTTTGAGATGGAATCTCACTGCGATGCTCAGGCTGGAGCGCAATGCAAAATCTCAGCTCACTGCAACCTCTCCGGCATTCAAATGATTCTTCTGCCTCAGCCTCCTGAGTAATTGAGATTACAGGCATGCACCATCATGCCCGACTAATTTTTGTATTTTTAGTAGAGACGGTGTTTCAGGCTGGTCAGGCTGGTCTCAAGCTCCTGACTTCAAGTGATCTGCCTGCCTCAGCCTCCCAAAGTGCTGGGATTACAGGCATGAGCCACCATGCCTGGCTGTCAACTATATGTTTTCTATAAGAAAACCACTTTAATATAAACATATCTATAAAGTAAAAGTAAAGAGATGAATGAAAATATGCCATGCTAACACTCATGAAATCAAAGCTGAAATATCTGTATTAATTTGAGAGAAACAAAGTTCAGACCAAGGAAGATTACTAGGGATAAAGAGAGACATTATATAAAGATAAAGGCATTAATTCTCAAAAAGGACATAATGATTAACAAATATACATCTAACAATAAAGCATCAAAAATCATTACAAAGTCTAGGAGTAGACGCTTATGCCTTTAATTCTAACATTTTGGGAGGCCAAGGAGGGTAGATGACTTGAGGTAAGGAGATTGAGATCAGCCTGACCAACATAGTAAAACACCATCTCTACTAAAAATACAAAAATTAGCTGAGTGTTGTGGTGGGTGCCTGTAGTAGCAGCTACTCAGGAGGGTGAGGCAGAAGAATTGCTTGATCCCAGGAGGCAGAGGTTGAAGTGAGCTGATATCATGCCACAGTACTCCAGTCTGGGTGATAGAGTGAAACTCTGTCTCAAAAATAAATACATGAACAAATAAATAATTTAAAAATAATAAAATTGCATGAATAGGTAAATTCACCAGTATAATTGAAGACTTCAGCACTCCTTTATCAGTAATTGTCAGATATAGTAGGCAGAAAATCAGTAAGAATACAGTTGAACTGAATAGCACCATTAATCATCTGAATCTAATTTATATTTATAGAATACTTTATCCAACAAGAGAAGAATACAAATTCCTCTCAACCTCACATATAACACTAACCAATATTGGCTATATTCTGGAAGAAAAAACACATCTTATCAAATGTAATATAATAAAAGTTATGCAAAACATACACTTAGAACACAATGGAATTATGGTATAAATCAATAACAGGAAAAGAGCTGAAAATTCATGTATTTGGAACATAAATAATACATTGCAAAAAAAATTCACAATGAAAAAGGAGTCTCAACAAAATCTAAAAATTCTTTGAACTAAATGAAAATTAAACTACAACTGATCAAAGTTTCAAGGAAAATTAATAGCTTTAAATCCATATATTAGAAAAAAGGAATGTTATATTTACTATTAATTAAATATGCTTCTGCCACAGGAAACTAACAAAGAAGAGGAACAGGAGCAGAAATCAATAAAATTGAAAGCTAATATAGTTTGAGTGTGTTCCTACCCAAATCTTATCTTGAATTGTAGTTCTCATAATTCCCACATGTCATGGGAGGGCGCTGGTGGGAGGTAATTGAATCATGGAGGTGGTTTCTCCCATGCTGTTCTTATGATAGTAAGTGAGTTATGATGAAATCTGATGATTTTATAAATGTCTGGCATTTTCCCTGCTGGCACTCATTCTCTCTCTTGCTGGCCTGTGAAGAGGTGCTTTCTGCCATGATTGTAAGTTATCTGAGGCTTCCCCAGCCATGCAGAACTGTAAGCCAATTCAACCTCTATTTTTAAAAATTACCCAGTCTCAGATATTTCTTTATAGCAGTATGAGAATGGACTAATACAGTAAATTAGTACCAAGGAGTGAGGCACTGCTATAAGGATACATGAAAATGTGGAAGCGACTATGGAACTGGGTAGCAGAGCCTGGAACAGTTTGGAGGGCTCAGAAGAAGACAAGGAAAGATGTGGGAAAAGGCTCAGGAAGAAGACAAAGAAGAAATATGGGAAAGTTTGGAGCCTCCTAGATACTTAGAGGGGACAGAAGACGGGAAGATTTGGGGTGTTTGGAACTCCCTAGGGACTTGTTGAATGGCTTGACCAAAATGCTTATAGTGATATGAACAATGAGGTAGAGGCTGAGGTGGCCTCAGATGGAGATGGGGAACTTGTTGGAAACTGGAGTAAAGGTCACTCTTGTTATGCAAAGAGACTGGTGGCATTTTGTCCCTACCCTAGAGATCTGTGGAACACTGAACTTGAGATAGATGATTTAGGGTATCTGGCAGAAGTAATTTCTAAGTGGCAAAGCATTCAAGAAGAGGCAGAGCATAAAACTTTTGAAAATTCACAGCCTGATAATGCAACAGAAAAGAAAACCAATTTTCTGAGGAGAAATTCAAGCCACTCCAGAAATTTGCATAAGTAACAAGGAGCCAAATGCTAATCACCAAGACAATAGGGAAATGTCTCTAGGGCATGTCAGAGACCTTCATGGTAGCCCCTCTCATCACAGGCCTGGAGGCCTAGAAGGAAAAAATGGTTTCCTGGGCCAAGTCCTGGCCTCCCTGCTGTGGGTAGCTTGGACTTGGTGCCCTGCATCCCAGCTGCTCCAGCCATGGCTAAAAGGAGCCAAGGTACAGTTCAGGTCTGCTTCAGAGGGTACAAGCCACAAGCCTTGGCAGCTTCCACATGATGTTGGGCCCGCAGGTGCACAGAAGACAAGAATTGAGGTTAGGAACTTCCGCCTAGATTTCAGAGGATGTACGGGAAAACCTGGATGTCCATACAGAAGTTTGCTGCAGGGTTGGAGCCCTCATGGAGAACCTCTGCTAGACCAGTGCAGAAGGGAAATGTGGAGTTATAGCCCCAACACAGAGTGTCCACTGGGGCACTGCCTAGTGGAGCTGTGAGAAGAGGGCCACCATCCTCCAGCCCCCAGAATGGTAGATCCACTGACAGCTTGCACAATGCACCTGGAAAAGCCACATGCACTCAATTACAGCTGTGAAAGCAGCAGGTCAGGGGGCTGTGCTGTGCAAAGCCATGAGGGCGGAGCTGTCCAAGATCCTGGGAGTCCACCTCTTGCAACTGTGTGCACTGGATGTGAGACATGGATTCAAAGAGATCATTTTGGAACTTTAACCTTTAATGACTACCCTATTAGATTTCAGACCTGCATGGGGCCTGTGGCCACTTTGTTTCACCCAAGTTCTTCCATTTGGAGTGGTTGTAATTGTCCAATGACTGTACCCCTGTTGTATCTAGAAAATAACTAAGTTGCTTTTCATTTCACAGGCTCATACATGCAAGGGACTTGTCTTATCTCAGATGCAACCTTGGACTTGGACTTTTGGGTTAAAACTGGAATGAATTAACACTTTGGGGGACTGTTGGGATGGCATGATCGTGTTTTCAAATGTGAGGATATGAGAATTAGAAGGAGCCAGGGTTGGAATAATATGATTTGTCTGAGTCCCCACCCAAATCTCATCTTTCATTGTAATTTCCATAATCCCCATGTATCATGGGATCTGGAGGGAGGTAGTTGAATCATGAAGGTGGTTTCCCCCATGCTGTTCTCATGATAGTGAGTGAATTCTCAGGAGATCTGATGGTTTTTTAAGCCTCTAGCATTTCCCCGGCTGGCACTCATTCTCTCTCTTGCTGCCCTATGAGGAGATTACTTCCACCATGATTGTAAGTTACCTGAGGCCTCCCTGGCTATGCAGAACTATAAGTCAATTAAACCTCTACCCTTTATAAATTATCCAGTCACAGGTATTTCTTCATAGCAGCATGAGAATGGACTAATACAAAAGCAGTAAAGCAATAGAAAAAGATAACGAAACTAAGAGTTGGTTCTTTGAAAAGATCAAAATTGACAAATCTGTGGCCAAGCTAATCAAGAAAAAATGAGAAAACACAAATTATAAACATTACAAATGAATAGCCATTATCACTACAGATCTCATAAACATCAAAAGATAATAAAAAATGCTATGAACATTTATATGCCTATATTATGTAACTTAGATAACAACTAACCAATTCTTTTAAAGAAACTAACTACCAAAACTCACACAAGTAAAATAATCTGAAAAGTCCAATAGCTGTTTAAGATTGACTCAATAATTAAATTAATAAGCTTTTCTCAAAAAAAAAAAAAAATGCTAGGCCCAAAGGATTTCATTGATGAATTTCATCAAGCATTTAAGGAAGAAATAATATGCATGTTGTTTAATCTCTTTTCTAAAATAGAAGCAGAGGAAATATTTCCTAATTCAATCTATATTGACATAAATGCCCAAAAACCAAAACCAAATAAAGATACTACAAGAATGGAAAAGTACAAACTAATATCTTTTATAAACATAGATGCAAAAATTTCCAACAAAATATTAGCAAATAAAATCTAATAATAAATTTAAAAATTGTACATCATGACTAAACAGTATTGATTCCAGATATTCAGACAAATGTGGCATTCAAACATTTAGTGATATAATTCACCACATCAACAGGCTAAAGGAAAAAAATCACATAACCATGTCAGTTGATGAAGACAAAGCCTTTAACAAAACCCCACACCCATTCATGACATTATGTACTTTACAAAACTCACTGAAATTTTCAACAAAAATGGTTAAACTTGATGTATACAAATTTATTCCATATATATAAATGAATATGAATTTGGTGGATCCCAGAAAGAAATAGACACTGTGATGTGAGAATCTAACTGTATTGCAACTACGAAGCTACCTCACTGAAGGGAATGGAGGGAAAAATTGTTGACCTAAATACTTTTGGAAATTAGAACAGTCTGTAAGACTAAAGGCAAAAGGAGCTGAGCAGTATAGTCTACTTGGAAAAGTTGTTTTCCAAGAGGTACATGGATATGAATTAATAATTCTGTGACAGCTGTACATGCACACTGGAATTAAGCAATCAATAAATGAACAGTGGATTGTGGAAGCCATATTTCTCACTGTTGGAGAAGAGAAACAGATAACCAAGGGGAAGAGGATAGAATTAACCATGTGGTAATTGACTAAATTTGGCAAGGTCAGTAAAAAGTAATGTTTCAGCTTAGTTCAATATAAATGCTTACATATAGAAATGTACATATGTGTATATACACGTTAGTATATACATACATTGTCTTCCTTTGTCAGATGAGAGTGTCTGAAAGAAACAACATCCCAGTAGCAATGATTAAAATCTGGCACCCAGGTCTTTGTTTCTAATACCATTCTCCAACAAAAAATTTAGAGCTGTTTGGAGAAAAGGTTAATTCTAGGGCTGGGCTGGGAACTATACAAAATAAACCTCAAGTATGTTGTAGTGCCAGAAAGTAAGGAAATGATAAAAAAAAATTTGTAGGGGGATGTCAAAGGAACACTGGAGTCAACTGAAAATGTTTCCAGTGGCCAAAGAGAGAACAATTTAAGCAAAATGAAAAAGAAAAAAAGAAAGAAGAAAGATGGAAAAGAAGGAAGGAGTGAGGGAAGGAAGAGAGGAAGGGAGGGAGGAAGGAAGCAAGAGAAATTTATATTATAACCCAAAGTACAAAACAAACATCCATCAGTTCATACCAATATAAATAAATGATTTAGTAAATTAATAAATGGGGGGAAGAAACAAATGTCCCATGTTAATAATTTAAATAAATTATATCCACTCCTCCATAAATGAGGAGGAATATAACTGCTCTCTTTAAGTGTGAGCTATAGTGATTTTCTTCCAAAGACTGCAACATGGAAAGAAAAAATAACTTTACTCAAGCTTTGTAACTAAAATTAACTTTACCTTGAAAAACCTGAAAAGCACAACTTTACCCAGGTATTAAAGCCAATGTCAATAGTCATAAATCATATTAACAATATGTGCTTTTGATATGATGTGTTGAAAATGGCTTTTTACCTCAGTGGTCTTGCTCTCCTAAACCTATAACCTCAGTCTAATCATAAGAAACTTCAGAAAAATTCCAATATAAAGGTAACCTATAAAACACCAAAATAGTAAAGCTTAAAATTGCCAAGGGCAACAAAACCAACAAAACCTTTGAGAAATGTCACAGCCCAGATAAACCTAAGTAGACATGACAACTAAATGTAATTGCTTCTTTGGATGGAATTCTTGTATAGAAAAGGACATTAGGTAAAAGCTAAAGAAATCTGAAGAAAAATATGGACTTTAATTAATAATAATGCTTCAATATGAGTTTATTACATGTAAGAATGCACCATAGTAATATATTGTGTGACAATAGGAAAACTGAATGTGGGTTATATAGGATTTCTATGTACTATCTTCTAAAATTTTCTTTGTATTTGAAACTAAAAAATAAAGGCCATTAAAAATTAAATTGTGTGTAGTAAGAATTTGCCCATTTATTCAGTTAAAATTCAAGAAAGGTTAACTTATTTCATAAGGTAACACAAAGAGTTAAGTATTAAGAAGTATATTAATGTAATCAACACATAGGGCTATTGCCGTAACTATTATTATGTCTGCTGTTTTATCTTTTTCACAGTTAATTTCAAATTAGACCATCCTCTATTTCATAATCACTTCAGTAACATAATCCATATAGGTGCAAAACACAATATAGAATGTCATGGAAATAACATTCAATCTGCAGTGACACAGACATGACTTAAATTCTACCTCTTTATTAGTTGTCACATCATTTAGTAACATCATTTGGTGTATCTAGCCCTTTGTTTTGTAAAATGCTTCCATGTCCTATTGTCCCTATTATGTATTAAATGCAATCAAAACACTTGCCTTAAATAATATTTGAATTTTGTAGTGTGAAAGAAAAATAGAATCTCAAGACCTGAAACTCACTATACCAAAGGGAAAGTTAAATTTGGGAACTGAATCATGGCCAAACTGCCTTCCTTTTGTTTCCAGATAGCTGTAATTTCACATCCTTACTTTGTCTTGTATAAAATGTATATTTACTGAGCACAAGATGAATGCATAATTTGCTTTCCCTTCTACTCCTTTTCACAGGTAAAATATAGATTCACTGAATGCTAATCAAAGCCTCACAAGAATGAAACTATTTGCCTTATTGCCTACCCACATACCTTTTCCCTTCCCCTCCTGTCTGCTCTTTTCCCTTTCAGTACTGAATTTCCCAAAACCCTATTTGGAAAAATCACAGTCCATAGATTTTACTGTAACTTGTATTTCTCTTTCCCAGGCATGTCCGCAACCTTGGCAAAATAATTGAGATCTGCTTCAGTCATTTTTTGATTATGTACAAATGTAAAGCAAAATTTTACATTCGTATTAAATAGATACATAATAAAATTTTTTACTTTCATCTCATTTTCCATTTGCCCTAAGAATGCTCACTGGCAGCACTTGCAGCTGCAGCATTTACCCCAAGATAACTTTGCCATGAACTATCTCGCTTTTATTCTTATTTTTGCATTGGTCTAGTATATCACCTTTGGAAACAGAAGACATCATTCTATTTATAGCGTTATGTTTTTAATAGTGGTATTTTCATTAAAATATAGTAATTCTCAAATGCTGAAAATGTTAAATCCTAAAAAACATAGCATTCCTATGAGTGGTGTTAACATTGTTCTCCAGTAGTAGTTGGCTGAAGATAAATTTGATTAATTTGATTTTTCCAAAATAGAAGATTCTGATGATTCAGACAATTCTGATGTTAGTTCTGTTTAGACATAACTCCAAGAACAGTTTGTATATTTTATTTTCACATTGAAAGTCAGACAGATTTGCTTCAGACAGATTTCCTTCAGCCTCAAAGAGCATACTTATGTAAAATTAAATGAGCACTGGCAGTGAGCTGCATTTTTTTTTTCTAAATGGGAAAGAGGTTAAAATAATGTTTTAATTATTTTTATGATATATTGAATTCACAATGACATGAAAATATGGCAAATATTTTCATTTAAATGTATAATAATGTATTAGTGAAAGAAAAACACAATATGTAACTTATCAAAGTTACAAAGGGAATAATAGAGCATTAGAATTGTTTCACAGATAATATGATGTTAAAATTATATTTTATAAAGCAAAATCAGTAAAATGATTATATTTGGATCTTTTCTACACAGGTCCGTTGACTTTTCTTCTTAAAATGACTGGCTAATAGATGAATGACTCCATCAAATTACTAGTTATATTAATTTGCCAAAGAATTGTCTGATTGCTTAATTCAAATTGCCAATTGCTTTTATGTTATAGTAATGTCATATAACTTATAGTAATATAATATTATATTAAGATATACATATATGTAATCTTAATATATTAAGACATCTAAGTTTATTTTATGTGGCATAGACAGAACATGTATACTTTTCTGGACTTTAAATATAGATTTCTAACATTAAAAAATTAAAATAATTAAATTTCTTAATAAGGAGAAACATACACAAGAAAGATGCTAAGAAATCAACTCTGAACAATATTAATATCAGATAATGTTAAATTCAATGTTTTGAAAATATTTATAAGCGATTAAAATTATATTTATATCAATAAAATGTATAATTCAAAAAACAAGTCAACAAGCATTTATCAACCTAGAAACTTAGCTCTAAAAATACAGAACATGATTTTAGAGTAACATAGCCAACATTTATTCTCATATACTTTTATTAATCCTTAATGAATTATATTATACATTTATTATATATACACATCTGTATTTGTATGTATAAGCACTAGATACAGATGTGAATACAGTTATCTTCATAAAGATAACCTCTTCATTAATAGAAACTCCGTTCTCCAGTGCTCAGAACAACTGTATCACATCAGCACTATTAATATTACCATTTTATATATGGAAAGTGAGAAACACAGAGGTAAGTTTCGTAGAATTTTTAAGATAGAATATAGAGTAGCCAGACTACAGAGGCTTTGAAATTAACCACTACATTAATGTGTCTGAAAAAGTAATAAAATAAAGTATAAGAAATCTTTCAGAAACTAATAGATCAAGGTTAAAACAAATAAGTCTTTCCGGAATTTGTACACCAAAATTAACTAATTTCATTCAGTGAGAGAGAATGACAATTTGCACCCAAGAAACAAATTACATATATTTTTCAAAATACCGGGAAAACAATTTAAATGTTTATGGGTTAGGCTATTAATGAAAGTTTCAAGGAATTCCGTAATGTAGAAATCATTCAGATCATGGCCTCAGTGAGGAGGTGCTGTTCATGTTATGGGAAGAAAGGAGTTATTCACTCAAGAGCTGCAAGTCCCCGCTAGTATGCACCAGCTGGAATCAGCACGAAGCGCCTGGGGCTTTAGAACGGAAAGAGCTGGTAAGGTGTCAGAATATAAGACAGAAGACCATACACTAGAGCTTTCTTTAAAAAAAAATCTAGAGGACACTCTCAAAAATCAGGATTTAATAACCTGGCAAGGTCATCTTCTGTCAGTTCTAATATGCTACTAGAATAGTTCTTCAGAACTTAGGAAAAAAATACAAATTACATGGAGATTCTGGAAGTTCCTTGCTACAGAACAAACCATTTTAAACGTTCAGGGAGATTGGCATGTTAAGTGGTAAAACCAAAAATAACACCAGCTGACTATGTTTCTAAGGAGAGCAGAGATCACACCCACTTCACTACAATGATGGGAATATAGTAATGAGGAGAGCAAAAGCATTCTTGAAAATCTTGTCCTCTGTGAACCAGTATTGATTATAGGCGAAACTGCTATGAAATTTGGCTCCAGTACTGGAGAAAATAGGATTTGTAGAGTCCTAGTGGTCTCATGTGACATGGGGTTTTGTGTCAGTGGTTAATAGACTATTGTCTCTCGAAATGAGATATTAATAGATAGGATGGGTTTAAGTATGTTTCTTAACGTTTATAACCAAAATATTAAGAGTGATTAGACAGAGGCAATGTCAATTGTAGCAGTGGAAAAATAAACTGCAGCTTAGCTTCCAGACAAAGGCAAATTCTCCAAGACAATAGCTATTGAGATTTAAAAAATTAAAAAAAAATTTCCCTCACTTCCAGGAAAAGACTGACAGCCTTATAGCCAGTGAATATTAAAATGGTTTTAACAAGTAAGCGCCAGGATGGGTTATAAACTGGTGTGATCAATGACAACTTGCTTCCGCAAGCATACTAGCCAATTAGTACACTGAACTAATAGTAGCCTCACACTGAACACCAGCCAGAGTGCAGACACTCCAAGGAACACACTTTCTAGACTGAATGTCAACCTACTCTTACTTTAAACCAACATTAAACATACTTTTCTAGACAACATAAATCATGAGTTTTTGACTGATTTCAACCACTGTAATATTCATAACCAACACAATCCGAAATAATTTTCCCCAAAACCTTATGCAAGATCAGTTTATTTTTCTTAATGAATTCACATCTGACCAGCTCTCTTGTATTGAAGTAAGCAGTAAATCCATCTTCATAATTTTATGTATTGAGAGACGTTCTCATTCCTTGAAATTTTGGCTATTCAGTCAATATTATATTAAATAAACTTTCTGACCGGGCGTGGTGGCTCATGCCTGTAATCCCAGCACTTTGGGAGGCCGAGGCGGGCGGATCACGAGGTCAGGAGATCGAGACCATCCTGGCTAACACGGTGAAACCCCGTCTCTACTAAAAATACAAAAAAATTAGCCGGGCGTGGTGGCAGGCGCCTGTAGTCCCACCTACTCGGGAGGCTGAGGCAGGAGAATGGCGTGAACCCGGGAGGCGGAGCTTGCAGCGAGCCAAGATCGCGCCACCGCACTCCAGCCTGGGTGACAGAGCGAGACTGTCTCAAAAAAAAATAATAATAAATAAAAATAAAAAATAAAAATAAAAAAATAAACTTGCTTCGTATCATTTGATGGTAACCTCAGGTGAACAGGAAGTACACATATTAACAGCACTCTGTACTCAAATTCCTTTTGTCTTTACAGTTTACTGTCAAGTAACTTGATCTCAGACATAATCTAAACTCTAGTTTGATACGTAGAGTTCATGGTATTTAGTTTATTTTGTTATGCTGGAAACTATTACTAATTAGCATATTTTAAAAATTGCTTTTTGTTAAAGTGGTCTTACTTTCCTTTGGAGGTACATCACGGTTAAATAATTAGATCTGGGTATTTATATGAGGTTATTAGAACTTTATATTTGTTGGTGTAATGTTTGGTAAATATTTCTGTATTAACCTGATTAGTCAAACATTGTTGATCTATATCTTGATTTTGCATGACTATTTGTACAGTCTTCCTGTGCTTTAGTCTTGCCTTAAATTTTTGTTGTCTTGAATTTTTTTTCTTGAGTGCTTTTGTTCTATAGAGAACAGATAGAGGCCTACAATCATAACATCTGTAATTCAAGCTGGCCCTGAGACTAATACTTGAAGGTCCACTAGACTAGCAAACAATTCATGCGAAGGTGCTGAGTCAATTTTGGCTTTGAGTCCCTTACATACTATCATAAAGACATTGCTATTTAACAAATTTTGAAAGAATATGGCTTTATTTAATCCATCTTTCAGAATCAACAATATCTAGTTCAACTATCACATTGCTCTTTTTGAGATTCTCTTTGGTGAGGGAATCTGAAAGAATCTTCACAATCATCAATTTTGACAGACACTAGTGTCCTCTTTCCTTTTCGTTAAACGTTTTTTCTATGTCAAATCTGCAGTTCATTCCTAGCAGAAATCCTTATATCTAGACAAATTTTTAATAAAATAAAATTATTGCACTTATCTTGGAAAATGTCAAAGTTACATTTTATTTGAGTAGCAATGATCCTCTGGAAAAAGGTTGATAAGTCAAAATTAACATATTTTTAAAATATTATAAGAATCTGGAAAAATCATTTTAAAAAATTAGTAGTGTCTAAAACTTTCAGTAATCTGAATTGTTGGAATGAAGAGCATACACATTTTTGTCTAATTAGTGATTTTAGGTTGAAACATTCAGTTTTTCTTTATTAAATGTGTTTTTATCTGTAGGAATTTTCATAGATGCTGTTTATCAAGTTGAGGAAGGTTCTGTTTCTAGTTTTCTGAGAGTGTTTATCATGAATGGATGTTGGATTTTATCATTTTTTCTGCTTCATTTGATGTGATCATATCATTTTTTATTTTTTACACTCGATATGTTGGGTTAAATTGGCTAACGTTTAAATGTTGAATCAACCTCATATACTTGCCACTTCATAACAGATCATAGCTCTTTTTATAAATGGTTGGATCTGTTTGCTCATATTTTGTTGAGAAATTTTGCCTGTAAATTTGAGAAATACTGATCAGTTTTCTTTCTTTTCTTGTACTAAGCTTGATTTTGATATTAGTATATTACTTACTATTCTCATAAAATAAATTGAAAATCTATTTTCTGGAAGATAAAGTGCAATGTTTTTAAATATTTAGTAGAATTTTCCAGTGAAATCATTTGGGCATGGAGATTTATTTTTTGAGAGCTTTTAAGTTACTTACTCAGTTTCTTTAGTGATATAATTCTTTCTAGATTGTCTATTTTATCTAAATTGTGTTTTGATACTGTATTAGCTCTCTATTGCTAATGTAACAAATTATCTCAAAATTAGTGGCTTCAAAATACCACAAATTTGTTATATTTAAAGTTCTGGATGTCAGAAATCCTAAATGCAAGACATCAGCAAAGCATCATTCCTTTGGGAAACTCTAAGGAAGAATCCTTTTCTTTGCCTTTTCCAGCTTTTAGAGGTCACCTAAATTCCTAAGTTCATGGCCTCTTCCACTTTCTTCAATGTCAGCAGTATAGTATCTTTAAATCTCTCTTTCTATGACTTCTGCTTCTGTTGTCACATATTTTCTGAATTTCACACTCCTACCTTCTTCTTGTAATCCTTTGTGATTGCATTGTTCCTACTGAAATAATCCAGTGTAATACTCCCTATCTCAAGAGTCTTAATTTAATCAGATCTGCTAATTTCCTTTTACTATATAACGTAACATATTGACAGGCTTCAGGTATTAGAAGACACATAAACTGGGGAAGGGGTATTTTTCTGCCCACCACAGGTAGTTTGTGGTTTTCAATGAATTTATTTATTTTTACAAAATTGTCAATTTTATGGACATAAATTTGTTCGTAGATCTCTTTATTATCCTCTTAGTGACTGCAGGATCTGCAGTGATATCATCTTTTAATTCCTGATATTGGTGATTTGTGTCTTATATTTTGATTTTTGCCAGTCTCACTAGAAATTTGTCTATTTTAAGTTTTTAAGGAACTTTTTGTATCACTGATTTGTCTACTCTTTTTCTGATTTATTTCTTCAATTTCTGCTCTTGTCTTTATTTTTCTTTGTTTTTAATTGCTCTTTGCTAGTTTCTTGAGGTAGGAATTTTAGATTATTGACCTGAGATATTTCTTCTTTTCTAATGAAAGCATGCCTTTCTCTCTTAGTACTGCTTTATCTCTGCCTCATGTAATTTGATGTGTTGCATTTTTATTTTCATTTATTTCTATATATTTCTTTGATATTTCCTCTTTGACCTATGAATTATTTATAAGTGTGTTGTTTAATTTTTTCATGTCTGGAGATTTTCCTGTTATGTTTTTCTTATTTATTTCTAGTTTGATTTTATTATGGTCCATTATAGTATTATTATATTCTCTTAATTTTTGATGTCTCCTTCATGGCTCAATATACAGTTTATCTTTGTAGAAGATGAACATAAAAAAAACTAAGGCCTGAAAGATTGGTGAAATGCTTAGAGGTTTAGTGGTCTGATTCATACTAAGATATCCTTTCTAAGAGAGAGAACAATTTATTGTGCCTTGCACCTACCATTTTTTAGAAAAGTGATGCAACTTTTGGTTGGCATATTAAGATTTTGACCACAGTGCATACCACACCTGAGTCTGTTCTTCTAACCCTATTTACCAGGAGACTCACAAGGCTACCAATTTTAGTGTGGGTCATTATATCCAATGACTGTTCAGAGGGTTTAAGCTGTAATATAAATAGCCCTGCTCTTGGGCCATGAGACCTGGTAGATTCAATAGTGCTACAGATTTCTTTAGTGGATGAAAACACACTGTGAAGAATACTCAGAGGAGCAATTAAGCTTATACCTATCGGGTGTTAGAATAAGTTCTTACCTTCTGCAGAAAAGAAATATTCATCACTCAAAAAGCGGCTCCTGAATGCCATTGCACCATATTGGAAACTAAGCATTAGATCATGGACTGTGATATAACTATGTAACCAGTGCTGCACTCAAAATCTGCGTCATGTGAACCCCACAAATCATTATTTGGGGCAGACACAATAGTAATCTATCGTACAACAGAATCTGGTCTTAGTACATACAGAAGGGAGATATAGTACATACATGCATTTCTGAACAATAGCAAATACCTTAGGTAGTTCGTAGAAGGTCTGTAGGAGGTAAGTAAGAAGTGGGGAGACAAAGAACTTTAGAAATAGGAATGGACTGGGTACTAAACTATGCATATCTTTGTATCTTATATCAGAATCCATAAAAGGACATGCACTGCTAAGGACACATAGATTAACCAAATTAAAAAAAATTTAAAAAAAAAACCTCTCTTTTTACTGACTCTGGTGTCTACACAATTAGTTCGTACAGCTATTTTGGTAGGAATGGACACATATAATGAGGCCATTAGTAGCTATTTGGATAAGAATGGACATATAACATGAGGCCAACAGTAAGAAGACAGCCAAGATTATGCTACCATGGTAATGCTGTTGTATTTTGGCTCATGGTTATATCATGGGAGTTGTCAGAAGTACCAAAATAATATAACTTAAAGATTATCATCAGTCGAGTATCCCACCCTCTCTCCCAAATATGCCTGCCCCTTCTAGGCTGTTATGTGGTGCTCAGAATGTGATGCTTCACAGAGGAGTTGCATATATTTCTTTAGCAAATCATAATGACATGAATCTATCTCATAAATAGTACTTCAGTAGTCCTGGTGTGTTGCTAATTTTTTGGCATGACACTTGTGGATGCCACTATAGTAATTTTTTTTATTTGCAACTATATAAAGTCCTAATTGATACAGATGACCTAATATAAGGTCAAGGCATAATATGAACTCCTATCTTATAAAACAGCAATATCTAATTAACAAATATAATTTATACTACTGGTTTACAATAACAATTTAAAATCAAAACATTTACAAAGAATAAAATTAATCAAATGTTCAACAACTGGTTAAAGTATGGCCTATGAAATTTTATTAGACTTACATATTTGTATATGTATATACATGTTTGTGTTTATATTCTTATCATTTAAAGAATTAAATCTACTGAAATAAACCTATAAATGGAATGAAATTCTTTCAAATGACATTATATTTTATGTAACTTGGTAGAAGATCCTCAGGTTCATTTGAAAGAGACTATTTGAAGAGCAGACACTATGTTTTAGAGAATTATATTTTCACTTACCAAAGCTTAGTATTTAGCCAGAATGGTACTAGCATAAAAATGGAAACAATTTAGATCTATATAAAAGTTTACAGGATCTAGAAACTGATCCTATGTCAATTTAAAAATATACTATCCTATCCTATAAAATATTTTTCTATAAGGATGGCATTTAGCTCAGTAGAAAATGAAGATTTTTTTATTAATTGCTTGGAGACAATTGTCATTCTATGTGGAGAATAATAAAGTCTCAATTTACACCTCACACTCTTTAGAAATAATGAATTATAAGTAGATTGAGAACTCAATATTATAAAAAACAAACTACAAAATTGTGGCAGTACATATTTTATAAATTGGGTTTGACCTTCCTACAAAAGACAGAAAGTGAAAAAGTTATTAAAGATAGATGGCAGATAGATGAACAGATAGGCAATCATACACATATATGTGTACAGACATAAATAGATACAGTGGTCATTCTGATACCATATGTTACATGTATTCCTAAACAGCCTTGAATTCCAAATACTCATACATTAAATTTCAGGGTTTAAGAGAAATCACTCACTCACACACACACACTCACACACACACACACACACACAAACACACACACGTGTATTTATATATACATATACACATACACACACACACAACCCAAATACTATGCAATGTTATAACAAAAGTGATGCAAAAATGCTTATACTTACCTTAAAAAAAATAAAAAAAATAGCAATAGTATTTGAGAAGATAATTGGACTACTCAAGAAAGCGCGGAAACTGCCGCTGTAGGTATTGAAAATAAAACAGTAGAGTGAATATTCTTACCATCCTTTAACTCAAGCAGGGTAGATTCTAAGGCAAGATTGGTAGGGCTGACCCATAAAACAATGGGGTCATCTTTAACATAGGCAAGGCTGATGTCATAATTTCCCATGAATCCAAAGCTTTCTGTGTCTTCATATAAATGTCCATGAGGGAGGATTTCTGGAGACAGTAATGTGTTTGTAATTTAATTTAAATAAAGCACAACAGTCTGTACCACCAGTGCAGCAGGCAAGGTGTTTTTTATTTGTTTGCTTGCTTGTTTTTATTTTCTACAGAATAGTATAATGCAATTTCTGCTATTCTGGCAGCAATTGCCCATGAAAAAGCACATATGGAAAATAGTGACTCTGCTTATATGACATGTTTTTCGTATTTTCTAATCACATGTGAGCTAATTCACATTGCAGAGGTATCTATTGTATATGAAAAAGACTGAGAAAAGTAGTAAAGATATAGACAGAGATAAAGAAAGAGACAGAGGCCTGGCACAGTGGCTCACGCCTGTAATCCCAGCATTTTGGGAGGCTAAGGTGGGTGGATCACTTTGAGGTCAGGAGTTCAAGACCAGCCTGGCCAACATGGTGAAACCTCATCTCTATTTAAAATACAAAAATTAGTCAGATGTGCTGGCAGGCACCTGTAGCCTCAGCTACTCGAGAGGCTGATGCCGGGGAATTGCTTGAACCTAGGAGGTGGAGGTTTTAGTGAGCCAAGATCAGGCCACTGCACTCCAGCCTGGGTGACAGAGCGAGACTGTGTCTGAGAAAAAAAAAATGAATATAAATAGGTGTAGGTGTGTAATCTACTTATGTAAGAGTCCCTGTAGGGAACAGAT
Source organism: Homo sapiens (assembly GCF_000001405.40). Taxonomy (NCBI): domain Eukaryota; kingdom Metazoa; phylum Chordata; class Mammalia; order Primates; family Hominidae; genus Homo; species Homo sapiens. The sequence continues at coordinate 63,028,838 of NC_000004.12, read as the reverse complement.
GACACAACAAAATGGTGTAATTGAGCATAACATAATTGAAAGACTACTTTTAAAAATATAGGAAGATGCTTTTAGGTCTAACGTTTAAGTCTTTAATCTATCTTGAATTGATTTTTGTATAAGGTGTAAGGAAGGGATCCAGTTTCAGCTTTCTACATATGGCTAGCCAGTTTTCCCACCACCACTTATTAAATAGAGAATCCTTTCCCCATTGCTTGTTTTTCTCAGGTTTGTCAAAGATCAGAGAGTTGTAGATATGCGGCATTATTTCTGAGGGCTCTGTTCTGTTCCATTGATCTATATCTCTGTTTTGGTACCAGTGCCATGCTGTTTTGGTTACTGTAGCCTTGTAGTATAGTTTGAAGTCAGGTAGTGTGATGCCTCCAGCTTTGTTCTTTTGGCTCAGGATTGACTTGGAGATGCGGGCTCTTTTTTGGTTCCATATGAACTTTAAAGTAGTTTTTTCCAATTCTGTGAAGAAAGTCATTGGTAGCTTGATGGGGATGGCATTGAATCTATAAATTACCTTGGGCAGTATGGCCATTTTCACGATATTGATTCTTCCTACCCATGAGCATGGAATGTTCTTCCATTTGTTTGTATCCTCTTTTATTTCCTTGAGCAGTGGTTTGTAGTTCTCCTTGAAGAGGTCCTTCACATCCCTTGTAAGTTGGATTCCTAGGTATTTTATTCTCTTTGAAGCAATTGTGAATGGGAGTTCACTCATGATTTGGCTCTCTGTTTGTCTGTTGTTGGTGTATAAGAATGCTTGTGATTTTTGTACATTGATTTTATATCCTGAGACTTTGCTGAAGTTGCTTATCAGCTTAAGGAGATTTTGGGTTGAGACAATGGGGTTTTCTACATATACAATCATGTCATCTGCAAACAGGGACAATTTGACTTCCTCTTTTCCTAATTGAATACACTTTATTTCCTTCTCCTGCCTAATTGCCCTGGCCAGAATTTCCAACACTATGTTGAATAGGAGTGGTGAGAGAGGGCATCCCTGTCTTGTGCCAGTTTTCAAAGGGAATGCTTCCAGTTTTTGCCCATTCAGTATGATATTGGCTGTGGGTTTGTCATAGATAGCTCTTATTATTTTGAGATACGTCCCATCAATACCTAATTTATTGAGAGTTTTTAGCATGAAGCGTTGTTGAATTTTGTCAAAGGCCTTTTCTGCATCTATTGAGATAATCATGTGGTTTTTGTCTTTGGTTCTGTTTATATGCTGGTTACATTTACTGATTTGCATATATTGAACCAGGCTTGCATCCCAGGGATGAAGCCCACTTGATCATGGTGGATAAGCTTTTTGATGTGCTGCTGGATTCGGTTTGCCAGTATTTTATTGAGGATTTTTGCATCAATGTTCATCAAGGGTATTGGTCTAAAATTCTCTTTTTTTGTTGTGTCTCTGCCAGGCTTTGGTATCAGGATGATGCTGGCCTCATAAAATGAGTTAGGGAGGATTCCCTCTTTTTCTATTGATTGGAATAGTTTCAGAAGGAATGGTACCAGTTCCTCCTTGTACCTCTGGTAGAATTCGGCTGTGAATCCATGTGGTCCTGGACTCTTTTTGGTTGGTAAGCTATTGATTATTGCCACAATTTCAGCTCCTGTTATTGGTCTATTCAGAGATTCAACTTCTTCCTGTTTTAGTCTTGGGAGAGTGCATGTGTCGAGGAATTTATCCATTTCTTCTAGATTTTCTAGTTTATTTGCGTAGAGGTGTTTATAGTATTCTCTGATGGTAGTTTGTATTTCTGTGGGATCGGTGGTGATATCCCCTTTATCACTTTTTATTGCATCTATTTGATTCTTCTCTCTTTTTTTCTTTATTAGTCTTGCTAGCAGTCTATCAATTTTGTTGATCCTTTCAAAAAACCAGCTCCTGGATTCGTTAATTTCTTGAAGGGTTTTTATGTCTCTATTTCCTTCAGTTCTGCTCTGATTTTAGTTATTTCTTACCTTCTGCTAGCTTTTGAATGTGTTTGCTCTTGCTTTTCTAGTTCTTTTAATTGTGATGTTAAGGTGTCAATTTTGGATCTTTCCTGCTTTCTCTTGTGAGCATTTAGTGCTATAAATTTCCCTCTACACACTGCTTTGAATGTGTCCCAGAGATTCTGGTATGTTGTGTCTTTGTTCTCGTTGGTTTCAAAGAATATCTTTAGATGGATTAAAGACTTAAACGTTAGACCTAAAACCATAAAAACCCTAGAAGAAAACTTAGGCATTACCATTCAGGACGTAGGCATGGGCAAGGACTTCATGTCTAAAACAGCAAAAGCAATGGCAACAAAAGCCAAAATTGACAAACGGGATCTAATTAAACTAAAGAGCTTCTGCACAGCAAAAGAAACTACCATCAGAGTGAACAGGCAACCTGCAAAATGGGAGAAAATTTTTGCAACCTACTCATCTGACAAAGGGCTAATATCCAGAATCTACAATGAACCCAAACAAATTTACAAGAAAAAAACAAACAACCCCATCAAAAAGTGGACAAAGGACATGAACAGATGCTTCTCAAAAGAAGACATTTATGCAGCCAAAAAACACATGAAAAAATGTTCATCATCACTGGCCATCAGAGAAATGCAAATCAAAACCACAATGAGATACCATCTCACACCAGTTAGAATGCCAATCATTAAAAAGTCAGGAAACTGCAGGTGCTGCAGAGGATGTGGAGAAATAGGAACACTTTTACACTGTTGGTGGGACTGTAAACTAGTTCAACCATTGTGGAAGTCAGTGTGGCGATTCCTCAGGGATCTAGAACTAGAAATACCATTCGACCCAGCAATCCCATTACGGGGTATACACCCAAAGGATTATAAATCATGCTGCTATAAAGGCACATGCACACATATGTTTATTGCGGCACTATTCACAATAGCAAAGACTTGGAACCAACCCAAATATCCAACAATGATAGACTGGATTAAGAAAATGTGGCACATATACACCATGGAATACTATGCAGTCATAAAAAATGATGAGTTCATGTCCTTTGTAGGGACATGGATGAAATTGGAAGTCATCATTCTCAGTAAACTATCGCAAGAACAAAAAACAAAACACTGCATATTCTCACTCATAGGTGGGAATTGAACAACGAGAACACATGGACACAGGAAGGGGAACATCACACTCTGGGGACTGTTATGGGGTAGGGGGAGTGGGGAGGGATAGTATTGGGAGATATACCTAATGCTAGATGACGAGTTAGTGGGTGCAGCCCACGAGCATGGCACATGTATACATATGTAACTAACCTGCACATTGTGCACATGTACCCTAAAACTTAAAGTATAATAATAATAATTAAGAAATATATATATAAGAAGATTTGGGGAAAGGACAAAAAAGGACAGTAGCATGGTCACTAAGAGCTTTTCCCATCAGACCCCTTAAAAAGAACAATATACAAAGAGGAAATCATGACAAAAATCATGGAGATTTTCACAGAGGGAATGAGCCAACTCTTGTCCACCCAACAGAGAAGGAGCAGGGAATATAAAACTCTCCTCACCCTCTTTCTACTCTCTGATAGCTGGTAGCAGAAAGCTAGTAACTGATATAATCTATGTCACTCTCATGGGTTAGAGAACAGAGTGTAGAAAGATGGACAGGCCGTCATATTTGTAAGGAAAATATGAACATGTATGGGGAGTGTGCGCATGTGTGTGTGATAAAATTCTTTAAGGGTGACAGTTATATATTTGAATCTGTGAGAGTACACTTGCAAAAGAGAACTTTGCCTCTATACTCTCTATTGCATTGCATAATTGAAATTTTTATTAAAAAGTAAATTTGTTCAACATTTAAATATACGTATGGCTCTTTAAAAAAACTACCTGCATAGTGCTACTGAAATATTTTTATATTCTTGTCGTTATTTCTTAGTATTGCAGTTTTTAGGGTTTGTTAACTTTTAAAATTAAGGAATAAACCATCTTTACACTAAGGCCTTTAGGAAAAAGCCTTTAAATAGAACAGGGAAAAGTTTTATATACATTATCTGAATTTGCTTTCCAAAGCTAGGAGAGAAATAATTGCATTTTTTAAGAGAGGAAGTTATGTCTTTGTATGGTTTTACAGCTACTTGTGTGAAAAAGAAAATCTGTAATTTTACTGCTTATATTTTCAGGAGTAAATGCACATTGAGGAAACTCTTTCAGTAGAAAGGGAAGCTATAAAAATCTGTCTTACATCAGAGAAATACAGTATGTATATCTGCCAGACTCTGACTTTCCCCAGCTCTGAGACAATAATTTTTCTAAGCACAATTATTTCTAGTAGTGACATCAACAATAGATAAATGTGCATCCTTTAAAATAACATCTTGGTGTTTTATTATTTCTCCAAAAGCAAAAACAGAAATACTAACTCACTATTATTCTTACAAGTCCATTTGTTATCATGATATGACAAGTCCATTTGTTCCAAAGGTGTTTACCCAGAATCACAAAGAAATTGTTTCCCACCAAATTATCAAAATTGTACCAAATTTTAGCTATTTTATGTAAGAATACTGTGAGAGACAAAAGACATGTATATCCTGAAAAATAATTGCATTTATATGTAGTTTATTCAATCTAGTTTACAAGATGAAAAAAGTCAATTTTATGAACACAAGTTTTTATGGAATTATATTATTTAATTTACATCGTAATTTTCAGCTTTATACAACTTCTCAAGAGGATAATAGTGATTACACTATTGCAATTCCTTATGGAGTACCCCTAAGCTACACACTAGCACTCAGGTAGAAAATAAGAAAATATAGATTTATTTTATTTTGTGTGTGTGTGTGTGTGTGTTTTCTGAAATCTTTTTTAAAGTTCATGGGTACATGTGCAGGTTTGTTACATAAGTAAACTTGTGTTATGGGGTTTGTTGTACAGATTTTTCATCACCCAAGTATTAAGCCTAGTACCCATTAGATATTTTTCCTGATCCTCTCCCTCATCCCACCATCCACCCTCTGATAGGCCCCAGTGTGTGTTGTTTCCCTCTATGTGTCCATGTCTTCTCATCATTTAGCTCCCACTTATAAGTGAGAACATTTGGTACTTGGTTTTCTGTTTCTGCATTAGTTTGCTAAGAATAATTGCCTTCAGCTCCATCCATGTACCTACAAAGGACGTGATCTCATTCTTTTTTATGGCCGCATAGTGTTCCATGGTGTATATATACCACATTTTCTTTATCCAGTCTATCATTGATGGGCATTTAGATTGCTTTCGTGTCTTTGCTAGAAAATAAGCAAATATAGTTTATGTAATAAACATGTACTAAATTTAGATAATGAAAACATCTATGAATCTACAACTACATTTTTCATTAAAACTGTCATGGACATGTTACTGTGTTCAAAAAATTCAGACTGAAACAAAAGTAAAATGTAACTTCTAAACAAATATATTGGTTTGGTGAATATTTAAAACATTTATAAAATATAGATGACGATTTTTGGAAAGAAGCACTTTAATTCATATTCACTGAATATAATAATAGTCAAATATGAAAACCATCTTATTATATTTTAAATTTAATTTTCCTAGCACATGAGAAACTCAAATAATGAAAAAGCAACATTGTTTTATATCTAACTATAACAGGATATATTGAGGCTATTTTTAGAGTTTTATTATTATGCATGGTGTTTAATATGTATTATGTGTATATGTATATATACATGCAAACACACCCGAATATATTGTTTATCAGAGATATTACTAGCTGTGTTATATACTAAGATTTCTTACCAAAAACTGATTGTATATTTAACAATAATTTTGGCATTTATGAAGATAAGTTACCTTTTGTCATTTTGACTATTAAAACTGTACATTGTGATTTGTAGCCTAAATGATTTATATTAAGAGACATCAATGTATATAATTTGCTTATTAATACTAAAATAATATCTATAATATTGATACAGGCATTCATAATTTGCTTGATGTTTGGTCAAAAGTATACTATTTTAATATACTACTGGAGCTAATTTGCCAATCTTTTTATTACTTAAGCAGCTATAGTCAAAAGTGAGAAGAATCTTTTTCCATATTAATGACATTTTCATATCAAATAAAAAAATAGAAATGTGTAATCTCTGATATGGAAAATATAAAAATATGGACTTTCTGTGAATGAATATTCTGAAAATAATGCACAAAACACTCTGAGCAAGATTATTTTTTCACAAGGTCCTCATTGCATATTAATAGGATTCTCTATTTTTTCCATGGCTATCAGTCTGGATTCCTATTGTATCTTGACTCAAATTTAATGCTTCATATTACCCAAGAAAGAAATTACTTTTACTCAGGTATTTAAATACATTAATATAAAATTGTGCAACATTAAATTCAAATTAAGTATACAACATACATAGGGCTATTTGATCTTTCTTATTTCCCTTTGAGCATATATATGTGGAATTGTATTTTGTTTGTGTGCTTGTTTTTTATTTAGGGCTTTTTAGCAATTTCTTGTTATCTTTATTTCTTTATCAAGTGTCTTACTGAATATCATTTTATTGATTTTTTAAGAAATTGCTCTAATTTCTCAATATTTAAGGGAATTTTGTTTCCATATTTATTCCTTTTCTCTGCCTTCCTTTTGTTTGAATATTGATTGGATATTGGTTTTATTTGGATGAGATATTTTAATCCCTAGGGATATAATTACAGAATAGGACTTATTCTTATACCTGATCATGACTGGAGCGGATCATCACCATCTGCCCCCAAAACAGCCACAAAGGTGAGGAAAGGAACTCCCAAGAGAATATGTTTGAAGGTCAGCTAAGGAAAAATAAGATTGTTTTGTGTGTAGTCACAGAGAAAATACTTGATAAACTTCACATAATGAGGAAAAATAATATAAGACCCTTACTCTCATTGCACTTACAGTCTGATTTTTAAAAGAGAGAAAAAGATTGTTAAATTTCTATAAAATCTGATGCATGCTAAGGCAGAGAAAATTCATGGTTCTAGGGAAACTCCTAAAAGTTGCATCTAATCAAAACATAAGGAGCTTGAGAAAACTTTCTGAAAGTGATATCTAAATTTAGAGCTGAAAAATAAGTCATCATTACATAGGTAAAAAGTGACAGAAAAATAAACATTTATAGGAAAAGAAATAACACACTTCATGACAGAGAGACAATGTAACATAGTATATGTGATCAATACAAATAAGTTCCACATATTTGGAACATAGATTTTGGGTGCTGGAATTTATCTAAAGAGTTTGGAAGTGGGAGAGTCATCAAAATTACAGTAAACACTTTGAAATCTATCATGAAGACAATTTGAAGTAATTTTTTTAAAAAATAGGATAATGTAATAGTACTACTTTAATTTTATAATGGCCTAGAGTTAAAAGAGGAAGAGAGATGAGTTAGGGTGCTGTTATAATTTAGACAAAAGTGCTCTGGATTAAGGTGGGGCCATTGGAGATGAAGAGAAGTAAGTGAATTCAAAGTATTTGGTGGATTTGGTGAATTATTGGATATAAATTGGGTAAAATAATGAAGTAGACTGTTATGGATTTAATTGCAGTCCCCTAAAGTTCATATGTTGAGATCCCAACCAACAACACCTCAGGATGTAACCTGGTTTGGCTATAGGGACATTGCAGATGTAGTTAGTTAAGACAAAGTTATTATGATGGGCCTTAATCCAGTATGATTGGTGTCCTTATAAAAAGAAGATATTTGGACAAAGATACCTGCACATAGGGGGAGCACCATGTGACACCATAGATCAGGGGTGATGCTTCTACAAGCCAAGTAATGCCAAAGATTGCCAGTAAACCACCAGAATCAGAAAGAGACACTGAAAAGATTCTTCCTCACAGTTCCTAGAAGGAACCAAATCTGGTGTTACTTTCATCATGGACTTCCAGCCTCTAGAGCTGTGAGACAATAAATGCTTTTGTTTATGCTACCCAGTTCATGCTACTTTGTTATGACATGCTCAGCAAACTATGTCAGATACAGAAAGCTTGAATATAATAGCCATCTTTCTGACTTGGGAAACTGTATGAATAATGGTGCCTTTCACTTAAAGGGAATATTGAGGGTGTGAAATAAGTTCGAGGGAGGTTAAGTGTTGAGTTTGATATGTCTGTTGGTAAATCAGTTGGAAATAACACTGTGCTTTTATATATATTGGAGAATTATCAGCATGTAGACATATACTGATTTCTTGGAAGTGACTAAGGAGAATGTATGGAATTAAAAGAGAAGAATATTCAGGATTGATTTCTCATCAACACCAAGGAACGTATTAGGCATGTAAAATAAAGAGGATTATTCTGTGAATTCCAGACAAACAGAAGATTATAAAGGCATACATATAGGAAAATTAGACATTAAGGAAAACACTTTCAAATAAAGTTTTTAAAAATAGTTGAGGATATATATAAATACATAGTTTCAATAACATTAATAGCTATACATTAAACCTTTGACCCAATAATCTTCTATGAAGAAGATTTAGATCAGCCCTATTTTTTTAACATCACAAACACATACACACACACACACACACACACACACATAAACAGGTGATAATATTGCAGACCTTTTTAAAGTTACAAAATAAATTTATAAAGAGAAACTATTTATAATCATAAATCTAAGACCTCAAATCATATTTTGGTATAATTTCATAGGATATATTCTATTAATAAAGCCAATATTTTTATAAATTGGTAAAGCTCTCCATATACCGATTAATTCATAATTTTACTTTATAATTTGATTACTTTTCCTATTATTATATAAATTGGACATTATTATGATTTTTAGTTGTGTAATACTCCATTATTTGGATATTCAGAAGTTATATAATCATTCTGTGCTTAGACGGTTGACTGCAGGTTTTACATTTTATAAAAAAAGTGATAAATATTTTTATTACCATTAATATGCAATGCTTTTTATTAAAAAAAAAGTTAAAAAAGGTTTTCAAGATCAAATAATTATGTAAGTCCTATTATATAAACACAGCAATCCACAGTCTCACCTCCCTGCACGTTTGTCCCATTCTACTGAATTAACCGGTCCCAAATATTTTTACTGTGTTTTTTTTCCTTGTTTTCTTTTTAAGTGTAAGTTTAAACAACATAGTGACACTGCTCCATTTTGATCTTTCATCTTGATAAATCATCTAAATATTTCTAATTTTTTTCAGGGAAATATAACTTGTAATAAGCAATCTCAAAATCTCAATGGCTTAACAATATTTTAAAGATTATTTGCTGTGTTGTGCTAAGCAGGATTTTCCAAAAATGATCCTTGGGGCTCACTGTTGATTGGTTAGACAAAGAACCAACTGGGATTTGGGGCTTTACTCTTCTTGTTGTAGAGTATTCAACTTCTTAGGGGAAGGAACACTGGCTAATTTTCCATGGTAGAACAGGCTGCAAAATCCACAGGCCTCCAAGTCTTCCCAAAATGAAGCAGCTGGATAACAGCTTCAACTCCCAATAGGAGCTGGTACCTTAACCCAGACAGCTTGGATTAACATGGTCTATTTGTAATGCCAAATGAATGCTGTGCTCCTATACTTTTTCATAAAGAAGCTAGAGCAAAAACCAAAAAAAAATGGAAAAAGTGAGGGAACAGACAAAGACCCTTCACTTACCAAACATCATTCAGGTTGCCAAACCATTCTATTTCTGAGAGGCATCTTCAGCTCTAGCACACCTCTTTGTAAAATGATATGGGTTGGGGAACTCACATCTCTTCTTGTTGACCCTTGCTTGATATATACTTGTCACCACCAAAAACAAACAAACAATAATGTATTCTTTAACCCATAACATCCAAAATCTTGCAGCATACCACCTGGAGACACACATAATCATACTCACGCATAATCCAATCATATAATCCTGGTTGAACAGGTCTCAAGATTGATTCTCTACTGAGATAGGATCTTAAGCAAAAGCTTATAATCTGTTGCTAGATTGTCTATAAATGCTGGTTATTGAGGGAAGGGAAGTGAGAGAAAGGGCCTTAAAGCATGGAGTATTTGTAGGGACAAGGTTGATATATGTTATTTATCACTCCAGGCCATGCTCTGATACACAGTAATAATCAAAGGGCCCACTTGTACGTATAAAAATAGTATACAACTGTTGTTTAGCTATTTCCCAGAAAGTAAATGCTTGAAGATCTAGCCAGCTTCTGCCAACCACATTTGAAAAGACTGAGCACATTTTTCAGTCTCTGCATATATGCGCACAGATGTCAGTCACCCGCATTTTCCAGTATTTCTTGTAACAAAATAATGTCAGTGATTACATCATAGTTATAAGTGATATTCACAAATGGAATAAATAAGGATATGTATTTGTCTCCCAGGGCTGCCATAATAAACTATCATACATTTGTTGGCTTAAAACAACAGAAAATGTATTCTCTCTCTATTTAGGGAGTCAGTATTCTGAGTTCAAGATGTCAGCAGGGGGCCGGGTGCGTTGGCTCACGTCTGTAATCCCAGAGCTTTGGGAGGCTGAGGCTGGCCGATCACAATGTCAGGAGATGGAGACCATCCTGGCTAACACAGTGAAACCCCGTCTCTACTAACAACACAAAAATTAGCCGGGCGTGTTGGTGGGCGCCTGTAGTCCCAGCTACTCGGGAGGCTGAGGCAGGAGAATGGCGTGAACCCGGGAGGCGGAGCTTGCAGTGAGCCGAGATTGCCCCACTGCACTCCAGCCTGGGTGACAGAGCGAGACTCCGTCTCAAAAAAAAAAAAAAAAAAAAAAGATGTGAGCAGGGTTGCTTTCTTCTGGAGGCTTTGAGGAAGAACCACTCCATGACTCAACCAACTTCTACAAATTTTTGGCAATCCTTGACATTCCTTGGCTTGTAAATGTATCTTTCCAATTTCTGCCTTCATCTTCACATCACATTCTTCTCTGTGCCTCTCTGTGTGCTGTGTGTCCCTTTGTCTCCTATAAAGACATTTCCGTTGGAATTAGGGCCCAGTCTAGTCCAGTGTGATCTCATCTTAATCCTTAATTACATTTGCAAAGAGCTTATTTCCAAATACATTTTCTGAGGTTCTGAGTGGACATAAATTTTTAAGGGACAATATTTAACCCATTATAGAGATATTATTAAATTTATTTTATTATACAACTTTAATTTCTCTGAAGATAATATTGCTTTATGTATTTCCTCTTAACTTTCTATGCACTCAGTAATTTAGTATACAATTTTCCAGTGGTTTCTAAAACACTTCTCGATACAGTAAAACACAGGAGGGCAAAAGATCTGTTTTATATTTAGCTCCCTTTTAGAGCATCCATATCTCCGATCCAATCTGGAATGCACTTTAATCATATTGTAAAGCCACATTTCTAGAACTCTTTTCACTATATTCTAGGGAAATATTCTTTTGATTATCTATCACTCTCTTCTCTACTTTCATTTTGCAAATGTGTGTCTGGGAGCAAGTATTTTTAGAATTTGAGTATCTTTAAATTCCTTTATTTACCTTCATACTTGATTGATGCTCTGGCTTAATAGGGGCTTCTAGGATGAAAATCACTTTCATTTAGATTATTTAAAACTTTGATATTAAGGTACTAACTTTCAGTGTTGGTGTTGAATTTCTATGATTCTAGCTCCTCATTTCTTCTCTCTCTCTCTCTCTCTATATGTATATTAATTTCTGGAAGCTTGAAATGCAAAACTCTGGCAGTGTAATTGGATTCAAATTAAATCATTGAATGTAAATTATCATCCATTTCTGGAATTACTTATATAAACTACATTTTCATTTGTGTAATTACTGGGCAGATTCTCACTCACAATTCTTGATACCTTATTGCCACAGTACTTTTGTGAAAGAATGTAATAATACTGAAGCTCTGAAGACCACTAATCACCATGAACATTGTAACATTGAGTTATACTGTTTATTTAAATATTTACTCATTCAACATGCCTAAAATTGTGTATAAGTTTCTTTCACTTTCTCGTTGATAGCTGATTATCATTAAAGCTGAAAATTCTTTTGTGTATTCACCTTGTCGTATTTCCATGTCTGTAGACATGGAGATTTCTTCTATTGGGTGCCAATTTGTATAGATTTTTGGTTATTTACATTGGGTATTTGTAAATTTCATAACAAATGTCTTTCATTTATTGTCGCTTCTTAATTTTTAAAATTGTTAATTGCTATTATGTGCAAAGGTGTTTTGTTTTTGTTTTGTGTGAAGTTTTCTATTTCTGCATTACCTCATATAATGGGCTTGTTGCATCTCTTCCTTCTGTTTTGAGTCCTGCTCCTCCTCTGTGCTGAAGGGTGGCTTTTATCTCTGAGTGCTTTCTCCTAGAAAACCAGCTGGAGTCAAATGCTAGAGTCAATACTTCTAATTTGACCAGTTCCTCTACTGTGCTCTGTCAATTACTGACTATCCAAATGTTTTGATTATGGGTTCTTTAGATGGGCTTTTTTTAAGGTAATCAGAAGAGAAAGTTATTTTGCTTTGAGAGGGTATCTTTCTCATAAACACTACCATCTGTTATTCAAATTTACCGTATTTTATAAGTGCCTATGTTGACTACCCTGGTTAGATGAACAAGTGTTCCATATGATCCTTTCTACATTTAACTCAGTGTAACAGTTAGATTGAACTTGACATCATTTTCAAATTAGTTGTCCATGCAAGGCGATTTGAATAACTGACACATGGTGAGACTGAAAAAATTGCTGCTGTTATTACCTTTAACTAAATTATATGGTCACCTTTGACAATATCTTGCCATATCTATGAGATGAGGGATGATGAAGCATCATATTTAGAATAAAAGATATTGGAGTTTAGGTTTTATAATACTAGTTTTAGATGTGGGTTCTCTGTCACTTAAGAGATATAAACATGAACAAAAACTTACCTCATTACTGAAGTAAACATGGTGATATAAATCTCATAGTATTGTTTAATTAACTAATTTACCCATCCATTAATTCACAGATGTTTATTAAATATTTACTCTATGGCAGGCACCACATTAGATAAAGATTTTACGGCAGATACCTCTCTATCTTGATGAGTTCAATTGCTTTAATTTTTAGTTCCCACAAATGAGTGAGAACATGTGAAGCTTATCTTTCTGTACCTGACTTATTTTACTTAACATAATGATATCCAGTTTTTTTCCATGTTGTTACAAATGACTGGATCTCATTCCTTTTTATGGCTGAAGAGTACTCCATCATGCATATGTACCACATTCTCTTTATCCATTAATCTGTGATGGACACTTCGGTTGCTTTCAAATCTTAGCTATGTGCATTGTGCTGCAATAAACATGGGAGTGCAGATATCTCTTTGAAATACTGATTACCTTTCTTTTGGGTATATACGTATCATTTTTATTATTTTATTTATTTAGAGACAGGGTCTTGCTCTGTCACCCAGGCTATAATGCAAGAGGCATGATCATAGCTCACTGCAGCCTTGAATGTATCAATAGGATTGCTGGATCATATGGTAGCTCTATTTTGAGTTTTTTGAGAAACTGCTATCCTGAGCAGAACAAAAATTAATTGAATACTGAGAAGATACTTTGCCAGATTTGGAAACAGTTCTCCATAGTGATTGTATTAATTTATATGCCCACCAACAATGTACATAGGTTCCCTTTTCTTCACATAGTCACCAGAATTTGTTATTGCCTGTCTTGTGGATATAAGCCATTTTAATTGGAGTGAGATGATATGTCATTGTATCTTTGACTTGAGTTTTGTTGATGATAAATGATGCTGAACATCTTTTCATATACCTGATTGCCATTTGTATGTCTTCCTTTCAGAAATTTCTATTCAGAACTTTTGCCCATTTTTAATTGGATCATTAGATGTTCTTTTCTATTGAGTTGAGAGCTTTATATATCCTTGTTATCAATCCATTGTCAGATGGATAGTTTGCAAATATTTCTCTCATTCTGTGCATTGTCTCTTCACTTCGTTGGTTGTTTCCTTTGCTGTGCAGAAACAATTTAGATTGATGTGATCCCATCTGTCCATTTTTTTGCTTTAGTTGCCTTGTGCTTGTGGTGTATTACTCAAGAAATATTTACCCAGATCAATGTTCTACAGAGTTTCCCAAATAATTTCCTATAGTAGTTATATAGTTTGAGGTTTTATATTTAATTCTTTATTCAATTTTGATATGATCTTTGTTAATGATGAGGGATAGAAGTCTAGTTTCATTATTCTGCATAGGAATATTCAGTTTTCCTAGTACAATGTACTGAACAGTACAATTTACAAACTGTCCTTTCCCCAATGTAAGTTCTAGGCACCTTAGTCAAAATGAGTCTATTATAGACATATGGATTTACTTTTGAGTTTTCTATGCTGTTACTGTTCTATGTGTCTGTTTTTATGCCAGCACCATGCTGTTTTGGCTACTATAACTCTGTAGTATAATTTGAAGTTAAGTAATAAGATTCCTCCAGTTTTGTTCCTTTTGTTTAGGATAGCTTTGGCTATTCAGGGTCTTTGCTGGTTCCATACAAATTTTAAAATTGTTTTTTTCTATTTCTGTGAAAAATATCATTGGCATTTTGATCGAAATGGTATTGAGTCTGTAGATGGCTATGGACATCTTAACAATATTGACTCTTCCAATATATGAATATAAAATATATTTTATTTTCTTGTGTCTTCTCCAATTTCTTGATTCCATATTTTATAGTTTTCATTGTTTATATATTTCATAGAAATCTTTCACTTTGTTGGTTAAGTTTATTCCCAGATATTTTATTTCACTTGTCGCTGTTTAAAATGGGATTATGTCCTTGAATTCTTTTTCAGATTGTTCACTGCTGACATATAAAATTGCTACTAATTTTTGTATGTTGCTTTTGTATCCTGCAACTTTACCAAATTTATCAATTCTATTAGTTTTTTGGTGGAGTTTTTAGGTTTTTCCAAATATAATATCATCTTCAAACAAGGATAATTTTATTTATTCATTTCCAATTTGGATTCCTTTTATTTGCTTATCTTTTCTAATTGCTGTAACTAGAACTTCCGGTACTATGTTAAATAGTAGTGGTAAAAGTGTTCATCCCTGTCTTGTTTTGGATTTCAGAGGAAAGGTTTTGAGTTATTTTCCACTGTGGGTCTATCATATATGGCTTTTGTTGTATTGAGGTATGTTCCTTCTATACCCTTTTTTTTTGAAGTGTTTACCAAGAAGGGATATTGAATTTTATCAAATGCAATGGGATCTAAACTAAAGAGCTCTGCACAGTAAAATAAACTATCAACAGAGTAAACAGAAAACCTACAGAATGGGAGGAAATTTTTGCAAACTACACAGCTTACAAAGATCAAATATCCAGCATCTATAAGGAACTTACAAATGTACATGAAAAAAAAAACTCCATTGAAAAGTAGGCAAAGGACATGAACAGACACTCAAAGAAGATTTATGGACAAAAAAGGAAAACACTGTACAAAAAATGGAAGTGAGGTACATAAACAGCCAGATTGGTTATAGCTTGGTGTGCTTGGTGTTTGCCTTATTTGAACATGGTTTGAAAAGTTGGACATTTTTGATTGGCCAAAACTTGGTGATTGGCACAAAAGTAGACTACAGTCTGTATAGAACTCTGTTCGGATTATATCTCACTATGTAAAGAAAAACCTTTAGGCTAAAGTTATAATATGTGAGGAGATAGCTTTAGGCTAAACTTGATTTAACAATTCCTGCAGTTTGGTCATCCTCTCAATTTTGAGAGAGTGACCAAAACTTTAGTCATTGATGTCACTATCACCATTGTAAATGCACTCATTTGGTCTTGAAATCCATTGGGAAGTAGCAGAATAGTGTTTTTTTGTAATGTGGGAACAATGACTTCAGGTTATTATTATTATTTCTTTTTGTAAGAGTTAGAGCAGAGAGTACTTCCTTATGCAGGAACGTCCTGCTTACAGGAGAAAAAACAAATCTGATCTGGTCTAGGATCTATGTGTTTCCTTAATGTCTTAGTTTGATTATGTCACATTCAGCACAACTGACTCCATTTTAATTTGCTCTGGTTTGCTGGGGCCTAGTGCATGAGTTCAGTCCTAAAACAATGACCTCTCATAACTTTATTTAAAAATTTCCCTGTTTTGGCCAGGCTCTCACTTAGGTGAAAGCATAACCAAATCTTAGGGCTTTAGTGCCACTCTTAGTTACCATGATTTTGGGTTTCCAATCTCAGCACGTCATTCATAGGTGGTGTCCTCATGATCACACATTTCTTTCAGCTCTTCTCATTCCAGTTGAAAAGAGACCATTGGACAATTCTAGAGATGGCTGCATGCCAAAATTTAAAACTTTTAAAAGAATACAGTGCAATAGGGAGGTTACTATTATAACTATCAGGAAGATAATACCAAGAGTTTGGAGTATGCTGCTTAGCCAGGGTCCCCACAAACAAAACCAACTAAAATAAAATAGATCAAAGAATGAGCTAGATGAAGAGTCTACTCACCTTAAGAAGTCTCTTTGTTAATTCCCTAAAACTGAATATCTCTAATACCTGATGTGATGTATTTCTCCATGGGCAGCAAGTACCAGTTGCTGCACAGATACTTCTCTGTTTAGCCAGTAAGTAATGTAGAGCAATTATATTATTTCACCTAACTTCCAAAAGAAATTTAAGTCTTTTGTCTAACAATAGTCTTTATAGTAGAATCTGCAATAGAGCCTATTATGAGGGATAAATTTCTAATTATTGCTTTATTTACTCCAAACAATGAACAAAAGGACCTAACACATTATGTTCTTCTAGAAGAGCTTAGATCTTCTGACTATATTCTCTTTAACCCATGATGTATGTTAAGAGGAGTGAACCAATGTTCTGTTTCTGACTGATTATGAGGCAACATATACACCATTAAAATTTCTCACCTATGTTGGGCCTTTATCTTCCATCTATCAAGGCATCCTTATCCATGTATAAGGCTGGCTTCAAAACCCTTTAAAAATAAAAGTATATTCCATGAGTGCACACAGCAGACAACCTTTTCACCTCTATTGTTCATAGAGGCATAAACAAGGTAAAAAATCAAAGATAAGAGTCTCCTGATAGTAGAGAAGTTTTGATCTGTGATTTTGGATAAAAAAGCTGTCCACATCAAGGATGCTATCTCTTTTTGGGGATAAAGTTCCCTGGTTAGCTTTATCTTAAGGTTCCTTATGGGTGCACAGTTCCAAGAGTGTAGAGGAACCCTTCTGATTTGTGAGATTATGAACCCAAAGTTCAAACTTGAAGTTTTGCTGCAGTGTGGATGGCAAGGCAGTCTTTCTCTGATGTTCTCGGAAGATCCAATCTTCCAGTTCTAGACTATCAAGCGGCTGCTTGTCCTCAGTCAGTAAATCATGAAAAGCTTTCTTTACCTGGCGAAAATACACTATGGCATAATGAGCTACTTTAATAATATCAACCCTCTCGCATGGGGAAGATTTATAAACCAGAAAACATTCATTGAAAATGACAATTGAATGAAATCCCCCATAAATGTTTAAATGGCCCATCAGCTAGCAGAATTTACCTGAAATTCTTATTGTCTTCCCAAGAATATGAGTTTGACAAAGCAAACATTAGCCATAAACTATTTTAGCAATTTAGAAGCACCACAAGAATATATATACTTAATTTGGATAACTTTTAATAACAAAAGCTTTAAGGACTCAGGAAGGACAAGGCGGCCTTCCTGGTTCTCCATGAATCCCCGCTTAATGTTAGACTAATGTCCTCTTGAATACCAATTGTTTCTCCAATTTAGAGGCAGAGCGTTGATAGCTGATGGGTTATGATAGGTAGTTTGACATAGACCATAGAGTTCATTTAAATTGTAAATCTAAAAAATTTCAATATTGGCTGATTTAGCATGAAAATCTGGCAAAGTATCCTCTCAGTATTCAATTAATTTTTGTTCTGCTCAGGTTAGCAGTTTTATACACCCTGTATACAGAATTGTTTCTCTCAACTTCAGTAGTTTTCAACTCTTTGTAACCCTAATTTCTAGTGAAAAGCCTAGAAAGTGATTTTGAAGTATATATGTCAGTATTTGTAGACAAAACCGTTTTATAATTTTTAGAAAAGTAGTCTTTTAAATTATTTGTTAACAGGTCTAAATATATTTGGCTTTTCTGTACCATATGAAAATAACTTGTTAAGATATAGAGACAAACTCATGTTTAATAATTAATATCTTAGTATCTTAACTGTAGATGACTTGGACATTTCATGATTACTTATTACTTTATTTAACATAACATGATTCTAAGATTTTGAATTGCTAAAAATAATTTTGAAACCATGACCCACGTAGCTTCCTTAATATCTTTTCCTAGTAATCCTAGGTCACAAATAGCCACGCAGCACCCAGGAGGACTGTGAAAGGTCAGGGTCTTTCTCACTGCATCAGGGCAGAAGACAGAACTTTGAAGACTCCACCCGGAGGACCTAACTGCTCCCAAAATAGCCAGGAGGCAAAACAGGGAAGGCAGAGGAAGAAGAGGCCATATTGAGCTTGATTCTGGCTTGTAGTCTTTGGTCTAGGCACTAAAAACATGTCTCCAGACCTCATCATGATCACTGATCTAGAACCTTGAATCCAGATAGTCTAAATAAAAGATATAATCTCAGGCAATTCAAACGTGTGTCTAATTATATTTAACTGATAATTTTGAAACCATTTCTATTTTACCAGCAATTTCTAAACTAGCTTTGTTTACCAAATATCACGTACACACACATATAGACAAACAAACACACAGAAGCAGATCTGATAGCTCTCATAAAGGATTTTCATTTGCTGCCTTCTAAATAGTTTTTCTTTTCCCCTTGCAGTTTATCAATCTTCCAATTACTGGTTTCATTGCCCCAAGCAATTGTTAACTAGGCAATTTGCATTTCCTAAAGGAACAACTCTTAGGTAGAACAAAAAATATATATATTTCATGAGCACAGAACTAAAATATTAGGTCTAAATATTATATCCTTATTCTTTCATCATTTGCTCAAACCAAGGGGGAAAAAACTGCTGAAATAAAAGTTCACTTAAGACAAGATGGCCAGAAAAGCACCTTAAACAAGAGGTATGACTTATTATGTAAGTTTAAAAGAACAATAAGCATTTCTAATGTGCATAGGTGGATATCCTTAAAAATGGAGATTCCCTTTATATGTGATTTTTTTTTTTACAAAAGATGGTCAATATAGCCAATTGAATTTCAGAAAGGTGCATTTTAGTTCAATAGAGTGTTCTTTTTAACTTAGCTACTGTTTCTAAGGTAAAATTGCTAAATTCAGGGTAATGGGAGGAGCCCATTAAGGAACGGGCAAGAAAGCATTGTATGCCGAGACTCAGCATGGATAGATCTGAAAAACAAGCAAGCCTCTTTTACCTGAGAGCCTATCTTTTATAAACATCTTATCTAAGATAACTTTCCACTTTTTGGATGGGATAGTAACTAAGCCAAAAGGTTAGCAGATTTAATTTTCTTTTAATCAGTTAGTCACTTAAGCTTTTTACTTGCCTTTCATAAAGAATGCAAATAAAAATATTGAAATATTTTTAGAAGCTTCTTCAGTGTTTTTAATTTAGAATGTTCTACTCTAACTCTAATCTTTAGTAAGATTTTGCAATTTCTGTAAGACTTTGCTGCTTCCAGAGCCTAATATTTATGCATGTATAAACCAGAAGGAGCTCAGTTCTTCACAAATTAAGGATCCCATTTTACTTCACATGTTGGCTTTGGCTCTTAGGTTCCCTTGATCAATTTAGCCAATGATTTGTTTTCTATACCTAAGTCTTCAAGAAAAATGAAACAAAGGGGGTAGAATACAAAAATCCTTGCAAATTTCCAAAAGCCAAATTTTACACCCTTTGCAATATTGCCATTTATTACTGGTTCTTTCTCACCCAGTCAGATGTTAAGAGGCCTCTAATTGAATCCAAGCCAGTAAATTATCAGATCCAATCCAATCCTGTACCTAGTCCAGTTTTGGTCATGGCTTCCAAACCCAGTTTGGATCAGAAATGTTCAGAAAGCTCAAAACCCAAATCTGTGGAGCTTCAGAATCTTAGAGAGAACTTACCACAGTCCCTAGCTGCTCCTAGAGAGCAATGGGCACAATGGGTCCAGCAGGTACCTGACTTGGTCCCTCAGCGCTCCTGGGGGTCGCTGGAAGCTCTACTTCAGATCTCATTTCTAATGCCATCTTTAAAAAAAAATAGCCAAATTAAATTTAAATGAGTTTAGTTGAGCAAAGAATAATTCAAAAATTCATTAATAATGAGCTAGAGTCATCTCAGAGACTCCAGTACAGCCACATGGTGGAAGATTTATGGACAGAAAAAGGAAAGTGCCAAACAGAAAGTGGCAATGAGGCACAGAATCAGCTGGATTGGTTATAGCTTGGTGTTTGCCTTATTTGAAGAAGGTTTGAATAGTTGGCCACCTTTGATTGCCCAAACCTTGGTGATTGGCCCAAGAATAGACTATAGTCCTTAGGCTATAGTTCATGATGTACAGAGAAACCTTTAGGCCAAACATAAAATATATGAGTACGCAGCTTTAGGCTAAACTTGATTTAACAATACTTATTGGTTTCTACTGAAGAATCTAGAACTATATCTGTAAGACACAATTATCACGTTTCAAGAAAGACAAGATATGACTTAGGTAAAAAAATAATGTGCAGTATGTTGCTTTTAATATGCATTTTTATTATATATGTATATGTGTTTGTGTGGATTTTTATAAATAATTTCTCAAGTATTTTTAGACAAAGAATTATAAAAAATTCCCATTTTATTGAGCTAAAATCTTTGAAATTAACATTGAATAACCTTTTCTTTCACTCTGGATACCTAATTCACCAGAAAACTCTGTTGTGCCTGTCATAGGAAAGTTAAAACTTTTTCTCTGAAGGTTGAGTGTAAGTCTGTTGAAATGAATTGCAAAAAGACAAATTAAGTGGAAAAAAAGTATATAAATTCATTAATGTGTACATGAACATGAGAGTCCCATAAATATGAGATTCAAAGGAAAGTCAGATGACTGAAGTGTTTATATTGTACAGAAGAGAAGAGAGGTGTGGAAGATGAAGACAGGTTAGGGACAGGGGAAACGAAGAAAGTTTGGGTGAGAAAATGCTGCCTAGTTATGCAGATAAAATCTCCCAGGTAATCTTCAAGATGCCCTGAGAAAAAAAAAAATAGATGGTAGCTGGTAATAAAAATTTCTTTGTCATACCTTTAAAAGTGTCAGACTTTCAGTCTCTTTTTGCTGTGAGTTAATCTTTCCTAGATCCACATAAGGCGGATACGGGAAACTCAGAGAAAGCCTATTGTATCTGCTATTTACCTTACTAATGTAAATTTTCTCTACAGATGCAGATCTTCCTTACAAATGAAAGCTTTTCAGAGCTATTCTTGTGGTCTACAGCCCCTCTAAATTCCCATATCAAAATATGCCAAGGAAGTATATTTCTGGGGTGAAATATCCTGATTTCCATTACTATCTTCAAAATCTATCCTAAATCTGATACTTTCTCAGCAACTCCACTTCTCCCACCATCATCTCTCACCTTGATCATTCCAACCATGTCCTGCTAAAACAGTTATCACTCACAGACTATTATCCATAAAGTAGCCAAAATGAACATTTTAATTATAAATCTGATTTATGACAACCTTCTCATTCTTAACAGGCTTAGTGTGTTGTATATAATCTGGTTTCTGCCTACATATCCAAACTCACCTCCTAGGATTTTCCTCCAGCTTTCAAACTGGCTTCTTTGCCTTGAACACACAAGCATATTGTTTGGGAGTAGAGAACATTAAAGGTTTTTCTTTTTTCCAAAGTCATTTTCACTGGGATAGCTACATGACTATTTCATTTATTCAATGGTGGTCTTTGTTCAAATATTATTTCCTCTGAGAAAACAGCGTTAAGCAGACTCCTTGTCATTTTCCAGCCCCTCACTATAGTTTTTCTTTGTCTTTGTTTTATTTCATTGACAGTACATGTTCCTGCCTCATTTACATAGCTAAGTTTGTCAATCTACCTACATTATTGCAGTTTTTCTTAGTTGCCTTTCTCGTCCAGTGGAACACCAATTCACGAAAATGGGAAGTTTATCTCTTCTGTTTATTGTTATATCTCTAGTGCCTGGAATGAAGCTTGACACACAGCCACTAATCAGTTTATATTTCTTGGATGAATAAGAAAATAAGTACAAATTGTAAATGTCTACTCAAACATCAAACAGGTATCAGAGACACACATTACAACTCCATCATAATGATTAAAAGTTACCCTAAAACTTGTGCCATTTACATTCAGGACAGTAACAGAAGGGTCGTATTCATAAAGTGTGACAATATATGGAACTTATTTTAGATAGAATAAAAATAGAAATATGAATAACATGCTTTCTAGCATTTATATATAGTGCTACTGTTAGATTATTCATTATTTCCTAACTCCTAGTTTTATATACAGTTTTCTTTTGATACTGCACTTTCTGTTTGCACACAGCATGCACTCTTGGGATTCACGTTACATGCAGTGTTTTGCCTGAAGAGCTGAGGTTGTGGAAAGACATTCAACTTTTCTCTCCTCTGATAAGCTGTATATTCCCTGTAACCTCTGTGATCCTCATTCATCAATGAACAGATAGATCTGAAGCACTGCAGGATTCAGTGCTACAGCATTGGAGCTGAGAAAACATTACCTGCATTTCCAAAAAAGGACCACTTTGTTAAGGAGTGCTTTAGGGAAACAAAAAGCATGCCCCAAACTATCAACAGATTTGTGGTATTAATGACCTAATAAAATACTTTTAAAATATAACATTCCCTGTTTTGAAACATAACTATATCTTTAAAAACAACAGTGCAAGGAAGTATAATTTAGTGCCATTTTAAATTTATTTATTGAGTGCTTGCTGGAGGCATTGTTCTATATGCTATATATTCTGGCCTTATACTGGATTAGTTAAAAATGTGAATTGTCATTTTTACATATTTCTGGTATCTTATATTATTAAGTATCTCCAAACAAAGTTGGTACGGATAAATTTTATATTATGATTCATTAGATATATTTTTAAGTTTAATAATAGGTACTTTTTCTTATGTTTGACATCTTGATGTAACTAATTATTAAAAAATAGGGAAAATAAATATTTAGACGACATGGTAATTTAATTTATTTAAAATGTACTAACTAAACACTTAAAATATTGAAGAGACTATGCTAGTTGTATAAGATAAAATGAAAAGCATGAAACAAGATTCCTCTCATGAAGTTTGCAGTTTAAAAGAATGATAGATACTAATTAAATAATCCATAACGAGAGAAATCTAAATAAAAATAAGTGCAATGAGGAAGCTTGCAAGGTACTACAAATAGATTAATAGGCATCTTGCCTTAAATTTCAGCATGTGGAATGAATTGTGAATGACACAAATGTTGTTTTTAAATATGAAGGCTAATCAGAAATTAATTACATGAAAAAATTGAGGGAGATGGACACAGTTTCAGGTACTAAGAGAGCACTTGGAAAGCCTAAGATTTTGGAATAAGTGCTGACATTTAAAAAGTTCAAATATTGTTCTTATTGCATTATTAATGGAACATAGAGTGTTCCATAGAGAGAGGCACAGAATGAACTGAAATGGGTCTGGAGTGATAGGCACATGCTGAGATGTGGAAGATTATACTACCTAGGCTAATCTTATTGAGAGCCCTTGTTAAGTACTCTGGTGTTTTTATCTTAAAGAAGCAGAAAGACATTAAAATACTTCTAGGAGAAAAATGACATAATCATTTCTAAAAGATCATTTTGGACCTAATGTGAAAAAATGTCTTTGAGTAGAAAATTGTTAATATAGTGAGGGCATTTAAAAGGCTATTTCAGTAGTTTAGACAATCAATAACCTCACACATTTTATGTAATATAATTATTAAAACTCAGAAATGAAGAAGGCATAGAGAATTTGTATGTATATAGTCCTATTTTGACTTAACATTAGACATAAGAAGGAAAATATGGCAGGACTGATCAATAAAGTAAAACCATTGAACAAACCATGAGACTTTCAGATCATTTAGTGAGAATAAAAGACTTGCAATTTGTTTTAAGAGTCAAGATGATGGATACAATTTCATAGATCTCTTTCATATATTTCACTAATAAAATGGAGACACTAAGTTCTAATAATTTCATAAGGATATTGGATTTCTAAATCAACTTTATATTACTAAATTATGACAGGCATTTATAGCCATAATATAATGAATACTTTGGAATCTAGAATCAAGGAACTGACAAAAAAAATTGATTGATTAATTCTTTTTTTTTGAGACGGAGTCCACTCTGTCGTCCAGGCTGGAGTACAGTGGCACGATCTTGGCTCCCTGTAGCCTCCAACTCCGGTGTTCAGGCAATTCTCCTGCCTCAGCCCCCCGGGTAGCTGGGATTACAGGTGGGTGTCACCATGCCTGGCTAATTTTTGTATTTTTAGTAGAGATTGGGTTTCGCCATGTTGTCCAGGCTGGCCTTGAACTTCTGACCTCAGGTGATCTGCCCACCTCGGCCTTCCAAACTTCTGGGATTACAAGTGTAAGCAACCATGCCCGCTTGATTGATTGATTATTTTACTGTAAAATAAAAAGTCTCAGTAGTTTTTAAATAATCATTTTTGTTGAATGATACCTATAGTAGAAAACTAAACCAAATGCTGAAATAATTAAAGATATTTTCAATGAGAAAAATAACTGATTAATGATGTTTTGACAGTAGGCTACAAAAAAATGGAATATATATTAAAGAGTGGTAAACTGTATTTTGGAAGAATTATGAAAATATTTTTATATATATAATAATATTCTGCTGAGAAAAGTATATCTAGTATATGGTCATTCTAAAGCAAAATATTAAGAGATGAGAAACATAAAATGAAAAAAAATTTAAATTCATAAGGGTTTACACACATTATGAAAAAGTGTTTGAAAAATATTTGTTCTGAACAAGATAGACATTCTAATTGTAAAATATTTAAATAGCAATGAGCAAAAATCATCATTCTCCACAGCCCATTTCTAAAATTTATCTATTGTATGTCAAGATCAATGAGGCCGACTGTCTGCACCTAACGAACAACTGCATGAATTAAGATTTTGCACTACATGTACAAAGAACGTAAAGATAAGTTGGTGATTTCTAATGAGGTTTTCTTTTAAAAAAAATTGGCCAGCTGTGCAGACTGTTTGATAATTTATCACAACAGATATAAGCATACTAAGCACATAACTAGGCAAACAAGAAATTTAATTACATTGTGAATGAATGTAAGTTAAGTAGAAGAATATATCAGAATCCATATGTTGTAAAACTTAGAATTAGAAATTGTTTTGTCCCTTTTTCCTTTTGTTCTATTTCATGGTAAGTGCTCATTCTGGAAAATAACTACTTACAGAGAATTTAAGGACTTGCTGTCTACTGTTTACAGTTCTGTGTAAGACTGTCTATTGACTCCACTCTTCCTTATCCTTCCCAATTAAAGGAGCATTTTATTTCACCTGCTGTCAGAAGCTATTCCCAAGAACAGGTCCTGATAGTTCTCAAAAGTACCCTCTGCATCTCCATTTGTTGCTTCATTTCTATTGATTCTTCAGTAAAAGCTACTATCAACTGTTAGCTAGATTGCTACTAGAGTTTCTGAGTTTTGTTTCTCTATAATCCAATTTCCATTTAGCATCAATAATGAAATTTTATTAGGGTGTGTTGAGATATAACACTCTATGTTGCATAAATATTAAGAATAAAGCTGTCATTTAGTCAATATATAGAACAGGGATAGCCACCCAGAGGGCTTTCTTTAGTCATATCCTTGTCCAGCACTCCCAGAAGTAACCACAA
This sequence comes from Homo sapiens, assembly GCF_000001405.40. Lineage (NCBI taxonomy): Eukaryota > Metazoa > Chordata > Mammalia > Primates > Hominidae > Homo > Homo sapiens. Next base: position 63,002,842 of record NC_000004.12, on the reverse strand, counting down.
CACTGATTTCTATCACCATAGGTAAATATTCCTTGTTCTTAAAATCTATATAGATAGAATTACGTGTCACGTGTCCCTTTTGCATTTTGTTTCATTTGCCCAATATTAGGTATATAAAGTCTACCAATGTTTTGTGTAGTTTTTAGTTTTCATTGCAATATAGTCTTCCAGTAAATATGCCACAATTAATTTATCCATTCTATTGTAAATGAACATATGAGTTTTTTCCAGTTCAGGACTATTATGAGTACAGATGCTATGATCATTCTTTAACATATTTGTTGGTGGCTTGAAAGTCACTCATTTTGTGGAGTTCATATCTAGGAGAAGAATTGCTAAATGACAGAATAGGGATAGGTTTGACTTTAGTGTATAACACCAAACACTTCCAAAATTGTCCATTAATATTCCCACTAGCAAAGTAAGACAGTTCTGATTGCTTTGCACTTTTACCAGTGCTTTGATATATCTAAGGATATTAATTCTGCATATTTTATTAATTTCAGTGATTAAATTCAATGACTGGTACCTTATTGTAGTTTCATTTACACACTATAATAACTCGATGTTGAACACCTTTTCATATGCTTATTGGCTATTGGTAAAAATGTTACTCTGAAGTGATCGCCTGAGATTTTTCCCCAGTTTTTCTGTCTTCTTATCGATCAATAGATACTCTTTATGTATTCTGAATAGAACTCATTTGTTGATGTAGGCAGTTAGAAAATATATACACACAAATATATCTACATACATATATGTATAGCAAATACATACATCTGTATATTGATATATTTGGCAAATATGTGTTCTCAGTGTATACCTTGAATTATCATTCTTATTATGTTTCTTTTGTGAAAAAATTTCATTAAAAAATTCGATTTTTATAGTTAATTGAAAACATAATTTATATCCTAATATTTTCTTTTTTCTTCTAGGAGTTTATTGTCATTTACATGTTGGGCTATGAAGCTTTTTGATTGAATTTGAGGTTTTAGTGTGGAGTTTATGATTCATTCTTTTTCCATTAGACAATTATTTGAACTAGCTTCATTAGTTAAACAAAAATCACAATTTTCCCATTGAGATAAAAATACTTTTTAAAATTAATCATGTGGCCCATAGAAGTGCAAGTCTGTTTCCAGACTATGTATGATGTTTCAATGGTCTCTCTGTTTATCCTTGTGTATGCATTTTACTTGTCTAGGACATCAAGTAAAATACTTAAAAGTGCTGATATTACAATCTTGTCTACTTCTGATATATTAAATATGATATTAACTGAAAGATTTTCTAAGATACCCTTTAAGAGATTCCAGATTCTCTCTTCTATTTCTAATTAACTGAACATTTTATTTTTTATGAGAAAAGGGTATTGGATGTTATCAAATGTTTTCTTGTGTTATCAGTTAAGATAATCATATAGTTTACCTTATTTAAATGTTAATGAACAAAATTACATTAAGTGATTTTCAAACATTAATCCAAACTTGCATTGCCAAAATAAAACCCAGAATGTTATTAATTCATTTAAATTTCTAGATTTACTTTGTACATGTTTGTTTAGAATTTTTGCATCTATTATGGTAAAAGAGACATTTAATATTCCCTTCTTATGACTTGGTCCAGTGGTGCTGTGCTTACACTGACCTCGTAAAATGAGTCAAAAACTATTTTCTAGTTTTTGACAGATTTGATTTTTTTGTTTAATATTGGATAGAATGTATTAGTAAAACTACCAGGATAAAGATATTTCTTTCTTATTTTTAATTTTTTTAATTTTTAATTGACAAAAATAATTTTATAGATTTATGGGATACAATGGTATGTTTTATGTATGTTTATATCATTGAATAAATTACATCAAGAAGATTAACATATCCAGCACCTCCCATACTTAATCTATTTTTGTGACGAGAACATTTAAAACTTAATCTTTCAGCAATTTTGAGGTATACACTGATTATTAATTATAGTCAATATTCTGTGCAATAAATCACTAAAACTTAATCTTCCTGTCTAGCTGAAATTTTTTACCCCTTGATAAAAATCTATTTTCCCATTCACCCTTCTCCCTCAGTCTTGGGTAACTATCATTTTAGTCTCCACTTTTATGAGTTCAACTTTTTTAGATTCCCCATATAAGTAAGATCATGCAGTATTTGTTTCTTTGCCTGGTTTATATCATGTTATATAATGTCCTCCAAGTTCATCCATGCTGCAAATGACAGAACTTCCTTTTCTTTCAAAGCTAAATTGTATAGCTCAGTGTGTGCGTGTGTGTGTGTGTGTGTGTGTAAGTGTGTATGTGTGTGTTGATAGGTTGATTCCATATCTTGGCTATTGTGAATAGTTCTGCAATGTACATGGAAGTGCAGCCATCCTTTTAACATACTGATATCAAATCCTTTGTATCTATACCCCAAAGTGGGATTCCTAGATCATATGGTAGCTCTACTTTTAATTGTTTGAGAAACTTTTATACTATTTTTCATAATTGATGTACTAATTTGCATTCCCATCAATGGTGTACAAAGGATCCCCTTTCTCCACATCTTTGCCAACATTTATCATTTATCTTTTTTAATAAAAACAATTCTAATATGTGTGAGGTGATATTGTTTTAATATAAATTAATTTAAATGTTTTAATTTACATTTTCCTAATGATTAGTGGTATTGAACATCTTTTCAGGTATCTGTTGCACATTTGTATGTCTTCTTTTGAGAAAAGTCTGTTCAATATCTTTGCCTATGTTTTATTAGGTTGCTTTATTTCTATAGAATTGAGTTGATTATGCATTTTGGAAATTAGCCCCTGATCAGATATATGGTTTGCAAATATTGTCTCCCAATTCCTGAGTTTTCTCTTCACTCTATTATTGTTTCCTTTGCTGTGCTAAAGTTTTTTTTAGTTTGATGTAATCTTCTTATTTGTTTATTTTTGTTTTTGTTTTCTATAATTTCAGGATCATATTAAAGAAATACTTTCCCAGAACAATATTGTGGAGCTTTCCCCTGTGTTTTCTGGCAGTAATTTTATATTTTGAGGTCCTATGCTAAGTCTTCATATATTTTGAGTAGATTTTTGTATATGCTTTGAGATAAGGGTTCCATTGGTTAATGTGTCCTATTTTTATGCCAGTATCATGTTGTTTCTTTACTATAGCTTTGTAATAGATTTTGAAATCAGGTAGTGTGATGTCTTCAGCTTTATTCTTTTTGTTCATTATTTCTTTGGCTATTCAGGGTGTTTTGTGGATCTATATGAATTTCAGGAGCGTATTTTCTATTTTTTGAAAAATTACATTGGGATTTTTGTAGGGGTTACATTGACTTTGTAGGTCACTTTGGGTTTTAAGGAAGTTTTAACAGTATTAATTCTTCCAGTATGTGAACGCAGGATATCATTACACTTGTTTACATGATCTTCATTTTTATCAATATTGTATAGTTTTCAGTATAAAAGCCTTTCATTTCCTTGATTAAATTTATTTTTAAGTATTTTAATGCCATTATAAATGGGATTAATTTCTCAATTTTTTTCTGAGACTTTATTTTCATTGTAAAGAAACATTACTGATTTTTGTGTGTTGACTTTGTATTGGAAATGGTTAAGAGTGAGCAACTTTGTTTTGTTCCTAATCCTACAGGAAAAGCTTTCAAGTTTTCACCTTTGGGTATGAGGTTAGTTCTAGGTTTTTTAATACATGTTCTTCATTGTGTTGAGGTACCTTTCTCCTAGGCCTAATGCATTTAGTAGTTTTTTTCATGAAAAGAGATTAAAGTTTGTTAAAGTATTTTTCTGCATCTTTTGAGATGATCATCTGCTTTTTGTTCTTCATTCTGTTAATGTGGTTTATCACATTTTTTGGTTTGCATATGTGGAAGCTTTCTTGCATTCCAGGGCTAAATCCCCATTGATTATGGTAAATGATATTTTCAGTGAGCTGTTAAATTTAATTTGCTAGTATTTTGTTAAGCATTTTTGTATCTATGTTTATTAGGAATATTGGCTAGATTTTCTTTTTTAGAGGAATTGTCTGACTTTTGTATCATAGTAATGCTTGCATCGTAAAATTAGTTTGGAAGTATTTTCTCTTCTTTAATTTTTTAGAAGAGTTTGAGGATGATTGGTATTAGTTCTTTAAATCTTTGCTACAGTTCTGCTGTGAAGCCATCAGTTCCTGGGCTTTTCTAAGATAGGAGATTTTTAATTATTAATTCAACCTCCTTACTCAGTATTGCTCTGCTTAGATTCTCTATTTCTTTATGATTTCATCTTGGCATGTAAGTTTTCAGAAATTTATCCATTTCTTCCAGGTTATCCAATTTGTTTGTGTACATAGTCGTCTTTCATGATTCTATATATTTCTGTAGCATCAATTGCAATATCTCCTCTTTCATTTCCTATTTTATTCGAATCTTCTTTCTCTCTCTCTCTCTCTTTTAGTCTGGTTAAAGATTTGTTGATTTCAATTACATTTTCAAAGAACAAACTATTTTTCTTTTGATCTTTTTTATTGTCTTTCTAGTATTTATTCCATTTAGCTCTGTTTCTTTATTAATTATTATTTCTTTCCTCCTACTGATACTCAACTTGGTTTGTTCTTCTTTTTCTAGTTTCTTGGAGGGTAGTGTTAGGTTGTTTATTTGAATTTTCTTGTATATAGGCATTTATTGCCATAAACCTAGCTCTTAGAACTACTTTTGCTACATCCTCTAAGTTTTGACATGTTGTGGTTTTTTTTCATTTATCTCCAGATATTTTTCAATTTCCCTTTTAATTTTCTCTTCGACCGATAAGCTGGTCAACAGCACATTAATTTTCAAACATCTGTGATTTTTCCAAAATTCTTCTTGCTATTGATGTTCAGATTTATTCCATTGTGGTTAAAAAAGATACTTTATATGATTTCAACCTTCTTAAATTTGTTGAGACTTGTTTTGTGGCCTAATACATAATTTATCCTAAAGAATTTTTCCTGTGCACTTAAGAATATGCATTATGCTGCAGTTTGATTAAATGCTTTGTAAATGTCTGCTAGGTCCATTTGCACTGAAGTGTAATTCAAGTCCAATGTCTTATTAATTATCTGTCTAGATAATTTGCCTATTGTTGAAAGTGGAGTATTTAAATATCCTGTTATTGTATTGCAGTCTATCTTGCTCTTCAGATCTATTAAGATTTGCTGTATATAGTTAGTTGCTCCAGTGTTGGATGTATATAAATTTAAAATGTTATATCCTCTTGATATATGTAACCCTTTATCATTATATAATGAGGTTATTTGTTACCTTTTAGTTTGTTACTAAAGTCCATTTTTTATATAAGTATTTATGGGGGTTTTCCCTTATTTTCTTGATCAGTGTTTGAGTTTTTTAGTTTTATTTATTCTTCTAAAAATAACTAAAATTTTACTTTATTGACCTAAACTTGCTTTCTGGTTTACTAATTTCAGTTCTTATTTTCATTTTTCCCTGTTTTCTACTTTCTTTGGCTTCCCCTGGGTATATGTTGAAGATTTTTGAAAAAATTTAGATATTTGACGTTTAGATGTTAAACATTTTTCTCTAATATATTCATTAAAAATATGCATTTTCTGTAAGCAGTACTTTAGTTCTGCTAGATTTTTAGGTCATACTTTAATTTTTATTCATTTCAATGTTTGCTTTTCTAATTGCTATTACTATTTTTATTTTTCTTCCTGGATGATTTACAACAATATTGCTTAATTTTTAAATATTTCTGGATTTAAAAATTATATTTATGTCATTAATATTTGGTTTATTTCATATATAATCTGGATATTTATTGTTCATTTAAACTTGTTTGATGGCTAGCATATGACTGACTATAATAAATAGTGCTCTTTGGATAATTATTTTGCATTTTTAAGGTTTAGGATTATGAAATATCAGGTTGATTTGGTTGATATGGTTATTCCAATCTTCATATACATACCATTTTTTTTGGTGGTGGGGTATCTGCTTGTTTTCTGTCAAAATCTTTATATCTATGGATTTGCTTTTAATTTTAGTTCTGCTTTTTTTCTGTGTATAACTTAAAACTAAGTCATACAAGTTTAAAATTTCCATTGAGGTAGACTTTTTGCATTGCAAATTTTTCTTTTGACATTTAGTAATACATATTGCCTAAGAATCTATTTTGATATTAATATGTTCACTCCAACTATTTTGTTTTTTAGTAGTGACTGCGTGGTATGTTCTTTTTGAGGAAGGAGAATGACCTTGGGTCACTCAGCTTTTGAATCTGAAGCAATCTCTGAAATGCTGAAAGCTGAAGGCTGTGGCCCAGTGGCACTCAGCAGTTGAAGCAATAAATATTTCAGTTAGGGATAGAAATTATCCGTTCCAAATATATCAAACTCACCCTAAAACTCTAAGGGCCTAGAGCATCTTATTGAGATATTTGGAGCAGGGGGATTTTGATAACCTTCCATTTTTAGTTGGTGTAAGTCTCATTAGGTATATATCTTCTTGGAAAATTGGCATTTTATTCTTTTAAGTAAATCTATCTGTAGAGTTTTTAATGTATAGGTAACTAAATTTACTTTAAGTGGAAAATCTCTATACTCCAAAGAAATTTTTGAAAAGCAAAAAATAATAGAATTCTTCTCACAATATCTTTATTTCCTATCAGGGAGTATAAGAAAAAAAAAATGCTGGGCTCCTGCCCCTCTGTAAACTGTGAAGAACTGGGAAGGGTCTTTTCCTTCCTTTCTTTCTTCCTTCCTTCCTTCCTTCTTCTCTCCCTTCCTTCCTTCCTTCCTTTCCTTTCTTTCTTCCTCTATTCCTTCCTTCCTTTCTTTCTCTCTCTCCCTTCCTTCCTTCTTCCTTCCTCCCTCCCTTAATTTCTTCTTCCTTTTATTCCTTCCTCTCTTGCCTATTTTCTTCCTTTCCACTTTCCATCCTTTCATCCTTTCCTCTTTTTGTTGTTTCTGCATTCCCTTTGTTTTCTTGCTCTAAAATTATGAATGGAGACATTTAATATAAAGAAGTTTCTTTCAGATATTTTTGCTTTCCTCAAGAAACTAGAGATCATGGAACACAAGAAAATAGACATTTCTTCTTCAGAAAAAAGTATACTATATTTTATTTGTGATTTTATACTTTAAATTTATTTGCTTATAGAGCATTACCCCATAATATAGATAAAACCCTTCATCCAGGGTATATAAAAACAATTATAGCTTCCCATCAAGCTACCAATGACTTTCTTCACAGAATTGGAAAAAACTACTTTAAAGTTCATATGGAACCAAAAAAGAGCGCACATTGCCAAGTCAATCCTAAGCCAAAAGAACAAAGCTGGAGGCATTACGCTACCTGACTTCAAACTGTACTAGAAGGCTACAGTAACCAAAACAGCATGGTACTGGTACCAAAACAGAGATATAGACCAATGGAACAGAACAGAGCCTTCAGAAACAATGCCGCTTATCTACAACCATCTGATCTTTGACAAACCTGACAAAAACAAGAAATGGGGAAACGATTCCTTATTTAATAAATGGTGCTGGGAAAACTGGCTAGCCATATGTAGAAAGCAGAAACTGGATCCCTTCCTTACACCTTATACAAAAATTAATTCAATATGGATTAAAAACTTAAATGTTAGACCTAAAACCATAAAAACCCTAGAAGAAAACCTAGGCAATACCATTCAGGACATAGGCATGGGCAAGGGCTTCATGTCTAAAACACCAAAAGCAATGGCAACAAAAGCCAAAATTGACAAACGGGATCTAATGAAACTAAAGAGCTTCTGCACAGCAAAAGAAACTACCATCAGACTCAACAGGCAACCTACATAATGGGAGAAAATTTTTGCAATCTACTCATCTGACAAAGGGCTAATATCCAGAATCTACAATGAACCCAAACAAATTTACAAGAAAAAAACAAACAACCCCATCAACAAGTGGGCAAAGGATATGAACGGACACTTCTTAAAAGAAGACATTTATGCAGCCAAAAGACACATGAAAAAATGTTCATCATCACTGGCCATCAGAGAAATGCAAATCAAAACCACAATGAGATACCATCTCACACCAGTTAGAATGGCGATCATTAAAAACTCAGGAAACTACAGGTGCTGGAGAGGATGTGGAGAAATAGGAACACTTTTACACTGTTGGTGGGACTGTAAACTAGTTCAACCATTGTGGAAGTCAGTGTGGCGATTCCTCAGGGATCTAGAACTAGAAATACCATTCGACCCAGCAATCCCATTACTGGGTATATACCCAAAGGATTAGAAATCATGCTGCTCTAAGGACACGTGCACACGTATGTTTATTGCGGCACTATTCACAATAGCAAAGACTTGGAACCAACCCAAATGTCCAACAATGATAGACTGGATTAAGAAAATGTGGCACACATATACCACAGAACACTATGCAGCCATAAAAAAGGATGAATTCATGTCCTTTGTAGGGACATGGATGAAGCTGAAAACCATCATTCTCAGCAAATTATCACAAGCACAAAAAACCAAACACCACATGTTCTCCCTCATAGGTGGGAATTGAACAATGAGAACACATGGACACAGGAAGGGGAACATCACACACCAGGGCCTGTTGTGGAGTGGGGGGAGGGGGGAGGGATAGCATTAGGAGATATACCTAATGTTAAATGATGAGTTAATGGGTGCAGCACACCAACATGGCACATGTATACATGTGTAACTAACCTGCACATTGTGCACATGTACCCTAAAACTTAAAGTAAAAAAAAAAATTATAAAAAATTTAATTTTGATATAAAATATTTTTTCAAAATTGTATGAGTACATATTAATGAAGATTGAGATGTGTTTTTCTGTTATTTTCACTGCAATAATTGAAGAAACTTGCATATTTATAGGTAATTGATTGCTATCTTAAGCCAGCGATAAAATAATCATGAACCTTATGTAAGTTCACAGTTGTACCAAAATTACTGTACTTTTTGCATATTCCAATGTCACTGACTAAAAATTATTTTCTAGTGTAATTATTACAGAAACAATGGGTAACTTCAGTGCCTTTGAATACATACTGAGCTTGTAACATTTCACTTTTGTCATTTAAAGTGAAGAGGTTTACTGTTAGTAGATAACAATAGTCAGATATTTGACAAATATACAGGTATTTCTGAAGAAGAATGTTATTTTGAAAATCAATACTATGATATTTTAAAACACAGTTTTAAAATATTTTAAAGGCCACAGTTTTTCTGAAGAACTTTTTGCAATTTATCAAAATGTACTTATTGTTATTTCTGCAATGCTTTATCAAGCAATTTATGTTTTGCATACTTTTGTAGTGTTTAAATTCTGGAAATAGAAGATACTTTTAAGAACTCTGCTGAATACTTTGATAACATTTAATCATTACTGAATTTTAAGGCATTGTCTTTAATCTGGATAAATATTTATACATTATACTAGCTTTTAAAAATATGCACACTTACAGTAAGTATACCTATGATTAACTAACTCTTACTTCATTAAGCTTTTCCTCAAACTTCTTTGTTAAATACAACACTTTTTATTCATTGAATTACTCTTAACAGTAATCAAAAGCACATGAGGATACTAAGCAGTTGGCTTTATTTAACATTGTATATTAAGGGAATATCTTTTTAATTGGGACTTTGTAGACATTTTAAGCTGATAGTATTTTCTTTAGGAAGTAAAGACACATGTTTACATATAGAGAAACATGAATTTTAATATTCATGTGATTCCTGATATTGTTTTGCAACTTATCCTTGAAGGAAATAATATTGTATCCACATCTTAGAAATGTGCCTGATATTTAAGAAAAGCTCTTTTCCAGCATATTAGAGCCACACATTGGTGAAAAACTAGTATTTCAATTATGAAACATAGAATATTTACTCATCCGTGAATTTAATTTTATATATAAATGTCACTTTTATAGTATTTGCTAAATGTAACTGTCAAAAAATATATAGTTCAGTTCCAAGCTCTTGCCCTTCAAGAATCTACAGGAGTTGTCGGCAAATAAAGAAAGACAGACGGCCGGGTGCGGTGACTCACACCTGTAATCCCAGCACTTTGCAGGCCTAGGCAGGCAAATCATGAGGTCAGGAGTTCAAGACCAGCCTGGACAACATGGTGAAACCTCATCTCTACTAAAAATACAAAAATTAGTCCGGGGTGATGACAGCATGCGCCTGTAACCCCATCTACTCGGGAGGCTGAGGAAAGAGAATTGCTTGAACCCGGGAGGCAGAAGTTGCAGTGAGCCAAGATGGTGCCACTGCACTCTAGCCTGGGTGACAGAGTGAGACTCCATCTCAAAAAGAAAAAAAAAAAAGAAAGGCCTCAGATAGCTCTCCTGTAAGAGAAAAGTAGCAGACGTGAGGTGGAAGTATGAGACAGTCATCTTCATTTCTGGAAGCTGACGCATATTAAAAACTCACTAGCATTTAATAATTGAGTTTATAAAGTTTAAATATAATAAAGTATTATAGGTATGATAGTCAAAGAATACATTTAGTACAGTTGATACCTAAGATTAAGTTAAATACTATTAAAATGACTATTATTATTAATTAGCTATTATATCTCCATTTGACAATAATTAGCTATTATAGTTGCAGTTGATAAAGTAGACTCACATATCCAGGTTATTTCAAACACATTTAAATGTTTTCTAATTACTGGATAAAATAGGTATAAAAGCTTAAGTTTAAATTAACTAAAATAAATACACTTGCAAATTCAATTTTGCCACTGTTCCAGCCACACTAAGAGCTAGTCATATGGTTACATGGTTAGTAACTACCATGTAAGACAGTGTAGGTTTAGAGAATATCCAGGAAAAAAAAATGTTTAAAAGAATACAGCTCCATGGCTTACTTTTGTAGAAATTATTTCCACCTCACACTAAATGACAACATAACTCTAACTTACTATTGTTAAGATAGCAATACTCTCCAGATTGATCTACAGATTCAAGACATTTCTATCAATATTCCAGATGGCTTTTTGCAGAAATTGACAATTGCATACTAAATTTATGTGGAAATGCAGGGGACTCAGAATAGCCAAAGAATCTTAAAAAAGACTTACAAAATTGGAGAAATCGCATCTCCTCATTTCAAACCCTAGTATAAAACTAAATATTCAAGACAATGTAGTACTGACATAAGAATAGATATACAGATCAATAAGACATAATTTGGAGTTCAGAATTAAGCCCTTACATTTATGGTTAATTGATTTTCAGTAAGCATGTCAAGACAATTCAATGGGGAAAAAATCTTTTTAACATATGGTACTGAGGCAAATAGATACATGCAAAGGAATAGTTTGACTTTTACCTTACACAATACATACTAATTACTCAAAATAGATCACAGACCAAAATATAAGAGATTAAAATTATAATACTCTTAGGAGAAAAGTTACAATAATTTTTTGTGACCTTGAGTTAGACACTGAATTCTGAAATAAGACACCAGAAGCACAAAAGAGAAAATGAAATAGGTAAAATGAATTAGTTGATATAATAAAAACAAATTTTGTGCTGTAAACAATACCATCACAAAAGTGAAAAAGCAACCAACAGAATGAGAGAGAATATTTGCAAATCCTATATCTGACGGGGACTTGTATTCAGAATATATAAAATACTCATAATTCAGTAATAAAAATAATACAAACATGGACAAATTTTATGAACAGCCATTCATCCAAAGGAGGTAAACAAATGATCAACAACTACTTGAAAGAATGCTGAGCAATATTAGTCAATAAGAAAACCTAAATATAAGTTATGGTGGGTGATCTTCACACCCACTAGAATAGCTAAATAATAATACATAAACTTTGAAAAAATTACACTAAGTGAAAGAAGCTAGTCACAAAACACCACATATTGTATGATTCCATTTCATTTATATGAAATGTCCAGAACAGGTAGATTTTTAGAGATACAAAGTTAATAAGTGGTGGCTTGAAGATGGGAATAGGGAATATTGAGGGGAGGGAAAGTAATAGATGTAAGTTTCCGTTTAGAGAGCATGAAATTATGTCAAATCAGATTGTGCCATCATTTTCAGAACTTGCAGACATACTACAATACATTGAATTAATACTTTAAATCAGTGAATTGTATGGCATATGAATTATATCTCAGTAAAGCTGCTCAAAACAACAAAAGCACAGAACTTGCACATAACATGGTTTTCTTTAAGTCATCTTACATAACCACAGCATTGCATTAAAGCTAAGAAATTAACCTTAGTCTGATATTTTTAACAAGTTTTCAAAAGGTATTTGAATTTCCAAGTTTTTGCGCTAATGCTTTTCTCTCTCACTCTCTTCCCGGAGTTCCCACTGAGTTTAATTTTCTTCCAATCTGTGACAATTCCCCAATATGTTCTTGTCCTTTATAACTTTGACAATTTTATAGAGTACCACTGAGTTATTTTATAGAATGCTTTCTATTTGGGTTTGTCTAATGTTTTCCTATGACTGGATGAAGTTATTGATTATGAGGAAGGATATCACTTGGATGATGTGCCCTTCTCAGTTCACTATACTGAGTGGCACATTATATCAACTTGCCTGGTTATGTTCACTTTTATCACCTGGCTAATGTGGGTCTGCCTGTATTACACAAGACAAAATTATCACTTTGCCACTTGTAAATATCAAATATTTGGGGGAAGAGAAGTCTTTGATATTTGTAAATATCCTATTTCTGTTTCAACTTTTTCCCAGTAATCTCAGGATCCTAGAAGAATTTTGCTTGTGAAAATTATTATTTTAACTTAGTTGTGAAATTTTATTTCCCTTAATTCTTCCATATGTATTAATTGGTTTTTTTGTAAGAAAAAGTTGACACTTTCTCCTTTAACCTATGTATTCACTTATGTATATACATGTGGACTAAGGGTTACTTATTTTTGTGGGGATTATAATCCAATATTGTATTTATTTAGTTAGTTCAAGTTATTCTAACTTTGGCTGCTGGGGGAATGTTCAGGTGGATTATATGCCCTTTTGATATACTCTCTTTATTTATTTTCTATTTTTATTTTGTGCTCTCTTACTTTCTGGCACTAAAGATACCCCAAGATCATCTTTTAATTCCCCTATTTCAGTCCATCACTCAACAAGTTATCCAAGGAGTCTGGCTTTTTTATACTGGAGAATTTTGATATTGATTTCTGCAACTATCTTCCAACATCATACTTTTTATTCTAGTTATCTCTTTTCCTTATAACTCACCTTCATTTTTCAACAGTGAGAAATCTGGCTTTCACTGTCTACAATATGGGATTTATTATTTATTCAACTCTGTAATATGATTAGTATTTAATTTCTAACTCATGCTCTGTAAAAACAAATTGACAATAAACTAGGTTGCAAGGTATATGAATAGTTCTTTTTGCCTTTCATTTTACAATATTCAACTAAAATGCAATTTTACAAAGTCATATAGATCAGCTCTTACATTTCTCTTCCTTTTTATTTGAAACACAGATTCATTTTTAACAATCTGCATTCCTTCTCTCCCCTTATACACAGCTGATGATATTTTTAGACATGTACATCGAGTAAAATCCAGGTATTTTGTGATGTACTCTTCTATGGGTCATAAAGAATGCACTGAATTGTGCAGCTACCACCACAATTTCTTGCAGTTCCATCACATCCAGTGATCTTTTCATTATATCCTTTTATAGACAACCTCTCTCTTACTCCCAGTAAATCACATATTTTTAAATTTTTTATTAATTAATGATCAATTAGGCTGTTATGAATAAAGTTGCTTGATATTTCTATACACTTCTTTGTAAAGCTATTAATTTTTCATCTAATAGCTGTGGTATTAAATATGTGTAATTATTTAATTACATAGGTGTAGAATCTATGAGTCTATGGTAGATGGATGTTTATCTCTGTAAGAAAAGTGTAAAACTATTTTCCAAAGTTGTTGTTCCATCTTATGAGAATTCCTATTGTTCTTCCTTCTCATGGGCACTTGATAGTAACCTTTTTAACATTTTAATATGTGTGAAGTCAAATGTTTTTGTGTTTTTAATTCAAATTTTCATAAAGATTAATAATGTTCAATATATACCCATGTGTTTATTTGCCATGTATTTATCTTCTTTGGTGAAATAGCTATTCAGCTCCTTTGTTCATTTTTAATTGGGTACGAATGAATCTTAATTTTCTTCTTCTAAAGGACAGAAGTAAACCACTGTGTGAGAAGTAAACTCACATGTTACTATCAGGAGTGCAGAAAATATATTCTGTAAAATGAGATCTAGCATATTTTTAAAAAGTATATATGCATTTAACCTTTGAAACACTGATCTCTTTTCTAGAAATTAACTGGTAATACATTCTGCCAATACACACACACACACACACACACACACACAAAAGTACAAACACACAAACTTAGTGCAAAGTCACCAATGAAAGTGTTATCTGTAATAATATAATACTGTATTAGTAATACAGTAATTACACTAGTAGTAATATAAATAATACTCTTTTTTAGATGGAATCTCACTCTGTCACCCAGGTTGGAGTGCAGTGGTACAATCTTGGCTCACTGCAACCTCCATCTCCCAGGTTCAAGTGATTCTCCTGCCTCAGCCTCTCAAGTAGCTGAGACTATAGGCATGTGCCATCATGCCTGGCTATTTTTTAAAAAAAAATTTTAGTAGAGACAGGGTTTCACTATGTTAGCCAAGCTGGTCTTGAACTCTGCCCTCCTCAGCCTCCAAAAGTGCTGGGATTACAGGTGTAAGCCACCACACCTGGCCATAAATAATACTCTCAATACTCATCTTAATACTCACAATACCCCAATACTCACAATACTCTTAATACTCATCTATATGATGGTGGTGAGAGGCAGACAGATTCCTAGGTGGGAAGGAGCAGGCAACCAGTAAGGCCCAACTTTCAAGTCAAGGATGGCCTGAAGCCTCTGGGAAGGGCTGCCAGTTCTGGGTGCAGTCCACCACTGGAGTGGGAACTTCCTTGTTTCATTTTGGTCAGTTGGGCAGTGCTTTTTCTGGGCCCTCCCATAGACCAATCAGCATGTACTTCCTCCATTCTGAGCTCATAAAAACCCCAGACTCAGCCGGACTCAGTCAAAGGTTAGGACTATCTGTCTGCAGCTAGGACCTATCCACTTTGTTTCTCCTCTCCACTGATAGCTGTTCTGCCACTAAATAAAACTCTTCTTCATCTTGCTTATCCTCCAGTTGTCTGTGTAACATCATTCTTCCTGGATGCAGGACAAGAACTCAAGACCCGCCAAACCACGAGCATGAAAAGGACTGTAATACTTTTCTGGCTGGCTTGCCTAGCTGTGGACAGTGACATGCTTCCATTCACTGAACTATGGAAGTGAAGAGCCATGGCTTTTCTGGGGGCCCAGACTTTGAGATTCCCCAAGCCAGAGCTATAACACTATAGCCCTCACGCCCTCTGCCAGAGTCAGGCAGCTGCCACACATGACAGGAAGCAATGGTAGGGCCAGGCCAGCTCACAAGTGAGGCTAGGGGACTGAATGAACTGTAACACAAAGGGGTTGAAACAGTCCCCAACATATTTGCTGTGCTGTGGGCAGTGGGAAGGAGACAGCGGTAACACACCTGCCACTCCCACCCCTTGGGGTTCTGCAGTTGCTGGCATCTTCAAGGTTTTGGGCACCACCATGTTCCTCTTGTCCGGATGCTGGCGCTCACAGCAGAAGACCCTTGTGGTATGTTTGGTCCAATAGCAGCCAGCACCTGTGATGGTGCCTGGAGCTGTCTGCCCCAACACAGCAGCCAATGCACCTGGTTATGTGCAGTGGCCAGACCCTGTGCTCTCTCACTGACACACTCTCACCACTCTGTGCCTGGTTTGCCCTTGGAGAGCATGGGATCCAGGCTGGTAACATGAGCCAAGCACAGCCTACTAGGCCGAGTGTTCAGAACAAGTACAGCCCATGTGAGCAAAACTCAAGCAGAAGTGCCACCAGCCACAGAGGTTTCTGGCTGGCAAAGCAGCATGTAAAGGATCCCATGACACATAGAATGCTTGTTAATTAAACCATGGAACATCTACATAATGGAGAAACATGCAGCTATAACAAAGAATGAGAAATATTGGTTAAGTGTATATAGATTAGGCAGCACAGAACCTTTTGTTTAATAACGTAGAAGAAATATCACACCTGTAATCCCAGTACTTTGGGAGGCTGAGGCAGGCAGATCACAAGGTCAAGAGATCGAGACCATCCTGATCAACACAGTGAAACCCCATCTCTACTAAAAATATACAAATTAGCTGGGTCTGGTGGTGCACGCCTGTAGTCCCGGTTACTTGGGAGGCTGAGGTATGAGAATCATTTGAGCCCAGGAGGCAGAGGTTGCAGTGAGCCAAGATTGCGTCACTGCACTCCAGCCTGGTGACAGAGCGAGACTCTGCCTCAAAAAATAAAAAAGGTATAAGAAATAATATATTTGCATGTTTTGAAGAGTAAACTTAGGAAAGATAAATCAGAAGCAAACAGAAATACTGAGCCATAAAGAATGATAGGGAATGGACAGGCATGATATAGATATCTATAATTTTAATGTGATTTACACTTTTATGTAGTTTTTTCTTGAATATAATAAAATTACACAAAAATCATCACAAACAACTCTAAAATTGTATTCAACAGTAAAAAATATATATTTATATATTTATATTAAATTGATAATATAACCACACATACATGCACACACACAAGCACTTCCTGAAAAAAAAAACAATATAAATCAAGTAAAATTTGAACCCAGCCGACATATCCTATATGTGAATCTATCCTAATGAAAAAAAAAGGCAACATATCTTGAATGTTAATTTTTTTTTCTTTTGGACATGCCATTGCTGTACTGATTTTGAAATTATTTTGTGTGTATTATAGGATGAAGCAGATGAGTAAATATACTAATATTGGGGGGAAGCAGTGTTCTTACTCTAAGAAAATAAAATTACAGCAATGAGAGTGGGAAGAAAAGGGAAAATGCTATGATTTATTTATATGAATTGGAAGTAGAGGTATGAATTAATCATATTTTAGAAATACATGTCGTCTTTGTACTCTGAAAGGATTTAAAAGCTACACTACTCCAGTAGCAAAGCTCTCATATTACCTCTATATTTGCTATCTATAAGTCTTGACTAAAAGAAATCAAGACTTTTTGAATAAGTTGAAAATTTTAGGTCAGCGACAGGGAAAACAAGGTAAGTCTTGAATACTTTATTTTGCCAGAAAGCAGGGACAAGTTAGAAGACTAAGAAAAACATGTGAACAGGACACAGGGCTCCTTTGAACTGCTTGGCCTGGCTCTTGAATTTGAAAGTATTTCAACAACCAGAAAACAGAAAAAGTGAAATGTAAATCATATCAAATTTTTAAAATGCACGTATTCTATTGACATTTGAAAAGTAGGAAAAGGGAAGGCCCTTCATAGAAGAATGTTAGCTACTAAACATAGAAGAACAGTAAACCTAGAAAATCATTATTGTAAATGCTTAAAATTATTACCCCTTGAATTACTTATAAATAATAAAAGAAAATAAAAATAAGGTACCCTTACAAGAGAGAGCTCTGGTGAATACTCATTTAATCAAGGGATCAAATTTAGCCTCACCAATAAGATGAAATGACAGTGTGTCTTCTAGTGTGATGCAATGGAAAGTAAATAATATTTACTTATTATAATATAATAATAATAATATATTATCCATTACTTCAGTAGTATTGTTAGAAAAAATGTTTAATTGGAATCTAATAATGAGCAAAGACCCACTCAGATTCAGATTGTGACTTTCTATAAAACAGCCTCAACTCTTCAAATATTCATGTTAAACACAAACATACACACACACACGTACACATACACATAGTGAGACAATGCAGACTAATCTGTATCGAAGGGTATGAAGGAGAAGTGAAAATTAAACAATTAGTTATTTAGGTGGATACTGGATGTGAAAAAAAAAACAAGCACATTGATATTTTAGAATAATTAAACTTAAATGAATTATAATATATAGGACAATTAAAGACAATTTAATAGGGCTGGGTGCAGTGGCTCCTTGCCTATAAACCCGGCACCTTGGGAGGCCTAAGTGGGCAGATCACCTCAGGTCAGGAGTTCAAGACCAGCCTGGCCAACATGGTAAAAATCCATCTCTACTAAAAATACAAGAATTAGCTGGGCATGGTGGTGGGCACCTGTAATCCCAGCTACTCGGGAGGCTGAGGCAGGAGAATCTCTTGAACTTGTGAGGTGGAGGTTGGGCGGAGGTTGCAGTGAGCCAAGACCATGCCACTGCACTCCAGCCTGGGCAATACAGTGAGACTCCATCTCAAAAAATAATAATAATAATAAAATAAAGATGTGCTATGCCAGAGATTATGCCATACAAGAGTAATATAAATTAGTCTAAAATATCTAATTCAAAGTATTTTTTAATCAAGCAGATGATGATGTATGTTTCTAAAAGATTTCAGGAGTTTGGTCTGTTGATTTCTATGTTTGTCTCCTTTTAGCATATGTCTATTGGAAATGAAATAAAATTATTTTATTGAAGTTTTCATAACTGGTTGCATTTGTTTCTAAATTGCTTGTGAGTGCTTTTGAAATTTAATAACATAATAACTAGATTTATATGTATTTTCATGAACTAGTCAAGATATGGAAATTTTTAGGCTCATTCCCTTGTAGGAAAAATAAAAATGAAAATATGTGCTCTAAAGGGAAACAAATAAACAGAAATCAGAGAAGACAATTGCAATTCACTTGATTATATTGGAAAGTGAGAATATTGTCTACGAAAGAAAGACCTTTTTCCCTCTTAAATGTGTATATTTAAATATAAAAAATTCAGTTTCTTCATCTTGAGTAATATTACACTCTATAATCGTTAGAGAATAACAAAGCAAATGATCATGTGCCGGGTATTGGCAACAAAATTAAAAGATTTATCAACGTTACTTTACATTAATAAAATAAAATGACATTTTCAGAATTAATATAATATTCATTGCTCTCTGCAAAATATATGTTAGAAATAAAAAGAAAAACTCAGGGCTGTATATAGAAAGAGGAAGTTAAAATGGGATATTGGCTATGTTGAAATACATACAAATAAAACTAAATAAGATAGAAAACCTTTTATTTTCAAATATGCCATATTTTATTTCTCAAAAACTCCTATTTAATGTGAAATAGTGCCAAGAGAAGCATAAATAAATATTGAATCTAATATTCAAAATGCCAGTTTAGATGCAATATAATATGCTATTGGTGATTGAGGATTTTAAATCCACTGCAGCTCAAAATAAAATATAATTTTCACTTGGAATAAGAGGAACAGATTTTCAAATATATTTATTATTAAATAAGAATATATGAAAGTATTTGCATGTGTATCTGTGTAATTTTATGGCACCTCATTTTCAAGTGGCCTGAGCTATGCCAAGTGCTAGGAATATCTCTCTAAAAATGTTTATTTCTTTTTCTCTGTCTGGAGAGTTGCAACTCACTCATATGGCTCTAATATCTGCTTCTCTCTAATGTCTTTTGTGGTTCATTTAGAAAAGAAATGATTATGCTCAGTCTTGAACTCTCATAATATTTTGAACGTATTTTTATTATATCATTTAATACTGTATTATAATCATTGCTTGTTTCAGCTAAGTGACCAGAGAAGTAATCTATGCATTTTCAGTGAACAATGACAATTTACTGAAAAGATGCACATGTTTTGTGAGGTGACATTTGCAAATCATCATAGGCCAAGAACTCCCGCATCTGGACATATCATTAATGTGGATCCTCAACACAGTGAGTCAAACACACAGTCTTTGGGGTTCTAGTCAATGTATTTTCTGGAGGTACAAATGCCTTTGATTAGCCAAGTACAGGCCAGTAACTTCGAAATGCAATATTCTTCTAAGCAGAACAAATTATTTATTGCATACCAAAAAGAAATTATAAAGTATTGCTTTCAGTTCAACATTGCTTTCTATTCCTCCCGTACTAAGAGTTACTAAAAAGTTCTCAGTCAAATATCCACAGCAACTCTTAGGGGACCCCAGTGAATCAACAAGGCATATGTGGATGGAGATTCTTGTTGTCCAAACTTAGTATTTGACTATAGCATAGAAGTGGAGTATATCTGTATGTACATGTGGTCTGTTTGTATGCACATGCTTGTATGCACATCTGTTAAGCATTAAGGAGGGCTTTGACAAAAGTCAGTGACATTATAATATATACTTTTCTTCCCAATTATTCCATGAAAGTTTTAAAAAGTAGAAACCACAGATTCTCCATTTTATATCCATTTATATCCATATATATATATTTTTATTGCACCTAATAGTGATAGGTATAACAATTTAGTGAATGAATGAACATTTTTCAGGCTCACTAACATTCTAGGTAGGTGAGAATGTTAAAAAGGAGTAAAGTGGTTCTAGAGAGAGATGGCTCAACTAATACTGTGATATATTTCACGAAAGAGAGATACATCTGAATATGTTAATTATTTCTTCTAAACTCTCCTCTAAAATTTGGCTATCTAATAAATGTTTATGACCAAAAAGACACTAGAGATAATTAACATTAAAACCAATACCTAAATGTATTCAACTTGATTATACTAAGACCCATAATATTTAAAAATGTTTAAAGATATATGGGTTAAAAATTGTTAAATTGGATTTGTCACATAGATCTTTTTTTGCTGCAATCCTTTAAGCTCAAGAAAGAGCATATTCAGGCCATAGATGGTTAAAATTAATGCATTAGAAAATAACTGATAAAAGTAGCTACACTATTGATAGGTATAAAAGTTAATTGCTAAGGCTAACAAATTAACAACATCAACCATTACAGAATTAAAAGTTAAGTTTATATAGTGGAGACAAAAGCATAAATACACAAGGGCTACATTAAAATAAGGCATGACTAATTCATACAGTATATTCTTTAAGAAGAAAGAAAATTATTCAATGATGGCATTTTCAATTATGAAAATGAAAGAAGGTTCTCTTAAGAATTATGCAGGGACAACAGGCATAAACCAATACTATATCAGAGATAGGTCAACCAGGACATATGTTTACTCTAATAACAAACACATAATTTCTTTATAATTTAGAGATGCATTTGTTTTACACATAAATATCTCTGTATTTCAGATAAATCAGAAATAGGCTGATTTTTTTTCTTAATTAGATGTTTGTTTTTAAGTTAAATAATTTAAGTTTTTGTTGACAAAGAGATAAGCATCATCCTTGGTAGAATCAATTCTTTTGTTTAAAATAACATATTTCAGTAAATTATTAGTTATACAAAAAAAAGCCAAAATTTTATCCCTAAATATAAAATTTGATATATTGAAAAATTCCTCTTTGTGCTACAGTATGAGACTTTTCATATTGTAAACTTTCATATTTTAAACTTATTTTTTGCAGATTATTAGGTTGATTTACTGCTTGGTTACCAGTCCTAAGGCTTTTGATTAGTAATAGTTACTGCTATATTTTAAGTACTATTCACTGGTCTCCAGAAACAAATGTATTGAGAATTCAGTAAAGATGACATATATGTATGCATATTATTTCTATGCTATACTTCCTACTATCTTCACCAAATGCTTTCATTGCCAAAAGAAAAATCCCTTTCTAAGGAAGCTACACATAGGAATGAATAAGGCAGCTACAACTAAAAAAAAGAGACTGAAAATGTTCTGTGTTTAGTTTCTAAATGATCTGCTCTTTGTAGAGACAGACCAAAAAAAATTAGATTTAAAAAGCATTTTATTTTTCTTCTCAGCAACCAGATACATGACTGAAGCCTTGGGAAGGTGTTAAAATTACTGAGGGATAATGAGTCCTGGAGAGCTTCAGACAGAAAATTTGGACCTGCCAATGACATCAAAGTATCCTGTGAAAACTGCCCATTGCGGGCGTTTGGGGGCAGTTACTCTTTATGGGTCAAAATGTTTACAGCTCTTCGTCAGCCTATGTGAACAAATCCTGTCTAAAGAAATAGAATACCAGAAATCTTGGACCCTAGAAAAAATCATGAAAGATTGGTCTTTTTGCTTTATCTTGTTAAAACACTTGAATAACTTATAGGGAGATTCTGTGCAGTGATATTTTGGCTTCTTAACCTAGATGAAACTGTAAGATATTTCACAGAAATTGTAAACTCAGTAAGCCAATGGAGTGTTGAAGTGCTTCACAGAATGGCAGAGGAATCAAGCATATATTAGTGTCATTGTTTTTAATTTATAAACTTAAATGAATGCATAGAATAGAATGCATACATACTATTAATATTTTCAAGTAGAAGAGAGTATCATGGAAGAAATTTAAATTTCTATGAGACTTGCGAACATGGAATGATGATTATAGATTGTAAAATCAGGGTATGATTAACTTTGGAGAAAACTTTATTTGAATTTAAATGATGGATAAGAAATGAAATTATAGTTGTGTGGGGCAGGGTGGGAATATTGCATGAATCATCATCTACTGAACAGACATTCTTTCCTCCTTTTTTTTTTTTCTTTTTTCTTTTTGAGAAGGAGTCTTGCTCTGTAGCCCAGGCTGGAGTGTGATGGTGCAATCTCGGCTCACTGCAAGCTCTGCCTCCCAGGTTCAAGCGATTCTCCTGCCTCAGCCTCCTGAGTAGCTGGAATTACAAGCAGGCGACACCATGCTTGGCTAATTTTTGTATTTTTAGTAGAGGCGGGGTTTCATCACATTGGTCAGGCTGGTCTCAAATTCCTGACCTCATGATCCACCCGCCTCGACCTCCCAAAGTGCTGGGATTAAAGGCGTGAGCTACCGCGCCTGGCCCTTTCCTCCTTTCTTAATAAGAGATCCATTTTTTTTTTCTTTGTCAGTGGGTGGTGGCAGCAGTGGACATTTAAAGTAGGTACCACCTAAATGTCTTTGAGAGGAGGTGCCAGCTAGGTTTCTTGGGTCGAGTAGGGGCTCAGAAAGCTGTGAAACTCACTAATTTCCTGCATCAGGACTTAATTCAGTCCTGGATGAATAATATTGAAGATATACGCTTAAAATATTCCTAACTTCAGGATCTGTGCATGTAGTTTCTTCCCCAAGAAAGCTATAAACAACAAAAATTTTGCTCTAAGTTTCCCTGTGTCCTCTCTCCCTTCCCCCTCCCCGGTAACTAAAGTTAAAGGAATGTTAACTGCGTGTTTTTCTGTGAACAGTTGACCTTATCTATACTCCCAATTCCAATTCCTTGTAAACATACTTTGTAAAGTCCTGTAAGATCCTTTCTCCTTTGCCATGCCGCTGCAAGGTAACAAAGTAGATAAAACCTAAGTTGCAATTCTGATTTTCCTCAAAATGTAAAACATGTCACAAAATAATTTACTGCCTTTGTTTCTCGCTCTGGTAACATCTTCCCGCCTCATGTATTTCCCACCTTAAAGAGCTTAAAAGGCAGTCATCCAAAACCAGCAATGGCAACCTATTTGGGACCCCTTCCATGCTGTGGAAGCTTTGTACCCTCGCTCTCCTCAATAAAACCTACTGCTCACTCTCTCTCAGTCCAAGTCTCTGTCACTCCCTGCGGTCAGCCCCTGCACCAATTCTTCGGCGTGGCTAGGCCTTAGGTGTTATATCTTTACACCAAGCGTTGCATATAGGAACTAACTCTGAATGGACTTCTGGGAATTCTCCTGAATAAGAGTTCTGGGAAATTTATTACATTTTTCATAAAAGACACAAACACAACTAATTTGTCTATTTCTCTGTGTTTTTTTTCCTAGAGTGAGATATGATTGATGGAGGCACCACCTTCCAAACTTGAGAATAGTAACCATCAATCAAGAATACGGAGTGAATTGTGGGAGAATTAAAGAGCAGGATCTCGGATCAGGCATGGTGGCTCATGCCGGTAATCCCAGCACTTTGGGAGGCCAAGGCGGGTGGATCACTAGGTCAGGAGTTTGAGACTAGCCTGGCTAACACAGTGAAACCCCCTCTCTACTAAAAATTAAAAAAAATTAGCCGGGCGTGGTGGTGGCTGCCTGTAATCCCAGCTACTCAGGAGGCTGAAGAAGGAGAATTGCTCGAACCCAGGAGACGGAGGTTGCAGTGAGCCGATACAGTGCCACTGAACTCCAGCCTGGGTGACAGAGTGTGACTCCATCTCAAAAAAAAACGCAGATCTCTGTTGACTTTCTTAAGCACTAATACAAGCCCAATGCTATTACCCTTAAAACATCTTGTTAAATGAGTAAAATGAAACTTCTATTGTTGTTAAGACTGTAGTCAAATACCTAGTACCAGCTGTTTGAACCCATTCTTAACAAACACAGGGCACAAGTTAGGATATTCCAAAAAAGGAAAGAGCATGAAAAATCTATGATGGAAATTAGAATTACATAACACATACATTAATGGGGAAGTGTTTTAGTAAATGATATGTAGACAAAGAGTATGTAAAATCACTTTATAACATTATATTTTGAGATTACAACTGAGTCCTAAAATTCCATAGGTTTACATTTTATTCTGTAGGCCACTGGAGCTCTAGAATGATATGATCAGAGCTGTGTTATAGGAAGATAATCTTGCAGGATTTTCAAGGATAACTTCTTGATGAAAAAGACTGCTGAGATTACACTGAGATATTGAGAGCTGGGATTTTGGTACTGGCCAGGAGAAGGGACATGTAAGACATGATGCATAAAATATATGGGCAATAAGTTGGATGGAGTGTGAGGTGCACAGGCTGGGGAGGAAGAAAAACTAAGGTGTTAAGAACAACACTGGGAGTATTATCTTATTATGAAGGGAAACAGAGGTCAAAGGGTAAAACAAACTCGGAAATTAAGGTTAGCTCATTAGTTAAGGTTTGAACGTTTAAGTAATGAAACATCAACTATGTTTTGAAATAGTAATAAATAACAGTCTATTTGATTAATAAAAATAAGTTACATGCAATGCTAAGTTGACAAGATAATGTTACTGGCAGGTCTTTGCTCCCAGAGCTCCCAAGATGGCGGCAGCTGCTCCCAAGATGGCAGCAAGCCTTTGTTCTCTGACCTGGGGTTCTTGGCCTCACAGATTCCAAGGAATGGAACCTCGGGTCATGCGGTGAGTGTTATAGCTCTATTAGAAGCCATGGGTCATGGAAGAGAACCGTGGAACCCATCGACTAGTGTTCAGCTCAATTAGGATAAACCGGGACACTTAGCCATGCAGGAACAAGGGTGAGCCTTTAGCCCAATCGGGAGCGGCAGTGGGCACCTTGCTGGATCAGAAGTGCAGTGGACACCCTGCTGGATCTGGAGGGGTGGAAGTCAGTGGCAGTCTGCGAAGGCAGCGATCAGCAGTGGTGGACAGCGAGCAAAAGCTCAGCTTGAGCTGGAACAAACAAGGACCAGAAGAGTGTGGAGTTGTAAGATTTACTAGAGTGAAAACGGAGCTCCCATACAATGGGAGGGGACCCTAAGGGGGCTGCCACTGCTGGCATGAATGTCTGGGTTTATATCCCGATAATTGTCCCTGCCCCGTGCTCTCAGGTGATAGATGATTGACTATTTCTTTACCTCCTGTTTTTAGCCTAATTGGTATTTTAGTGAGTTCTCTCTACTATCTGATTGGTTGGATGTGAGCTGAGTTACAAGCCCTGTGTTTAAATGTGGGTGTTCTCACCTTCCCCAGCTCAGCTTAGGAATTCTTAGTCGGCCTAGGAAATCCAGCTAGTCCTGTCTCTCAGTGCCCCCTCTCAACAGGAAAACCCAAGTGCTGTTGGGGAGGTTGGCCGACAAGTGCTCTAACTGCTTCCTGCTGAATTGAGGTGTAGTAGGGGTTGTGCAGTTGAGATTTCCTCTGGAGGGGTGCCTTCAATGTCATACACATTGGAGCATGGGCTAGCAGGCTGGTCCAGGGGTCTGTGGTAGATCTTACTCATAGGCTGCATCTGGGGCTCCGTTTGAAGAACAATTTGTAGTTTTACAGCTTCGATTCTGGAAGAGACAAACTTAGCAAGAAGGCTAAAAATACAGGGATTGAAATGTATGGCCTGAAGTGCAGGAGGAGGCACATCCAACAGTTAGTAGGGTTTGGGACAAGGCTTCATGGAGCCCAGTGAGGGTGGTATTAAATAGGCTTACCAGGTGAGTATGGGTATGGAGGATCTTCAAAGGCAAACAAGAATTGAGAGTCAGGATGTATAGGGATGCAGAAAAAGGCATCCTTATGGTCCAGGCTGTAAACCACACTCCTTCCTCTGGTATTTGGGAAAGCAAAGTGTAAGGTTTAGGTACAGCTCAGTATAGAGGAACTACGGCCTCACTGATAATCCTGAGATCTTGCACTAACCTCCACTGTCTGTTGAGTTTCTGTACTCCTAAAATTGGAGTATTTTGGGGGCCATTGCATGGTTTTACTAGGCCTTGGGCTTTTAGGTCCTTAATAATGTTTTGGAGTCATTGTTGGGCCTCAGGTCTAAGGGGGTACTGTCTTTGGTAGGGAAAGGAGGCAGAATCCTTTAGTTTAACTTGAACGGGACGGGCATTCTTCACTCGTCCATCCATATTATCCTTCTGTTGCCCAGACTTCAGGATTCATTTCTTCCTCAAGTAGGGGACAACAAACAGGTGTTCCTTCTCCTATGTTCAGGTGTGTAATGGCCCCTGCTTTTGCTAGGATGTCTCTCCCTAACAAAGGACTGGGGCTTTCAGTCATAATTAGAAAAGCATGTGAAAAGAGTAAAGTTCCCCAGTCACAACTTAGTGGCTGGGAGAGGTATCTAGTGACTGCCTGTCCAAGGACCCCTCAGATAGTGACAGATATGGAGGACAGTTGTCCAGGACAAAAGAGTAAGACTGAGAAGGCCACACCAGTGTCCAGGAAACGGTTAACCTCCTGGCCCTCAATGGTCAAGCATACCTGGGGCTCTGTGAGGGTGATGGCATGGGCTGGCACTTGCCCTGGGAACCCTCAGTCCTGCTGCTGGATCATCTGGTTAGTGGCTTCTGACTCAGAGGACCTTCTTCTCCTGGGGCAGTGGGCCTTCCAGTAATTCCCTTGACATAAGGGACATGGATGAGGGGGCGGCTTATTTCTTTTAGGACAATCTTTTTTAAAGTGTCCTTGTAGACCTCACTGGAAGCAAGCCGTATTGGGCATTCGATTTGCCCAGCCTTTCCCTTTTCCAGAGCCTCCAAAGTCCGTTTGCCTGAGGGCCATGACTAAAGCGGTGGCCTTTTTTTATCCCATTTGTCCCATTCCTCCTGCTCCTCCTGATCTCTATTATAAAAAACTGAGGTTGCCAAGTTCAGTAGGGTTTCTAAGTTTTCTCTGGGCCTAAGGCAGACTTTTGAAGTTTTTTTCTAATGTCTGCAGCTGACTGAGTGATAAACTTATCCTTTAAGATTAGTTGGCCTTCAGTAGAGTCAGTTGATAGAGAGGTGTGCTTCCTCAATGCCTCCCTTAGTCTCTCCAGAAAGGCAGTAGGAATTTTTTCCTTTCCCTGTGTTATAGTGGACATCATTGAATAATTCATAGGCTTCTTCCTAGTTTTCCTTAGTCCTTCTAGCATGCAAGTTAGAAATGTCTGTGGCACCAATCTCCATGTTCTGATTCTGCATCCCAATAAGGGTCTACACTCTAGTACCTGCTGGCCTGTGGGGACTTGTTCTCTTTCTTCTGTTGTCATCCTATCATTGACCTGTCTGAGATGCCAGAGATCACCAAACCCTCGGGCTGCAGTTATGGTGGCACTTCTCTCATTTGGGGTTACTGTCTGATCTAGCAGTAACATTATATCTCTCCAGAATACATCTTAGGGGTGTTTTTGCTTTGGGGGAAAGTTTTCCATCTGAAAAAGGAACATAGGGATGCCAGCACCCCTAGTCATTTTTCAATGAGCATTAGTCCTAGAGCATCCTCTTTGGTCCTAATGATTATTCCTTTCCAGGGTGCATAACGACTCATGGACCTCTGCTTATCAGATTAGTTAGGCTCACCGATGTAGCAGTCCTGCACCTGTTTTGCCACCTTTCTTGACCACAAAGAAAGGGGTCAGGGCTGCTGGATTCTAGTGGTCCTTTACCAGTGTGCCCAACATTGCCTTTGTGCTCAGGGGTGAGTTCTAGAGCTGGGCTGGGTTCCTGAGTATTTCATAACAACCCAGTTGCCCCATCAGGATGCATTCCCATAAACAACAGTTCTTATGCAAATTCGTTTCAGAGAGGGTGTAGGTAAGCTTTTGAGTCAGGATTGAGATAAGAGTTTTTTTTTTGAAGATGATAACCATTTTTTCCAAAGTGAACTTCCTTTGTGTCTGTGGACTAGACCGTCCAAATGTAACGCCAAAGGTTCTTGACTGAGCCACGTGAAAGAATTAGTGTGGCAGCAGCCCATGGTGTGAGAGAGACATGGATTGGATCGAGAGAAAAAAAGAGCTGTAGGCTTTATCGAACAGAGTGACAATACAAAGCTTCCACAGCGTGGAAGGGGTCCTGAGCGGGTAGCCAGTGTTGGATTTTTCTATCACCTTTTAAACTCTTTAAGGTGGGAAATACGTGCAGCAGGAAGATGTTACCAGAGTGAGAAACAAAGACAATTAAGATGTCTCAGATCTTGAGAAAAACTGGAATTGCAAATTAAGTTTTTTCTACTTTATGACTTTATAGCAGCATGGCAAAGGAGACAGGATCTCACAGGATTTTACAAATTATGTTTACAGGGAATTGGTATTGGGAGCATAGACAAAGTCTGCTGGTCACAGAAAAATGAGCTTTTAACATTCCTTTTAGTTTCAGGGGAGGGGGAAAAGAGAGAGAGAGGGAGAGAGGACACAGGGAAGCTTACAGCAAAATTTTCGCTGTTTACAGCTTTCTTGGGGAAGAAAACACATGCACAAATTCTGATGTTAGGAATATTTTAAGCATTTATCTTCAATATTATTCATCCAAGACGAAAGTAAATCCAGATGCAGGAAACGAGTGAGTTTCACAGCTTTCTGAGCCCCTACTCGACCCAGGAAGCCCAGCTGGCACCTCCTCTCATAAGGCCACAAGATTAGAAGTTAGGATAATACAGGTTACACTGTTAACTTGGAGCAAACTTTACTTTTGTTGAAAACCTTGTAAGTTTGGGATTTCAATTATCCTTTGCTATTAATAAGACCTTGATTAGTCCAAATTCACTTAGAAGTGGTATAGATGGTTTTTTTGATTCTGCAAGTACTTTAAGGTTTGGCTGAGTGCAAACAGCTCACAAGTTTGAGCACACCAATTATTAGGCAGTTTTCCTCTCTGCTTTTATAAGAGTTTCCCTATCACTTACTGAATACCCATTGTGGTTTTTTTTCTCAATCACCCAGGAGGAACCATCTATCTTCCTGTCCTGAAGGGGGTTCCTCCTAGGTCTGGTCGGACCTTTGTATGGTAATTAAGATTTAAATCCCCTGTTAGAAAATCTGCTGGGTTAAGGGAATTTTCCATAGTTAGTGTTAAATCATCTTTTTCTAACAGAATAGCCCCATACTTTAAGATTTTTGCGTTAGTAAGCTACCTTTTTGCTTTTTTGACTTAGGATAGTTCTGAACTGGTAAGTTGTGCTCACAATGAGGTTTCCTCTAAAAGTTATTTTTCTACTTTCTTCACTAGCAAAGCAGTTGCTGCTACTGGGTTAAGGATTTTTGATAGGAAGGCTATGGGTTGTCAGTGGTCTCAGTGCTTTTGGGCTACCCCCTTGTTTGCACTGACAACAAGGTGGTATTGGAGGGTTATAGGGTCATGGAGAAGACCTTCTATTATCAATTATAGGTTTTAAATTTACCCTGGCTTTTAAAGGAATAGGGTACCCTGTCTTTTCTTTACTACTTCTATCTCTTTCTTTCTCTCTCTGACTTTCTCTTTCTTTCTCTCTTCCTCTCTTTTCTTTCTCTCTTTGCCTTTCTCTCTCTTCCCCTCTCTCTCTTTCCTCTCTCTCTCTGCCTCTTGGTATATGGATTTTGGGAACACAGCAGAAGGATGTTCACTTGTTACCCCCATTTGCCACTATAGGAATATGCACCTCCCTTTAATTTACTAAATTCGCTTTCATCCTGATCTATTACGTTGTCGTATACCCAGTTCCAGTTGTTAAAGTACTGGGTTGTCAGTTCTAAGGCCCTGGCAAAGGAACTGAGGCTTAGGGATTGTATTTGAAGGGGGGTAAGCTGGGTAGAAATTGGGGGAGGAGAGCATTTTACACAATGGGAGAGCAATCCTCCTAGCCATTTACAAACTTGGGGCCCTGGCAAGGGTGATACAGAATGGGTCCCACATAACTGCCCATGTTGAGAGCTGTATACCTAAATTGGGAGGGACACCAGGAGCAAGACTCCCTGGGTTCACAGCCTAGGTGCCTTAGGACACAGCATAGAGCTTCCTTAGATCCCTTTGGAAATACAGCTTGCTCTAATACTTGCGAGAGGAGGTGAAAGTCTGTAGCATTAGTAATTAGGAGGCAGAGATCAGAGGAAGTAGATTCAGTGGTAAGGATAATTTGGGGGCTACACTTTCAAGAAAATCATGGTCAGAACACAGGAGGTATGGGTCAGAAGGAGAGGTAGGGGTGCACGCATGGGAGACTGTTGAGTAGAGACTTCTGGCTGTGCCATGATCTTGACCGGCCAATGCTGGGAGTTTGGGATAACAGCTTTCTGCCTCTAGTTGGCCCTCAGCTTTCCCCAGGAATATTGTGAAAGCAGAAGCTGGTTCCAGGCAGACCAATGCTCTCAACCCAGAAGGGGTGAAGGTTGTTAGAAAGCCTTTTCCCAGAAAGCCTCACATCTGAGTCTTAAGTCCGGTGGCCAAGCTAATTGTTTTTACCCAGCTGACAGGTGCCCGGTATTTTCCTCCAATTCTAAGGAAGGATAGGACAGAATAGCAAGCAAAAGTGGTCCGATATTACTCATCACTTTGGAGAATCCCTGTGCAGGCCACCAGGGATTACTGGCGGGTATTTGCTCCCAGAGCTCCCAAGATGGTGGTGGGCTGCTCCCAAGATGGCAGCAAGCCTTTTGTTCTCTGACCTGGGGTTCTTGGTCTCATGGCTTCCAAGGAATGGAAACTTGGGCCATGCAGTGTTATAGCTCTATTAGAAGCTGTGGGTCATGGAAGAGAACTGTGGAACCCAGTGACTAGTGCTCAGCTCAATTAGTATGAACCCGGGCACTTAGCCGCACAGGAAAAATGGCGAGGTTTTAGTCCAATTGGGAGCAGCAATGGGTGCCTCGCTGCATCAGAAGCATAGCAGACACCCTGCCGGATCCGGAGGGCTGGAAGTCAGTTGTGGTTCTGCGATGATGGTGATCACCAGTGATGGACAGTGAGTGAAAGCTCAGCTTGAGCCGGAACAAACACAGACCAGAAGAGTATGCAGCTGCAAGATTTAATAGAGTGAAAACAGAGCTCCCATACAATGAGAGGGGACCCAAAGGAGGCTACCACTGCTGGCATGAATGCCTGGGTTTATATCCCAATCATTGTCCCTCCCCCTGTGCTCTCAGGTAATAGATGATTGACTATTTCTTTACCTCTTGCTTTTAGCCTAATTGGTATTTTAGTGAGTTCTCTTTACTACCAGATTGGTTGGGTGTGAGCTGAGTTATAGCCCCGTGTTTAAAGGTGGGTGTGGTCACCTTCCCCATATAGGCTTAGGAATTCTTAGTCAGCCTGGAAAATCCAGCTAGTCCAGTCTCCCAATAAGAAGGTAGATGTAGTCACTGGATAACTGTTCATCATGGCTAAATATCCATTGTAGTGTTTCAGAATAGTAGATGGAGCAGATGAAGTCCTTAAAATGTAGAGTCCAACTTTAGTAAGGATAAAGTAAGTCAAATCTATTATTGAGGTCTTACTATTTCTTAGTATGATAACCCTGAAACATGTTTTGTGTTGTTCATGTTTAAAAATGTGTATTTTAAAATTAAAAGTTAAAAGTTAAAATATTTTATTACTTTGAATCTTTCAAATGACGCTTCTAATAATTAATTCCAACATGAAGTTTAAATTATTTTCCAATAAAACAATTAAATCTTCTAAGATTTCATAGTACATATACTGTTATTGGTCCTGCTCCAGTTGTTGAGAGTGTGGTGAGACTCAAGCAATTATTCAATTAAAGGAAAGAAGTATCAGTCCTTCATATTTGTCTCTCTATAGAAATGCAAACTTTTTTTTCATGCTTTTACAGCATTCTGGGAAAGAGTTTACTTTAATTCATTAGTCTGTAAATAACCTGAAGATCCTAAATAACCTCAAAGGGATGTTTGGAATATAAATGTTAAAGGCTCAAACTCAAAGTAACGTTAGTTTATAAACTTTTACAAGAATAGCCAACATAAAATTAAAAAGTTTTTCCTTGTCCAATACATCTTGTTGTCTATCACTATGCTGGATGCTGCTAAATGTTCAATAATTGTAAAAATGTCTATAATTAAATATAAATTCCTGTCCAATTACAGTTTATTCAATACAAAAAATAAACCCAAATAATACATCAGAATTTTTATACTTTATAGCTTTTAATATTTCTTAATGTTTCAACTTAATACCATGTAGCTAATTTTCTTTTGATAGTAAAAAAAACTTCACATTTTAACAAGAATTCACATTTATTCCATTGCTTTTCTACAGTCTTAATATTTTCCTAAATATAATTCATAAACAACATTAGTCAGACAAAGTAGAAAAAAGAGTCTAATTTTTAAAACTTTAATGGGATTATTTTTTGATACTTAAAATAACCGAATTAACTGCTTTATATTCAATGGCATTTTCCTGCAGTCACAGTTCCCTTTGCTTCACTGAGGCATTTAATGTCCATGCATATTTTTTTTTTTTTCTCGATAAACTCATCTTTTTCCCATTATATTTCCAGGCCCTCAGTTTTGCTTCATGTTTCTCCATGGTCCCTTTATGTCTCCTTTCATCAGACACCTCTGGTAAGGGACTACTCAAGTTTTCTATGTGTGTATACATACAATGTTCATATTGTCTGTTACTGAATATTTGAACACGTGAATATGTAACAAAATACCTACATTCCTATTTCTTATTTCTCTAATGAGTATCAAACATATAAGCAAATACATTTTATTTGTCCATCCAAATGTACCTAAAATCATCATGGCTAAAAGTGTTCTCTTTGTACTTTAACAATCATTATGTCTATTTGTCTACCAATTTATTCTCCAAAATGCAAAATCATCTTTCTATTTTCTTTTCCCCATTCTACATTCATAGTCTTGCAATAAAATCTAAAAAAAAAAAATCTTTTCTTTCAACATTACTTAAATTTATTACTTCCTTTCCAGTCTAACTCTGTTTTTAATCTCTTCATATCTGCATAACATAGTAGTGTTCTAAATGTTTTATCTGAGTCTATTCTAATTTATCACAAATGACACTCATAGATCAGTGTTCCCGAATATCACTTTTATTATAATTACTACCTATCTCAGTGTTATCAGTTTTCAGTTATCATGGATGATAAGATCAAATTATTTTCCATCATCTGGTACTTCAGACAACCCATAATCTTATCTCAAACTTTTAATCTCACTATTCACTTTATATCCATGTATTCTTAAACATGATTTTTCTAAAACTCCCTTTGTGCTACTTCTTTATTTCCTGAACATGTCTCATCTACTTGAATATTTACAAGTAGATTGCCATCTGAAAATTATCTGTGACAGTAAATGTTTTGTCACTTAAAAAATGTAATATCTATAGATTTACTTTATTAAGATCTAGATAACAAATACATTAAACTGATTTTACTGGTAATATTTTGGATGTCTGGATTATACTTCATTTCTCTGAATAAATCCCGAACACATTAAAAAGTTGATCTTATTTACATTCTAAATATTTTGGAGTCTTCCTTTTGCATTCTGTTATTCTTCATTTGAGTCATATTTTGCATACATTCACCAATAATAATATTCTCATTTAAAGGAAGTCTTTTTCTTTACCTGCATGCACTGGATGGGTGTGAAAATTCCTTTTTCCCATGTAAATCTCCTTTTACAAGTGATAATCCTATTCCTGGCTTCATCATGAATAAAACTTATTAAGATGCATGATCATGAATGTCCCTCACTTTCAGACATTATTCAATCCAAAACTCTCATAATTACTGAGTACTTCTTTAGCCCAGCAAAAACTAAAAGGTCTGTAGGAAGCTTGTGGTAGGCAGAATTATTGCCCACTTGAAGATGTCCTCCTTCAAATTTCTGGCACCTATAAACATATCACCTTATACAGCAAAAGTGACTTTGCCAGTGTGATTAAATTAAGGATACGAACTGGAAAGACAACTTTGTATTATGCAGTGGACCTCGTATAATTACAAGACTGTTTATATGTTTTAGAAAGATGCAAGAACATTCATGTCAAAGAAGAACACATGACAATGGATAGAGGTTAGAGTGATATGATTTCTGACCTTGAAAATGGAGAAATGGGTTACATGCTAATACACTCAGGTGACTTCTAGAAGCTGGAAAAGGCAAGTAAATGGAGGCTTTCCTAGAGACTTGAAAAAGAACACAGAACTTCCAATACCTTGATTTTAGCTTGATGAGCCATTTGGATTTCTAATCTCCAGAATTTTAAAATAATACATTTGCACTGTTTTAAGTAAGAAGTTTGTGGTACTTCATTACAGCAGTAATAGAAAACTAGTAAAAGCCTCCTTCCTACTGTTCTTTACCAAAATGCTCCCAGGTTTTGTTTTTTATTTGTTTTGGACAGTGTATCCTCCCTTACAGCAGCAAGATAAATAAACTAAATTTGTCTGAGTACAAGTATGTTTCTAGTGAACTTTCTTTGGTCAGCTTCATGAAAAAAATGGGTTACAGTGAATTTCGACGAAAATTCCCATGGTTATAGACCAGAACCATTGATGAGGGCTGATGGAACTTATTTTAAAAAGTGCACATATAAGTGGATCCAAACAGTTCAACTGGTGTTATTCTAGGGTCAACTGTATATCTATGAGAAGAAGCTAATAGTGCAAGAAAGGTCACATATACATTAAATCTACCCTTAATGTGGCCCTAAGTCCTGAAGATTTCAAAAGGTCTTATCAGAGAGAAGTCATTGGAAAAGTTTGTTTTAGTCATGTTTTTCAAAACTATACAGACTTTTTTTCAATTTCGTCCTAGGGACTCTGAGAACTGTTTTATTTCATTCCATTTACTTGGAGACATGAGCATGTCAGACTGCAGTTGATGATGGCCGGCCTTAGATCAGATTCCAAAAACAAATTTGCAAATAGTGTTCCCACTGATTGGTGTAGTTCTGAAGGTCAACTGAGTCTATGTCTATACCCCTCCAATCTGATCTTTTGGTTTTTTTATGTTCTTATACTATGGTTTTGTCACTTGTACATTTCTCCTTGCTTGTTGGACACAGCTTTAAAATTTTAGCATCTTTATAACATGAAGGAGGTAAATATTTCCAAAATGGAACACAAGCCCATGCTATAAGAGAAAAATAATCATGCTTTACCAAATTTAAAAATTTCTCTACTTGAAAAGATTTGTTTTTTTTTGAGACAAGATCTCACTTCTTGCCCAGGCTGGAGTTCAGTGGCACAATCACAGCTCATTGCAGCCTCCATCTCCCAGGCTTAAGTGATCCTCCCACCTTAGCCTGCTAGGTAGCTCGGACTATAGATTCAAGCCACCACATGCAGCTATATATTTTTTATACATTTTATTTAAATATGAGGTTTATCCATGTTTCCCCGGCTGTGAAAAGTCTTAAGGAACTAAAAAAGCAAGTAAAAAGCTGAAATAATATATTTACAATTTGTACACATGATAGAGGACTAATTAATCAAATTATAGTAAATTCTTGGAACTCAACAATGAAAAGGCAAAATGGTTTAAAAATTTTTTATAACTTAAATCTTCAAAAATAAAATGAATTGCCAATGTGCACATGCAAGGATTCACAACACCATTGTTGTCAAAGAATTGTAAATGAAAACCACAACGACACACCACACATACCCACTAGAATATTTAAAATTAAAATGACCACCAAAACTGAATGCTTGCAAGGTTTGGAGACAGTGGAAACTCCACATATTGCTTGACATAATGTAAAAACTACAAACATTTTGGGAAATAGTTTGAGACTTTTTGATGCAGTTAACATTTTGGGAGATAGTTTCATACTTTTTGATGCATATCTGTTGTGGTGCCCCAGAATTTCCCTCTTAAGTACTTACTCAAGATAAATTAAAACATATATCCATACAGAGCCTTATATATGCATATTCATCACAAATTTATTTATGATAGCCACATTTGGATTCAAATCAAATGTCCATTATTAGATAAATGAATAAACAATTGTGGTATTTTATAGAATGAAATACCATCCAATAACCAATAAGGGAGTAACTACTGATACATCCCTAAGATGTTTCGGCTCTGTATCCCCACCCAAATCTCAGGTTGAATTTTAATCCCCAGTGTTGGAAAAGGGGCGTGGTGAGAGGTGATTGGTTAATGAGGGCAGACGTTCCCTTGCTGTTCTCATGATAGTGAGAGAGTTCTCACAAGACTGGTTGTTTAAAAGCATATAGCACTTCCCCCTTTGCTCTCTCTCTCGTTCCACCATGTGAAGATGTGCCTGCTTCCTCTTTGCCTTCCGCTGAAATTTTAAGTCTCCTGAGGCCTCCCCAGCCCTGCTTTCTGTATAGCCTGTGGGACTATGAATCAATTAAACCTCTTTTCTTCATAAACTACCTAGTCTCAAGTAGTTCTTTATAGCAATGCCATAACAGACTGATACATTCCCCAAACAAGAATGCCTGTCTGAAAACATTATGCTGGGTGAGAGACAACTATAAAAGCTTATACTCTAGATTTCATTTATATGAAACTCTAGAAATGACAAAGCTAAATTATAGGGTTAGAAAGCTGGCGAGTTTTCACTTGAAGTATTGTTTATTTGCTCAAGTGCAAGAAGTACTGACACACTTTCAAACGTTGGGTTTTATAATAAAAATAAAGGTAAGAATTTCTATGAATATATTCTTCCAACTCTATCTTTCTTATTTTGAGAGGTAAGAGCCCAAAGACCCTGTATCTCTGCCCTTGGACTCACTTCTGTGAAGGTATGGCCCAGACCACTGTCCCATCCTGAAGGAGACGTGTGGTGAGTTTCCCAGTTTATTGATTGGCATTTGAACAAAGGTTCTGTCTTATCTTTTAAATCTGGCATCTGCTGCTTGATGCATATGTGGAGGTGCAACCTTTCCTTGTATGAAGTAGAAATAAATTCAGTTTGCGTTGCATATTGAAAAAGAGAGAAATGTCTACCAGAAATCTCAGAGTCTTCTTGGAGAAAGGATATAACTAGGTCAAGATTATATTAAATATTATTATTTTCTCTTGTCACATTATTATATTAATAATAGCCTCTGGCAGTCTAAGTTTTTATATAATACCTAGATATATTTTACATATTTATAATTATAAAAGTTTATTCTCAAACCAAGTTAAGAAGGAAAAAGGTCATTTGTGATACATTAATTCAGTTATAGAACAAAATAATTACATATACTGTAATTAGTTGGGTTTATATTTTATAACACTGTGACTTTTATTTTACTATACTTATATATTTTAGTTTCAAAACAATCTCTAAATTAAAACCAAATTATTTAGTTGTTGAAAGTTAAATGCCTATAACTTGTGAGAGTGTATATTTTTCTTCAAATGCATTGTATTATTACATAAATTGTATTATTATATAAATAATTGCATTATTACATTAATAAAAAAGAATACTCATCAGTAGAAGAGTAGATATGTGAGTCCAAGATCAGAATATCCTATACATATTTTACTATAGTGAATTTACTTATGCCCCATTTTTGAATTGGACAAGACAGCTACTTTAAATAGATATCAGTAGCTAGCTACTGATAACAACTACTATTGATAGTTCTACCTCTGTATTTGCATATATTAAGATTTTTAATGAAAATATTATGTTTTGTTTATGATTATAATAAATCAGTGCTTAGCCAAAATTAATGAATTAATATGTATTTTCTTTGCTTTATTATTTTCCTTAAGTTTACTAAGAAAAAAATTGTAAGTAAACATGAAGAAGAAAGCCACTTTAAATAAATATCAGTAGCTACTGATAACAACTACTATGGGTAGTTCCACCTCTATACTTGTCTACAAGGACAAGGGGAGAAGCTCATCTCTGATGCAGACATGGCCCAGAAGAAGGAGCTTCGTAAGACAACACATTTCTTTTGTGGAGAAAGTAATCTATTTATTTATTCTTGAACATGCATGCATCGCAGTGTTTCTTTGCATTGTAGTGTTTCCTTTTCTTATTTTTCTGTTAAGATGACAGTTCTGGCTATATATTTTTATTGGGAAATGATATGAGCAGCGTAAGAATGGTTTTGCTATAAATATCACACACTATGTTAATACTTAATTTTTCGAATGAATAAGTTCATTTTATCAAAATTTGAAAGCAAATGATTGTATTTATATGGTAATGTTGTTTTTCTTAAGATGCTATATGAAATGTGGACAAGAGATTTTACACAGGTAATCAGAAAAATCTCTGCTCAGAAAGCTATTTGCATATAATTAAGAAAAATAATCTACTTGGTAAAGTAGAATATATACTATCTATGACCTAACAACTATGGGTCAGTTGAGTAAATATGAGAAGAAATCAGTAACATTTATACTTTATATACATTGTCTTATACTGCTTGAGACTGAAATTATCTCATGTTTTATTTCATTCCTTGAATCAAATACAAACTTTTTCTTGTCCATCTATTTCCTAAGTATAAGTCTTATATTAAGTTAGTAAAAGTATTTTAAAACAAAAAAGTGTGTGTTGCTGTTGCCTTAAAAACATTTTTTTTTTAATTTACCACCTCTGTGTCATTAAAAAGAGAATCCAACTTAAGCAACATAAATATTCCATAAATATGATATCACCTGTTATTGATGAATCATTGTGCAATAAATGAATAGTATCTGTACAAGAAGCCAATATTGGTACTATTCTTTTCAGGGTACAACAAGATTGATCCTTGGAGCATACTACTATGCATTTTTGACAATCAATGAAGTATAATTTCCAGGATCATGGTCAGGTAATCTTAAATGAGAGGCAAAAAATAATTTTATAAAGAAATTAGAAAATTAACAATAGATCTATATTAGTCCATTTTCATACTGCTATATAGAACTACCTGAGACTTGGTAATGTATAAACAAAAGAGGTTTAAAGGACTCACAGTTCTGCATGGTTGGAGAGGACTCAGGAAACTTACAATCACAGTGGAAGGTGATGGGGAAGCAAGGCAAGTCTTACATGGCAGCAGGAAACAGGGAGAGAATGAGGAAGTGCCTTTTAAACAATCTGACTTTTAAACCATCAGGTCTATCTTTTAAACCATCAGACCTCATGAGAACTTACTATCACAAGAACAGCAAGGGAAAGTCTGCCCCCATGATTCAATAAATGCCCACTAGGTATCTCCCATGTCATGTAGGGATTACAATTTGAGATGAGATTTGGGTGGGAACACAGAGCCAAACCATATTACATCTATATGGATTTACTTCTACTACTCTTTTCTAAATACTTTCTTTATATACATTGTCTTATACTGCTTGAGACTGAAATTATCTCATGTTTATTTTTTCATTCTCTGAATGAAATACAAGTTGTTTCTTGTCCATCTATTTCCTAAGTATAGGTCTTAGACTATCTGTTCTTTAATTTCAGCTCCTATTTTATCATCACAGACTGTATTAAAGATTATTATCCTCACTGATTGCACTAATCGATCTATCACTGTGTCAAATATAGCCATAAACTGATTGTCACATATATTGATTCTGACTATCTAGGACTAACGTGGCATATGAGAGACATCACAGTACTTGAAGTGGAAGGAAGACCTAGGTTTATATATTTTATACCTTTATTGTCACATTCTAGAAATATTACCTGGGCATGTCATTGGAGTTCCTAAGCCCAGAGGAATTAACAGGTAGTAATGCTCAGCTCACTGGGTTAGTGTGAATATTATAACAGACAAGATATGTCTAAAAACTTAGCATAGTGTCAAACTTAGTGAATTTTTTATTTACTGCATAAATTATTGTGGCTTATATTGGGGAGTGCTATTTACTTAAGCTCCCTCCCACACATACACAATTTTGGAAGGCAAATAACAAAACCAGCTTTTCTCTGTAGCATAATATATTGAATGGAAGCTAAAAAAAGTTTATCTCATAGAGGTGGAGAGTAGAATACTGGTTACTAAAGGATGGGAAGAGTAGATGGGACAGGAATATAGGGATAGGTTGGTTCACAGGTACAAAATTATAGCTAGTTATGAGGAATAACTTCTAGTGTTCTTTAGCATTGTAGTGTTACTTATTTTCAAATAGCAAGAAGAGCTTTTGAATGTTTCCAACACAAATAAATGATAAATGTTTGAAGAAATCTTTGAGGATGTGCTAATTATGCAGATTTAATTATAGCCTGTATACATG
Source organism: Homo sapiens (assembly GCF_000001405.40). Lineage (NCBI taxonomy): Eukaryota > Metazoa > Chordata > Mammalia > Primates > Hominidae > Homo > Homo sapiens. Next base: position 62,962,139 of record NC_000004.12, on the reverse strand, counting down.
TATTGAAATATCACTTTAAGTATCACCATAAATATGCATAATTTTAATGTGTCAATAATTTTAAAAACTAAAAAGATATATATGCTTTGTTTTTAGAGTGGTAAATATCCTTACTTTGGTCCCTGATACATTTAACATATTTCTCTTACACACAAAAAATATATAATACAGAAAAGTTATCTATAGAATATTACATAATATGGTAACTTAAGTCCCTAAATATTTTTCTATAATTAATTATATATCATAGAGATGAGTGTTAAATTTACAATCAGAAACATTGTTAGACTCTGCCTTTTAGAACTGAATTTGTTGATGAAGCTTTCTCATTTTCGATTTACTTACCTTTAAAATAAGGATTGTATTGGTAGCTTCCTCAAATATGACTGTTAAATAACATTCTTATATCCAGTAACTCTTAGAGCACAAAAATGCTTCCCTTTCATAGTTTTCCATCAAAAATTTTTTTAAAAATAAATGTCTCAATTGTTCAAGTTTAATGAAATTACCATAAAATTATAATATAAAATAATTTAAAATAATGAGATAATTTATTGATATATTATTAATACCTATTAATAAAATAATAAATTTTAGTAATATTTATATTGTCATGAAATTAAAATAATTTTGTGGATTTTTTGTTTCAAATTTAGCTATCTCCCTCTTTTTTCCTTTGTATTTTCTTTTATTTTACAATATAATCTTAGACATTTTTTTCTGATTAATTCTTTATCATATATTTTATGGAAGGGATGTTATTATTATGTAGAAAGTTTAGTATTAGTATTCTAGGTCAGAAGAGAGTTTGTTCTAACGTTGTCAGACATTCTTTTGGTGTGTGTATATGTAATTTACCAAATCTTAACAGCTGAGATCAGGAGTAAACAAATCTGAATCATAAATGTTAAAAAAATTCAAAGGCAAATTGAAGTTAATAAGTATATTCTGACCAAAAATAAATAACAACAATAATTAAAATTCTTTAACATTATACAAAAAGTTTGAAAAGTTTAGGAACTGCTTTTAGTCCCAGTATTCTAGGTGGTACATGACAGTTAGCATGATGAACCCAATAGCACATAGCTCATTTTCCAAGTTTTCACTTTGAAAAGAAAAAATAAAAAGGCATAGTTAAATATTCAAAAGTAATTCAAAACGAGCATAATTTTTTACAAAAGGCATTTAGTTTATGGTTCCATTTTAGCACTTTGCCAAACTGAGGCAGGATATGTAGTCAAAGAAGTAACCATGTCCTCATCAACACAGTAAGCCTCAGCATTCACGTCATAATCAAGCTCATTAAAGCAAAGCTACCTCCAGTATGGAGTTTCCCCTGAAGTCAGCTTGCACATTTTGATTTTACCTATCTTCAAACTCACCCTTTGCTCATAATAATAGTAAAAAACACACCCCAGGGGGAGATTTAGAATGCAAATAAGACATGTGATGTGTGAACAAGCATGCATAGCTACTGTGCATGTGCACTCAGAGGACCACCCAAAACATGCTTACTGGTAGCACGTCTTCCCAGCTCCTTATGAATAATCATGTAAGATTACCATAAAGGGAGTTTCCCCAGTAATTGAACACTGTCTCATCCTTACAAGAAACCCGTTCTGAATTGTCTCTTGGGGTGTATTTTCTATTCTGCACCTAACTTTCAGAATATTCTTTCTTCTTTGCAATATGTTGCTCCATGCTGCATCTCCTTTGCTGTGTGTCTCTTGTTTAAATTGTTTTAAACCAAGAAGACAAAAACCAAGATTTCATAACAGCCATCAACAAAACTACTTATATTTACCAGTTGTCCTAACATAGAGCTGTTGAGATGATAGTCTCCATAACCTAAGCTACCTTCCATAGGCCTCAGTGGACAAGACAGGCACCAATCCAATTTTGGTAGTCTTTCGTTATACCAGTTGAAATAATCTTTCCTCCATTAAAGAAGAATTTTTCTTCTTTAAAGGCATGGCAAATGTGAAGAATAGCAATATTTTTAACAGTTATCTAATTAGTGGACAGGCACAGAGTGAAATTTTCATCCCAAACAGGTATGTAAAAATATAGTTTTTGCATGAAATATTTTGAGACATTTTGGGAAAGAACATTCTTCTTAGATAATTACTGATGAGAAAAGGCTAACAAGTGGTATTGAAAACTTTGGTCATCTCAAAACATTGTTATAACTCTTGCCTTCTCTAAATATCTCAACTTAAAACTGACAAATGGCATTAGGCAAGCACTCTTCACACCGAACCTGTAGCTACAAATTACTGCGACAACTTTGAATGTGTACAAAATCTTTACAATGTGAATAGAAGATAAAATTTTATAATTTTGCCATCATTTTATTTTCTTATTTTACAGATGATTTTATCGCACTTTTTTTTCTCACCAACAGCCTTCCTCTAATAACCTGACTCCTGCTTGGATGATCAATGAAGAATTGGAACAGTATGAAAACAGCTTTCATATTTCCACACTAACAAAGCTACTAACCTCCCTAGATTGGTTCCATGTATGCTAACTTGCCTTCTGTCACAGTGGATAACCTTCTATGCACCTTTCTCAGACCAATCCCTCTACTTGTGCACATGAGGATAACATTGCTCATGCCCACTCAAGTGCCATACAAACAATGTTCCCCTCTTTAATCTGCATTCTCAATTTTTTCACATTCTATTTGATCATACCCATCAAACAAATATAATATAATGTTTCCCTTTAAAAAATTATTCCATTGTCCATCATTCCAAGTACCTCCCCAATATCCTGTTGTCTTTCACAGAAAAAATGTCTTCAAATTTTGCACCAACTCACTGTCTCTCTATCTTCTTTGTTTCTTCGTTGCCTATTGACCTCCCCCAATACTCCATCTACAACTTCACCAAAAGTGCTTTTGTGTAGCTCAACAACAACCTTCACAAGCCTATACCCATAGTTATGTTTAAACTCAATGTCAGCAGCATTTTAATGCACTTGATCTAACATCATCTTCACTTGGCATAGGAAGTGCACTCACACTTTCTCCTTAACCTACTTGTCTGGTCCTTTTCATTCTTCTTTGTTGGAGCCTATCCATTTTTCTGCCGTTAAATGTGAAATAGCCTAAGGCTCAGATTTCAGACACGTTCCATTTATTTATCAACAACCATTCTCTAAGTCATTGCTTCTCAACCTGACTGCATGTTGGAATAACCTTGATAAATTGAAAAATATGTGATTTTTATTTTATTGGCTTAGAGAATAACCCGGACATAAATATTACACAATTCCTGCAGCAGATTCTAATTCCCAGCCAAGACTTAGAACCACACCTCTAAGTAAAATCATACAAACCCTTCATTTTAAATGGCATTTGTACTAGCTCCACATTAGAATCATATGGGTTATTTAAATATGCCCACCTACAAACACGTACACACTAATGCACACAGCACCTTTTTTTAATTCTGAATAAATTGTTCTACCCTGAGATCCAGACACATATGTATTATAAACATATCACCCAGTAATTCTAGTAATCAGCCAAGGTTGGAAGCCACTAATAAATATAATGGTCACTCCAAGTTTAAATCCATAATTTGATCTCTTCCTTGAATCCAGTCTTATATATAGGGCTTCCTTCTCAATTTCTGTATTTAGATATATTAATGGTATTTCAGACTTCCATTTTGAAAACTTAATTATTTCTTCCCACCTCAAGTATACCCCATTCATTCATCAGTTCATTCATTTATTGAGCATTTGTGTGCCATGTTCATTCTAGGCTCTGAAGATTCAGCAATTAAGAAAATAAAAATTCATATCTTCTTGGCTCTACATTTTAGTGGCAGATACAAACCATTAATGGACAAACACACACACACACACACACACAAACACACACTTTCCAGGCCAAATCTATAAGCCTAAGAGTGTTTACTTTTACTGACAGCATTTTTTCAATATGTCAGATAATCTAGTATTTTCTACATGCAAAATATCTATTCAGAATCTGAGAACTTCTCACTATCTCCAATAGTTATGACCCTGATTGGAATGCTATCTTACTGAATTTTAGTAGTAGCCACCTATGTGGTATTTTATTTTAACTTTTGTGTCGCCAATGCAATCCCTATTCTACACACACCATGAGAGTTGTCTTTGTAGAACATGAATCTAATCATTTCACTTTCTAGCCCAAATGCCTCTGAGGCTATCCTCCTTTCCCAAATTAAAATCCGAAGTCTTACATTGGCCTTGAAAGCCATTTGCAATCTGCTTCTCCATCGCGATCCTCACCCATACCTTCATTTCCTATTACTTTCCCCCTTTCTCTTTTTATTACAATTAATCTGGCCTTGCTTTTCTGAAAACACACCAGTAATGTTCTGATCCTTACCTTTGTATATACTGTTTCACCTTCCACACAAATTCGTGACTCTTCTTTCATTCAGGTGCAAAATAATACCTTTTTATAGAAATATTTTCTTATCATATTTAAAGATTACATTTCTTATATTTGTTATATAGGTAAACACGTGCCATGGTGGTTTGATGCATAGATCAACCCATACCTAGGTATTAAGCCCAGCATGCATTAGCAATTCTTTCTGATGCTCTCCCTCCACCCCACCCTACTTTCAGGCTCCAATGTATGTTGTTCCACCTCCCTCCCCCACAACCTGTATCCACGTGTTCTCATGGTTCAGCTCCCATTTACAAGTGAGACCCTGTGGTGTTTGGGTTTCTGTTCCTGTGTTAGTTTGCTGAGAATAATGGCTTCCAGCTCTATCCATGTCCCTGCAAATAACATGATCTCATTCCTTTTTATGGCTGCATCATACTCCATTGTGTATATGTAACACATTTTCTTTATCCAATCTATCATTGATGGTCATTTGGGTTGATTCGATATCTTTGCTATTGTGGATAGTGCTGCAGTGAACCTACATGTGCATGTATCTTTACAATAGAACAATTTATATTCCTCTGGGTATATACCGAGTAATGGAATTGCAGGGTCAAATGGTATTTCTGCTTCTAGAACTTTGAGGATCGCCACACTGTCTTCCACAATGGTTGAACTAATTTACATTCCCACCAACAGTGTGAAAGTGTTCCTGTTTCTTCGCAACCTCAACAGCATCTGTTGTTTCTTGACTTTTCAACAATTGCCATTCTGACTGGTGATAGATGAAATGTCATTGTGGTTTTATTTGCATTTCTCTAATGATCAGTGATGTTGAACTTTTGGTCATATGTTTTTTGGCCACATGAATGTCTTCTTTTGAGAAGAGTCTGTCCATGCCCTTTGACCACTTTTTGATGAAGTTGTTTTTTTCTTGTAATTTTTTTTAAGTTCCTTGTAGACTTTAGATATTAGACCTTTGTCAGATGGACAGATTGAAAAATTTTTCTCATATTCTGTAGGTTGTCTGTTCACTTTGATGATAGTTGTCTTTTCTGTGCAGAAATATTTTAGTTTAATTAGATCCCATTTGTCAATTTTTCCTTTTGTTGCAATTGCTTTTGGCATTTTCATCATGAAATTTTTGCCCATGCCTATGTCTTTAATGGTATTCAGACATTTTCTTCTAGGGTTTCTAGAGTTTCGGGTTTTACATTTAAGTCTATGATTCATCTTGAGCTAATTTTTGTATAAGGTGTAATGAAGGGCTCCAGTTTCAATTTATGTATATGGCTAGCCAGTTTTCCCATCACTATTTGTTAAATAGGGAATCCTTTCCCCATTGACAGTTTTTATCAGATATGTCAGAGATCAGATGGTTGTAGGTGTGTGATCTTAATTCTGAGTTTTCTATTCTGTTCCATTGGTCTATGTGTCTGTTTTCGTACCAGTTTCATGCTGTTTTTGTTACAGTAGCTTTGTATTAAATAGAATAGTTTGAAGTTGGGTAGTGTGATGCCTCCAGCTTTGTTATTTTTCGTTAGGATTGTCTTGGCTATATGGGCTCTTTTAGGGTTTGATATGAATTTAAAAGTTTTTCTAACTCAGTGAAGAATGTCAATGGTAGTTTAATGGGAATAGCATTGAATCTGTAATTTGCTTTGGGCAATATGGTCATTTTCATGATATTGATTCTTCCTATCCATGAGCATGGAATGTTTTTGCATTTGTTTGTGTCCTCTCTTATTACCTTGAGCAGTGGTTTCTAGCTCTCCTTGAAGAGGTCCTTAACTTCCCTTGTTAGCTGTATTCCTAGGTATTTTATTCTCTTTGTGGCAATTATGAGTAGGAATTCATTCATGATTTGGCTCTCTGCTTATCTGTTGTTGGTGTATAAGGATGCTTGTGATTTTTGCACATTAATTTTGTATCCTGAGAATTTGCTGAAATTATCAGCCTAAGCAGCTTTTGGGTTGAGATGATGGGGTTTTCTAAATATAGAATCACGTCATCTGCAAACAGAGACAACTTGGCTTCCTCTCTTCCTATTTTAATACCTTTGTTTCTTTCTCTTGCTTTATTGCCATGGCCAGAACTTCCAGAACTATGTTGAATAGGAGTGGTGGGAGAGGGCATCTTTGTCGTGTGTCAGTTTTCAAGGGGAATGTTGAAACACTTTCTACAGTTTTTTATCTTTATAGCACTATTTATAGATTGTTTTATTATTTATGTTTGTTTAATGTCTTTTTCCTTTACACATATATGTGTGTGTGTGTGTGTATATATGTATACGTATATATGTATATACACACACACACACATATATATACAGCACAATGTGTAGAAATAAATATATATATTTATATACCCACACACACAATACAATGAGAACAAGAATTTTCTTTTGTCTACTTTATTCCCAGTGATATGAACAGTTATAAGTACATGCTGGCTGGGTTCAATGGCTCACTCCTGTAATCCCAGAACTTTGGGAAGCCGAGACAGGAGGATTGCTTGAGCCCAGGAGTTCCAGATCTGCCTGGGCAAGACCCATCTCTAAAAAAAAAATTTAAAAAATTAAAAATTAGCTCAGTGAAGTGGCCTCCAACTCTAGTCCTAACTACTTAGGAGGCTGAGGCAGGAGGATCCCCTGAGCCTAGGAGGTCAAGGCTGCAGTGAGCCATGATTTGCACCATTGCACTATAACCTGGGTGATGGAAAGAGATCCTGTCTCAAGAAGCAAACAAAGAAAATGTACATGTTATCCACTCAATAAGTATTTGCTGGATATAAATTATCTAATGTTATATTTAATATTTGCTAATCTTATCTATTCAGTTTAGCTCTTCTGTCTATTGTTAATCTCTTAGATAATCTATCTAAAGTTAGCCTTATATATTTGAAAGAACAAGATAAAATTGGAAAGTAACAAATAAAATATTTAATAAGGTTTCCCTGGTTTGTAACACTGTGTATGACAATATTTTCTTTACTGTATTTTTTCTACAAATAGTTGCTCTTCTATATAAACATACATATGTGTATATACATATTATGAAAAGTTCCACTTTTCGCTATGAATATTAATTTTGTTGAAATAAATGATATTTTCTGAAAAATGACAGTTGCAATAGATAATTGTCATACCTTTTATTTGTAAACCTTTGCTTTGTAATGTGCTTAAAACTTATACATATATATACAAGCACATATATATATATCTCCATCTACCATTTATATATGTAACTTCATAATTATTTTAACAACTGTTCATTTACACTTTAAGATTTTAAATAGGATTTATTTTGCCCTACCCTTGGTGACATACATTTAATTCAGTTTGTAAATTTTGGGATTTTTGCCAATGCTGAGAACAATTAGGTTACTTAAACTAAGTGATAATTTTCTAATTAATTCAAATAAATACTCGTTTAAGTGTATTTGGCTTGGGGGAGGATAACGCTAAAACTCTGTAGCTGGACTTGTGAACTGGCTGTGCACCTAGAAACACTGAACTGTGATATTAAGTAGTCATGAGTAACTGGGAACAAATAGTAAGAAAAATTAAGCTATTGTGTCTCAGAGAAAAGAGCTTACATGCTGAGTGTAAAAGAGTTATAAATTTGTCTTTAACTTACAGTTGTTTAAAAGTGTAATCGATCCGTGAATACTAAGACATGAGAATCAACATTTGAAATGTTTCTTCTAGAATGGAATGTGCTGTAGATCAGGTTTCCTGGAAGTCAACTTTGAAGCAGATTTGCAAGTAGGGTGTGTATTGGGGCTAGCTCTTAAGGTCGACACCTGTGAGGAAGGGAAGGCAGCATGATTGGGCAAAGGTAGGAGTGGACCTGTCATGACCCTCCACAGTTGCCTTGCACTGAAGCTGTCAGTCTAGATTTTTATATCTCCTTACCAACCAGTTATTGGTAGAGACTATTTTGGCCTAGAGCATTTCCTGGAAATTGACTCAGCTGGGCACTAACAATATCCAAGATTTCCAGCATCTGGAGGAATTATTGCTTCAGTTTTGAAAGGTATACGTGCATGGGAATCTAGGAGGTATGCAATTTCTGAATATACATTTATAAAAGCCTGTAGAAGATATAGATAGAGCACCATGATACTGTTAACAGTTACTTGTATTTTATGTATTTATTTGTACACATTTATGGGGTACCTGAGAAATTTTGTTACATGTATATAATGCACGGTGATCAAGGCATAGACAACAGAAGACATTATTTTCTTTTGAGTCACTAATCTAAGAATTTGATACACGAATAACAAATGTTACCGAAATCCCAGTAGCTTAGAACAAAAAGAGTTTATTCCCATTCACATTATTGAGATGCCATTACAGTATGTCTGTGGCTCTACTTTATGATACCATTTTGGGAATCTAGCAGACAAAGCAGCCCCATTTCAAATCTTACTCATATGTTTAGGCCAAAGAAAATCACTTGACCACATCTATTTTAAAAAGAAAGGAATGTATTATTTTTCTCCCCTGGAGACGAGTACTTCACACCAATTATGTTGTGTAGCAACAATGTATAATACAGTTCATATTCTCACTAACACTTGATAAGGTCCAATTAGTTAATGTGTGTCTACCTAGATGCAATGAAATAGTTCCATACTGTAGTAATATTTTGCATTAGCCTAATGACTAATAAATGTAAGAATATTTTTAAAGATTGATTTACCTTTTTTATTTTATTTGTGGTTAAATGCCTATTTCCATATTTGCTCAATTTTATTACATTTTATATTTGTTCATAAATTCTTTCTTTACTATTATTTTTTATTATGTACTTTGATACCAATTTTTTCAGTTACACAGGTTTTATAAATATCTACTTTCTAATATGTACTTTATATGTATTTCATTATTAAAGTTATTCATTTGAATTCATTTTATTTTATTGTTTATTTTCATGGCTTGTAAATTTGTGTCCATTCTGCAATATCGTTCTTTAATTTGAATTTAGATTTTAGTGACTTGTTTGAAAAAAAAGTTTGCAATTATTTCTCTTCCTGTATCCAGACACTTGCAATGTGATTTTGTAACTGCTCTTAACAAGAGACTGAATGTATATGTCTGCTTCTGAAATCCGAAACCATGCCTTTCTTTGTCACTTTGACAAGTGACGTTGTGTCAGTTCCATGCTTAGGCATTGGGGCTTTGTGTTATTTCAGTCATTCTCTTGGAAACCTGCCTTTCACCGTGTAAGGGACATCTCAGATTAACTGATGGACATTGTGAAACTTATGATCCAATTATCTCCACTTACCCCAATCCACAACCCTAACCAAGTCCCAAAAGCAGAACCATCTAGGTGAGCACTGACTGACTATAGATGCATGAGTTAGGTGAACTAAAATAAGGAGAAAAAACCATATGTTCCTAGGCCAAATTTCTGACAAAGAGAATCATAAACCAAATATGCAATTGTTGTTTTAAGCCACTAAGTTTGTCTGTGGTTTGTTATATAGCAAAAGCTAGCTGACATTATTTTTAAAGGCATTATTCTATAGGTTTACATTAAAATGTTATAGATTGGCCTTTTTCACTTAAGTTTTAATTTAATGCACTGAAAACAAAATTTTACAGAAAGAATTATATAGAGATCTGCTTTTCTTTCCACATTCCCTGAAACCTACCATTAAATAATCAGGTATACCCTACTGTAGTAAAATATTTGTCACATAACAAGCATTCTTATATCCTTCAGCCTGTTTTTGAGTTCTCTCTAATTTTTCAATAATTAATGTTTCTATCCTGCATCCCTCCCGTAGTTGTAATTATTATGATTATGAAAATATTTGAAATCTGGTAGAACACTTGCTAATTCTATCTTTATTCTTCTTCAGGAGTATTTAGACTATTTATTATTATTAGTCTTCAATTTTGCCAATTTCCTGAAAAAAATGATATTAATTTGTTTCAATTGTATTAAATCAATAAATTAATATAGGGAGAATTGTTATCTTCATGATATTTAGGGAGAACTGAAATTTTTAAATATTATATCCTCACAATGATGAACATGATGTATTTTTCAAAATATTTATTTGTTTCTTAAAAATAATATATAAACTTTCCATACAGGTTCTACAAGTATATTGCTATATTTATTACTGAGGAACTTACTCCTCATTGCTTTTCTAAAGAGTATTTTCTCATAAATGTTATTTCCTAAGTTTATGTAGAAACAAAACCATTTTTATTTTTCACTTTTATGTAGTAGAGTTATTAAGGTCTTTCATTAAATATAAGAATTTTGTTGAGTATTTTTTTAAATTTCCTATTTGCACAATCATAATAGTTGAAAATAATTACACATTTATTTATTACAATGTTCAAAACTTATAAAATTATCTTTCTGAACTAACACTAACTGTACATTTAATAATGGGAATATTCACCTTATTTACAATAGAAAAAAAGATTTCAAATATGATATTTGATTTAATTATTTATATATATATTTGCCACATTAAAGGAGTTCCTTTCCATTCCCAGTTGTGAAAGTTTTCATTTTTTGTCACAAGTACATACTTACTATAAGTGATTAATATACTATTATTGATGTGATCATGTAAATTTTCTTAATCTATGAATAACTTAAATTGACTGTTTTAACAGTAACTTAATTTAACATAATCTGGAATAATCTGAAACATATGATATAGTATATTTTTCATACAATAGGTGTCTCATTTTGATATTTCATTTAGAATTTTAATTTGTACTTGTGAGTAAAATTGGCTACTAATTTCCTTTTTCATGTATTTTTGTAAAAAAAAAATTTAGTATTAAAGTTACCTGAAATAACTCAATCAAAAAGAAAAAAAACAGACTTTTAAAATAGAAATAATGACACAAATTAACTTAAGTGTATATTAAATGAATGAGATAGCTACACAAGTAAACAAATTACTTTCTAGAGAAATTTAAAGTATACTTTTTTTTAAGAGACAAGGTATTGCTCTGTTATTGAGGCTGAAATGCATAAAATATACTTCAAAATGAATTTGAAAAAGTTTTAAGACTTATGATACATGCAAAATACTTGCAAATGCATCTTTGCTAAATTTTGGTATAATAACTTTAATAATCACATTGTTATTAAAACTATGACAGTTGAGAGAAGGTAAAATATAATTGGATAACTTACTTGGAAATTTTGGATCTTAAATTGGAATTGCACATATTAGTATAAACTTCTAAATGCTGTGCTCTTACTGATATACCAGGTTTCTCAATCTTTCCATTATTCCAGAATATTAAGCAGTGTCTCCATTCTAGCTCCTAGACTACAGCCTCTAAATATCATTGGAAAACAAAAACAAAAGCAGGGATTTTTAAAATTTCAACTTATATTTTAGATACAGGGGAACATGTACAGATTTGTTGCATGTGCGTATCACAAGATGCTGAGGTCTGGAGTACGGATCCTATCACCCAGGTAGTAAGCATAGTACCCAGTAAGTAGTTTATCAACTTTTGCACTTCTCCCTTCCTCCCTCCCATATCTAATAGTCCGCAGTGTCTATTGTTCTCATGTTTATGTCCATGTGCGCTCAGTTTAGCCCCAATTATGAGTGAGAACATGCAGTATTTGCTTTTCTGTTCCTCCATCAATTCACTTAGGATAATGACCTCCAGCTACATCTGTGTTGCTGCAAAGGACCTGATTTCATTCTTTTTGATCTTTATGTAGTATTATTCCATGGTGCACATGTACTACATTTTCTTCATCCAATTTACCATCCATGGTCTTCTGAGTTGATCCTATGTTCTCAAGAAATAAATCAATCCATATCTGTCTGGGAACATGCCTCTCTATGTTCCCCATAGGCATTTTCTGGGCTAGAAAGCAACAAGAAAATTAAAAATTTTCATCTCCAAAGACCACAGGAAACCTCACAAAAACTATGCTTATGAACCAAGTGGAGAATAACATGAGAAAGTACAATTGATTTTTATAAATTCCAAAATTCATAATGATATTAATAGGCAATGCATTGTTCTGAAAATTGGTAATGTAAGAATAGAAAGCATTTATCTCATCTACCTTTATGGACTTTAATTTAGCATAACAGAAGGAAGAGGGAGAATTCTTTAGAGAAGAATTTTATCTAATAAATTCAAAAGGAAAGGGGAATTGGAATATTAACATTTTGTAACATATAATGGAACAATCAATCTAAGCAATAATCAAAATGATTTTAAATGATTAGTTGAAAATGTGGTAAAGAATTTTTATAGTAGAGTGATTAGACTGATAGCACTTTACTCATTGGTGAATGTTTACATTAATAAAAATAGAACAACCAGACATTCTGTGTTTAGTAATTTAACACAATAGAAATAACACAGAAGCATTATTATTTTTGTTCTACAAAAGTTGAATATAACTCTAATCAAACTTCTGGTTGTAATTACTCTTCTACAGGAAATATGATGAATTGCGAAAAAAAGTAAACAACATCAGAAAAAGACCACTTGCCACACACCAAATGTGTGTCAATCTATTAGACAAATAACCTGGTCTTTTCAACTAGTCAATGCCAAAAAATAAAAACATCTCTAAAAGAGTTTTTTTCTGTAACTTTTTGTAACATGTTTAAAGAGTTCCTGCGAAAGCTTTTGCTGCTTCACAAACCTTATCTACCAAATCCAAGCATTATGAAAAAAATCTGATCTCTGCATGTTAAATCCAGATATGCTTTTAGCAGCCACACTCATAAGAAAAGAGACAGGTGGTGAAGTCACTTACTTTAAAATCAGGGGGAAAAATAACTAGTTTTTACTGATGGAATTTCTAAACTTCTGTAAAACATTCTCATGTATAGATCAATTAATACAATCTTATGTTCATAAATATTCAAGATAGAATTGGTGTACAACAAATTGGATGACAAGTAAAATCATCAAAAAACTAAAGAAAGATACTGTACACTGGGAGAAGATAGAGAAAACAATACAAATTGTTCTTTATTTGTTTATCTGTCTTTAAATGGATATTGATTGATAAACATCAAATTCTTCATTTTAGTTTAACTTTAGGATACATAAAATTACAACACTTCCAAAGGAAGATTTTTAAGGACAAGGATAGTGTAATTAGCATATATGTATAATGTGTAATATTATAGTTGTATATACATAAATAAAGTGAGTCAAGGGAGATAGGGACTTGACCAAGATCACAAATGTATTGCTACATGGTTTAAGGATGTTTGAAATGTAAAATAGGATTATCACATTTTAAATGTTTCAGGAAGCATGCTGTGTGGATTCATGAGAAGAATGCTCTTTCCATGTAGGAAAATAATTGTTGAACTCTGAATTGTGCTACAAATGTATGAATAATACTGAAGAGAGATAAATTGAACTTATGTAGTGGAAATGCTGAGTCACTACTAAAGTGATATATGAAACTATTAATAGATCTCAGCAAGACTATCTCTTTTACTTCATGCCAATAATCCAAAAGATGAAATGTAACTCACTGTGAAGGACAAAAATAAATGTGTCAGACATGATATGTTGGTCATGAAAATGAGGAGAAAGTACACTTTTTTGAATATCATATTAATAAAAATGATTAATTCTTCTCTTCCACACCATATCTGGTACAGTAATTTCAATGCATACAAATTCAGAGGTTTTGGGTAGTGTCAGTCATTTTTCTTCACATAGTGATTTCATTGTAATGGAGTTATTCAGGTTTGAGACACTAATGATTCACCAAATGTATTTTGCATTTAAAACAGAATTTGTATCACTGAAAGGAGTGATGAGCAGCTAAAATCTGGTTTATGGTATCATAGGTATTTCATGCAACAAAATGACAAGTATCAACTCATTTTGCAACATTGGGTAAAACATTGCCCTTCTATAAAGGGGCAATGTTTTACATGGGGCAATGTTTTACATTTTCATGGTTTCCAAATGTAAAGAAAATATGTAAAGATCTATAGAATTGATCAGAAATCATAGCCAGTGTTCCATAAAAGTATATATGCCATGTACAAATAGCAGTATAGTAATGGATTATATGTATGATATGAGAATGTTAATTAATCATAATCAACCCTAGGGCAGTCCCCTCCTTCTTGACAGCAACAAAATAAATTTGAACACAGAGTGTCAAAGAAGGCATTCTAAGAAGGCTAATGACCTGAAATTATCTTCTTTCTTTTATATGAAAATCACTTATACAATCTGCCTCTGCCAAGTCAAATGACAATTTGAGCTTAGGCAAATGAAGTCTTGAGTTCTGGGGAAGTAAGAGCTGGTATTGTATTCTCTACAATTGATATTCTCTACTAATTTTGGGAGCAGACACTTCACCAACATATTAGAGAGTTTTACCTCCTTTTTATTCCCAGTTGACATTTTTAACAATACTTCACAACAATATTAAGCAGTCTGACTAACCCCCATAATCAGTTGAATAGTTGAGCTGAATATCTCTGTAATTCTCAGAGAATATATGGACAACAAAGAGGTAGGAGGATGACTTTACACACATCAGCAGGAGGAAACAGTCTACCTTTTTCTTATGGTTTGTATAGGGATAGCTTGGATTTCTACCACTGCGTGACTATCCAACTTTAGCTAAAATTAAACTCCTATCTGTAGTCAAGGAATAAAAAAAAAAAAAAATACTTGTAAAAGGAACCAACAACCAAAATGAAAGATAGTAATACCTGCTTGCATAAAAATTAATAACAAATGTATGGCAATGGAAAACATGTGTGTAATGTAAACAATAAGCTTTTTAAAAAAGACACAATTATCAAAAAACAATGGTCAATTGATATGAATAGGAAATTCACCAAAAAAGTAATCCAAATTGTTAAATTCACTAGTATTCAGATAAATGAAAATACAGGTAATAATGACTTGATATTTTATATGTATCAGCTTACATTTTGTATGTAAAAAGTTAAAAAGACATCGCTTTTGGGGACTGGAAAATGACACTCTTATATTGCTTGTAAAAATCTGAATTGGTTTTAAGGCAAGAAATTGAGCAGCACAAATTAAATGTACTAAGATAAATTTCCCCTTTAAACTTATAATCTTCTGTTGGGATATGTACTCCATAAAAATAGAATACCTTTGTATAATAATATATGTATCAAAAGTTTTATGGCAAGCATCATTTTTAGTAGATAAAAAGTGAAAATAACATAAATCACTATCATTTGTGAGGTAACTGAATAAATTATGGTGTACCCCACTACTAAGTATTATGAAGGCATTAAGCACAATTAATTGCATATATGCCACTTGAAATGGAGGAATTTCCATAAAGTATTGTTCACTAAAACCAGCAGAAAAGTAATTCCACTTTAAATTATGAAATGACAAAGAAAACTCTATGTATTCTTCTATACAGTTAAAATAGTTAAACTTGCAGAGGCTTTAAACTGAATTGTGTATGTGAATTATTTGGTGGATTAATCACTCAGATGAATAGATAAGAGTTAAAAAAAAGTCAAAAGAAAAAGGATTAAACAAAATCAGTATCTTTGGTATTTTCATTTATGTAAAACATGTATATTTAAAAAATAATTTACACAACAGATGGCTTTGAAAATATTTATTTTTAAATAACTGATGATAGTCATTTGAATAGGTGAGTGTAGAGCATTTAGCCTTTTGAAATTCCCAGTATATTTGATGAATAAGCCAAAAAAATTACTTTTGATAGCCAGAGGGTCAGTGAAGGTGGAAAGTGAAACCCCAACTTGACTATCTGGTTGGAACTGAAATGCATTCCCATAGTATGTACAGATATAACCCCAATGTTTTAAGGAATCTATGTATCATTTATGTGAGCCCTGGATAATTACAGAGCTATGGACTATTGAGAGCCAAGCCATTATGAGGCCAGGATTCCAACCTGAGGCAGAACAAAAATAAAGATACAAGAGGGTCACAGGAAGGAAAAAAAAAGGGAGGGGGGAGAAATGGAAATTTATCTTTAGGTCAAATCTGGAACTGCATCTTATCTATTTTAATAAATATTGCCTTTAACCACTTGTTTGTTTCTTCTTTCCTTTGTGCCCAAGTGTTCTTCATTTAAACTTTCAATTAACAAGTAATAATTTTATACATTTATGGGCTACAATATGATTTTTGATATATGCATACATTGTGAAATGATTACATCAAACTACTTTACATATCTATCACTTCATAACCTTATCATTTCTTAGTTTTGAGAACATTTAAAATCTAATATTTTTGCAATTTTAAAATATGTTATTATTAACAATGGTCTTTCTGCTCTGCAAGAGATTACTAAAACCTATTCCTCTTTATTAAAACCTTGCATCTTTTCACCAACATCTCCCCTTTCCCTATCCACCCTCCAACCTACCCTTCCTCTAGGAGCTTGCATTCTTTTTTAAGTTGTTTTTCTTTATTTCTTCTAAAATCCCAAATTAAAACAAAAAAGCAAAAAGGATATATGTGCAGAATGTGCAGGTTTTTTACCTAGATATACGTGTGACATGGTGGTTTGCTGCATCTACTGACTCAACCTCTAATTCCTTCCCATCATCCCCCACCCCTCAAAGGCCCTGGTGTGTGTTGTTCCCCTCTCTGTGTCCATGTCTTCTCATTGTTCAACACTCCCTTATGAGTGAGAACATGTGATGTTTGGTTTTCTCTTCCTGTGTTAGTTTGCTGAGGATAATGTCTTCCAGCTTCATCCATGTCCCTGCAAAGGACATGATCTCATTTTTTCATGGCTGCATAGTATTCCATGGTGTATATGTCCCACATTTTTTTTTTTTTATCCAATCTATCATTGATGGGCATTTGGGTTGGCTCCATGTCTTTGCTCTGGTAAATAGTGCTGGAATAAACGTATGTGTGCATGTGTCTTTATAGTAGAATGATTTATATTCCTTTGGGTAAATACCCAGTAATGGGATTGTTGAGTCAAATGGTATTTCTTGTTCTAGATCCTTGAGGAATTGCCATACTGTATTCTACAATGGCTGAACTAATTAACACTCCCACCAACAGTGTAAAGGCTTTCCTATTTCTCCACAGCCTTGCCAGCATCTATTGTTTCCTGACTTTCTAATAACTGCCACCCTGTCTGGTGTGAGATGGTATCTCATTGTGGTTTTGATTTGCATTTCTCTGATGATCAGTGATGTTGAGCTTTTTTTCATATATTTGCTGGCAGCATAGAAGTCTTCTTTTAAGAAGTGTCAGTTCATATCCTTTCTTCACTTTTGGATGGGACTGTTTTTTTTTTCTTGTAAATTTGTTTAAATTCCTTGTAAATTCTGGATATTATTCCTTTGTCAGAAGGGTGGATTGCAAAATTCTTCTCCCATTCTATAGGTCGTCCGTACACTCTGATGATAGTTTCTTTCTCTGTGCAGAAGAATTTTAGTTTAATTAGATCCCATTTGTCAATTTTGGCTTATCCACCATAATCAAGTTAGCATCATCCCTGGGATGCAAGGCTGGTTCAACAAACACAAATCAATACATGTCATTTATCACATAAACAGAACCAAAAACCAAAACCACATTACTATCTCAATGGATGCAGAAAAGGCCTTCGATAAAATTTAACATCCCTTCATGTTAAAAACTCTCAATAAACTAAGTATTGATGGAACATATCTCAGAATAATAAGAGCTATTTATGACAAACCCACAGATGATATCATATCAAATGGGCAAAAGCTGGAAGCATTTCTATTGAAAACCTGTACAAGACAAGGATGGCTTTTCTTACCACTCCTGTTCAACGTAGTATTGGAAGTTCTGGCCACAGCAATCAGGCAAGATAAGGAAATAAAGAGTATTTGAATAGAAAGAGAGGAAGTCAAATTATCTTTGTTTGCAGATGTCATGATTTTATATTTAGAAAACCCCATCATCTCAGTCCAAAATCTCCTTAAACTGATAAGCAACTTCAGCAATGTCTCAGGATATGAAATCAATGTGCAAAAATCAAAAGCATTTTTTACACAAACAATAGACAAGCAGAGAGCCAA
This sequence comes from Homo sapiens, assembly GCF_000001405.40. Taxonomy (NCBI): domain Eukaryota; kingdom Metazoa; phylum Chordata; class Mammalia; order Primates; family Hominidae; genus Homo; species Homo sapiens. Next base: position 62,943,688 of record NC_000004.12, on the reverse strand, counting down.
ATAATTACGAATGAATTTCCATTCACAATCACTACAAAAAGAATAAAATACCTAGCAATACAGCTAACAAGGTATGTGAAGGACCTCTTCAAGGAGAACTACAAACTACTGCTCAAGGAAGTAAGAGAGGACACAAACAAATGGAAAAACACTCCCTCCTCACGGATAGGAAGAATCAATATTGTGAAAATGGCCACAATGCCCTAAGAAATTTACAGATTCAATGCTATTCCCATTGAACTGACATTGACATTCTTCACAGAATTAGAAACAACTATTTAAAATTTCATATGGAATCAAAGAAGATGCTGTATAGCCAAGACAATCCTAAGCAAAAAGGACAAAGCTGGAAGCATCATGCTACCTGACTTCATACTATACTACAAGGCTATAGTAACCAAAGGAGCATGGACCTGGCACCAAAACAGACATATAGACCAACAGAGCAGAACAGAGGCCTCAGAAATAACACCACACATCTACAACCATCTGATCTTTGCAAAATCTGACAAAAATAAACAATGGGGAAAGGATCTCCTATTCAGTAAATGGTGCTGGGAAAACTGGCTAGCCATATGCAGAAAACTGAAACTGGAACCCTTCCTTAAACCTTATACAAAAAAATTAACTAAAGATGTATTAAAGACTTAAATGTAAAACCCAAAACCATAAAAACCCTAAAAGAAAACCTAGGCAATACCATTCAGGACATAGTCATGGGCACAGACATCATGACAAAATCTCCAAAAGCAATTGCAAAAGGAGCTGGCATTCTCAAGAAACTGAACTGCTTTTCAAAAAAGGAAGCTGAACTGAAGCCCAGACTCAGTTGCAATAACTCAGGCTACAATGTTCTGATTGGCGTGGGATATGATAAAATGACCTTATTTTGGAGAAAGACCCCAGATTTTATATATAATTAGAAAAACAGAGAGAAGAGAGAGAGCAAAAGAGAAGAAGGAGGAAGAAAAGGAGAAGAAAAAAGAGTTAAAAGAAAGAAATTATTTTATTGCGGTATCTAAGGCCAGAATTCTGCAGAATCAGAAAATTTAAGGCCACAGTTCTGAAAATTCAGAGAGTAAAACCATGCCTTTATCTCTGAAGAACAGACTCATTTGAAACCTATTTCTTTGTTAAACTAACAACTGAGACCAGAGTCTGGATTATAAATTTTTTTAGTCAAAAAAGAATATGGCATAACATTGGGATTAGAAACTAAGACACTTCCCAATAAATTTCAACAAATGCAGCTGAACAAAATATATCTCATGTTTTTCCTGGATTTAAGGAGGTTTTAATCATAGATGTGGATGAGTTTGAGGTGGCTAAGTGTTAGAATTCTAGTTAGTTTGGAAAGTATAAGAGAAAGCCAAGCACATTAGGGAGTACTTCAAAAGAAATGCAAAGATTGAAATGTTCTTTTAATATCATTTTCTATAAGATTTGCACTAATCACAAATGCTAATATATATTGAGGTTTATGTACAAGGCATTATTCTGATATTTATTTGCATTAATTCATTTCATCTTCATTTTTTCATGTAGTAGGTATTGTAATAATCCATATTTCAGTGAAAATAAAATTGAGGTCCGGTTAAGTGACTTATCAAAGTCATATATGTAATAATTATGAAGCTGGAATTCAAACCCGGACAAGCTGGCTCAAAAGTCTGTGTTCTTCATCACTTTACTATATTCCATCTGCTATGATGGCACAAAATTGGATTGAAAGATTAATTATATTTAGAGAAGGGGGAGAATCTAATACAGGAATACAGCATAAGGACAAAGAAAGACCTACTACTCTTCCTGACCTGGATGGCTTATGGGAAGAAGAGACAGATGTAGGGGTGGGTTGCCCCTCCACACCTGTGGGTGTTTCTCGTAAGGTGGAACGAGAGACTTAGGAAAGAAAAAGACACAGAGACAAAGTATAGAGAAAGAAATAAGGGGACCCGGGGAACCAGCATTCAGCATATGGAGGATCCCGCCAGCCTCTGAGTTCCCTTAGTATTTATTGATCATTTGTGGGTGTTTCTCGAAGAGGGGGATGTGTCAGGGTCACAAGACAATTGTGGGGAGAGGGTCAGCAGACAAACACGTGAACAAAGGTCTTTGCATCATAGACAATGTAAAGGATTAAGTGCTGTGCTTTTAGATATGCATACACATAAACATCTCAATGCTTTACAAAGCAGTATTGCTGCCCGCAGGTCCCACCTCCATCCCTAAGGCGATTTTTCCCTATCTCAGTAGATGGAGCATACAATCGGGTTTTATACCGAGACATTCCATTGCCCAGGGACGGGCAGGAGACAGATGCCTTCCTCTAGTCTCAACTGCAAGAGGCATTCCTCCCTCTTTTACTAATCCTCCTCAGCACAGACCCTTTACGGGTGTCGGGCTGGGGGACGGTCAGGTCTTTCCCTTCCCACAAGGCCATATTTCAGACTGTCACATGGGGAGAAACCTTGGACAATACCTGGCTTTCCTAGGCAGAGGTCCCTGCGGCCTTCCGCAGTTTTTGTGTCCCTGGGTACTTGAGATTAGGGAGTGGTGATGACTCTTAAGGAGCATGCTGCCTTCAAGCATCTGTTTAACAAAACACATCTTGCACCGCCCTTAATCCATTTAACTCTGAGTTGACACAGCACATGTTTCAGAGAGCACGGGGTTGGGGGTAAGGTTATAGATTAACAGAATCTCAAGGCAGAAGAATTTTTCTTAGTACAGAACAAAATGGAGTCTCCTATGTCTACTTCTTTCTACACAGACACAGTAACAATCTGATCTCTCTTGCTTTTCCCCACAGACAGAGAGAGTTGTGAGAAGATATCACATCAGCCTGTTCTGTCTTCCTCACTTCAAATTCCGAAAAGATACGCAGGAAGCCCAACAATATTGGGAAGGAGGAGGGAGGAAGCTATAAGTGCACAGTTCTAAGAATCTTGTGGATATGCCAGGCTTTTTGGACATGTCCTCAAGGAAACAACCAACTTGAAGAGGTGATAATTGTGCCAGAATGGTGAGGGGAGATGGATGGATAAAATAGACTGAGTCAGGAATTCTGTTTCCCCAAAGGACTATGTAAACTAAGAAGAGGATTCAGAAATCTCTGATGCCCTGGTGACAATGTAATAAGGTCCTATCAGAGTCAAGTTCCAGTAAATGTCTTGAGTCACAATGCACAATGAATGTGTTACTTGTAGGGAATTCAACATAAAGGCAATGGTCAAGGCCAGGGATTCCAATGGCAGGGTTACTACAACACTCTAAAAGACAAGCTTGGATGAGTCACAATTCAGAGATCACTAGGTCAAAGGGAAGATCATATCAGTCTTTTTTTTTTTTTTAACCAAAGGCTTGAATGGTTTAGAAGGTACTGCAAGGATTTTTGGTCTTTGTCTTCCTCAACTGCCAGATGTCACACAAACCTGACTTCTCCTTTAAAAAAATACCATCATGGAGAGAAACAAAGGACTGAATTTAAGAAACAGTGCTTTGACATAAAAGAGAGGAATCCATGAAAAAGTAACCATTGAGACTGGGAGGCACTAAAATCTTATATATTTCAAAATTTGACTGATTGTATTTGTTTCTCTGATAAATAGCCAAGTGCTGGCCTATGAGTAATCAACATAGCTATGAGAATTTTTAAAAAAGTGGTATTTATTTTATATACCTCAGTATAGCGTGAATAAGAGTTGTAGCATGGCTGTGTGTATTTCAGCAATTTTAAATTTTAGGAAATACCATTCTGGACATTGGCAATAGGCTAACAGTCAAAAAATATATATGGCTCAAGATCCCAAAACAATTGCAACAAACACAAAAATTGACAAGCAAAACCCAATTAAACTAAAGAGCTTCTGTGCAGAAAAAAAAAAAAAAAATTTCAAAAGTGTAAAGAATAAATAGACACCATACAGAATGAAAGAAAATATTAGCAAACTATGCATACAACAGAGGTCTAATATCCAGAATCTATAAGGAACTTATACAAAATAACAAGCAAAAAAAAAAAAATAACCTCACTAAAAAGTAGGCAAAGGACAGACACTTCTCAAAACAAGACATACAGGTTACCAACAAACATTTAAAAATGCTCGACATTACGTTTCATTAAAGAAACGCAAATCAAAACCACAATGAGATAGATACGATCTCATGTCAGTCAGAATGGCTACTATTAAAAAGTCAAAAAATAATAGATGCCATCAAGGCTGCAGAGAAAAGGGAACATTTATAAATGTTTGTTGGGATGTAAACTTATTCAGCTCCTGTGGAAAGCCATGCAGAGAATTCTCAAATAACTTAAAACAGAACTACCCTTTGACCCAGAAAGCCCATTGCTGAGTACACCCAAAGGAAAATAAATTGTTCTACCAACAAGACACACATGCTTGTATGTTTATTGTGCCACTATTCACAATAGTAAAGACATTGAATCAACCTAGGTGCCCATTAAAATGTTGGATTTGATAAAGTAATGGTGGTATATGTATACAATGGAATACTTCACAGCCAGGAAAAAGGGCAAAATTGTGTCTTTTGCAGCAGCAAGGTTGCAGCTGAAGGTTGTTATCCTAAGTGAATTACTGCAGGAAGAGAAAACCAAATACTGTGTCTTCTAACTTATAAGTGGGAACTAAACATTTGGTACATACAGACCCCAAGATGGAAACAATAGACATTGGAGACTACTAGAGGGTAAAAGGAGGAGGAGGGGTATGAGCTGAAAAAACTACCTATCGGGTACTGTGCTCACTACCTGGGTGATAAGAGTAATCATACCACAAACCTTAGCTCATGTGATATACCCATGTAACAAGTCTGCACATGTACCCCCTGAACCTAAAAGTTGAAGAAAATAATTATCTAAATAAATAACTTTGGGAAGATATGCTCAGCAAGTTAAAACAACTCTTTTCCTCAGTGCCTCAAAAGCTGATCTAGGCAGGGTGCGGTGGCTCACGCCTGTAATCCCAGCACTTTGGGAGGCTGAGGCAGGCAGATCACAAGGTCAGGAGATCGAGACCATCCTGGCTAACACAGTGAAACCCCGTCACTACTAAAAATACAAAAAAAAATTAGCTGGGCATGGTGGCAGGTGCCTGTAGTCCCAGCTACTCAGGAGCTGAGGCAGGAGAATGGCGTGAACCTGGGAGGCAGGGCTTGCAGTGAGCCGAGATCGTGCCACTGCACTCCAGCCTGGGTGACAGAGCGAAACTCCCTCTCAAAAAAAAAAAAAAAAAAAAAAAAAAAGTTGATCTAAGCATACATTATTACCATTAGACTTCAAATTTTGAAGTTTAAAATTCCTTACTGTAGGAAATTAATGAAAATTATTTCATATCTTCATACTAGGATTATCAGCAACCCTGAAAAATAATAGACTTGATATCACGTTCAGGCACAATCTGAAAAGTGCTAGTCTTTATGCTATGCATGATTGGTTAAAAAAAATATGTTCCTCATATTTGCCAAAAGCAAGTAAAAAGGACTTCTGGTACCTTATGTTTAAACGTTCATTCATTTCATCACATAACAAATATAAAAGCACTATTAAATTAAGCATAATATCACAGTAAACTTCAATCTATTATGTCGATATCTCTGTATAATGATCATGTATCTATTAAATATAAATTGAGGAAGCAAACCCCACCTCAACCTTTAGTGTAAGCACAGAGCAAGCTTTCTATAAAAAGCAGTGCTTAGGTAAGATGAGGCATAATGTCAGGTGAGGTTTCATAATCCCATAGAGAAGCATTCAGGAGCCAGGACACACTTGGACTCATCACGGGTTACATTGCAAGAGAAGAACTCCATATCTCACAATTCCACCTAAAGAACAAACATTAAGTGCAACAAATTAGGAAGGAGTTACATATTTGCCACAGACTGCCTGGAGACATTGCAGGCAATTGGGAGTGTAGGCAGCCCCTCCCTAGTAGAGAAGGAAGAGTGACCTGCCACTCTGAAGAAGAAAAAATAAATTTGTGGAATTTCTCTTCTTCACAAGTATCAGTCTAATTTTTATCTTCCTCAACACTATGATCATCTTGTATTTCTTACCTTAGATATAGACATGAAAACTTGTCTGCATTGCAACAATGATTAGAAATAGAAATAGTAAATTCCATTCAGATAATGGAATAGGTTTTATATCAGTTTTCCTAACTAAGACAAAAACATAATCTATCTAAAATTACATTGTAGTTGAGTATCAAAAATCCATTGTCACTAAAACTTACCCTGAGAAACTAACTTGATTTCTGTATTACAATCATGGGCTTTGAAATCAGACAGACCCAGGAACAAATATCTTCCCTTATTATTAATGATTGTTTAGGCATCATTTTGACCACCTACAAATTGAAGGCAATCGTTGTATTAGTCTGTTCTCACACTGCTGATAAAGACATACCCGAGACTGGGCAATTTACAAAAGAAAGAGGGTTTAACGGACTTACAGGTCCACATGGCTGGGAAGACCTCACAATCATGGCAGAAAGCAAGGAGGAGTAAGTCACATCTTACATGGATGGAAGGAGGCAAAGAGAGAGCTTCTACAAGGAAAGTCCCATTTTTAAAACCATCAGATCTTGTGATACTCACTGTCATGAGAACAGCACAGGAGCAACTTGCCCTCACAATTCAATCATATCCCAACAAGTTCCTCCCATGACATGTGGGAATTGTGGAGGTTACAATTCAAGATGAGATTTGTATGGGGACACAGCCAAACCATATCATTCCACCCCTGACCTCTCCCAAATCTCATGTCCTCACATTTCAAAACCAACCACGCCTTCCCAACAGTCCCATGAAGTCTTAACTCATTCAGCAATAACTCAAAAGTCTACAGTCCAACGTCTCATCTGAGACAAGGCAAGTCCCTTCTGCCTGTGAGCCTATAAAATCAAAAGCAAGTTATGTTACTTCCTAGATAAATGAGGGTACAAGAATTGGGTAAACACAACCATTCCAAATGGGAGACATTGGCTAAAACAGAGGGGCTAAAGGCACCATGCAAATCTGAAATCCAGAGGGGCAGTCAAATCTCAAAGCTCCAAAATGATCTCCTTTGACTCCATGTCTCATATCCAGGTCATGCTGATGCAAGAGGTGGGTTCCCATGGTATTGGGCAGCAACACCCCTGTGACTTTGCAGGGTATGGCCTCCCTCCCAGCTGCTTTCATGGGCTGACATTGAGTGTCTGCAGATTTTCTAGGCACACAGTGCAAGCTGTCACTGGATCTACTATTCTGGGGACTAAAGGACAGTGGCCCTCTTCACAGAGCTCCACTAGGCAGTGTCCCAGTAGGGACTCTGTGTGGAGACTCCAACACCACATTTCCTTTCTGCACTGCCTTAGCAGAGGTTCTCCAGGAGAGCCCCAGCCCTGAAGCAAACTGCTGCCTGAACATCCAGGCATTTCCATACATCCTCTGAAATCTAGGTAGAGGTTCTCAAATCCCAATTCTTGACTTCTGTGCACCTGCAGGCTCAACACCACTTGGAAGCTGCCAAGACTTGGGACTTGCACCCTCTGAAGCCAAGGCCAGAGCTGTACCTTGGCCTCTTTTAGTCATGGCTTGAGCAGCTGGGGCACATGGCACCAAGTTCCTAGGCTGCACACAGCGTGGGGACCCTGGACCCAGCCCAAGAAACCATTTTTTCTTCCTAGACCTCTGAGCCTGTGATGGGAGGGGCTGCCATAAAGACCTCTGACATGTCCTGGAGATATTTTTTTCCCATTGTCTTGGGGATTAACATTCAGCTCCTTGTTTGTTATGCAAATTTCTGCAGCCAGCTTGAATTTCTCCTCAGAAAATGGGATTTTCTTTTCTATCACATTGCCAGGCTGCAAATTTTCCAGACTTTTATGTTCTTCTTCCCTTACAAAACTGAATGCCTTTTACTGTACCCAAGTGACCTCTTGAATGCTTTGCTACTTAGAAATTTCTTCCATCAGGTACTCTAAATCATCTCTCTCATGTTGAAAGTTCCACAAATCACTAAGGCAGGGGCAAAATGCTGCCAGTGTCTTTCTAAAACATAAGAAGTCACCTTTGCTCTAGTTCCCAGAAAGTTTCTCATTTCCATCTGAGACCACCTCAGCCTGGACATTATTGTCCATATCACTATCAACATTTTTGTCAAAGCCATTTAACAAGTCTCTGGGAAGTTCCACACTTTCCTACATTTTCCTGTCTTCTTCCAAGCCCTCCAAATTGTTCCAACCTCTGCCTGTTACCCAGTTCCAAAGTCACTTCCACATTTTTTAGTATCTTTTCAGCAATGCCTCACTCCACTGGTACCAATTTACTGTATTAGTCCATTTTCATGCTGCTGATAAGGACATACCTGAGACTGGGAAATTTCCAAAAGAAAGAGGTTTAGTGGACTTACACATGGCTGGTGAGACCTCATAATCTTGGCAGAAAGCAAGGAGGAGCAAGTCATGTCTTACATGGAAGGAAGTAGGCAAAGAGAGAGCTTGTGCAAGGAAACTCCCATTTTTAAAATCATAAGATCTTGTGAGACTGATTAACTATCACCAGAAAGGCACTGGAAAGACCCACCCCCTTAATTCAATCACCTCCCACCAGATTCCTCCTACAACACATGGGAATTGTGGGAGTTACAATTCAGGATGAGATTTGGGTGGGGACACAGCCAAACCATATCAATAGTCCACTTCCAGTATTGTGTTGTAAAATATAGGACACGAGGTACAGGAAATATTTTACAGCTGATAATATTACTAATACACTCAATATATGTTGTATGTATATTTAAATACTTATCCTCATCTCTCTTTATAAAATTGAAGGAGTTTTGTTTTTACCTGTGGCTTTCAAGAAACTGTGAATTAAAAATCTAACACTGCCTCAGATTTGATGTCTCAGATTTGATGAGGAATTTACTTGGGGTCAACTATATGTGAAAACAAATTTATTCACAATGTTTCTGAAAGCACTATATAAAAAGTTTTTATTTTTTCCTTATGATTTATTATTTGATAAGTACATACTACTTCCTCCCTGACTCTCCTAACTAGAGAGGGAAAAAAACTGATTTTCTCACTATGAAAAATAATTTCAGGATGTTTTTCTTATTGATACACTTAGATATTCATTTAGTCACTAACGACTTATTACCTACTCGGGGTAAGAGCAGTTCTATGTTCCATGAGTATAAAAGAGAGCAAGATAGAACGAGCCCTTCTTCAATGTAGCTCAAATATGAGGGGCAAAATAATACATTAAAGCAAATTAAACAATTACAATAACAAAGATTACAGTATGCTATGGAAATACTAAAAAGTGATTTTTAATCTCTCTGAAAAAACCCCACACATTCAAGGTGTGACTTGAAGTTTGAACAAAAATTGACTACTTAAATGGAGAATGACAACAGAAGAGTATTCCTTGCATTGGGAAAAGAACCCAGGAACTAGGAAGATCGCTAGTATTCACTGGTATTTCAGAGATCTAAAAATATCTTGGCATTGCTAAAATAAAAATGAAGAGGAGCTGGAGTTGCTAAAGCTGGAGCTGGAGAAGTAGGTAGGGTTTTTCTTTTAAAAGAATAGTTTTTTAAGAATTTGAATTTATAGTAAAGACAATATGAAAGTTTTATAGAGTTATGACATGAACATAGTTGCAGTCTGAAAAGTAACCCTTTCAACTTAGAGCAAAAGTTGAAAAGAATGAGAGGGATGTAGAAATGTATTATTATAGACCAAATAAGACATACTCATGTATTATGCTAGAATGAAAGCTGTAGCAGTACAGATGGTTGAAAGTTTTAGGAGACATTTAAGGGGTGGTATTTGTAGAATCAGTTATACATAGAGTTTGAACAAGAGGTGAGTTTCTCACCTTTGAAATATAGAAGAAATTGAAAATTGCTGAAGAACTGTAAGTACTATGACAAAAAAATAACTGACCAGATTACAAGAATGTTTTAGCCACTATAGATATTGAATTTATTTACCTGTGCAATACTAAACAGTCAAAGCAATGAGAAATAAGACATCACCTCCCAGGAAAGGAACTTAAGAGAAACTAAGCTAATAAGAAATAAGCCTCTGCTTCTGATATAACATTCTACAGAATAACTGAACCAATGAGAAAAAAAATCTCTATTTCTTGTTGCAAAATGGAGTACAAGACACAGTCTTAATAATTCTGCTTGTTAGAATGACTTTTGAGACCTAGTTGGACTAGAATGACTTTTGAGACCTAGTTATTAATTTTTTTATTTGAATAAACATTTAAAGATAGAGACATAGTGGTAGCCAAGCCAAGTTCAATATTAGTCACCAACATGGCCAACCACAAGGAATAGTCCCTCCAAAATAGTAAAAATAACAATAATAGTACTTCAACAATAAGAATATATGGCTTTATTAAAAGATTAAATTAACTAAATATTTTATCGATATCAATCTAATTAATATTAATATCAATCTAATATTAATCTTTCCCTAAAAGCTTAAAAAATAGGTGTTAAGGGAATAGTAGGCAATACAGCTGCATCCATACTTGTCTACTGCACCAAAATAAGAGTCTGAATGTTGGTCTATTGTTGAATGTAAGTGAGCCCTTATGCGTCAGTTGAGGCCATTGAAATAAACTCATTTTCCTTTGCCAGCTTTCTCTCTTTCTATCTACCAACTCTGTTAAAAAACAAACAAACAAACAAACTGAAACAGCTCCCTTGTGATCTTATAAAACCCTTTAATGCTCCATTCTCTGAAAACCTTTTACATCAACATTTGAAAAGACTTGTCTATTCTTTTTGATAAGTTTTGTCAAATTTTTCTCTCATGAATTGATTTGAATCCATATTTTATCCACATCTCTTCATAAAATATGATGCTGTATTGTCTTGCTCTAGTCAACAATGGCATCATTTTTGCTAAATCCCCATGGACAATTCTTGGTCTTCATTAAGTTGACCCATCAGCAGTATTCTATTAGGTCAAGTGAGTTTTAATATGGCACCTGCTTTCTTTATTTTACCACTGGCATATTACTCCTTTGTTGTTCTCTGCATCAGCACCCTCCTCATCAATAATCTTGGTTAGATCTCTGTATCTTTTGGACTTCTCTATATTAGATTGTCATAGCATTTATTGCAAAATACATTTCCTCTCTCTATATTTTTCTCTGGTTGAATAAAGCATGAAAAGATGAATGCATTCATTGAGCAGTGAGCAAACTAAGTGGTAAATTAGAATCACCTATTGCATTTTGTGTTTTATATAAGATATATAATTTATTTGTCAAAATAAACCTGTTAGGCAAGTGTTATTATTATTTGTCTTAAAGGTCTGATACTATAACTTGGAACTTGTTTTGGACACAGGTGAATGCCTGAATTCTACCTTTGCCCAGTTGCATCCATTTCTATGATCTCTGGTAAAATACATCTGCCAAAATCAGTGCAAATATTATGCAATACATTATTTTATCAATGGGTGGGTTCATACTGGTAATACAGGATTAAGTTAAACTAGGGTTTATTCCAGAACCATAGACGACTCTGTGGGGATTCTCAAAGTCTATAACTTTGGCTGAAAGACCAATGGAAGCCAGTGAAATGTGTGAACAAAAAAGCAAAATGAGTTGGCCTTAGGTAAAAAGAAAAATTTCTCATTCTTGTGTTTAGTGATCCAAATCACAGATAACCATGGTTTGGTTATTGTCTTAGAATCTGATCAAAGGCAGATTATTAGTTTTTTTCCTCTCAGGAAAGAGGAAGAAGCCCTCACCTTGTAGTAACGACTCATCTTCACTCTTCTTTTTTTTTTTCTTTGAAGGTTAAGTGACTTATCTCATTTAATTAGCAATTCAGTGATTGAACCCAAGTCCAGGTGATTCTGGACCCTAGCTAGACCCTCACTCTCTAAATCATTACAAAAGGATAATGGCACATAAAATAAATATGGAAAAATCTGAAAATAGAGGGTATTTACCATAAGGACTTTGTAAAATGGATGGAGAAGAGGATCTAGCTCATAATTCCAAGGAGCATGCCAAGGAAGAGAAGTTGAAACACGATGAGTGTTTTGAGATGTGAGAGAAATACCAAGAGTGGGTGCTGCTCAGGAGAATAAGAACAGAGACTTTTGATAAGAGTTACCAGCACTGTCAAATAACAAATAACAAGCAAGAGCAAGATTTTTAATTGTACAGTGGCATTATAGTACTGGAGTTTTTGTTTGGCTTGGTTATTTGATTTTTGTTAACATAACAAATATGGAATAAATGTCTGGATATAATGAGTACTAGCTATTTCCACACCCTCTAAAATCCAAGATATCAGTATTGTTCTGTCTGTAATAATGTCAATATCTGATGTTACTGGAGTTACCAGAGTTATTTAGCATATTCATATTAGTATATTGTTAGCATTTTAATATAGTTTATAGAAAAAGTTTCAGACTATATTAGAATGGAAAATTTTATGACCAACTACTCCTACACTATTTCACAAAGACCTGCTTGATTATTTAGCTCTCTTTGAAATTCCAGAATAGACGTATTTGTTTGCTCATTGCATTGCAATCTTAACTATGACAGCATAGCATTACCACCTCTCCCACTGATTCTCTCCTATTTGTTCTGGCTAAAATTATCACCCTGTTATTCTGAAGCAAATCTTACCCTTTCAATATACTTTGCTTGTTTTTACATTCCTCACAGTGCAGACATTTCCCTGACATGTTCATTTGTCAAAATCTATTCTCTATACAAAAGAATAACCAATAGCAACAAATATAGATTTATTTACTCCTTAACATGAGAAAAAAAATGTCCCAAAATGGAATGTCAAGAGATGGCACAAAAGTACAGTGATCACCAATTATGGTGAGCAATATTATAAAAACTTCCATGGGAGCTGTAGCTCATGTTACCTACTTACTATGATATTCTATAAATTTCTATTTATGTTATCTATATTAAAAAGTTGTCTTTCAAAAACTCTTTATTATCAAAGAAGAAAAACAACTTAATAAAGTCCTATGATTTGCAGTAAATTTTTAAAATGCCTACAGCCAATGTGATAATCATAATTTTTTAACAAAGAGGCCAAATATTTAGAATTCTAAAATACTTAATCTCTATCATTGTCAGTTATAGAACAAAATACATTAATGTTTCAAGAAGTAAAAATTAACTAAAGTCCTCATAAATTTAGCTCCTACTTACATTTTTGTCACCAAACTTCCTTCATTTATTTTAAACAACATCTGGAAGGCATTCTTCCATAGTGAAGTGACTGTGAAGATTAGAGAGAGAACTGCCTCTAATTCTACCTGTACTATTTTGGGCAAGGTATGTAACCTCTTTGGGCTTCAAGGATCATGTCTGTGAAATAAGAGTAGAACTTATAATTTGCAGCGTTGGTAAAAAGCTTAATCTAGATGATGTATATAAAGTTGGGCCCTCAAGACTTTTGATGAATCTTGACCTAGAATGAATGTTTGAAAAACAAGGCAGACAGTTTCTCTAATGGGCAGAGAAGACAGCAGAGGACTTGAAAATTTCATGTAACTAAAGAAAATCAAAGTTTAAGACTGCCAAGCATGCAAGAACTTAATGGCAAGAATCCCTGAAACAAGAGAGAGACACAGGAAAATAAATAAATATAATAATAATATAATATAACAATAATAATATAAAATAATAAATATTATTGATTCTTAAGCTGTGCAGGTAAAGGACATGAAGAAATGAGCAGAAAGTGAATGGAAATTAGAGTGAGGCTTTCCATGATGTCATGTTCCTGAGGGATTTAATACTGTTAAAGAAAAAAATGGCAGTAATAAACAGGCTCTACTGGAGAGTTACTTGCTAAAGTAGGGAGAATGGGGAGAAAAAGGTATAGTGAGCCTTCTAAAAACTAAAACTAGCATAAGGTCAGTTTGAGAATTTCTTGGATTAAGCTAAATTAACATACTATGACTAACTAAGAGCATAATGGGTGTTTCTCTGAGGAAAAATAAAATCACTGAAAGAAAATGAAAATATATTACTTTGAAAAGTGCTAAAAAAGACTTGGAGAGGACTTCCAAAGTAAATTATGAAAGTCAGATAAAAATAAAATGATATTCTTTAAGTGTTTTCAAACACTTAAAAGTTAAAAGTTTAAAGACTTAAAGTTTTGCCTTTAGACAAAACTAGAGGTCTATACTCACAGGGAATATCTTTCCAATGTTGAATAAATAAAGAAACTTTCACTGAAATTCAACATACAAACAAAAGTTGTTATTTGTAATCATATATGTGCTCAAGATAACTTTGCTCTCCTTCTCTACATATGTGTATATATACACATACATACACACACACACACACACACACACAGAGACAGACATTCTCCCTCTTATGTACACATAGTCAGAATTTTAGCAAACTGAATCTAGTCTTATCTAAAAGACAATACATCACAGTAAAGTGTGGCATGGCCCCCGAACAACTAAACTGAATTCTATAGATTTTATTGAACATGACTGGCACATTAAAAATAATTACTTTTGGAGCAAGAAACAATGTATTTTTATCTAGGCATGCCTATATAGATAACATATTCATCACATATCATTTATTCAATAAATGTATTTATATCTCTTTATTCTTATAGTCAATTAACTTAAATTGCAAGTATAGTAAAATAAACATCAGACACTTTATTTTTATAGTTAATTAATTTAAATTACAAGTATAGTAAAATAAACATCAGAATATCCATGTTCAACAAGATTCACTTCTTGTCCTGATGTAGCTTACGGTGCAATCATAATATAGCTGTGGGATAGTAATAGTGGTAAGATAAAAGCAAGAAGGAAAAAATAAAAATATTTTAATGGAAGGGAATAGGTACTTCCAAAGCAGGTATTGGTGAGATATGAGGTTAGAGTAAGATGACAAAGGAATGTCAAGTTTTCTATTGTGCTGTGCAGCATCTTGTCATGTTATGATATGATGTGATGTGCTGTGACATGATGTGATGTAAAGTTATGTTAAGAAATAGAGACCAAATACGGATGGCAATAGTTGGATTTATTGGCCTAAGAAAAAAAGATTAATTCAACAGTCACCTAGCTATAATATGACACAGGCGCTGTGAAAGTCCAGAGTGGCTTCAAGGATACAAGAAATAATCCTGTTAATACTCATGAAAAGTTGTACAACAGTAAACCAAAGTAATAACTGAAAATATTTTTTAAAGTACATTAGGAGATTCAAGAGACCTTAAAAGAGTATAATGATCAAAGATAGAAGACTAAAATGAGGCAGAAGACAAGAATGAAACTTAGGTCTCTGGCTACTCGTTATGCTGTTAACGAGTAGCTGAATCATTTGGGAAGACCTTTTATTTCTCCTTTCTTTTTTCTGCCATAACATCTAAGCCATTTTCCACATTTTTACATGCATTTTAACTGACAAAAATTGTAATAATTCCTGTGAAACTAGCAATCACAATAAAAACAATAGCTAATAATAATGCTAATGTCTAATCATATGTTAAGCATTCCTTGTGTAATATGCACCACACTGTACTTTGTGCTTTACGATATTTGATCCATAAAATGACCTTTTGATCGACAAAGTATTCTTCCTATTTTACAGGAGCCAAAACTGAAATTTTGAGATGTTAAGTCCTGTACAAAATGTCTCAAGCTAACTGGTGGCAGGACACAAATTTAAACAAGAAAAAAATCCTACCAAACTCAGTCTTTTAAATATGTATTTATGTCAATTATGTTTCTGGAAAAACACATGGGATTTTCCTGTCTTGGTACTTATGATCTCTCTGCTGTGTCTCCTGTCTCCATAATTAGGGTCACATTCCTTGTCACTTTTGCCAAGTCTCCAGACTCTTGTAGGGTGAGTCCTTGAATGCAGCTGCCTGTGCTGAAATCCTGATTCCTTCCACTTACTGAACTTGAAATGTTATAATCTGACCGACCTTGAGACGTTAACTGAGCTATTCCTGTGCTTCATTAGTTCATTTTAACTCTAACTTTGTTGTAAGGGTTAAATAGTTGCAAAGCAAAGGGTCTGGCAAACAAACGCTCAAATAGCTTTTCTTTTAAAATTATTCTCACCTTCATGGATTTTTTAAATAAATTGCTCAAAAATTAACATATCTTTCATTGCACATCATGAAAACAGCTGTGGGGAAAGCTCAACTTTTCTTTCTCATATCATTATCGCTTTTAGGTTATTTCAGAAAGATTAGTTTGCTAATAAAAGAGTTGGCTATGTAAATGATGTCACTCAATAGCTTAAATGTATAAAGTAATATTTTATAAACCTGACAAGTCAGTGAATATTTCAGAAAAGTTAAATTGAACAGTTTATGGTAACAGCTAACACTGACAAAGCCAGTATGATAGGGAAAGGGATCCATCTGAGTACTTCACATGTATTAACTAATTTCATCCTCAGCATGAGCCTGTGAGGTCTATACTAGTTATGCATTTTATAGGTAAGAGAACCAAGGTACACAGACATAAAGTTACTTGACCAACGCCATTCACCTAATAAAGCAGAGCTGAGATTCTAGTCCAAGCCCACTGGATTTGCTGTTTATGCTTTTAACCACTGTGCTAATACTATTCTTAGTAACAATGCATATGAAATTTGGAATATATGTACTATCATTTTTAAAAAATTGATATAGCTTAGAGACTTATGAATCTCAGTTACTGCCCTGAGCTTTAACCCCAGAAAGTATTATTTTAGCCATATCTTTAATGGAGAGACCTGAACCCTACCAATTGTCTTACATGATGCTAGGCACTTTCGCTTAGACAGGAAAAAATGTGTCACTTAAATAAGAAGAATCAAATACATAATATTTAAGACTATGAGATTAAAAATAAAATATATGTAGGTAGAAACCTTAGCATCTTGATAAAATAGCCCCGATATTATGATAAACTAGAGAACTCCTGTTTTTAAGTCTCCAATCCGAAGCTTCATCTCTCCCTTCCCCAATAAACTCACTAATATTGACTCTCATTTCCTGGGAAATGTATCTCAAACAAGAGCAATCCCATAATGCCTTATTCCAAACCTACTCGAATGAGCACAAAGAAGAAGTTCCAAAGGGTGAAAAATATAAATGATATAATTAAAAACTAAAAAATGTTAAAATATTTGAATTTAAAAGCGGGTTGCACACAATTAATTTGGGTTACTCAAAATTTCTGTATCTAGTACTACTGCCTTTAGATTGGTATCTTACTTTAACTTTTATTCTTACAATGTTCCAAGTATTTGAGAATTAAAGGTGAAATCTGAAAGAATTTCTACTCTTGAATTCTATTTTTCCTACAATATATTTCTCTAAATTGTTACATCTTCTGAGTTCAATGGTTAACATTTTATTTTGTCTCCATCTCCTGCCTGAGTTTTAGAAAGAATTGTTATTGATGTGTGTGCCTCTCAATACTTTTAAATTGGTGTTTTGCTTTGATTTGGCAAGTGAGGAATAAGCAAGTAAGGTATAAACAGGAATAGAGTAAATATAGGTTCTTATGAGCATCTGCAAAATTGTTCCTCTCTGTTTTATATAACTAAGGTTATCTCCTAGGTAACTACTAGACAATTGATATGTTTCACTAACAGATTTTAAACATTCCTAAAATGTTCAATTTTTAATATCATCTAATCAGAAGATAATTCTCTACCAGAAATCCTAAATCCTATTTGCTTTTGAGCTTCCAGTCCCTGTGGTTTACTAAACTTCTAATGATTTTCAACAGTCCAAGTCTTTTCATTATTTAGTTTCTTATATTTGCATTGCAAATCACACACACATATGCATAGATATATATAATTAAAAGGAAAGTGACCTTGATGTTTTTGTCTGCTCAACTGCAATTAAAAAATTCACCAAGGGAATTATTTAAATTCATTATATCACTTCTCAAAATTTATTCTACAAGAGGCCATTAGATGAATACAAATTAAAATCATTAATATTATTTTTCTATTTGAATACATGAAGATAACTTTTTGAAAAAATGTAACAGACAATGATTTGATCTTCATAAAAACTAGTAGAATTTTCCATATCTTACACTTATGATCCTAAAATTACCTTTTTGTAATTTTACATTATTACTAGCAATTTTGTATTCTTAACCTTAGTTTTAAGCAGATAAAAATCTAATTATTTTTCAAACCAATGTATTGATGAGAAAGCACTCCAGAGTATTAGCTGTTTGGAATTCACAACGAATATTGTATTATCTCCTCTTTCATTATTTATTCTAACATTCCTCAAAGCATCACAGAAGTAGTAATTACAATATATAGAAAAAGCTCCATCAGTTCTTTAGTTCTGCCACAAAATCTCAGTGTCCATGAGGGAAAAGTTCCCTGTAAATCTAATATAAATCTATCTTAATGGCCTAATGCCTACATTTTTGAAATTTTATTTTGTATTCTAATATAATAATAAACTACTCATATACAACCAAAATTGTTATTATCTGTCTGTCACTAGGCAAAAGCAGTGGTCTTTTGAGTAAGCCTACTTCTTGTTGGTAGTCTCTGTCCTATGAGTTCTCTCCCTTCAAATTTTGGAGAAAGAAAACCTGCCATTTTTTAATTAACTATAACTTTTATTTCTGAGAGGATAGTTATCTGTAATGCACCCTGGAAAGAACTATGGAGCACACTGCAGATAATCATATAAAAATCAGATTTATAAGAAAAGTAGACACACTGTTTAGCTTTTAGATTTCTTCAACAGTACATCCTCTTTTGTCTCAAAATATTTTTCAAGAGCTAGTTTTTCTCTATCTATTCATTTATTTATTTTAGTATTACCTAATCTGATTAAGTGAACTAACATTTAGTTTGTAAAAGTCTAATACAAGATGATACAAATGAAAAACATGGATACGAGATACACGCCAATGGGGAAAAAAATGAATGTATAGACAATTCATAGAAATGATACAGTAGCCAAAAAATACACCCATATATTATATAAACATATCCACATATAAGAAGTTTTATATATTGTGAAATTATATATATATGAAAACGTATCTTCACCTAAAGGTATATCTCAGGAACATTTATACATCTTACAGTAATACTAATTGGTAACAATTTCTCTGGAGGAAAACCAGTATAATATTTCAAAAATTTTAAATGCTGAAAACCTTTGATACATTCATTCTATTTACAAGACTTCTGAAAAGAAATAATTAGTTAAGTCTACAAGAGTGGATGCACAATTATCCAACCTGTATTTTTAACAGTTAAAAAGTAGAAACAGTCTATAAAGCAACCATTAGGGAATTGGTAAAATACAGGGTATATAAATGTTAAAAATGGAGCAGTAACCAAGCAATTATCCTAAAAATACCAAAGGGTTATAAATGAAAAAATCAGGTTAAAAATTGTTATTATGTATTTTTATTGTACTGTATTACATTTATTTACAGTGATGAGGAGGGATTATTGATCTCAGTGCCCACTGGACATTATGGCGACATCTGCCACTCAAGGTACAACTATGGTATTTTGTGCAGTGCTCAGTTTTCTCAGCATTGTTAGATTCAAGTAATTTCCTCCTGATTGATTAATGAGAGTCTTAGTTTTGATCTGTGCCAGCACATCTGAGTCTTCATTGCTGTCTCTGTCTCATTATTGACGCAAGTAGCCCATGTTGCAGTGTCTGTCTTGGAGCCACATTCTTTTTTACCACAATGACAATTTGACAAGCCCAGTGAATTATACATTAATTTGCCTCCTTCAATGGGATTCCTTTCTCATCGTGGAAGAGTGGAGTGAGACTCAGAGACTCTATATCCGTTTCTCTTTCTGCTTCAATTCATCAATGTGCCATTTTCAATCAAGGGAACTCTAATGGCCCAGGAAGACATTTTGATTTGATTCTGTAGATATCCATGGACAAAGAGGAAGGGAATCCTCTCTAATTATGGGTTCATTCTTCAGCCTATTTAAGAATTTCTATAGCCTCCTCAAGGTGATTCAGAGTTGGGGAGTCTCCTTGCTCTCCATGCTCTCATTTCTCGCTATTGACGTCTGTGAAAATGCTTATCTCATTCATTTAGTTTGGAATTGCCAGTGTCAGCATCTTAGATCTCAATATCCATGACTCACACCAAAATTTGAAGTTTAGATTTTCAGTCTTTTTATGTGATAGAGAACAGTTTTCACTCCCAGCAGTCAAACCTAGACAATAAGTTTATTGTTCCGTTTTACATCTGTTCTGTCTTTCCCTGAGTGATGAAATTTATAGATAGTATTCATCTTAATCTGGAAGGTGCCTTTCCAAACACTTCACAAATAACAAATGTAAATCAAACACAGAGTTTTGGAGAATATTCAAAAGACTATTATATGCATTATTTTGGGTAACATTTATATATACCATTTTCATTTTGATCATACAATCTCTATATAATTAAAATAAATGTAAAACAGTAAGGTATTATGTAACTTTATTTGTATTTCAATTTTCTTTAATAAACTCTGAGTATATTGTGGCCATCAGAAAGATTAATTCACATTTCCCTCTCCAAGCTGTTTGTAGTTCATAGGAAGGAGGTGCTTAATGTATGGTTGTTGAATAACCTAGCAAAATGGAAAACTAGTAAACAGCACAACATTCAAAATATTATTTAAGAAATAAATTATCTTCTGGTCACTACAGTTTTAATTAGTTGATCAAAACATTAAGAGGAATTGACATTCAGGACCTAGGTACAAATTTGGGAGACTATATTACAATATATATTATTGACACTGCCCACTGGAACAATGTACCAATATTTATCTACTATGTATAGCATAGTGCCCTACTATACGATGTGATCAGGCATTGGAGGCAATTAGCTGAATATGTGTTTAATCTAAGATGTATCATTTATTAATTGATACAGTTAGGCTTTGTGTTCCCACCCAAATCTCATCTTGAATTGTAATCCCCATAACACCACGTGTCAAGAGAGGGACCTGGTGGAAACTGATTGAAACATTTGGGTGGTCCCCCTATGCTGTTATGATAGTGAGTGAGTTATGAGATCACATGGGTTTATAAGTGGCAGTTTCCCCTGCTCTTCTCTCTCTCTTGCCACCTTGTGAAGAAGGTGCTTGCTTCCCCTTTGCCTTCCACCATGATTGTAAGATTCCTGAGGCTTTCCCAGCTGTGTGGAAATGTGAGTACTTCTTTTCTTTATAAATTACTCAGTCTTAGATATTTATTTGTGGCACCGTGGAAATGGACTAATACACTAATTATATTAATATTAACAAGCAATTAAATCTAGTAGAAAAGTTTAATTTTTCATTTCAAAAATAAGCTAATAATCATAACAAATAATTGTATAGATTAATAAAATATTGTATAATAATGCCTGTTGCTCACACATTTCTTTTTAATTATTAACATGGACTTTTTGTATGCTACATACTTTGGAAATTAAACAACTTGTGTAATATGGCAAAATGGTGTCAAAAACTTTAGGACAGAAAAGACAAGTTAGTTTGACTCCATTAATTCATACTCTCAAAGTCTTCAGTGTGTTTGACTCAGGTATATTATTTCTAAAAACTGTTTCCATGAAGATACATTAGTATTCCCCATTTTTCAAATTATGTATCTTACATTATTTGGTGGAAATTTCATAGTTAATTT
The DNA here is from genome assembly GCF_000001405.40 of Homo sapiens. Classification (NCBI taxonomy): domain Eukaryota; kingdom Metazoa; phylum Chordata; class Mammalia; order Primates; family Hominidae; genus Homo; species Homo sapiens. The sequence continues at coordinate 62,921,970 of NC_000004.12, read as the reverse complement.
TTTAAATAGCATACTAGTTTATATTTTTCATCTAGAACATTAAATAATTTTTAGTAAAAAAAGCAATGTTTTAGTTCTAAATAAAATAAACAGAATAAATGACTGTTTTTACTTAATTCAGTTATTTTTTCAGGATGAGTTCCACTACCACACCAGGTAATTAAGCACATTTGATTTCCGTGGCAAAGACATTATTTAATAGTAATTAAGTAGATGCAACCCTCCATTAAAACCTTTAGTTTTGGCAAAGTGTTTACTGTTTTACATTTATTATAAAAGTTTAATAGAAACTATTGAGGCAACTTACTTTTCTCAATATCATTTTTAATGGTAACACTTCAGTCCACTTCCCTGTGTTAATCAACATGCAAAGTACAATACTTAAATAACTAGAGATTTTTGTTTTGTTTTGTTTTGTTTTGCAGCAATGCAGAATAATAATTAGGGCTCACTGAATACTGAAAACCTAATTTTGAAAAAAATAAATAATGTGAATTAAAGCTTGTGTTAAATAAACATATTTTATTCCTGTATCTTTGAAGAATTTATATTGTTTGTATAGGTAATACGTCATTTAATATACACCTATATTTTTAAAAAGTAATAAGACTTTTGCACATGAAAAAGTAAGAGCTTTTTTATTTCTGTTGTTGGCAGTCACAGAGTAGATCATATTATTCTATTTATACTTTTACTTTTACATAGATTAAATTCATAAATGCCTTAAATTATGTTCTGTTTATTTTAATTTTATTTTTAACTTCCTGGATGTAAATTTATTATTTTTTATATTGTGACTTAAAAATATAACTCCAAATATGTTTTTAAGAAATTGCAAATTTTGTCAGGTGATTTAAAATTACACTTTAGAAAAATTCTATTAAATAGTCGACCTCCTTTGGCAAAAATATGTGATAACCTAACACACTTTATCTGTTAATTTTTTCTCAAAAGTGGCCTGGCTTTATACTTTTCTAGTACTTACAAAGAAAGTATAATTTGTTTTCTTTACTTAGAAGAATTACTAAATAGAAGATTAAATAATTAATTTAAAAATTTAAATTCAAGTTAAAGCACATTGTTTTCAATCAGGCTCTACTTATAAAAAACCCTTTCTTGCTTTTATGGAGTCAACTGGCAATCATTTCAATATTTATCATATTTAGTACAATTTCAAATTCTATGTATAAGGGAAAAGTAACGTGAGAACATGCCTCTCAAAACCTCTACAGCAAAGTACAAAAGCATTTACATATCTAATAAAATAATGAGTAATTTTAAATGTTTTATATATTAAATTTCTATCAAATAAATGTTTTACACAAAATGTATCTTTTTAAAAATGTGAAGGCAGTGTTATGAAAAGGAGTGTAAAGAGTGCTTGTATATGTAACAATAGACACAAGGTAAAAATTGACAGGGACAGCGCAATAAAGACAGGAGGGAGAATGCGCAGTGCATGGCATTCATGCACCATGTTGAAATCTTCATTGCATTCACTTGTGTTCATGGAGTTTGTGCTCAGCTGCCATTACCTACTTGTGCAAATATTAACAATGAGTAAAGCCCTGTGACTTTCATGATGCACGGCCGTGATGTCCATACTACCTAACCAGTTTTTATTGTAGAATATATTAATAAACCAGTTTTTATTGTAGAAACTCACATTATACATTACATATAGAACAGAATATAGAGTCCAAACTGGTGCCATGTAGCTTTATAAGAACTGAGGATGCAGATATGAGATACTGAACAATAAAACCAATATCGCTACAATAGTATATACAATCTAGTGAGGGAATATGTGGCAATTACACATGCATATTGTGTATCTATTTATATCCATATTTATTTAATTATATTTATCTATGTTCATCTATCTATATATATTTATTTTGTTTATCTATGTCTATGCCTGTATCTATATGTATATAAAATGACATAAGTGGCTTAAAAGTCACTTATGTCTTTAAAAGTGGTGTGGACAAAGTAATTTATGTTTAAGAGTAAATTCTGTTTGTCTATATTACCCTAATACTAGTTTACCAGATTAAAGAAAGATGCAAATGCTTTGACAGGGGAGATGGTGTCTATCACCCCTTTTCTGAAATATGTGTGGGCTCTGTGGCTACTTCGATAATAGGGTACTATGGGAATTCTGTTATACCAATATCCTTTCAAGCACTAAGAGACTGGCAACTTCCACTTCCGGTCTCCAGTAACATTCTTTGGAAGCCTTGTAGAAGTCTAATACACCTGCTCAGGGGACTACATGGGACTGTCCTAAGACAGAATGGGAAGATAGTGGACCCCAGCTGAGCCCAGCTTTCTACTCTCTTCATCAAGGTGACAGGCATGTGAATGACACCATATTGGACCTCTCAGCTAACAGCTGAATAACACCAAATGATCCCAGTCACAGCCATGGAAACCCTGGCCAGTCTCCTCACCTCGATCATCTCAAAATGTCATGAGATATAAAAAGAAATGAACTTTTGTTAAGCTACCAAGTTTTGAGACAGTTTGTTATGCATTAATAGATAATAGGAAAACATAAGTTTGGGAAGTAGTAAGGATGCCAAAGGGCAGGATTGAATCAATTGATGTGTTAGAATATTATGGCTACTAAAGTAAGACTAGGTATAGTTATATTTATTGATTGATTTTTTGTTACACAAAATTGAGCATATAATTTTTGAGTCAGGCAAAATGAGAATGTGGATTCCTTTATTCAAAAATCATTAAAACTTTCAGTACAACAACAGCAGAGCATTAAATGTAGTGTAGGATCCTTCTGAGCATGAGGCCCTTGTGACTGTATGTGTCACATGCTCACAAAGCCTGCTTTACAGTGTGTGGATTTAAAATTACACAGTAAAATAATCATACTTCCTGTGGTGCACAAGAGATAGTTTATATTCAATTAATGTTAAAATTACTCCTCAGTAGCCAGACCCTATATCACCAAATAACGTACCTTTAGCTAGAGTCATACACCACATAACATTTCTGTCAATGCCAGACCACATACACAACAGTGCTCCCATTAGAGTGTAAAGGAGCTGAAATGTTCCTATACCCTAGTGAAGTTATACTCATTGAAAATTTGCAGCATAAATGCATTATTCACATGTTTGTGGGGATGCTGCCAGTTGCATAAAAGTAGAGCACATACAAATATATACAGTGTATAATACAGTTCTCCCTTCGTATACATGAAGGACTCCCTATACCTAAATCCGTCCAGTATTTGCATATAGCCTACACACATATTCCCGTATACTTTAAATCATCTCTAGTTATTTGTAATACCTAATATAATGCTTATACATCACTTAATTCCTATGAATTTAACGTAGTGCTTGGAGCATGGCAAATTCAAGTTTTGCTTATTGGACTTTGTGGATTTTTTTTTCCTTCTACAGAATACTTTCCATCCATGGTTGGTTGAATCCACGGACACAGAACCCACAGATATGAAGGGTTGAGTATACCTGATAATGGTAATAAATGACTGCAACTAGTTTATGTATTTACTGTACTATACTTTTTATCATTATTTTAGAGTGCACTCTATTGTTTTTTTAAAAAAGTTAACTGTAAGATTAACTGTAAGATGGTCTCAGGCACGTTCTTCATCAGGTATTCCAGAAAAGGTATTGTTATCATTGGAGATGACAGCTTCATGCTCCCTGTATGTTATTGTCCCTGAAGACCTTCCAATGGGACAAGATGTGAAGGTGAAAGACAATGATATTGATGATATTGACCATGTAGAGGCCTAGGCTAGTATGTGTGTTGTGACGTAGATTTTAACCAAAACAGTTTAAAAATATATTAAAAAATAGAAAAAAAACTCACAGGATAAGTATATAAAGAAAGAAAATATTTTTGTACAGTTTTACAACATATTTGTGTTTTAAGTGGTGCCATTAGAAAAAAAGTCAAAAAAAATTAAAAATTCAGTTTATAAAGTGAAAATGTTATAGTAAGCTAAAGTTACATTATGAAAGAAAAATAATAATAAATGTAATGTAACCTACCTCTACAGTGCTTATGAAATCTACAATAGTGTACAGTAATGTGCTACGTCTTCACATGCACTCACCACTCACTTATCACTCACCCAGAAAAATCTGACTCACCAAGGGCAACGTTCAGTCTTTCTAGCTCCATTCATAGCCAGTGCCCTATACAGTTTTAAAAAATCATCTACACTGCATTTTCAATTTATCTTTACTATCTTTTGATGTGTTTAGATACACAAATACATTGTGTTACAATTGCCTATAGTATTCAGTACAATAACATGCTCTACAGGTTTGTAGCCTAGGGTTAATAGGCTATACCATATAGCCTAGATGTATACTAGGCTATAGCATCTAGGTTAGTGTGAGTCCACTCTATGTGGTTTGCATAATGATAAAATTCCCTACTGACATATTTCTCAGTGTATTCCAGTTATTAAAAGGTGCCTGACTATATTATGACCAGCTCCATGTATCAGTATATGCCTTAAGTTACAGAGGCATAGAAAGAGCATTCTGTTATAGCTAAGAAAACAAAGATAAAATTAAAATGTGAATCAAAACCTAAAAAGGCCATATTGACCAGACATATATTTATGGGAAATATAAATTGTATATTCTGGGGAAAATATATAGTGAAAACGAATAGCTCAAAACATTTTCTTTGAGCAGCACCATTCAACTGACTTTAAAAAATAACTTATTGAATTTAAATTACATGCAGCCTTAAACATACGTAAAGGTGTTTTGTCCTTTAAATACTATCATATTTTCTTTTTTGATATGCAGTACTTCATGATGTAAGTGTGGTGTATTGTGAAAATAAAGATCTTAGAACTTTATTCACCTATACTAGATTCCTTTCTGATTCCACGTACTCATGTTTACTTGCTGTGCTGGTTTTATGTTCAGCACCAGATTATTCATCAATTCCAAATATATCAGCCAGACTGTTTTACATAAGTTACCAACAAATCCACCCACTTTATTTGTATAGTTATTTATTTTTTCAGGAAATTCTGTATGTAATCTTTTAGAATTCTATCTATAAAAGTCTGATAGATATAAGTGAGCATTACTAGTTTAGAGCACATCTTTTCTCTTAGTAGACCTGGGAAAAACCTGAAAAACAACACTGCTTATTCCACTAAAAGCATATACACAACCAACAAAGTAGTGATAACATTCTAATACGATGATATCCTCCTCTTAATCTGTTTCCTGCTCATTTATTTCCAAAATAGGCACATAAGTAGGAACCCAAATGAGTGATTTTATAATTTGCCTCCTGGTTACAGAATCCTACTTAGCTATCTTCTTTACATTTAAGATAACTTTTTGATTTAAATAAATCAAGATCAATGTACAAAAATCATTTACATTGTAGAAATAATAGAAATTGAAAGACATAAAATATGAAGAAACACTCTTTTATTAACCATTTATTTCAATAATAATCGCCTGCTGTATATCCTAACAGAATTTAGTCTATGTATACAGCAGTAAGTTAACATGCTACCTGAAAACATGTTTGAACCTTACAGTGTATGAAAACATGTTTAAACCTTACAGTGTATCTTTCCTTAAAAATCAGTTTATCTAGCATAACATTGAATAACTAAATATAAATAAATGCATCACATTTATTTAACATGTGCTAAACTATTAGATGTGATTATTATTTCCATATTATGAATATTTTAATTAACCTTGTTGCAACTAACTTTGCTAGGAAACTCAAGTATATCTTTATAATTTTGTCGTCAAAGTGAAAAATCTGGTGCAAAACAATGCATATTTTTCCAACTTTTCAAGCATATTACCCAATTGACCTCAAGTAAGGGCTTTAATTTTTCTTCTTTCTAAATTTTAAACAAGGTCATTACAATTAAATACTTTACCTACAATTTTTATCTACATGCATATTACATATTGCAAGTATTTATGTAAACACTCTTGTTAAAGTTGCAAAAATACCTCCTTATGAGATAGACATTCTTATAATTCTCATTTAATATAAGTAAGGCACAGAACATTTGAACAATCTGCCTATGGTTTTGTTAAATTTTAAATGAAAATTGAGTAATCTGTGATTTAAATCTATGCAGGCTTAATTGAGAGTTGATACTCTTATACACTATAATATACATTTAGGCCTTTTTAAAGTGTATAAAATCTTCATATATTAACATTATGAAAATATTATAATGAGACACCAACAACTTCCCGAATGGTTAATGTCAAAGCTACCAGAAATCATTGCACATTATTCTAGAGCACTTTCTTCTACACTACTCTACATCTACACAAATTCTACATCTCTGAAAGCAAGGAGAAATTTGTTGCTACTAGGTAACCATTATGATGGGTGTTTAAATGCCTTTGCAAGTTTTGTGATCTAAAGCTTAAGAAAATTTGCTTTGATGAAAGATATGTGGTAAACATTAATACTTATAAGAACAGAATGGTTTTACTAAGCATTTATTTCATCTTGTGTAGCATTTATATTACTGGATTATTATATTATCTATTTCCAGATATTTCTTTTCTACTAAACTGGGAAATACTTAATGGTTGAAACCATCTGTGCTGATTATTGGGTCCCCAGTACTCTACATAACAGAATGGCTGTTACACATCATGTTTTCATTTATTGATTCAATAAAAATGTATTTAGCACATACTATTTAGCTAACAATATGTTGGCACTAGAGATTAAATATAGTATAAGAAGACAGACAAATCCTCTGCACTTGCAGGTCTTGTACCTTAGTGGAAATAACAAACCAACTAATAAATATTTGAATTACCCCGTATATTCTTAGAATATGCTAAATTGGCTTACCAAGTAAATTGGTATGAGCATAATTAGGAATGTCTTTTGTGTGATGTAAGTTTGCTGGCCAGATATCCGGCTTGGGTGTTGATCTGATAAGCCGTCATGTAGCCATATGTTGGAGCCTATTTTAGACAGAACAGTCAAGAAAAGCCTCTCTAAAGGGTATAGCTTTATCAGAGTCCTGCAGCATGTGAGCTGGCCCACATGAGAGAATGCAAGTAAGAACAGTCCACATCAAGAGAACAGAAAGCACAAAAGCCCTGAGGCAGGAGAGAGCGTGATATAATTCAGAACTAATGGGAGAAGACAAAAAAGACCAGAAAGGAGTGGACTTTTGAGCTAGATGAGAAGATTCATGAGATGACAGGTTGGAAATGAAAGCAGAAGAAAGTTCATTCAGGCATTACAGGCTAAGGAATTTAGATTCCAACAAAAGTAAAAAAATCAAATAAAAAGTTTTAAGCAGGGATAAAAGCAATGTGATATGATCTACAATTTTAAAAATATCACTCTGACTTTTCCATTTGAATGGATTGGAGGGAATGGTATTTGTTGAAAAGAGAGAGACCATCTGGGAAGTTGTTGCTCTAAACTAGGCTAAAGCAATGGCAGTTTGAGCTAAGGTGGAAGTAGTGAAAATGGCATAAAGAGTCTATTCGAGATATACCCTGCAGTTAGCTATGATAGAATTGTATGAAGTTTAATTGGTTTTTTTGTTTTAAATAAATTTTGGGCTCCTTGAAAAAATGGGCCATTGTTAGGCTGTCTATTAATAACATCATGCTTATAGTAGAGCTTGACTGAAGTGCTAAAATAATTGTTTTATTTTAAATTAATGTTTTCTTGTAGATAGTAAACATCTAAACTTAACTATATCAAGTTTCTCCTTGACCCATACATATAAATTTCAACTTTTTCCATTCCCAAATCAGAACATTTTATTTTCTTTCTATCATGTCTGATACCTAACTTACCCCAAGAAAAATTTAAGGAGATTCTATGTTTCTGACATTATTCGTTGAGACTCAAAGTCAAGTATGTCATATACTTTTTTCCCCAAAGATTTTATAATTTACAAAGAGAAGACTGTAAAATGTAACTTTATGTAGTTATCTTTCCTTTGACATTATACTGGGTATATCTTAAGCCAAAATTATCTGAGAAAAGCTGGGCATTTAAAAAAATATATTTGAAGATATTAGATTGTTGCCAAAATGGGTAGGACTTGCTGAGATTAAAATCCTAGGGAGAAGAAAATCTAAGCAAAGTTTTAGAGATCAGAAACAAATCTATATTATTATGGAGCTTAAAGAAATAATCTTGAATTGATATTTAATGAGAGGCCATTTTTGCACCACAAGCTTAAGGGTACCAACAGAAACAATTATAATTTTCCACGAGAAATTTCTGAACAGTTTTTCATTACCTATTATATATTTTATCCTGAAGAGCATGAATAGAGATAAATTTAACTAAAATATTTTCAAAGCAATTATAATTAGTCACCTACCGTAACGACTGGAAAATTTAATTAATGTTCAAAAGAAAGGATTAACTTTGAGTGACTTATTTTGGTAAATTTTCAGAAAACAAAGGCTGCACAATGCACTTCAATTAACTGAAATCTTACCTCTCAATGCATATCAGTACTCTTATTAAAATTTTTATTGCCATACTTACATTTCTTTTATAACACTCATCAGATATTTACAGATATATGTCATATATATGTATATATGCTTCATTACTTTCAGTGTTCCCTTTCTTTATGAGATTATAAACTCTACGATAGCAAAGGCATTTTGCCTAGTGCTTTTCACACTGTCTCATTGTATTGTATCTCACTGTTTCAACCCACTTCTTTGTTTAACAGTCCTTAGAAATATGTCATATTATATCTTGCTGTTTTTATGGAGTATATTCTTTAACTCTTGCCTCCTTAATTTCCAAAATTCCCTTGTCATTATGTATCTCTATTTATGAAAAAAGCATCTAAACCTCTGAACTCATCAGTGTCTTACAGTCTCTTCAATTCCATTTCACTATATCAAAGTTAACCTCTACAATACACAGATAAATAATATAAGAGTCATAGGCTTTCTTTACAAAGTTTTGAAATCCTATATATTTGTATTTTCAGCATTTATTATGTAAAGAAAATCTGTTGGGTTAATATTTTTGCAACAGAGTATTCATAAAAATACCATTGTAATGTATGTATATATCTGGGTTTTTTAAAAATGCATACTGAGTGTCAAGCTGTTTTTGTTAGTCTGATTTCAGGAATGCTCCTAAGGGTTTTAATAATACCTTTTTTCAATAGAAAGATTAAGTAGATCAACTGAGTGTTGCTGAGTTTGGTGTTCTGCCAATAGGGCAAAATGCCAGCATGTTTACCTCTGTGCTTCGTTCTCAAACACAGTGGTTCCCTCTTCAGTAAATAGAAGAAGGTCCTCAAACTCACTTACTGAAAATGTGGACTTTGCTCCTGCAGTAGATAAAGCACTCAGGGCTGTTATTATCTTCTATATTTTTTAATCTTTTTTTAATGAAACTAATAGAAAACTGAAATATAAATTACTTGTACTTCATGGAAGTTCAAGCTCCCTTGTGCATAGAAAATGGGTGCTTCTAGACAAAACAGATCTGTAAAATGTGCGGGGTTTTTTGTTTCACTTTGTTTTTGTTCTTATTTTTCTCAGAACATAGCAACAGTTAATTTCCAGAAGCAAGGGAAAGGTGATGGCCCTAATCAACATTAAAGGATAGCATTCAGAATAGTTAGCAATCAGGGATCTTTGATATGGTTAGATTCTAAAATAATTTTTAGGACTTAAATGTGAAGACCTCTGTCTTAACCTGGATTCCCTAAAACCCACGACTCACTTGAAAACATAGACATTAATTTTTTATCAGAGAATTCAATCATATGGAAGAAAAGATGAAGAAAAAAAAACACAAGGTGAAGATGTCCATTTTACCACTTCTATTCATCAGTTTGCTGGATACCCTATAGCCAGAACAGTAGTGATAAAGAAATAAATATTGTAATGATTAGAGAGGAAATAATAAATATGTTATTATTTACAGAAGAAAATAAATATATAAAATAGAAAAGGTCCAAGGCCTAAGAACCAAGACACCAGAATAATTAATGAAGTATATGAGAGAAACCAGAAAAGGAGTTGGAGAGCAAGAGTCAGAAAGGCAGGAGGAAAATGAAGAGAATGTTGTATCTATTGATACAAGACAGAAGTACGTTTCAAGCAGAAGCAAGTAATCAAACATATCAAATGAATAGTTCAAAAATATTGAGGATTTTAACAAGGTGGAGATCATGAAATCTATAAAAGCCTTTTTGTGGAATGATGGGGCAAAAATCTAAATGAAAACCATTAGAGAAAGAATGAGAGGTAAACAAAAAGATGGCAAAAAATAGGGGCTACTAGATATATTATAACTTAATAGAATCCTTTTGTCTTGATAAAACCCTGTATTAGAAGGGGCAACATATGTAAACTCTGTCTATCTCAGATAAATGAGACATACTAGTCAATGTAAATAGAAAATACAACTTTCAATGAGTTTTGCTTTGAAGGGTAGGAAATAAACATGGCGGCAGCAAAAGGAAAAGGTGGGATCCAGACAGATGTTTGCTTTGTTTTGCTTGTTTGTTTTCAGATGGCAGAGATGGTACATGCTTGTGTGTTGATGGAGCTAAACGTGTACAGGGTAAAGAGCTGTAAATATACGGTAAAGAGGGTAGAATTGGACTATGTATGGGAGTAGTCGGCAGGCAAAAGGTCTAGTGAACAAGAGGATATCTACTGCACAACATAGAAGCATGAATAATCCATTCATAAAAATCGGAATAAAGGTAGAAGGTTGAGCACAGATACAGTTCAGAAGATGTGATGATAGAAACCTGTAGAAGTCTCGGTGAAACAGAAATGGAATTCAACACCTAAAAATAAATAGTACATAAAGTTTTGTGTCAGTATAAGCTACATATATCTAATGTAGCCAATGAAGTTTCAGTTCATATGGTGGAACATGCGATTAGTCATCCCCCAAATTATTAATAAAATCTAGTTTATATTATAAAGCAAGTCACATTTTATATAGTTTTAAGAAAAAATAAAGTAACGCTATAAATAATATTGTAACACTACATATTTTTATAATAAATAATATATTAATATATTTTCTAGAGTTCCTTTAAAAATTAAAAGAAAAAATCTATCTGCTGTAGATATTTAAAATCACATGATGTTAATGAAAAACTTGCAGAAGAATATTAAATATAATAATTTATCATACTATCAGACGAAAAATTTTTTAATTAAACAGATTTAATTCTATATTTAATCAGCAATAATCTTTTCATAAATTACTTTGGTTGGGATATGCTGACACAAAGAAAATTCATACACTTCTGGTAGTCAATTAAATCTGAGATTAGAGTTCTCAAACTTTAGCAAGAATGTTCATAATTTTTGATCTAGTAACTTTACTTGTAGGATTTTGCGCCTAAGGAAATAATCTGAGATGCACACAACAATTTCTATTTAATGAAAGCATCTATGCATTCTTTACAATTGAGAAAAAATTAGAAAAATATTAAAATTTAACAATAGGAAATGGGTTAATAATCTGCAGTGTAACATATTTAATGACTTAGAGCATAGTTACAGTGACTACTTAAATTTACAAAATGTTATTGAGTGTATCAGTAGTGAGACACAAAATACATTATTCTGTCTTATATCTAGAATAATGTATAGATTAATGAATGGAAGGAAAGAATGAGATTAGAAGGAAAGAAGGTAAGAAGCAAGGCTAGAAGGAAGAAAGGAAGAAAAGAAGGGAAGGAAAGAGGGAGGGAAGGAGAAAAGAAGGGGGGGATAGGTAGACAGATTTATAAACTACATTGTCACAATGGGAGGAATTAGAAGTGGATTGTTCTTGTGTTTTAGCAATTTAGAAATTTTTCCTCATTAACTTAAGATATTTCAAGTATAATAATATAAATAATAAATATATATAAGTATCAAATCACTTTAAGGACAAAATATATGTTTCCTTCTGACATATTCATTTTAATTTTTAATAATGCTTATCTGCACTATGCATCTTATGTATTGTGTGTGTGTGTGTGTGCATGTGTGTGTGTGTCAAGTGCGTGAGGGCAGATCATCCCAATGAGACAAATTTTTTTAAAGTTTCAGTTAGGATAATTTAGATAACATGCAGCAAACACAAAAACATTTTAACACATTTTCTGACATTAGTGATAGATGATAATGATATTGTAATGTGAGACCTAAATAGGCCTCTTCTTACATTTTGATTGGGGTAAAATATTCTAATCAAGAATGCTCATACTTTATTTCATATGCCTCAATGAGCTCAGATTTATTAAAATATTATCTCTGAAATATTTATCTAAGAATGGGTCTTTGTAAGTGCATGCATTATAACGATTTTCATATTTTGGCCATTAGATTTAGTTCCACAATATCTATGTACACCTGGTTAGCAGGTACTGTTGTGTTGCCACTTAAGCACTCAATGAAAATGAGCATCTATAAAGCATTTCCGGATTGTGTAGGTTTGACAACCTGTACTCTGTCATTATGTTTGTGTTCAGACAAGAATCTTTGATATACAAAACAGACACAGATGACAGCACTGAAACTGACACAAAGAATCAAAGGAAGAATGACACTGTAAAAGTTAAAACACTTGCTTGGGGATGGCCCAAGATTCCAAGGGAAAGGCCAAGGAGACACAGTGAAGAAATACAGGCTTTTAGATCTGTGTGTGAGTCTTATGATGTTATAAACGCATAAACATTGTTGCATTCTGATAGTATAGTCCAGCAATTGAATCAGGTCTAAACACCTGACCAGAGATTGCTCACGACTAGATGAATAGGAATAAAGGGAAGGATTAATAGTTGTATAAAATATATGAAAATAATCCTCTAAGATAGTGATATTAAGATTTTTGTAAGTGTATAAAATGCTTTCAGTTATATTTGTAGTTAGTGGCCATCTTTTACAATATGAGAATATAATTAGAAAGTCTTTTCAGTTTTCACTGAGATGTGCTACATAAAAAAGGGAAGAAAAAAGCTTTAAATCTTTTTCTGTATTTTGAGGAGCCTTGGTTAGTGTTAGGTTGGTGCCAAAATAATGGTGGTTTTTGCCATTAAAAGTAACAGCAAAATGTAATGACATTTATGTTTGCACCAGCCTAATAACTTATAGTTGCCTAACCTATTTTGCATGCTAAATTCACTTGAAAAATAATGTAAATATATATGGTGAAAGCAAGTCACTGAAATAATTGAATTGTGTGTTCAATTATTGTATGTTCAATTGAATTGTATATTGCACAAACATTTCCTCTGATTATAGTCAAGTTCAATAGCTTAATCTAAAACTTATTTTGCAGAAGTAGAAGAACCAGCTTGGAACAACAAACACCAGGGCCTGTTGGGGTATGGGGGGTGAGGGGAGGGAGCTTAGAGGATGGGTCAATAGGTGCAGCGAAGCACCATGGCACACATATGCCTGTGTAACAAACTGCACGTTCTGCACATGTATCCCATTTTTTTAGAAGAAATAAAGAAAAAAAAAAAGAAAATATGGTACCTGACGGTGTCATCATTCTAAAGTATTTTTTTATAGTGTGCCTATATTTAATAATAGTTCTTTGGAAGCTCATAACCCTTTTGTTGCTTTACTATGGTAATCCCTCACACCACCTGTGCATGCTATTATTTAAGAACTGGAAAGACAGTGTTATAAAAATGAAGAATTTTCTTTGTCATTGGTAAAGAAAAAAAAAAAAACACTGGATACATTCTTTGTTGATCAGAGTTTGGTGATGCTCCAACTCCTTGTCCCAAAGGTAGAGTTTTATATCTCCACAGCTTGAAGCACTAGAGCAGCTCAAAGATAAAGCTTGCAAGTTCAATAGTCAGCTTGAATGCATATTCATGTGTTTCTGTCCACTTGAATTAAATGTTCTTAGAGACCTGAATGTGCTTTGTGCATCCTTTCAAGCTGAGGATAGAAGTAAACAGTATGGTTCTAGCAAGATGCCACGATTGCTGTTAATCTACCAAGCAGTCCATTAGTATTTGTGACTTTGGATTAACAGAGCTTTTATGTCCATCATTTATTCTAACCCACTGAGTTATAGATGGATTTATAGATGGGTTAAATGTCTTTAATTCTCAGAAACCATCATGTTGAGAATTTTATAAATTTATTTTTCTGTACATTAAACCCCCATATAATGAGCTTTTCCAAGACAGATTATTACCTAGAATGATTTAACAGGTTCAAAGTTTCTAGCTTCCTACTATTTAAAAAATGAAAATATTAAATAGTGATTCATTTCAAAGAAATTGTATTCAATTGACTTGTTACTTCTTACCAATGCACCAATGCTTTCATATACCTCTAAGCATTTAAACATGTTAACCCCCCAAAGTGTATTGCTATTCATTATGTTCTGTGTTGCTTTAAAAAATTTCAAAATTAAAACATTATTTTGGTAGCAATTCAAATACAACTAAAACGTATAAAAACAACAACAAAATTTCTCTTCTCTCTTTGTAACTTTCCACCCGGAAGATAATCAATATTGACAATTAGGTGTATAATTTTCTACTTTTTATATGTATATATGTAAAAGTACATATATTTAATACATATATTAAAATTTTTAAAAGCCCAATTTGCATTTTAATAAAAATGAGATCGAACTACATACAGCATCATAAAGAAACTTTTGAACTTTTGCAATTAATATATCTAACTTTTTATCTTAATAGCAGCATTATAATTATGCTACAAATATTATATATAACATAATAAAATTATATAAATTATAAAATTATAATTTATTATGGATAGAATTTTATATTGATTTACACTCAGATTTTTAACAATGCTGCAAAATAAAACACATACGTTTTTGTGTTTGTATATGTATATATTTATGCTTATTTTTAGTTCTGTAGGTTAGATTACCAGAAACAATTGATTGGTTAAAAGTGTATTTTAAATAATACTTTCAAATAATTTAGAATTTATTGAGGCAACTTTCATTCCTACCAGCATTGTTCAGGAAACCATTTTTTTTTTTTCACATAGACAGTAGCATTGAAAATACCAATATTAATTTTATGCCCTTAAAAATTTGAAATTGATATGGCAGCATGGGACTTCTGGTTATAAGTAAAGGATAAATTTAAGAAAAAATGTAATGGCTAAGGTAACTTTCATATTTCACATAGAATTTTGTTATACAATCTAAATTTCTTCCAAATTTTGAGAATTTTACACTATATTAAAAGTATAAAAAAATGAAGGGAGTAGAAGAATAGTAATTTTAATTGCCTTCTCATGTGGATTCTGGAAAAAGGACTAGAAAAATTTATCTGATAAGGCTTTTCTAAAATGAAGAACTGGTAACAAACTTGTTGATCTGTATATTCTCACCACCTAATAAGAAATATATCATTTACAAGGACAGATGGCATTTAGAACAAATAAGTAACAATTATATATGTTAGAATGAAAACCTGTTGTGAATTTGAATATAAAAATACCAGCAGCAGCTTTGTTGATGCCAATTCACTTTATAGAATAATACTTCCTGTGGAGCAGTTTTCATACTTCTTCTTTAAAATGCTATTACAGGATTTATCAATTATACTAGAGAGCAGCTTGCTTATAATTATAGAATTTTGGACAAGAAAATTTAGACAGAGGTCATCAAATTTATAATTAGAAGATAATTGTGTTTGACATTGTATTGAAGTCAATAAGGATAATTATTGCTATTAATATGACATTAAAACTTTGCAATTATAAAGGCACAATTTTCAAATGAATATCTATTTTTCTTGCAAGTTGATGAAAAGCATTTTTCTTATTAAATTAACATATGTGATAGCATGGAAATAAATTTATGTATGTCAAGATACTAAAACTGTGCCAAATGTTTTATAAAATTTCAGTTTAATAGAAATATAACAGTCACTGGAATCCAAACTGCATTCCTTTACTACAAATTATATGAAATTCAACACATTTTTGTCTTGCTAATATTCTTAAACATAGTGTTTTGCTTATTCTAGAACAGGAAGAATATGATTTAAGCAAAATTAAATCTTTATCTTTTATATGTTTCTGTCAATATGAAACCCTTTTTGTTCCTAGAAGTAGTGTAGCTTTAAAATAACAAAAATTAACTGAAAGGATAGTAATAGTTATAATTTTGATACATCTAAGAGTAATTTGAACAGAGATGCTCATCCCATATCCAAATGGAAATAATTAAAATGCTATTTGAAATGTACAAGAAGGAGCGAAGGCTCTGTCAGTTTTAGTAATTTAAGAAATAGGTCATCCAGAGACCAGCATCTTTAGAGGACTTTCTGGTAAAAATGGAAATGGAACCATAATAAAGGAAGCACTGAAAATTTAATCATTCTTTTTCATTTTAAGAAAGTGATTTAATGTCAGAAGAAATGTTTGGATTACTATACAACCTTACTAATGATGTTGCAGAACTTTAGATCAGAGTATGAACTCTGTGAAGGCTTTTGACACATCCCCGGGAATGATTTTCAATAATGGGCAGCAATGTATTTGAAAGAACTTATGCTAATAGCATAAGAAAAACCAAGAAAAGATGATCTACACACAGTCCTCATTTGATAGGACTGCTCCTAGATGTGTCAACACTTGGCCTTTTTTATTAGGAAACAGAATTGCGAAGCAAACCAGGTAAAACTTGACGTTATAGCTGCATAACAAGGATGTGGTAAAAGGAAAAGCAGATATCATTATAGGTCTTGCTTTCCATAGAAACAATTATCATAACCTCTACATTAGATTATCATTAGAAGGCTCAGCTTCTATAAAACAACGACTCAGATGTGACAAAATTTGAAGTCTCTTTTACATAGAAGTTTAGGTAGGCAATAAACAAATACCAAGAACTTATTTTGTTTATGTCTTGGGGCTTTTCCAGTCTCAATATGTGGCACCCATTTTATCAACCACATAAAAAGTTCTAACTCTCACCATCAGGTGCAAGTCAAGACAAAGCAGGGAGCACCACTCCTCTTGAAAAATAAGACCCAGAATTTGTACGTAACACTTTTATTCACATCCCATCGGCCAAATTCTTTTTTCCCACAATGACAATTATCTGTAAGGAGACTATATACATTTTTGGAAGGTTGTGAGGTAGAGATGGGGTAGCCATATGGCATGCACACATTTGTTTTCATTCTTTTTTTTTAAATTTTTTCCCCCAAAAGGCAAACTATGGAGTAAGACTGCCAAAGATCATGTCCTAGCTCCACATTGGCTCTTGGGAAATCTACCTAACCTCACTGTGCTTCCTCACTGTGCTACCTAACCTCACCATACATAAAATGAGGATGGTAGTACCTACTTTGTAGGATGTTATATAAATCATATGAGTTATTACTTGGAAAGATTTTAGAAGAGTGCCTGGAAGAACATCTGCCACAATGCCATTGGACAAAGAGAAAAATAAAAAGCAAACTATATTTAGATTATTGAGGTGTTGTTTTATGTAGCATATATCAGAAATTATAGGACACTTTTTGCTTTTTTTAAAATAGTGATTAAGTTGCTAACAACCTACATTCATACAAATATTCACACATGCACACTCACAAAATACATACACACACACACACGTCTTCATTATTCTTCTGACTCAGTCTTAAAGAAAAATCAATCATGTAACAGCCTCTTTAGTTAGGGCTAGCCTTGCTTCCAGTAATCAAAGCATGGACATAGGGAGACAGAACACAAGAAAAAAGGCAAGTTGTAGACTGTGTGGTATGTTTTTTGTCTATTAAGAATCTGCTTTGAAATCTTCCTCTCTATTCAACAGCCTAATAGAAAAACAAACAAATAATCAAACAAAAAGGGAGCCCAATTTTATTCAACTCAGTCAGAGAGAGATTAATAACATCATATCTATGTTCTATGATACCAAAACCAACCTGAGTAGAGTATTTGGAACGTAGAAGTATTCTACATAGAGTCGAGGATAGGAATATTCCTGTGGTCTGAATGTGCTCCTGCAACATTTATATGTTTATATTTAATCACCAGTGTGAAAATATTAAGAGGTAAGGTCTTTAGGTGGTGATTAAGTCATGAGGGTGGAACTCTTGGGAATGACATTAATAATTTTATAAAAGAAGTACAAGGGAAATATGCGCTGCTCCTGCCATGTGAGAAAGTAGCAAGGGTTGCCATCTATGAAGCAGAGAGTAAGCCTTTACCAGACACTTAGTTTACTGGCACCTTGATCTTGGTTGGACTTTCCAGTCTCTGGAACTGTGGGAAATAAATTTATATTATTTACAAATTACACAATCTAAAGTATTTTGTAATAGCCACTAGGTGGACCAAGACAGATATCAAGTAGACTTTTATTGGTTTTGGTTGTTTCTTTTAAAAATCAACATCAAAAGAATAAATGATTCTTGTATAAGAACTGGATGCTAAAATGCTACAAACTAGTCGGATGGACTAAAAAGTTTATAGAGTAGCTGGTTTCAAATGCTTCAAAGTAGACTATAATTCATTTTGAATGGCAATATTAAATGAATACATTTCATTGCTTATAATTATTTTACATTGATTATATCTTACATAACACTAAGTGTCAATCACTTTTCTAGTGCTTTACAAATAAAAATTTATATCATACTTGTTATACAGAGCAGGTAGTATTATCATCTCCATATATGATAAAATTAAGGCCTCAAAAGATTATGTAAATTGCCCAAGATCACCTAATTGGTTTGCTCTTTAGCTAATATTTGATCCCTGACAACTTGTTTCATTGTCTGCACACTTATCCACCAGGGATGCTGATTTGGTGACACAAAATATAAACCACATTTGTAAGGTAGCTGTCATCATCTTTCTATATATGTCTTACTACCTAAGAAAGAAATATATAAAAACATTTCTTGAAAATTAAGACAAAATAATCATGAGAGATATTATTGCAACATTTGCAACATTATCATCTCGTGATAGATCAAATAACTATTAAAAACCAGGATACAGAACTTCATTAGCATCCTAATAAGAAAACTACCTACGTAATGGCATCAAAATCCATCTTCAGTTTGTTCCCTTGTTGCTTATCCCATCTAAGCCAAACTCTTCCTTCTGGGGTCTGGATCATATTTTCTTCCAACTCCTAGAAACCTTATGTTACTAAACGTGCAAGTTGTCCTTGGTATAATCTACAACTCTCACACCAAACTATCTTTACCACCAGCATATAAACATAGATTCTCCAGATTCTTTCATCTTGGGGGAAAATCTTGCTCATTCTCTCCAATCTCTCCTCTTTCCTCTTCTATCCTTTTCTCTCTTCTTCTCTTTGCTTCTTTCTTCTCTCTCCTCACTACTCCTTATGCTTCTCTACCTTCTCCTCCTGCTCCTTCTTCTTTCTCTCTCTCTTTCATTCCCAGACCCTCCATTCTTTTTTTTTTGTAATCAAACATTATAAAACATCGAACTCTACTGCCTAGTCTTCATTCGCTCTTACCTACCTACCTCAATCCACTACAATCTGGATTCTGAAATGGCCTTATATATAGGTTATTAATTGCCTCCTTATTGATAAATCCAATAAAATTTTTCAGTTTTCATTTTATTCAGCTATTCTGCATAATTTATATTGTTGGTGTAGTCCTCTTTAAGATACCACATTTAGTTACCATTTGTGACACCATTTCTATCTTTCTTTGGTGTCTTCTACTCTGTTGTTTTGCCAGAACTCCATTAACCAGCCTGTATATAACTCCAATCTCAGCCATCTTTTGAGGGGAGTATAGAAATGGAAATAAAAGTATATCCAAAATTTTAAGTGTAAGGTACTACAGCAAATGACAGTGAGAAAATATAAAGGATTCAGCAAAGAAAAGACTTGCAAAAAATTAAGTAGGGAAGAAAAAAGTAGTTATGCTGCCCCCATGATCAGGTGAGAAAAGAATAGTGAAAAGAAGTGAATGATTAAGTTTGTTAAGTATTGAAGATGGTTGGAGATGAGATCAGATGAAAATGATTAGACAACTTGGAATCCATGATAACCTTGATAATAGTGATAGCAATGAAGTGGAAAAAATGCTGACTGAGATGGAGTGAATTCAAAAGAATGGGAGGAGACATGGTAGAGAAAGTGAATAAATAATGCTTTGGAGTTGTTTTGATCTAAAGAGGAGCTCCGCAATAGAAGCTATGGGAAATGTGTGTAAAATAGATGTTCTTTTTTTCTTTTTTAAAATGGAGGATAATGCATAATTTGTTTGCTGATGAAAACGATTCTCTATAGAGACAAACATGAAGATTTTCGTGACATAAAATTTTCAAAAATGCAAGAATGAATAGAATGCTTATGCACAAGTGGATGCATTGGCGTCAAATAGTAACAAAAGCAGTATCTATAAATGCTTTTCATAAGAGACAGCATAAAAGTTTAGGAAGCAAAAGTAAAGGAGGCCTGAATCAGAATCTCTCCACACATTCCCCCCACTCCCCCTAAAAGAAAAGTATGAGATCAACAAGGAGCTCAAACACAATCATATGTAAAACTTGCCATGAGCCTTTCTCAGAAATGGAGAAGAGCACAACTTTCAAGTTACCTCTAAGTAGAAAAAATAAACAAACCAAATTTTACTGGAGCGCCATCTTCTGTCTCAAACTTGTTGAGAGTAGAAAGTAGGGAAGAGACTTAAGAGCTACCGTAAAAAGAGGAGAGAGACTTGGAAGACAGAGATAAGGTATGGCAGGGAGGAGTAAGCCAAGGTAGAGAAAGCCCAACAGTAAATGGCAAAATGCTACCCACAAATTTACAACTTGGTAGGTGATAGCACCAGCTCTAAGGAAGGGGGTTGAAAATGGGAAAGACAGCATAGGCCAGACTCAAAGTAAAGTTGCTTCTGAGAGACAATCAGATAAATAGAGAAAGAGATGGGCTCTTTGGGGGTGCAGCTGCAAAGAGTAAAAATGAATAAAAGAGAAAAATAAGAATTATGGAGAAATACAAATGGAGGGGGTAGATATACGAAGTTCCTTTCCCTTCTCTCACTACTAACACAAGCATCAGATCTTACAGAAGCTGAGGTTTACTATGCTTCCATGAAGAAAACAGTCTCCATACAAAGATGCAACAAAAGAAAATAGAACATTAAATATAATTATAATAGCTGAAGTAAATTCTACCCCACTCCTTCACAACACATGAAGCAGAAAAAAAAAACTGTAATTAAATAGTTAAAACAGAACTAAATGACCTAAACAAGAACTGGCGATAATACAAATTTATATGTGGCTATAATTATTGATGATGCTCTCATTCAAATAGCTATATAAAAAATTTTGCTTGGGTGTCTTGTAATTTTGGATTATCAACTCATGTTAGCTACAGTTTAATTTTAGGAATCCTGAAAGATCTTGTTTGAGGCTATACTTTTTTTAAACTTTTATTTAGGTTTGGGGTACATGTGCAGGTTTGTGATATAGGTAAATTGTGTGTCATGGAGGTTTGGTGTACAGATTATTTTGTAAGGCAGATAATAATCATAGTGCCTAATATGTAGCTTTTCCATCCTCATTGCCCCCTACCCTCCACCCTCAAGTAGGTCCCAGTGTCTGTTGCTCCCAGCCTTGTGTCCATATGTACACAATGTTTAGCTCCCACTTACAAGTGAGAACTTGCAGTATTTGGTTTTCTCTTTTTGCATTAGTTTGCTTACAATAATGGCTTCTAGCTCCATGTATGTTGCTGCAAAGAATATAATCTCATTCTTTTTATAGCTGCATAGTATTCCTTAGTGTATATGTACCACATTTTCTTTATCTAGTCTATCATTTATGGGCATTTAGGTTGACTTCATGTCTTTGCTATTGTGAATAGTGCTGCAATGAAACTACATGTGATTGTGTCTTTATAATAGAATGATTTATATTCCTTAGGCATATACTCAGTAATGGGGTTGCTGGCTCAAATGGTAATTCTATTTTAAGTTCTTTGAGAAATCACCAAACTGCTTTCCACAGTGGCTGAACTAATTTACATTCCTACTGGCAGTGTATAAGTGTTCCCTTTTCTCTGCAATATCACCAGTGTCTGCTATTTTTGACTTTTTAATAATGTCCATTCTGACTGATGTTAGATGGTATCTCATTGTGGTTTTGATTTGCATTTCTCCAAACATTAGTAATGTTGAGCATTTTTTTTTCATATGCTTGTTGGCTGTGTGCATGTCTTCTTTTGAAAAGCATCTGTTCATGTCCTTTGTTCACTTTTAATGGGGTTGTTTTTGCTTGTAAATTTGTTTAAGTTCCTTATAGGTTCTGGATATTAGACCTTTGTCAGATGCATAGGTGGCAAATATTTTCTCCCATTCTGTAGGTTGTCTCTTTACTCTTTTGATAGTTTCTTTTGCTGAGGCTATATCTTAACAGAGTAGCTTTACTTTTCCTTTAACCAGCTATTACTCTGAGACTCTGTAATTCTTAATTTAATTCCTTGTGTCCTGAACACACAGCTAGTGTACATTAAAAACCCACTCTCATTTTCATTATGCTTGTGATTAATATTCCCCTGTATACTATTTTTTCTTTTCTTTCTGACCTAGAAAACTTGCATAGATATTTTACATAGGCCCTGTTGAGTTAAAATTGAATTATAATAGTTCATAAAAATATATTAAGATTCATTTGAAAAGGGCAAGTAGATTGTATGTGTTCATGTGTTAACAAGGAAATCAAGATTTTTCATTACATAAAGCAATATTTTAATTGTGATAATAAGCAATGCATTAAAAATAAATTAATACAATGATTTAACACATTGTAATTATTTGTTTTAATACATAGTCATTTTCTATATTCTAAATATCAGGTGGACTGAATCACTATCAGATTTTTCAGCTGTTTTATATAAACTAAGGAAAAAATTATGATTCCAGGGAAGCTAATAAACACAATATTCATAAAGCACTATTGTCCTTTCAAGTGTCAAGTAGTTCTTTAGTCATAATTTTCCTAAGGCAAAGCTTTGTCACTGAAAAAATTCATCAAATAGTGCTGGTATTAAATGCTTAGAGGTAAAAATTACTTTTCCTATTTGAACTAGAAATTTTACAATAGATTTTTTGGGAGATTGCTAATATATTCCAACAATATTTCATATCAAAGTTTCACAAAAAAACTAAATTTCTTATTTTCTATACATAAAGTGTGTTCTGATAGCTTTTTCAAAGATCTGTGATGACATTTATGACATAAAGGGCCCCACCTGAAGTTCAAAACTGAAAAGATGCAGTAGCCTTGAAACAAGATGCTGTAAGATTAAAACTAATTGAAGATTTCCCAGGAATGGTCACATCAGACTCAACTGAAACTACAGGAAAAGCTTAGTGGGTATGAGTCAGGACACTGGTGACCAATCACAATGGGCACTGTCACAGGTTGCTTTGACAGCAAGACACCTCTTTGACTGGCAGTACTTCTGCTTGGGTTTTGCTTGCACCTACTGGGCTTGTTCCACCCACTCAGCCCATCAGGCTGTACTCGGCTTGCACTACCAGCCCTGACCCCATGCCTGCCAAGGGTGAGCCAGGTGTGGAGCAGCAAAGGGTGTGTGAGCAAGTGAGCGCAGGGTCCGGCCGCTGAACCCAGGCAGGTGCTCTGGCTGAGGCAGGGCAGGCAACTCCAGGTGCCAGCACAGGTCCTGGCTCCATGCAAGGCTGTGGCTGGACCAGGTGTGTACTGCAAGTGGCTTCTGCTGTGGGCACTGGAGAATGTGGTGGCACCCAAAAACTTGGATATGCCGGGAAACACAGAGCCCCAAAGAAGGTGTTACAGTGTGTCACTGCCCAGGCTCAGGGATCCTCGAGGTCTGGACCCCCAGAAGGGCCTCAGCTTTTCTCTCCTTCTTGCTGCCTGCAGCATGGAAAGTGAGGGGCATCTTTCAGGGGGTTCTGTTTCAGCCTGTTTGTGTTACAGCTCTTTCAGTCCTGCCACCTTGCTGTGGCCCATGGCTCCTGGGCTGGCTCAGCCCTGCCACTGCTTCCTGTTGTGTGGGGCTACTGCCCAATGTCAGCAGGGGGTGGGAAAGCTACCGTGTTACAGCAGCTTTGACTCAAAGAAACCTGAGGTCTAGGCCCCCAGAAGAGTCACTACTTTTCACTCCCACAGTCTGGGAGCGTGTCACCACCTACAGCTCAGCAAGCTGGCTAGAAATATGTTACAGCTCCTTTTGCTCCCACAGTTCAATGGGTCCTGATTTTCTTGTCCCACATCCAGGCAGAATGAGGTTACTTGGAGAAGTGGAGGGTGAGCAAGGTGGAGAGAGCTTTGTGGAGTAACAGAACAGCTCTCAGGAGACCCAAACTGGGTACCTTCTTTCTGCAGGCAGGTGTCTGAGTCTGGCTGAGTCTGGGGTTTTTATGTGCTAAAAATGGAGGAACTGTGTGCTGATTGGTCTATGGGTGGGCATGGGTGGAACTGAAAAAAATCACCATCCATTTGGCCAAAAGGCAACAATGAAGTGCTCACTCAGGGTTGCAGACTCCACCCAGAACTCCACTCGGCCTACTCCCAGGCTTTAGGTCATCCCTAGCTTGGAGGTGGGGTTTTGCCAGGGACCCACCCCTTCTCTCCTAAGAATCTGTATGCCCCCCACCCCATCAATATGCCATCCGTGATGCCCAGACTGTCTGTGTTGAGTGGTTCCCATAGGTCAGCACCTAGCTGCCTTCAGCCAGCCTCCTTCCCTGAACTCATCAGCACCCAAAGTTTCAGAGGAGGCCAAGGTGGTGGGGGGGCTAGTGTGTCAGTGCAACCTTGAGTGTGCACACTCCCAGCCAGTTTGTGACAATTCCCAGGCTTGGCTACAACTGCTTCACAAGGGAGCAGGGGCCAGGAATGAGGAGGGGCCAGGGTGCAGGCACTTCTGAGCTTGTGGGGGTAGGGGGCTTCCCAGGCCCCCTAGAGCGCAGGAATACCCGGGTCTGAAGCCATGGTTGGGCAGCTTCAGCTGTGCCTGGGAGCTCAGGCCCCTGCCCAGCCAACTTGGTAGGGTGTGGGGCTCCCACTGGGATCACCTGTTCTTGGCTCCTCCCTCCCAGCTCCACAAAGTGTGCAGCACCAGCTGCACCTCCCCCCATGCAGCTGGCATCCCCACAGCAGTTGCTCCAAGCAGGCCACCACCGTCACCAGCACCAGATCACCAAAACAGGGTCCTAATGTCCCTTTTGTGCCAGACAATAAATGCTTCATTTGTTGTTCTAGGGGAACAACACAGGGGCTTGGAAGGCCAGGGTGATTAAGGCAAGTCCATCTCTAGAGAAGCTCAGGGCATCAACTATTTGAAAAATGGTATGATGGGAAATGTTTCAAAATTTTATCAGATCATATAGCTTTTCTTGTGTTTATAGGCAAAATATATGTAATTACAATAGCTTAAGTATCTCTGCAAGGATATATAAGAAAGAGGCAAATTGTTGCTTAGATGCAGGTGGCTGGGAAATAGAGTTTGAAAGAAATATCACTTTTGTGCCCTGGGCATTTTTATGGATGTTAGTATATTACCTATTTAAAAATAAATAGTTTTAATTTTCAATTTAAAAACTTTTTATTTATTGAAAGATTTGACATTGATTTTAAATTTATAAAAAGAGAACTTCTGGCTGGGCATGGTGGCTCACGTCTGTAATCCCAGCACTTTGGGAGGCTGAGGCGGGCAGATCACAAGGTCAGGAGATCGAGACTATCCTGGTTAACACGGCGAAACCCCATCTCTACTAAAAATACAAAAAATTAGCCGGGCGTGGTGGCGGGTGCCTGTAGTCTCAGCTACTCAGGAGGCTGAGGCAGGAGAATGGCGTGAACCCGGGAGGCGGAGGTTGCGGTGAGCCAAGATCGCGCCACTGCACTCCAGCCTGGGCGACGGAGTGAGACTCCATCTCGAAAAAAAAAAAAAAGAAAAGAAAACTTCTACAATATAATAAAGGATTATCTTTGTAAAATGTATTGTTAATGTAATATATAATGGCAAATAATTGATTTTTTTTCCTAAGAAAGACAAGAGAACGTGGATGTTGATTTCACTTCTTCCATTCAATATTAGATTGATGGCTGTAGCTAATGCAATAAGGTTACAATTTTTTTTTAATTATAAAGATTGGAAATAAATAAAATTTTATAAGTAGCTTTAAAATAAGGTAATATGCCTAACTTATTAATGAATGTAAAACAGAACACTGCAAAATTCACAAAGGGATATCTCCTTTAAGTCAAAATATTTACCATCTCCTCTAACAGATGGTAACTTTACTATCTGTTAATTGATACCAAAGGATATTATGAATTTAGGAGATTTTAAAATGTATCAAAAATTGATACACATTTAACATATACTATTATATGATATGTGATTAATTTGGTCTTTTTTTAATTATTATTTTTTAGAGACAGAGCCTTACTCTGTCAGGCTGGAGTGCAGTGATGTGATCATAGCTCACTGCAGCCTCAAAGTAGTTTGGTATTTTAAAGCACACTGCTCCTTCCTTCCCTTCCCCTGACTCTCATGATTGACTCTGTAGCAGTGGTAAAACAAGTATTAGTGCTTAACTCTGATTTGATCTCATTTTATGCAGTTGTACACTTGGTTTTATCCCATACATATTAACATACACATTTCACTTGGAGACAAAAATTTTAAAACTTTAAAATATACCAATTTTTATCCTATAAATATTAACATACACATTTCTCTTAGAGACAATAATTTTAAAATCTTAAAATATACAACAAAAGCCCTTATGAAAAAGTATGCTACATGTTATATTTATTTCTTAATCTGTGTCTTTTGGAGCGTTATTTGATCTTCTCACAATTTAGTTGCCCTATCTCTAAAGCAGAATTAATGGATTTGAATACTCACCTTTTACTTATAATAAATTCAGGCATAGATAGTTATACTTCTGTTCTTAGTCATCCAAAGACAAATACAATGTAAATGTTACACCTGAAAAGAGGTCATCCCCTAACCCTAACATCACCAGGGAAGGCCCTGTCAACCGTAGAAACATAACCATAATTACTCTTTAATATAATTAGAAGTGGAACATCTTTTGTTGTTCTTGTTGTCATCATGTGCAAACCTGGTAGTAGAGGGAAAAGTGGGACAGAACCAGAGGACAAAGACAAATACTTTCCAATAAGTGTACTCTGTAAGTCTCATGCACTCAGTCATCATCCAAAGATCCTCATTTGTCTAAAGTCTGGTAGCACATAAAAATGTGTATTATAATGTAATATCTTAATAATGCAGACATCAGACACACCCAAACTGAGGAATCTTTTTTTTTTTCCTATGTAGGGACAGGGGTCTCACTATGTTGCCCAAAGTGGTCTCAAACTCCTGGCCTTAAGCAATCTTCCCGCCTCAGCCCCCAAAGTGCTGGAATGATAGGTGTAGGCCACCGCAACCAGCCAAAATTGAGGAATCTTTTACAAAAGTAGCCTTAACTCTTAAAAAAATTTGCATGATGAACTTTTGTAAAAAGCAGAGAGAAAGCTCTATATTAGATACCAAGTGCACATAATGATTAAACACAATGAATGATCCTTGAGTAAATGTTAGGTGGAGGAAAAAAATAGCAGAAATAAACCCATAAAAGACATTTAGGAAAAATTATGCAATATTCAATAAGAATGATATATGAACTAATAATATTAGATAATGTTAAATTTCATGTGGGTGATAATTATAACTGTATATTTTAGTTCTGATTATTATACAATATATGTAGATGACAATTTCATTATAACAAAACGCCCTTTCCTTATTTGAGGTAAATGCTGAAGTTTTTACAGGTGAAGTGTTATTTTTACAAACTCAAGTCTCAAATCAAGCACCACAAAAAATATTGTGTGTGTGCACATGCTTGTACGTGTGCATGTGTGCATGTGTGTGTGCAGTCAGAGGTGTGCATCTGAGAAAGCATAATGATGTAAGCATGTCATGTATGAATCTAGGTAAAGGAAATACTTGTTTTCATTGTATTGTTCTTTATACTATTCATAGGTTTGACAATTTTTAAAATAAAAAGATGAGGCAAGGATTTCCTCCCAAAAATATGTGTTATTAGGGTAAATCAAACTAGAAATAAAGAATCTGAGATAAGACGAAAGGTAAGAAACATAAAAGATAATTTCTGTTTCTGAATTTTTGTATTCCTGCTTCTATTGTTATCTGTACTCAGAAAAATTCTATGTCATCCTTTTGGGATATAAGTAAGATATATAGAAAGCAGCCCTGATGGTTGGCTATTTCCAAATAAAAAGGAATAAATAATATTTAATGTCTTTGTAATGTCTCAATTTGAATAGGCTGAACTAAATATTCCAGAATTCCCTTTCTTTTATGCTTCTTTTTTTGCATAGGCCACAAAAGAGAGTCTTAGGATATTTGGAAAATGGAAGGGAAGCAGCAGTCATTCTCTAGCACACAAATGTAGTTGCTGATGTGTTGGATGTAAAGCAGCAGCTGGGCCTGCAACTGCTCTATCTTTCCCTAAATTCCTCTTTAGCTATCTTGATTCCTATGATGAGTGTGTGTATTTAGCTCCAAGGCTCCAGCTTCTGCAAGATACCTTCATCACCAATGTCCTAAGCAGTAAGAATGGACAAGGAGTTCAGTCCATTCTGCTGAGGTTCAAGCTCATGTTTGTAGATTTTACCCTGCTCATGATATTTCTTTCCTGACTGCTTGTCTGGCAGAATTAAAGCCCCAGCATCTGAGAGGGAGACAATAGCCTCACAGAGACAGCTTAACTAGGTCCCACAGTTGGACAAGCCAGTGTCCTGTAACAGATCCTTTGATAGTTAGATAAATAGATAGATAGATGGAAAGACAGAGACGAATGTAGAGATAGATAGATAAATCTCCTGCTGGTTCTGCTTCCATGGTGGAATCTTGACTAATACAGAAGCATTTTAAAATAGTAAGACACAATAATATTGCTTATATTTTTAACTTACGCTTTGAAGACATATATAACTTCACCTGAAACCTGTATCTTGAAATGAAATGTTTGGGGAACAAGTCTAGTACTGAAAAATCTACAGCAAACCCTAAGTCAGTCAAATATCAGTGACACTGAAATACAAATTTGGGAGTATATAAATTTAAAATTACTTCCACATTTAGTCTGACGGTAAATTAAATGTGTGTCTGTGTGCCTGCATGAGTGTGTATGTGCGTTTGTAACTTGCAATCATTTCAATACAAATTTGACAAGTATGTTTATCTCCACTTTATTGTCCCAAATGCTGCATACATAAATAAATGAAATAATCGATAATGTTTCTTCTCATGTTAGCTCAGTTCTCTTTTTATTTGCATAACTAGTCTAATGGTCTAGACTTTAGTTAGCAGCGGAGGTTGTTTAGAATATATACCATCAAAAGCTAAGCGTTATTCAATGAGATACAAAATCTTCCCTATGATCTCAAGTGCTAAAGAGCCATGAGATAATGTTCAGATGAAATACTCTACCACTTTAAAAATCACTGTAAATCAAAGATAAATTTTAATTGGGTCATTTTACCTTGTACAAATTTAGAGTAAACAGAGTTATTAAGACTTAAAGGTATGTCAAAAATAATGTATATAATGTAAAAATATTATACATCTATAGTAAATGGCTCTCCTGTGAGTTAAATAACAGAATTCCATCCTTACCAACACATTTATAACATTTTTGCTTTGTAGTTATCAAGGCTAGTGAAAATAATTTGCTCTACCATTTCACATTGATCTCTCAACATTCACTATAACTAGTGCTATACAACTTCTAACAATGCAAAAAAAGGAGAAAATATTATTAAATTTATTTTCAGAAAATGAGTGAGTAATTGGTTGAGGTAAATTAATAAAGTTTTAGAATATCATGTAATACTTATCTAACAATGAGTATTGCCAGTTATGCTTATTTTTTTCTTGGCTGGTTTGATATTATAATTCATATTTTATAAGAACTATTTATCTAAGAGGCTGTACGGTGTGCAGTGATCTTTTAAATTTTGTTTCAGAACTCATAATGACCTCCCTACTACCCTAGTTACGTGTTTGGAGGTAACTCAGATTAATTATAAAGGGAGAATACAGATAACCTAATAAAACAAATGACTATTATAATGATAAACAGGAATATCAACAAAAGAATTCCCACTGATCCTATCATGTATGTTTAAATATTAAAGCTTATTGAAGAATAATCCCAAACCTAGAAATTAGACCTACAAATAATTGATAAGCTGGATATCCTTAAAAATGGAAACTTCTGCTCTCCAAAAGACAATGTCTACAAATGAGAAAATAAACCACAAACTTGGAGGAAATATTGACAAATGACACATCTGAAAAAGGACTCTTTTTCAAAATATATAAAAAAAACTCTAAAAACTCAACAATAAGAAAATGAAAAAGTCTACTGAAAATGGGTAAAGGCCCGAAAGAGATACCTTACTAAAGAAGATATATAGACATCATGTAAGCATACATCAGAATGACTAAAAGCAAAAACACTGACAATACTAGACGCTGGCAAGGATGTAGAACAAAAGGAACTCGCATTTTATTGCTGATGGGAATGAAAAATGATGCAGCCACTTGGAAAGACTTGGATGCAGCCAAGTGGATGCAGCCACTTGGAAAGTTTGGCAGTTTCCTACAAAACTAAACACATTCTTACCAGCAATTATATTTCAAAGTATTTACCCTAATGAATTGAAAGCTTATGTCCACACAGAAACCTGCATGTGGATATTAATAACAGCTTTATTTATAATTACCCAAACTTGGAAGCAACCGAGGTGTCCTTCAATAGGTGAATGGATAAATAAACTGGTACATTCAGTCAATGCAGTATTATTCAGCACTAAAAAGAAGTGAACTCTCAAGCCATAAAAAGACATGGGGGATGCTCAAATATATATTACTAAGTGAAAAAGACCATTATTTAAAAGTGACATATTGTATGATTGCAATTATATGACATTCTGGAAAAGGAAAAACTGTGGTGGCAGTGAAAAGATCAGTGGTAATCAGGGGTCTGGGGGAGAAAGGGATGGCTAGGAAAATCACAGAGAATTTTTTTTTTTAAGTTCTGGGATACATGTGCAGAATGTGCAGGTTTGTTACATAGGTATACGTGTGCCATGGTGATTTGCTGCATCTATCAACCTGTCATCTAGGTTTTAAGCCCCGCATGCATTAGGCATTTGTCCTAATGCTCTCCCTCACCTTGCCTCCCACCCCCCAATAGGCCGTAGTTTGTGATGTTCCCCTTTCTGTGTCCATGTGTTCTCATTGTTCAGCTCCCACTTATAAGTGAGAGCATGTGGTGTTTGGTTTTCTGTTCCTGTGTTAGTTTGCTGAGAATGATGGCTTCCAGCTTCATCCATGTCCCTGCAAAAGACACAAACCTATTCTTTTTTATGGCTGCATAGTATTCCATGGTGTATATGTGACACATTTTCTTTATCCAGTCTGTCATTGATGAGCATTTGGGTTGGTTCCAAGTCTTTGTTATTGTAAACAGAGCACAGATAATTTTTAAAATGGCACAACCACTATATATGATACTGTAATGGGGCTGCATGTTATCATACAATTTGTAAAACCCATAGAATGTACAACACCAAGAATGAACTCTAATGTAAAACTATGGAATTTGAGTATAATAATGTGTCAATTAGGTTCATCAATTTTAACCAATTTATCACTGTGGTAGGGAATATTGACAGTGATGGAAGTTCTGTGTGGGGCAAGAGGAAAGAGGGCATATGAGAATTCACGACATTCTGCTTAGGTTTGCTAAAACTACTCTTAAACTACTCTTAAGACTACTCTTAAAGTAAAGCTTATTAATATAAAATATTTTTAAAAAGTAAAAGATACAGCCTGCATTAACACAGTCTTTGTTTCTTTGCACATAAAGCCTTTGTTTCTTCAGTGATTTGCTTGATTATAAAAACCAACTTATAAAAGAGAAGACAAATATTGCCTCATTCATTACACAGGCTTTTGTGAAGTGAATGAGATATTTAGGTATCTTTGCCTCCTCACAAAGAGAAAATTCTGTCACTAACAGCTGCTATTTATGGACTAAAAATGTGGACCTATCCATAAAAGCACAAAATGAGTTAATGGAAAAACATACTAAAACCAACAAATACAAATATTCCTCATTTTAAAAGTTTGCATTATATTATTTCTTTTGTTCTTATTGTTATGCTTCTGCATAAAGAATCATTAATCTGTTTATTAATGCATGCATTCTACAATCATTTACTGAGTTTCTACTTTATGTGAGACATGGAAGCACTAAGAATATAATAGTGAGCAAGCAAAAATGAATCTGCTTATAATCAAGTGCAGAGCCCACATAAGCGAGACAAGTTTGCCCAGAGAAACACAGTATTTTGGGATGGGAAAAGAAAATATTAGAATTTTGATTTGCATATATTTTTGATGATTACCTTTTTAAAAATCTTTCTTGCTCTTGCTATGCTTCATAAGTGTGTGTGTATATGTATATATACACACACACCTATATAAACACTGGTGTATGTATAAATATATGTAAATATATACATATTTATAGGGAATTCATATTTTTTCTCTGTGTGATCAAACAAGTTTAGTCTTAAGTAATGAGGCAGAATCTAAAATAAACACAGAGTACAAATGCTCTATGAAAGCAAAAGATAAAGTAGTCCTGGAAATAGTGTGTAAAGTGTGGAAAAAGTGTTTTAGGCAGATGGAACAATATATTTAAACGCTCTGAGGAGAAGCAAGCATTGTACGTTAATGGAGCAGAGAGAGTCAGCGTGGCTGAACCACAGTGAACAGGAAGGAGTACCAAGAGGTCTGATAAGGCTGGCAAGCCACATAAGGGACAGGCCACACAGGCTTGAGTGTGTGAATTTGTGCGAATTGGGGGCTTGAATTTGGTGCTACATAAAAAAATGACTGTAAATATTTTTAAGATCAATGAAGTTATTAGCTTTATTTGTCTTCAACATAATCCTGACTGCTATTTTTGTTACACATTTGAGGGAGGCAATGGAAAAACCAGGAAGTCTGGGGGGCTCAATGAATTTTGTTGAAGAAATCTCTCTGCACAAAATTTCCTTCAAAACATCATGTGAAATTAGATAATGTAAATCTGTGACATGCATAAAGTTTCTAGACTTATCCTTTTATGAGCTGAGTAAATCTTTAAGGACTACCATTTAAGCTATGACTAATATGTGGCATTGATCATTATATCTTTGACCACACATGTCTCAAATAAGTAAGTTTAATTCAAACTTGTGGATTCAGGGCTTAAGTATTTTTCCCCAAGTAAAAGAAAAGATAACTAGGAACAGAAGGAGGAAAAAATGGAAAGCAAATGTAGGTTAAATTCACATTTTAGAAATTGCGACAACATTTTAAGTTTGATACCTCATTTATTTTATTTTTTTTTTTTACTGTTCCTAGCATCAGACATCATTAGGTGTTAAAGTTTATTTAATGAGTTGTCCCACAGATATAACAAAAACACTTGAATTGGGCTTATGTAAACCAAAGCCCAGCTTTGGATATAAGAATTCTTTACGTTACTTAACCAGTTTATTTCACTGAAGCCAAACATACTTCTAGGCATTTTATTGAAGAATTTGGATACAGTGAGGTGAAATCATAGCGTGGCTTGATTTTTCTTGAGATAGTGGGTATTTTATTTTTCTGTTCCTTAATACCATGTCTACAATAACAAATATTATTTATTTTCACTTTCTAGAACGAAAAAACCCTCCTTTTTAAGGTTTTGAAGAATCCAGGATAATATAAAATGAATTACAATCTCTCATTAGATTTAAATATTCACCCTTCTCCTTTAACTAGGCTTTGAAGCTCTCATGGAAAAAGATAGCTATGGGCTTTTTTTTCTCTTTTCTTTCTCTTTTTTTTTTTTTTTTTTTTTTTGCAGCTTTTATTTTAGGTTTAGCAACACTGCTACATGGGTAACACACATTGCTGAGGTTTGGTGTACAAATGATTTCATCATCCAGGTAGAAAGCATAGCACCTGATAGGAAATTTTTCCTCCCCTACCCCTCTCCCACCTTCTTCCCTCAAGTAAGCCCCAGTGTCTTGTTCCCATCTTTGTGCCCACGTATACTCAATGCTTAACTCCCAATTATAAGTGAAAACCATGTTCACACTTACTATAAGTGAAAATCTGAGTTTCCATCTTTGTGTCCATTTGTTAATTCACTTAGGATAATGTCCTCCAGCTGTATTCTT
The DNA here is from genome assembly GCF_000001405.40 of Homo sapiens. Classification (NCBI taxonomy): domain Eukaryota; kingdom Metazoa; phylum Chordata; class Mammalia; order Primates; family Hominidae; genus Homo; species Homo sapiens. The sequence continues at coordinate 62,887,633 of NC_000004.12, read as the reverse complement.
GTTGCTGCAAATGATATGATTTCCTTTTTTATGGCTATAATAGTATTCCATTATATAGTTATTCTACATTTGCTTTACCCAGAACACTGTTGATGGGCATTTAGGGTGATTCCATGTCTTTGCTACTGTGAATAGTGCTTCAGTTCACATATGAATGGATGTGTCTTTTGGTAGAACAATTTATATTCCTTTGAAAATAAATTTACACAGTATGTAATACATGCCCAGTAATGGAATTGCTAAGTCGAAAGGGAGTTCTGTTTTTAAGTTCTTTGAGAAATCTCATAACTGCTTTCCACAGCAGCTGAACTAATTTACATTCCAACTAGCAGTGTATAAGCATTCTCTTTTCTCTGCAACCCCACTAATACCTGTTATTTCTTGACTTTTTAATAATAGCTGTACTAACTGGTGTGAGACAGTGTCTCATTGTTTTGATTTGCATTTCTCTAATGATAGTGATACTGAGCATTTTGTTCACCTTCTCTTTCTACTTCATCATCTATTTCCTCTACTCAGAGACTATCTGACAAGGAGAAAAATAAAAGGAGAGAAAAACTCGTATTTATGGTTTGAACTTGTAGTCTAGATGATAATGGTTTGGAAAAATACCAAAATTGCTCACTATATCTGTCTCAATCCATTCTGGGCTATTATAATACAATACCTGAAACTGAGTAATGTATAAAGAACAGAAATTTATTGGTTCATTGTTCTGAAGTCTGGAAAGTTCAAGATTGAGGAGTTGCATGTTGTGGGGGCCTTCCTGTTGCATTATAATATGGCAGAAGGCATCACATGGTGAGGACGAGAGAGCAAAAAGAGTCAAACTCACTCTTATAACAAGCCCACTTCGGGGATAACAAACCCATTCCCTCAGTAATGACATTAATTCATTTATGAGGGCAGATCCTAATCACCTCTCAAAGGTCTCACCTCTCAACACTGTTGCCTTTTGGGTTACTGTTCTTGTGTTGCACTAAGTTTCCAACACATGAACTTTGGGGGGCACATTTAAATTATAGCACTATGTAACACACACACACGTGCGCACACATACACACACGCACACTAGTCTCCTTACTTTTGAAACAGGAAGCATAAAAGCTACCTCAGTCTGATTCAGCTGTCATGTAATCCTTAGTTTTGTATTTGATTTAATGCCTCAGCCAAGATCCCACTTCAAATTACATTTCTTGTATGTTCCTGAGGTTTGAAGTTTACAGGAGAAAATACTTTTACTAAACTGCTTTCACCCTTAGTCTTTGTATCCAGATTTTGCTTATAATTAGATCCAATAATTTTAAACTCCCAAGTAGAAAATATCATTCTTGGCAGGTTGTTTTCAATTAGAAAGATTCAGCAACCATGATCCTTGGTTATTCTCCAGCTTTAGTTATTTTGACTAAGGCATGATATTAATCCTCTTATCCCTAAAGTACTCTTAATATTATCATTGAGTATATACAAAATATTATCTTCAACACTGGCTCTTATGCTGACACAACCTAAAGTGTTAAACTTTCTGTTACTCCTAAAAGCATTCTAAGTAAAATCTAAACTCAGAAGATACAGAGTCATTTGTTTAGTTGCTTTGCTTTAGCATAATTTTTTCCTTCCAGTGTAATTTAAATGGAAAGTGATCTTGGAAAAGAGGAGCTGTAAAACAGGAGAAAAACTTTACAAACTTTCACATTTTACCTTGAACTAACTCATAAAGGATTTTCTATCATTGTTTTTGTGGATATTGGAACTGTTTTCACAGGCTGTTAGTCAGGGATTCTAGATGCATACCACATGATTTGGTGGAAAAAACACAGGTTTGGAATTGGCCAAAATTTCTAATTCTGGCCCAACAATTTTCTAGCTTTGTTATCTGGGGAAAAACATATCTCTCTAGATCTGTTTCTAATTTGTACATCGCTTACATTTTAGAGCTCCTATGAAGGTGAATGAAGTAATTTACAGCACTCTAATTTACTGTAGCACACATCTGTAATCGTACCTCCTTCACTCATAGACCTTTCCTTGTTTCATTGAAGCCTAATACTATACAGATATCTACACTCGTCCACAAAACAATGTGCTTTTAAAGAGTGTCTCCATCCTCCAACCTCAGGAGTACTTCCTAATTGGTCTAATCAAACAACAGCACTCCCATTTAGCTTGTCAATGATTGGTCTAACTCTAGACTTAAGATCCAATGCTGGACAGTCTATATGAGGACAATCTCCAGAAGAGTTAAAGGAAAAGTTTCTTTTCCTCTAAAAGTGAAACTCTATACATTACGTTCTCTTTGTGGATTTGTGTTAGTGTCTGGATATAATACGTGGAGCTACTGCAGCCACCTTGCTGTGGGCCTACAGAAAAAATAGCTGAAAATGGTGGAAAGAGGCTGGGTTACTTCCTGTGATCATTTGATCATGTGATTGACCATTGCTAGCATTACAATAACTCTATACATTTTGTCATGGGGATAATAAATTTTCCTTGGATTAAATAGAATGAAGTTTTATGGTTATTTATTAACAACGTGACTATCACAGTGTATGCCATGTTCTAAGTATTCAGCAGAAGTTATTTTTCTTATCATAGCCCATTTAACCCTAGAAGTGTTACAAAAATTTTATCTGAAATTATTCTGCATGGTTCTAACATAAATGCTATTATATATAGAAAAAACATCACGTTTGATCAACTGCCTAGCCTGAGGAATTTGCAGGAGAAATTGATAACCAGTGCTAATTATGTGCCAATTCCATTTTCATTTTAAAAATAAAATTAGCATTATTTTGCTAGATATCTCAGATTATGGAAGACAGATGAGAAACCACTTTTTCTTGCCCTGTAACATATAACTTTTTATGTTATCTATTTATTTTGCAAAAATGTTTTTAAAAGTTGATATTAGTTCAAACTGGAAATTAAACATTTCATTACTAAAATCAATAAAATATGTAAAATGAAATCTAGCATACTGAAGGATTACAAAAATGCATGTATCATTCTTACAATAAAAATATTGAAAGAAATATTTGAAAGCCAATGAGGGGAAGGGTGCATCTGTTATCGTCATTTCTCATCTAGGAAATATACTCAAATAGTTAATTCAGTTTGTATATAATGAAGTATATAATTAAAATCTGAGTTGTTTTTGTGAGTGGAGGAAAAAAGCAAGAGGAAAACTTTATAGATGGCAATTCAAATACATTTTTTATTAAATTGGGCATTTTCACAAGAAAAGAAGAAAAAACTCTCTTCAAAGGAAGAAAGTGCTTGACAGATGAGGAAATTCACTTATATGGATTTTTGACACCAGGTTGCCTTGAATAAGTCCTGAGAAAAAGTAATTTTTTAATTTATTAAGAAAAAATAAGGTATATTACAAAACAGCACTGTAATTAAGGAATAAAAAATGATTTGGATGAATTGATGACCGTTAAGAACTTTATCCTCATTTGAATTCTTTTAACAACAACTGTCTGAACCATATTTATGGCATTTATTTTTAACTGTGTTCTTTTGCATTTTTGTGTACCTCTTCTGTCAATCCTAGTGCACTGTAATTTTAAATAGCTCAAATATAGCCTCTATCTTTGCCTTTCCTGTTTTTTGTTGGCATGGAGGAAAGGTTCACAAATAGTAGCCTTTTGATAAATTTCTTAGATAAATGAAGGGTAAAATAGAACTATAATTTATAATTTTGGTTACTGTTAATACAATTTTTTATAACTTCTTTCTTTTGTGCTTATGTTGACATGTTTTATAAGAAGAAATATTATAACTGTAAAATCATCCCAATGGCTTATAAATATCATGTTATACCATAAATATACACTCAAATCACAAGGTTACTAAAAAGTCACCACCTGGTAGTATTGCAACCTATTTGCTGGTAAATCATTTCCAACTTCATGACTGCCCCAAATCAATAACAGGGACCTAATTATGTTCCAATATTATGTTGTTATTCCTTTCCCAGGACAATATGAATCTCTATGAAAACAAGCAGCTGTTAAATCAATAACACATATACCCACATTGTACTGATAGTCACATCTCTCCATTAACATCAAGTCTCTAGGCATAATATAGCAATTAAACATAAACATGGAAATTCCTCAGAGCTATGAGCAGAACTACCATTTAACCCAGCAATCCCATTACCGGGCATAAACACAGAGGAATATAAATCATTCTACCATAAAGATACATGCACGCAAATGTTCATTGCTGCACTATTGACAAGAACAAAGACATATAATCAACTGAAATGCCCATCAGCGGCAGATTGTATAAAGAAAATGTGGTACACATACACCACGGGATACTATGCAGTCATGAAAAACAGCAAGATCATGTCTTTTGTGGGAAAATGGATGGAGCTGCAGGCTATTATCCTTAGCAAACTAACGCAAGAACAGAAAACCAAATATCACATGCTTTTTGTAAGTAGGAGCTAAATGATGATAACTCATGAACACAAAGAAGGGAACAACAGACACTGGGGTCTACTTGGGGGTGCAGGGTGAAAGGAGGGAGAGGAGCAGGAAAGATAACTTGGGTACTGGGTTTAATATCTGGGGGATGAAATAATCTGTACAACAAACCTTCCATGACACAAGTTTACCTATATAAAACACTTTCAAAGGTACTCCCAAAACTAAAATAAAAGTTATTCTTTAAAAAAAACAACAACAAAAACAAAGACAAAACACAGTAACCTTGAATGATCACTCCAAAAACAAGAATTGAGCATTACTCACTTCTGTTTCTTCCAAAATACATTCTGCACTAAGTATTTTTTTATTTTTTAATGAATTAAGAGCCAAAACACTTTTTAAGCAATGGTTGTTTATTTAATTAAAAAAAAACAGTGACAACATATATAATTCTGATATCAAAGTATTCAAATAACTTGGAGGTAATCCTTTACCAACTATGGTCATTAGGGAAAGAAACAAGCAAATTCCACCAACTCAGTATTACTCCAATGTTTAAGTAATAGGATGGGCTTTTACTCGACTGTTTAAGTAAGAGGAGCAGTTGGGATAAAGAAGAACAGAGTTTCCAGGTAAGTTAAAAGGTTTTGGTAAACATCACAACTGTAACAAGAAAGGCAAAATTCTAAACAAGTCAACCAGGAAAAAGCATAGTAAAGAAGGGATTGGAAAGCTCATGAGAGAAAAGGGAATTTAGGTAACGTTTGGCTTCTAAGCAATTTAAGAAACTGTTAGGTCAAAGAATTTTCAGGAGAAACACCAGCAATCAAGTTCAATTTTAGTTCAGAGAAGGAAGTTCTTGTTTCCCTCATCTGTTCTAAGTTCTCCTCTTGGAGTGGCTAGCACTAAGATTATAAATGTAAACTCTTAGACAAATCCTGATGTTGATTTTAAAAAGATAGACATTTACATCATTACCCCCAAAATGCAAAGCTAATCTGTGGAAATTTCATCACAAAGGCAGTTTGACTCATCTATTATGAGTCAATAATTAATGTCAGAATGAGCTACTAGTTTTAGTTTTGCATTGACCTCTCTGAATGACTCAAAATGAGGGCAAATAAAGTTTGTGGGTCATGAGACTCTCATCTGACTGACGGTAGAAGGCAGATCCTTTAAGAGAACTATTCTAAAATTTATGATGAAAGTCATGAGACTCGGGATAGTCCCGAATAATCTTAAGAACATTGAATAAAATACAATTCTCAATTTCAAGAGTTATTACAAAGCAACAGTAATTAAGACAGTGTAGTACTGAAGTAACAGATATATCAAACAATAAAATATTTAAGAGTCCAAGAATAAACCTTCTCATTTGTGGTCAGTTGATTTTCAATTTTGAACAACAAGACTAGTTAATGGAAAAAGAATAATAGTCTTTTCAACAAATGATGCTAGAAAAACTGGATATCCACATTCAAAAGAATGAATTTGATTCTGATCTCACTTCACACAATGAAACTAATTCAAAATGAATCATAGGTGAAATATAAGCACTAAACATATAAAACTCTTAGAAATAAACATAGTCATAAGCCTTTATGACTTTGGGTTAGACAATGGTTTCTTAGATTCAACACCAGAAGCATAAGCAACAAACAAAACTAAAGTTAGACTTCACTAAAGTTAAAACTCTGGTTAAAAGGAGCACCATCAGGAAAATCGAAAGAGAATCAACATAATAGAATATAGTCGCAGGTCATATATTGCATAAGGAACTAGTATCCAGAGTACACTGAAAGACTTCAAATTTAAATATGAGACAAGGATTGAACAGACATTTCTCAGAAGAAAATATACAACTGGTCAACAAGCCAAACAGCAGATATTAAACATCATTAGTCATAAGAGAAATGCAAATGAAAACCACAACAAAATTCCACACTTGCTGGAATGACTAAAATAAAAAAACCACAGCAATAACAAATATTGGTAAGATGGTGGCAAATTTGGAACTCTCGTGTATTATACATTTAAAATGGCTTAATTCTATGATATGTGACTCTTATCTCAATAAAGCTGTACTATTATAGTATAGGACATTTTAATATATTCTTCACTCACTTTCTTTCATGTCAACAGCAAGAACAAAAAATATATCTCACACAGACATAGACCATATGTCAAAGCTAAGAAATTAACCTTAGTGCAATATTATCAACTAAAATACAGAACTACTCACATTTTTATGTGTTTTTCCACTAATTTCTTTTTTCTGTCTGTTTTACCATCTAATCCAGGATCCCTTATTAAATTTATTTGTCCTCCAATCTGTGATATCTCTCCTATTTTATTAGACAATTTTGAAAAATAACAGATCATCTATTTTGTAGAATAGCCCTGTTTGAGTTTTTGTGATGCTTTCTCGTGACTAGATTGTTATGCATTATTGGGAAGGATACCATAGGTGTGATGTGCTCATCTCAAGAAGCTATGCAATAAATATATGATTTGTTACTGATTATGTAACTTTATCACTTGACTAAGGTGTGTCGGGGTTAATCAAAATGTTCTAAAATTAGGTAGTAGTGATGGTTCTTGGACTTTGTAAATATACAAAAAAATTTAATTGTACACATTAAATGTACACTCAATTCTAAGTTATGTGTATTACATATAATAAACCTATTAAAACAACACATTCATGTCCAGATATATTAAAATAAATTTATTTCCCAAGTTAAATAATAATGGTCTCAACTTTCTGTCTATTATTCAAACGTCATTTACTGTAGGGCTAACAGTTATCACCATTATGGTTTAAAAAATAGATCCCTAGGATATCTACAATTAAGGTATATTCTGAAGAAGGCAGTTAGGATAGGAACTGATACTAGACTGCGGTAAATATAAGGCAGAGGTTCCCAAACACTGGACCATGCATCAGCTGACCACTTCTTAATAAAAAATTTAAAATAAATGTTCTATTTAAAAAGTTGGGTCCAGGGAGATAACCTGAAATGGTACTATGACAACTTAATGTTTTTGATAGTGTGTCATTAGGTGTATCTATCTATCAGCAGCATCTAGATAAATCTTGGATAGTCTCCCTACCAAATGACAGGTGCTTCTTCCATGGATCCACATACTTAGTGCTCTCTTTAGAAATTTCCACAAATCATTTTCTGTGATCTTCTAATCCTATTGTTTCAAGATTTCTGGACAACTGTTCAGGCTATTCATTACTGTCCAGGAAGCATGTGTGTTTCTATAATTCAGATGTTTTTCTCCTTCATACAAAGTGAATACACTAGTATATTCTTACAGCTTTCTCTACTGAATTTCCCTTAACTCATATTTCACTGCCACTCCCAAGTGGGTTTATAATAAAGCAGCCATTTCATTGTCTGCCAGGAATCTGTACATTGTTTGGACCCAACTTTGAACCAAGCCCTTGTGTTTTTCTTTTCTCGCAGTGAGCCATAGATAACCACTTAGGGAAAATTGGTAAAAATAAAAGATAAGCATCAGTGCAACAGACATAGGTGCCATTTGTACAAGTAAATTATTCATACCATACCATCTGGACCATGTGAACCTCAATCAGAAACAAACCAGTCCTATTTTGTAGTGAATTGTTTTTCTACCCACTCAAACTTATGTTTTGTAGACTTGATAGCACTCAGTGAAAGATGGGCAGCTCCAGCCACATCAACATTTGCTGTTTTATGCTCAGATGCTCAATGTTGCTGAGATTTCAATAGTATATCAAAAATATATTTTTTTTATAAAAAAACAGCTTGATCAAAGAACATGGCCTTGATTTTTAAAGCTAAAGATTTGTTTAGAAACCTCTTCTGCTCAGGGCTCCATTTCCATCTGGCACTTTCTGAGTTACCCACTAAATTAGTCTAAGAAGAATTGCAGTTGAATAAATGCTGCTCTAAAATTCAGAAAAGCACAATAATCACGGTGAATCTTTCTCACTAATAGTGAGTGCTAGGTATGTTAACTTGTACTTTATTCCATAAGGGATATCTTGTACTCCCCAGATTACTGGACTCCTAGAATCTTAACATTTTGATAAGAATCTCGGATCACATGACATAAGTGACAGAGCAGTTTTTACTGGAGCTTGCACATTTGTAGAGCCTTGTTTTTCTCTGGGCTTCATAAAAATGGCAGTCCTCTGAGATACCCACTGTGTCAGGCTAAATAATGACTCTCTAAAAATGTTCATGTTCTGTTTTCTGGGACCTCTGATTATGTTACATAACAAATTAGTGGAACTTTACACATTTTTCAAGTAAATATATAGCAATGAGGACACTCTGTAGGTGGAAAATGTAATCCAAAGTGTCCTTGTAAAAAGGAGACAGGTAGATCAAATCAGTAGTAAAAGTTGTGATGATGGAATCAAGAGAAACCAGGAATAAAGAGGAGCCAAGAAATGACAAAGGCAAAAAATCAAGTTCTCCCTTCAGAAGATCCAGAAGGAACCAGCTCTACTGACACCTTGACTTTAACCCAGTAATAATTATCTGGGGCCACTGTAAGACAATAAATGTATTATTTTAAACTACTAAATGTATGGCAATTTGTTACAGAAGCAATAGTAAACTAATATACCTATAAAATAATTTGGTGGTATATTTCTAAGCAAAGTGGAAACTGACGTCCAAAACTCTAAGAGGACTGCAGAAGCTGTATTTCTTTTCTGATATTACCTTGGAAGGGATATCTTGGAATGACCAGATCTTTGGGCACCTTAAAATTTGTCTAAAGTGAAATGTCGCTAAATTTTCTGGTATGCACTCAAGAGTACCCAGAGTACTTGTCATTTTATTTATTTTTTATTTCTGTGAGTACATATACATATACATACACACACATATATATAGTATATGAGTATATACATACATATTTTTATAAGGTACATGAGGTGTTTTGATACAGGCACACAATGTGAAATAATAACATAATAGAGAATGGGGTATCCATCCCCTCAAACATTTTATCCTTTGAGTTACAAAGAATTCAAGTACACTCTTTTAGATGTTTAAAAATGTACAATTATTATTGACTATAGTCACCCTGTTGTGCTATCAAATAGTAGGTCTTACTTATTTTTTCCTTAACTATATATTTTGTACCCATTAACCATCACCACATTCCCCAAACCCCCACTCCCCTTCCCAGCCTCTAGTAAACATCATTCTACTCTCTATCTCCATGATTTAAATTGTTTTGATTTTTGGATCCCACAAATAAGTGAGAACATGCAATACTTACCTTTCCGTGCCTGGCTTATTTCACTTAACATAATAGTCTCCAGTTCCATCCATGTTGTTGCAAATGACAAGATCTCATTTGTTTTTATGGCTGAATAGTACTCCATTGTGTGTGTGTGTGTGTGTGTGTGTGTGTGTGTGTGTGCATGTGTGTGTATATCACATTTTCTTTATCCATTCCTCTGCTGAACACTTAGGTTGCTTCCAAAACTTAGCTATTGTAAACAGTGCTGCGACAAACATAGGAGTGCAGATATATCTTCAATATGCTGATTTCTTTTATTTTGGGTATATAACCAGCAGTGAGATTGCTGGATCATAGGGTAGCTCTACTTTTAGTTTCTTGAGGAAGCTCCAAACTGTTCTCCACAGTGGCTGTACTAATTTATATTCCCACCAACAGTGTATGAGTGTTCCCTTTTCTCCACATCCTCACCAGCATTTGTTATTGCCTGTCTTTTGAATATAAGCCATTTTAACTGGGGTGAGATGATATCTCATTGTAGTCTTGATTTGCATTTCTCTGATGATCAGTGATGTTGAACACCTTTTTATATGCCTCTTTTCCATTTGTATGTCTTATTTGATAAATGTCTATTCAAATATTTTGCCACTTTTTGATCAGATATTGAATTTTTTATAGAGTTTTTAGAGTTCCATTTGTGTTCTGGTTATTAACCCTGGTTAGATGAATAGTTTGCAGACATATTTTCCCATTCTATGGATTGTCATTTCAGTTTGTTGACTGCATCCTTTGCTATGCAGAAGCTTTTTAACTTGATGTGGTCTAATTTGTCCATTTTTGCTATGGTTGGTTGTGCTTGTAAGGTATTGCTCAACAAACTTTTGGCAAGCCCACTGTCCTGGAGCGCTCTCTCAATGTTTACTTGTAGTAGTTTCATAGTTTGAGTTCTTAGATTTAAGTCCTTAATGCATTTTAATCTGATTTTTGTATAAGGTGAGAGATAGAGGTATATGTTCTTGGCTTTTTTTGTCAAAAATGAGTTCACTGTAGGTATGTGGATTTGTTCTTGAGTTCTCTATTCTGTTGCAGTGGTCTATGTGTCTGCTTCTATGCCAGTACCATGTTGTTTGTGTTACTATAGTGTTGTAGTATAATTTGAAGTAGGTAATATGTTTCCAATTTTGTCCCTTTTGCGTAGGCTTTGGCTATTCTGGGTCTTTTGTGGTTCCATATAAATAGCTTTGGCTATTCTGGGCCTTTTTGGTTCTATATCCAATAGCTTTGTCTATTTTTCATCTTTCGTGCTTCCATACAAATTTTAGAATTATTTTTTGTATTTCTGTGAAGAATGTCTTTGGTATTTTTACAAGGATTGAGTTGAACCTGTAGCTTGCTTTGGGTGGTACGGACATTTTAAAAATATTGATTTTTTCCAATTCATGAACATGGAATATCTTTCCAATTTTTGGTTCCTCTTCTATTTATTTTTAATCATTGTTTTACAGTTTTCATTACAGAAATCTTTTACTTCTTTGGTTAATTCCTAGGTATTTAATTTTATCTGTGGCTATTGTAAATGGGATTGCTTTTTTATTCCTTTTTCTTTGTTCACTATTAGCATATAGAAATACTACTGATTTTTGTATGTTGATTTTGTATACTGCAACTTTACTAAATTTATCAATTTTAATAGTTTTTTTGGTGGAGTCATTAGATTAGTATAAATATAAGATCATATCTCCTACAAACAGGAATATTTTTTCTTCCTTTCCAATTTGGACAACATTTGTATCTTTCTCCTGTCTGATTGCTTTAGCTTGGACTACCAGTACTGTGTTGAATAACAGCAGTAACAGTGGGCATCCTTGTCATATTCTAGATATTAGAGGAAAGCCTTTCAGCTTTATCCCATTTGGTCTGATACTAGCTGTGAGTCTGTCATATATGGCTTTTATGTTGAGGTATGTTCCTTCTATATCTATTTTATTTTTAGTTTTCTCATGAAGAGACATTGAATTTAATCAAATTTTTAAGCATCAACTCAAATGACTATATGTTTTTTATTCTTCATTGTATTGATGTGATGTATCACCTTGACTGATTTGCATATGCTGAACTATCCTTTTATCCCAGGAATAAATCTCCTCTTGGTTGTGATGAATGATTTTCCAGTATATTGTTGAATATGGTTCGCTAGTATTTTGTTGAGGATCTTTACATCAATATTCATCACAGATATTGGCCTGTAGTGTTTTTTTTTTTCTTTTTTTTAATTCTAATGTGTCTTTGTCTGGTTTTTGTATCAGGGTTATACTGGTCTCATAGAATGAGTTTGAAAGTATTCTCCTCTCTTCCGTTTTTAAGAAGAGTTTGAGTATAATTGGTACTAGTTCTTTAAATGTTTGGTAGAATTCAGCAGTGGAGACATTGGGTCCTGGGCTTTTCTTTACTGGGAGACATTTTATTATGGCTTCAATCTTGTTACTTGTTATTGGTCAGTTCAGTTTTCTGATTTCTTCCTGGTTCAATCTTGGTAGCATGTGGCTAGGAATTTGTCCATTTCTTCTGTATTTTCCAATTTATTGGTGTATAGTTGCTCATAGTAGCCACTAATGATCCCATGAATTTCTGCAGTTGTAATGTCTCTTTTTTCATTTCTGATTTTATTCATTTGTATATTCTCTCTTTTGTTTTCTTAGTCTGCCTTAAGATTTGTCAATTTTGTTTGACTTTTCAAGAAACCAACTTTTCACTGATCTTTTGTGTATATTTTTTATTTCAACTTAATTTATTTCTGCTCTGATATTTATTATGTTTTCTACTAATTTCGAGTTTGGCTTGCTCTTGCTTTTTTAATTCTTTAAGATATATTGTTAGATTGTTTATTTGAAGTTTTTCCTCCTTTTTTTTTGAGACAGAGGAAGTCTCACTTTGTTGCCCGGGCTAGAGTGCAGTAGCACAGCGTTGGCTCACTGCAACCCCTGCTTCCCGGGTTCAAGCGATTCTCCTGCCTCAGCCTCCTGAGTAGCTGGGATTACAAGTGCACACCACCATACCTAGCTAATTTTTTGTATTTTTATTAGAGACAGGGTTTCACCATGTTGGCCAGGCTGGTCTTGAGCCCCTGACCTCAAATGATCTGCCACCTCAGCCTCCCGAAGTGCTGGGATTACAGGTCTTTTTTATGTAAGCACTTATTGCTATAAACATCTCTCTTAGCACTGCTTTTGCTGTATCCCATGGGTTTTGGATATGTTATGTTTCCATTATCATTTGCTTCAAGAAACTTTTCAATTTCCTTCTTAATTTCTTCGTTGACTCACTGGTCATTCAGGACATATTGTTTAATTTTCATCTATTTATATAGTTTCCAAAATTCATCTTGTTATAAATTTCTAGTTTTATTTCAGTATGGTCAGAGAAGATGCTTGATATTATTTCAATTTTTTTGAATGTTTTAAGACTTGTTTTGTGACCTAACATATGGTCTATCCTGAGAATGTTCCATGTTTTCAGGAAAAGAATATGTATTCTACAACTGTCAGATGAAATGTGTTGGAAGATCTGTCCAGTGCTGAGAGTGGGGTGTTGAAGTTTCCATCTATTATTGTATCAGGGCCTATCTCTCTCTTTAGCTCCAATAATATTTGCTTTATATATCTAGGTGCCGCAGTGTTGGGTGCATGTAATATGTATATATTTTTTATATTATATAATTGTTATATCCTCTTGCTGAATTAAACCATCATTATACAGAAGGTCACTACTTTTTCTCTCTTCTTATAGTTTTGTCTTGAAATCTATTTTGACTGAAGTAAGTATAGCGACTCTTGCACTTTTTTGGTTTCCAGTGGCCTGGAATTTCTTTTTCTATCCCTTTATTTTCAGCCTGTGTGTCTTTATAGGTGAAGTGTGTCTCTTGTAGGCAACAGATCCATGAGTCATGGGCCCCAACAACCAGCAAGTGGCAAAGCCAGCCAGGCCTGTGTCTTTCTCTTCAGGGTTTTGAGGTGCCCCAGGTCTCAGGTTGGTTTAGAAGTGCTGTCCAGGAGTCAGGGACTAGAGTCAAAAACCTTAGAAGTTTACCTGGTGTTCTATTGTGCTGTGGCTGAACTGACACTCAAACTGCAAGACACAGTCTTTCCCACTCTTCTTGGACCCTGGTTATTCAGCCCAAGGGCTCTTCAGGTAGCAGATGATAAATACTGCCAGAACTGTGTCTTTATCTTTAAGGCAGCACGTTCTCTTCTGGATCAGGGAGTGTCTAGAAATGTCATTCAGGAATTAGGGCCCAGAACAGGGGACTCAAGACTCTGATTGGTGCCCTCTCCTGCTGTGGTTGAACTGGTATCCCAGATGCAGACAAAACCCTCCTCATTCTTCCCTCCTCTGTCCTTAAATGCAAGGAAGGGTCTCTTTTGGAGCCACAAGTTGTGCAGCTTAGGGTTAGGGGAGGAGTGATGTCATCACTTTGTTAGCCACCCCAGCGGTGTTTCAAGATGTTGCATGCTCCCCTAGTCCACTGTATCTGGGCCTAGTTTAGCACTAAGACTCTCTTAAGAGTTGCAGTCCTTATGGCCTAGACTGCTCTATTAGTTCATTCTCACACTGCTGAAAAACACATACCCAAGACTGGGTAATTTATAAAGGAAATAAGCTTAATTGACTCACAGTTCTGCATGGCTGGGGAGGCCTCAGGACCTTACAATAATGGCAGAAGGCACCTCTTCACAGGGCAGCAGGAGAGAGAATAAGTGCCAGCAGAGGATATGCCAGAAGCTTATAAATCCATCAGTTCTCATGAGAACCCACTCACTATCATGAGAGCAGCATGGGGGAAATTGCCTTCATTATTCAATTATCTCCCACCGGGTTCCTCCCATGACATGTGGGGATTACAGGAATTACAATTTAAGATGAGATTTGGGTGGGGACGCAGCCAAACCATATCACTCGTCTTTCAGAGTTCTTGCCATTTTATGTCAATGGCAAGTTGGAGTTCTAAATCCCTCAATTACACTACCAGTGTCATATTCTTGGTAAGTATCAAGACAATTATAATTCCTTTGAATGTTATTGTGACAAAAAGCAGATACTGCTTATTCCTTGGCAAGATATACCTATATACATGTATACTATTCTCTATCTCAGATGAATTTAAGCTGCTTTTGATCTGTCCAGATGGAGATTGAAAAGAAAAACACATTTAGCAGAGAAATAGCCAAATAGTGTACTCAAAAGATGTGTAATATTTTAAAATAAGGTTACCACCTCCTCCACAACCACTGTGATTGGAGCTACCCCTTAGTTATTTACCTTGGATATTCAGTCATCAACCAATATCCAATAAGATCAACTAGCGTTTGCAGAAGTTAGACAAGTGAATTAAAATAGGAGCATTGAGTCCAACACTCTTGTATTTGTTAAGTCTATGAAGTTGTTACTAATCTGTGAAATGCTTTTTGGGATATGTTACTGATTCCGTTTTACCCTCTTGGCTATGTGGAGAGTACAGATTCCAGACTTTCACGTAGCCTCTCCTATCCTGATAGCTCTACTCTTTAGATGAAGGATTCATGAAAGGGTACTGCCAGCTGTGATCAATATACATGCTAAATATGCACTCCTAAACAGCAGAAATAATCCCATTAGACAAAATTGGCTCAATATTCAATTTATTACTTGGTTTCTAACCATCTCTGTTTTCACAGGGAGCTATAATGGCTCGTTTTCCCTTGATATCAATGCCAGTTCAAATTTGCTAGTCATCCTCTGTATCTAAGCTGGGTATTCCCCTTTCTCCAGTATATAGTAATGGAAAGATAGGATATATGCATTGTATGTACTTGCAGTAGTAGCTCAGAGTCCTTCAGCTTGGGCACTTGGACCTATCCTTTAAATTATGACTTATGGATGTAAGAATTAGTCAGCTCTAGAAATGTAACAGATAACTTGATTTTTTATTATAATGTCAAACAACAACCTTCTGCTCATCACAAATAAGTAATTTATCCAAGGTTACTCAACTACTAAAGATCAGGGCCAGATTAATACTCTAGCACTCTAGATTTAGAGCTTTTGATTCAAAGCACTATACTGTACTGCTTTTCCATTAGAGGAAACAGCAAATAAACAAAAGCAGAAAAAATATAACAAATCCACTGAGGTATTGGAAAATTATAATAACAAAACTGTGGTACCATAATTATGTAGCCATTAAAAATAACAATAGAGTTCCAAACTTGCTGATCAGTAAAGATATTCAAACATATATTTCAGTGACAAGAGTCATGGCAAAAAGATACAGGTTAATATAAGCCCATATTTATAAATATGGATAATTATATGTTTATGTGAAAATGTGTGGAATCTACTACAATAATGATCATTACAAATTATTTAATTAAGAAGCTTGTCAGTAGAAGGAAAAAAGAGAATGAGACATAATGTAGGTCATTTGCCAACAGAACAGGTTTTTAAGATAAAGAAAAGTAACACAGATTTGAGGAGAGGAGAAAGAATGAGTCAATACAGAAAAGCTTTTATGTCAATACAGTAATCACAATAAAATAATTAGGAGTCATTACATGTGAGGTATGTTGTTTTCATATTATGCATGGAATAGCTCACTTCATCATCATAATAACCCCATTAAAGAAGCTCTTATGTTTATTTACTAGTTAGGCAACTGAGACTTCAAAAGAATGAGTCACTTACTCAGGCACTCTATTTCATGAGCCCATGTTTCTCTCTACTCTACTACGGTATCCTGCTTCCTCTACTTGTAGGGGAAAGATAGAAAAGAAAAAAGAAAGGCACATATTCTTACATGCTTCAGCAATGTCATTTCTTCAACCTCAGAATCGAAGTTTATTATCCATATCTGCAACTTAATACATCGTTGATAAAATTATTACATGTTTTTTACAGAATTTCAATTTTTTGAAAGGCTATCAGTAAAATTCTTTTAATATCCACTTAACTTGGACCATTAGACATCACACCAAAAAACATTAATACTTAAAAATATCTTTATGCTGATATTAATTACAAATTAGTATTTATACATGCCTTAAAAACAGTTTTAAATAAAATTGTTTAGATGGGTGATTTAAATGTGAACGATCACTGGAAAGATCAAACAAATAGTATCACAGAAAGGAGTTCTAAAATTACACACTTTGGAAATCAATGCTGGATTTCACTTGCTTCCTAGATTTAACAACAGCAGTTTCTGTCTTTAGATTGCTGTAATTAGCACTAGCCTCAGATGCTCATTTACACCTTTGGCAGTCAAGGATGGGAAATATGACTTTCACTGATGGTGTGTTATAATCACACCAGCTTGGAGCTTTTTCTTCCCTCTGATTTTCGTTGATAACATTCACAGCAAACTTTAAAAAAAAAAGTCAAAGTGCATTTCTTTTGAGTTAAATGCTTTAACTCAGAATTTCAGGAGTGCATCGGTAATTTATAATAGTTTACCTTTTGTTTCTTTACTTTGTTGTTGGTCTCATGCAGACAAACATTAAGAACAAAAACAAAACAAAACAAATAATATATAGCTGAAGACCAGTTTTCTTATATATATATGTATATAACCTAGGAATTTCCCATGAGTGCAGATTATTATAAAATAGGAAGTATTAAGACCTGAAGCAAAAAATCAGAAAAAACTGTACTGTTCTAAATATAGAATTTAGAATTGCTCGTGTTAATATTATACCTTATGCAAGAAAATGTAGTTATCAAAATCCAGTTTGAACTATGACCCAAGCTACACAGCATTCACACTTTGAAAAGTTGGCATAAAATGAAATTTTATTGCATACTCAAATCTTAAATAGGACCATTCATTGAAAAAATGTATTTTTATCAGTGTGTACAAATGTACACTTAATATATGTACATGTACATGTTTAATATTTGTTCTTGTTTCTTTCTTAATCAGCATGACCATAATCATATTTTTAATTTTTAAAAAATCAATTTCTGTGTTTTTAACATAACTATGAAAGCCTTGAATAAATGAGTATCTTCATCTGAGCCATGCCAAAATAATTTTATTCTTTAACAAGCATAATCATTAATCTTGTATTGGAATGCATCATGTATACTAAAGGTGGATTTGGCAGAAGTAATTGTAGATGCTAATTCCTAAAAATTAAAGGTTTGTTATTTAGAATAACAGTAGATTATTAAGAAGATATTGGTAATATACTAGAAGAAAGAACAGAAGTTATATCTTTAGTGGGTAACACACTGCTTGCTTATTTTCCAGCTGTGAGAAATAGATCAGATTTCTCTGCCAAAGATCACAATGGCTTTCAAACCTTAAATAGTAGCAGAATGTAATAATGATTTCTACTATCTGCCCATTTTCACTGCGACTAATACACCAAAAAATAGTTAACAGATAAGCCCTTTATTTTCCTCTTGGTAACTGAATATTTTGGTAGGAAAAAAAATACTGAAACATTTCTTGCTGTTCCGATTCTAATTCTAGTGATTTTTGTTTTCTGTGTGCCCGTTGAATTGAAGAAATCATTCAGATTTAATTTCTGCCCTTTATTTTATTTTATTCCTTTTTATCTCCTCAAGTGTTAAGTTCCTTTGACACTTATTGGTGGTGTTATCATTTGGTCTGAATGAAATTAAGTATCAGAATTAATATTTAGCTCCTTAGGAGCCAGAAAGGGGCTGAAGAAGAGCTGATGCTCTTTAAAATGAGGCAGTCGTGACAAATCATCATAAAGTGTGGAAGAGCGAAGCTGAAGAATAATTATATATGTGAATACTAAACAGCAGAAAAGCAGTTATAAAATATCAGAAAAAAATGTAAAGACCAGTCCACAGCAGGGGACTGAGGCCCTTAAAGGAAAATAAGAAATTATGAGAAGCTTGACTATACTTACGAATGATCTACAAGAGAAAGCAGAGAAGATAATAAAACATGATGATCAGGAAAAAAGGTTTTACATTAATAAAATGTTTGAAAATTATATTAAAGCCAAGCATAAAAGAGTGATATCAATCTCTGAGAAAAATATAAAGAAAGATGACTCTCAAGATAATTTTTTAGTTTTGGTTGTGGTCTTATTTTTTGCAATTATCACTGCTTTGTTTCGTTTGCTTGTTGATTAGTCATGTTCAAAGAAGGAAACTTACAGCACTAAACAGCCTATTTATCTACGCTGATTATTTAACCTTGAATGAATACATTTATAGATTTCCAAGACAGTGTCTCACTCTGTCACCTAAGCTGGAGAACAGTAGCATGACGACAGATCACAGTAGCCTTGACTTCTGGGGTCAGGTGATCCTCCCACCTCAGCCTTCCGAGCAGCTGGGCCCACATGTGAGTGCCACTACGACTGGCTATTTTTTTTGTATTTTTAGTAGAAGTGGAGTTTCACCATGTTGCCCAGGCTGGTCTCTAATTCCTGGGCTCAAGCGATCCACCCACCTTGGCCTCCCAAAGTGCTGGGATTACAGGCACAAGCCACTACGCCCAGCCATTGAATGAATATAAAGTAAAAAAAAAAAAAAAAAAAAAAAAAAAAATTCAATTTATATTTAACTTTCTTCTCAATTAAGTGGACTGCAATTCACACTTAAAAGATTATTGGAGACAACTAAACTCTTCTGAAGTATGCCCCCATCCCTAAAACTCATCAAGTGGATAAAAATGGCTTGTTGACATTGCATGTGCAAATCCTTTTATCTATACCTGGGTTGGCCAATATAGTAGCCACTAGCACATAGGGCTATATAAATTTAATGGGTAATTAATTAAAAGTAAATAAAATTAAAAATTAAATCCCTCAATTACACTAGCTGTATTAGTCAAGGCCTCTTTCACTGACAAAGAAGACTAATCAGAATTTAGAGGCTCAATGTCCTTGGCTTCATTAGGGTTTCCCCACATGCCCCCATTCCAACTTACAATATCCAGTTCTTTCTCAATCAATGCCCTCAATTTAAAAGTAGACACCCTGTGAGACTGAGAACTCAACTTGCAATTCAGTGAGGCACTGGATGCAATTCCGCATATGATGTTCTGCTATCTCAGTCTTGTGGCTAAAGGAGATAAGGATCTCCTCCAGGGCATGCAAAAGATTTTAAGACATTTATGCAGTGCTTGAGCTGAGAATCTGAATTCTGAAACTCAGTCTTTTCTGTCACTTTGTCCAGCAAAATTAGAAGCAACCAGCCAACCTCATTATATTTGTTAGTTTTTCATAAATCTTTGAAAGCATCATACACTCAGCTTCTTGCTTCTTGTAAGTGATTGGTTAGGAATATTCAATTGAGATATTTTGCATACCTCCATTGCTGGATCACTCCACAGACTACAAGTGTTCTCTTACTAGCAGAAATAGAATCACTAGCACCTAGTCAGCCTAGAAAGCCAATTCCAGGAACTCCAAAACCAAGTTAGAAAACCTATTCTTAAAATTCGATTCCATTAGAACCACTCTTCGTACAAAATCTGTATCAGTCAAGGTTCTCCAGAGAAACAAAACAAATAAGATACATACAAAGAGAGAGAAAAACCTATCTATATAATTGTATATAGCTATATATTGTATAATTACATCTGTATCTAAGTCTATATAGTTGTAATTATATAATTATGTAGTAATTATATAACATCTATATAATTATATATGTATAATATATAATACACATATAAATTATATATATTTATAATAATGTTGTGTGTGCGTTTGCATATATATATAAAATTAGAAATTGGCTCATACAATTACCGAGGCTGAGAATTCTCATGATTTGCCTTCTGGAAGCTACAGATCCAGGAAAGCCAATGGTGTAGTTCCAGTCCAAGTCTGAAGGCCTGAGAACTAGGAGCCACAATGACATAAGTCTCAGTCCAAGAGTAGGAGAAATGGGTAATTCATTGTAAACAGTCAGTCACAAACAGAGAAAATTCTCCCTTGCTCCTTCTCTTTGTTCTAGTCAGGTCTTCAACAGACTGGATAATCTGGATGATGTCCTTTTTTTTTTTTTTTTTCCTTGAGATAGAGTCTTGCTCTGTCACCCAGGCTGGAGTGCAGCGGCACAATCTCGGCTCACTGCAACAGCCGCCTCCAGGGTTCAAGGGATTCTCCTGCCTCAGCCTCCTGAGTAGCTGGGGTTACAGGCAGGCACTACCATGCCTGGCTAATTTCTGTATTTTTAGTAGAGATGGTTTTGCCATGTTGGCCAAGCTGGTCTAGAACTCCTGATCTGAGGTGATCCACCCAGGTCAGCCTCCCAAAGTGCTGGGATTACAGGTGTGAGCCACTGCGCCCGGCCAGGGTGATGTCCATTTATACAGGGAGGTCAAATGGCTTTAGTCAGTCTACTGATTCAAATACTGATCTCTTCCAGAAACACCCTCACAGACACACCCCGAAAAAAATGTTTGTCCAAATAGCTGGGCACCCAATAACCTAGTCATGTTGACACACAATACTAACCACCATCACACTACTCAAATCTCAAGTGTTCAATCACCACCTATGACTACTACTTCCCATATTAGACAGCACAGATCTATCACATTTCTATCATCACACAAAATTCTATTGCCAGAGCTAGTCTAGATAACTATGTTTAAGTATACTAAGGTATAACATTTTGAGAATTTACATTTTTTCTGTTTACATTATTTGAGTAATATATGCCCTATTATTCTATAATCCAGAAATTTTTCCATTTTTTGTACTTGGTAGAGAATCAAAATTATTGCTTTACTAATTTGTTTTGTAATTCAGGCCATTAATCCAAGATATTATTGTAGAATGTATTACCACAGGGTAAGCATTTACATACCTGAGAAAATGCAAGTTGTTTTAGGTTTCTAGAACAGTGGAGGATAAAATATATTAAAAGTAATATATTGGGGGCCGGGCATGGTGGCTCATGCCTGTAATCCCAGCACTTTGGGAGGCCAAGGCTGGCAGATCACCTGAAGTCGGGAGTTCGAGACCAGCCTGAGCAACATGGAGAAACCCTGTCTCTACTAAAAATACAAAATTAGCGAAGCGTGGTGGCACATGCCTATAATCCCAGCCACTCCAGAGGCTGAGGCAGGAGAATCGCTTGAACCTGGGGGGCAGAGGTGACAGTGAGCCGAGATCACGCCATTGCACTCCAGCCTGGGCAACAAGAGCAAAACTCCGTCTCAAAAAAAAAAAAAATGTAATATATTGAGGCTCTAATAAAAAATTAAATTATACTTGTAGAAAAGATTTTAAAACATAGGCTGTGTGCTAGAACAACTGATGAATTAGATGCTGTTTTATTCAAAGTAATGTTTATGAACTTTCACCAGTTCCAGGATTTGTTCCTGAATATGGACCATTATTATTCCAATTGAAATAAACTCGCGCATAGAAATTTAAAGTAGTGTGCCCAAGATCATGCAGCTGGTAAGTGATGGAAGTGTCATTTCACTTCATAAGATATGCCGTGGCTTATGCTTTTGTGAATAGTTTATGTTAGGAAGGACTTCCTACTTATTCAGTGCTAATACAGATTTTGTGCCAAGAGTGAGTCTAAAGAAATAGAATTTTGAGGATGAGCTTTCTAAATTGGCTTTGGAGTTTCTGGAATTGGCTTCTAGTCTGACTAGTTTTAAAAATGGTGACAAATTAACATTTTTGTTAATTACTTAAACAAAATGAGCAGTATTATTTTAATGATAGGAAGCTGACAACAGAATTATGACTCTCAAAAATCTGGATAGAATAAAGGAATGTATTGAATATACCAAAATAATAAAGAAAACTTAATGTGTCTGTATTGAGTTTTAGAAATCGTACATCTTTTTAAAAATAAAGTAAAATTATAAGGCTTTTAGTGCACATTAAACTAAAGTAAATCAAATGTGTGAATTTGGTACTTAATTTATAATTTTTTATTTAGGGTTAATCTTTAGATTAAAAACTTTTATAGATTTAGCTAATTCTCAAACAAATTAATTTTGTTATTGTAGGAAGAAGGAATGTTGCCATGGTGTGGCAAAATGTAAGTAATTTTACTGACACACATATTCTAAAATGTAAGTTCTCAAAATTTGGAGTGTAACAAACTATATTGTTATAAATTTGAAATGTAGATCGATTTGAAAACCAAAGTTTTAAAAATAAAGATATTAGAGAAACAGATATGATATTCTTGTTGAAAGGCATTCAGATTAGCTTAGAAAGAAAAAGTGAGTTTTTTAATGTGAACACAAAGTATAAACATATTAGTTAGAAGTGAACATTTTCATGAGAACAGAATTTGTCTCAATATAAACACAAATAATATGCATTCTAGTTAATAAATAGGTATATTTGGAAGGCAGGGAGTTTTTTTAACCTCTGAATATGTTAAAAAATGTAACATGTACGTATTTTCAGAGAGAATTTTACTGAGAGCCTCTCTGTATGTTTACAGGCTGATTTCCTTTAAATGTATTGTGCTTTACTTCGGTCAGAAGTATTTTTATAATCAGCCTGTCTGCCTACTAGAATCAATTAAGGAAAGGACTGCCTAGATCAGCATGGGGATACATAAACTACTCAGTATTTTGTTAAATATTAATTAAAATATTTTTAAATACATAATTAAATTAGTGTCATGGAACGCCATTTTTCAACTATAGTATGTTTACCAATTTATCTACATTGTATCTGTTTATTATAGGTAGCAATTATAGAACTCTTTTGTTCATACTGAGGATCTTTTCTAAGGTTCACACAGTTGTATATATTCCAGAAATGGTCCAAGATTTATTTGAACAAACATTGTTTTAAATTTGAATGGGCAACTTAGTTGCTCCATCCGGTATTAATTATTCTCATAGGTTTGTGAGTAAAAAGTTTAGAAAGTATATAATACCTAAAAGTGTTAAAATAAATAAATAAAAATGTTTATTATTATTATTATTTTTTTTTTTTGAGGTGGTGTCTCACTTTGTCGCCCAGGCTGGAGTGCAGTGGAGTGATCTCGGCTCACTGCAAGCTCCGCCTGCCGGGTTCACGCCATTCTCCTGCCTTAGCCTCCTGAGTAGCTGGGACTACAGGCGCCCATCACCATGCCCGGCTAATTTTTTTGTATTTTAGTAGAGATGGAGTTTCACCATGTTAGCCAGGATGGTCTCGATCTCCTGACCTCGTGATCCGCCCACCTTGGCCTCCCAAAGTGCTGAGATTACAGGCGTGAGCCATCTGGAGAAGCATACTATTGGTAATATTGAAAAATGCCCAAAAATTGAGGTGGAGGGGGTCCCATACAGGGAGAAAGAGAAACAAAAGAAGGCCAAACACATTTTTACTTGATGAAAATAAAACAGTTCCTTAAAGGTAACTTATGCTCCCCAAAGACATGTAAACATACTCTACTACAGATTCTCATGTCTTATGTGAGATGGTAGAGCCAACTCTCTCGAATACGATTTTGTACTATGAGAACAGAGGACCAAAATATAGTGTCTCACCTTTATTTTTTCCCACAAATGATGACAACCTGAAGTTAGTTAATCAGTTCTGCGGTGGTTTAAACTATTCCCTTTTCTCCTATCTCCTTTGTACCCCCAAGACATCTAATCATTTGATGTAGCCAAGGACAGAAAGTCCATTGAAACAAATCCAGCTTGCCAGTTAATATTATTCAGATAATATCTGTCACTCAAAAATAAAATAGAATTTATTAGCAGGTACAAATATAAGGTTTGATGAAAGAAATAAGACCTTGTGATATATAAATCTGTAGGGTGACTATAGTTTATAATAACCTTGTATATTTTAAAATACCTAGTGGACAAGAAATAGAATGTTTCTAGCTGGAAAGAAAGAAAAATATTTAAGGTGATATTCCTAAAACCCTAATTTGATCTTTATAAATTACATGAATATATTAAATTATCACATGTACCCCAAAACTATGTACATCTGTTCTGCATCAGTACAAATATTACCAAATAATAAAATGAATGGCATTATGACCTTTTAATATTTTTCATATTTTCAGGTATAAGCCTCTAGACAGCTATTTTATCAAACTTCTAAAACTTTCTTTTTATAACTGTTTGAAGAGAAGCAGGTTTTATCATCTAATGAAACAGTCAATAAAACGTCTTTACATTTCAGCCATAAAGTAATAACACTGCCCTTATTTTTTGTTAATGAGAATATAGTAAATTCCATTCAGACATTTTATATTCTAGTAACTAAAGAGGCTTTCAATCACTTAATATCTGAATAGGTCATGATAGATATATTTTTCTCTGTTCACTCCTCAACAGAGCTTGATAAATGATTCTATAACATAGAGAATGATGTTTATATTATTTTCATATGTTTATATGATTTCTTTTGTTTATTTGTTTCTTTAGGACAAATTGTATTCCTATTATTTTAAAACATACTATTAAGGTAAAAAATAAAGCCTGTTTGTGACATCATCTACTTTTAATTTTTATTTTAATTGCTACTTTTTGCTTATGCTTATTTAAATGGAATTATGAACCACACCGGCAGACTCTTAGGTATATATTCAACCAACATTTATTAAAATCCTGATAATCCTATTTGTTTCAGGAGTAAACATTTATTAAGTCACTTTTAGAAAGAGAAAGTGGATAGAGTTTTATCTTCATATCTCTTATATGCCATGAACTATTCCTTGTGATTGGCATAGGTTAGTTTATTTAATCTTTGAAACAACCCCATGTGTTATTTGTTATTCTCATTCTTTCACCACAGATTCATAGATGCTATGCACCTTGACCAATATCTCACAACTCTTAGAAAATGAAGAAACAATTTCAAGTGACAATTATTTTACTACAAAAAGTTAAATCCTTTGTCTCTGCCATCTACCTTCTAATTCAGAAGCCTATATTCAGCACTAGTGGAAACATAAAAATGTCATGTTTATATTCTTTCTTAAAATTATTAAAGGAGACAATATTAAGTCAATAATTATTATTCAAATTAAAAATGAAAAAAATAAACAGGAACAATGGCAAAAAGTATGTCTTCAAATGAAGATTAGCTATGGGAAAACTTCATGGAGGGGAGGGCATTTAAGCATCATCTTACAAGTGTAAATAAAAGTTAGGAGGTGCAATATTACTTTTTAATTCTTCTTCTTTAATTTCTGAGACATTCCTATAGGTCAGTCGTTCATTCCTAAAAAAAAAAAAAAAATACTAAAACAAGGTAAGTCTCAGTTTGGTGATTCACCAATATAGCTAAAAAGTTGGAGCCATGTACATATCACCTTCCTGCTAAAATCTATTAACCATTCCCTTTTGCCAGCACAATAGTCTATTTTCCTTAGTTTCACGTTTGATCTTTCAATCCATAAATCTATTCTAGCTTCCTCTCACTACTACCTTTCAAAATGTTTGCACCCAGGAATCAGTCTTTTCCCCATATTCCACTCTCCCCCTATTTTGCTGCTTTGTTCAAGTATTCCTATTACCTACAATCTCCCTCATTATTCCTATTGAAATTCCACCTGACACTGAAAATCCAGCTAAAATATTACTTCTTTAATAATTACTTGATCCATATGTAGATTAATTCATTTTTTTCTAAACTCCTGTAAATCTTTCCTGAATTTTACCAAGACTTAATCAAATCTTGATTCAACTATTGTTGCTTCTAGAACTTATTTGTAAAGTTTTTTTGTGTGTACTCTTTTCAAATTATTATATTATAATTTTCTCGAAAGTAGAACGTTTGACTTTTTTCCCATTTTCCTTTCTATTTTCTAAGTTTGTTGGTTTAAATTAGTCATATGTTAACTGATCATTTCCTAATTAAATGGAATTGCAGGAAAAAATGTGAAAAATCACAATGAGTTAACAAAAATATACTAACAGGCCTGTTTTGTGGTAAAACATGCATCTAGTTTCGATGGCAGTTAGGATGAATTAAGAAAATACTGAAAACTACACTTGTGGACAAAAACAGAATGAATGTAAGTTGATTGACAGAACATTTAAATAAAAATAAAGAAAAAATTAAGAATAAATAGGATAAATACACATTATAGGTTAACTTTTGTTAATATTTCTCAAAATGTCAATTTTTTAAAAAATTATAATGATATACTTAAGGTAATATTTTACTTATTACTACAGATGAACAGTAGATCACTGCTTCTTTTGAATCAAAGTACTCAAATTAAGCAAAGCTCATTTATTTAGAAAAAGAGAAGTTGGTTAACTTACTCAATGTTTTATAGCCTACACATGAAGTTGGAAGTGATTTTAAAGTATATGTTTTCTCTAGTCTTGCATATTTTTTCCAGCATCATGCTTATCAAAATATATGATATCATATATATATAATTAATATGTAACTGATCCCATTATCCCTAAGGTGGACATGTGACTCAGACTGAGTCAATAAGCATATTCCATGTCTCCAATAAAATGATGGAATCAGATACGGGATATGTGTCTCTACCAGGACCAAGACGAATTTCTGCTGATATTTCTGCTGATGCTAAAGGAACAAAATGCCTATTCTTTCTTTGTATTCACCAGTTTAAAGAGCTTTGGGTGAGAAGAAGGGGGAAATCTTATCACCATATATATAAAGTTTAAGAAGAATGAAATATAACAGAAGTGAGCAGAATTAAACCATGAACTAAGAGAGAAGAGGAAAGTAAAAGAAAAATGTATGGGTTCCTGAATTCAAAATTTTGAGCTGTGCTTAAAACAATCCCAACCCCTTAGAACCTTGAGTTATAGTAGCAAATTAATTCCTTCTTTTGTTTTAGTTTCTGACAGTTATCCAAAGTCCAGAGTTACAAAGCATTCTGTTAATTGATGTATTTAAACTGTTGAATATTATGATTTCAGCAATGGCCACTAACTCATTTTCTAGAGAAGTTTTCCAGGATTTTTATTTTTTTTGTATATTTGTGTCATAGATTACTCTTTCCCAGACTACAGTGTCAAACAAGTGGTTTACAATAGTCAAAGATCACAATTTGCTAATCCTACTTATTAGCATAAGAAAATAAATAAATCATGTATTGTGTAGGATTGAAGGCACCAGATTATAAATGACAATTGAACAAATGTTCTTCTAGAATCTAGATATACAAGAATACCATTCTAATCTACTCCGCATTTATTTTCTTTGGGGTTCAGATGATATTTTTCTTTGTCAAAACTGATTTTTGTTTGTTTGCTTGCTTGTTTCAGTTTTTTGTCACATGCAATAAATTCTTCCTTAGTAAATGCAAAGTCTTTGTCATTGAGTCTAAAAATGTTAACATTTCTTTAAATAAAATATTCATCACTTTATTTCTCCAGAAACATTTTCCCCAGATTCCTGCCTAACGTGTGAAAGCCACTGTGCTTTTTGTTTCTAATGTGAACGTTCTTTGTTGGATCTATGTTTGCTGCTACGTTATCCTTCCCAGTGGCATTCTAATGATTGAATAGATTAATATAATCATCTTTGAATTACTTTTTTATTGGGATCCCAGAGAAAAAAAGCCTTTATATAATGTAGCACACTTTTTTTTCTGTTTTATATTATTGAATCAATCAACCCACTTTAATGTAGGTGTGTTATGGTTTAGTCATTTTACACCCATTATTGTGTGAAGCACACAGGAATATAATGGCACTTCAACAAATAATTAATGATGAATACAATTTAAAATGAGTAAAAATAATATTTTCCAGCTTATATTTCTGGCAATTCTAATTTATGAATAACTACATCTGACTATGGTACTATGACCTCTTTTGTGAATTACATATTACAGTGCTGAAGTGAAATAATCATATCTACATTAGCAGTTACAGCTACCAAGTCTCACAATTTAAAAATATATCTAGCAATTTCAATTCTGTGAATATATCCAAAAGAAAGCAGCATTTCAAAGGCATATTTGCACATTCATGTTCATATCAGCATTGTTCAAAATAGCAAGAATTAACCCAAGTGTTCATTATCTGATGAATAAAGGAATTGTGGTATATACCTACAATGGAGTATTATTTGGCCTTAAAAAGAAAATAAATTCCAACACATGATCCCACGTGGATGAGTCTTGAGGGAGTTATGCTAAGTGAAATAAGATAATCACCAAAGGACAAATAATACATGATTTTACTTATATGAGGCTCCCACAGTAGTCAAATTTATTGGAGATGATAGAGGCTGGTGGGAGGGGAAATAAAGAGTTGCTTAATGGATGTGGAATTTCAGCTTTGCAAGAAGAAAAAGTTCTGGAGATTGGTTACACCATAATATGAATATATTTAACATTATTGAACCGTGCACTTATGAATGGTTAAATGGTAAATTTTGTTATGTTTCTTTATACCACGATATTTTATAAAATGAAAAAGAGTGAGAATCCATGATTTTAAAAAAAGAAGTCTTAATTGTGTGATACAAGCTCACTACACCTTAGATGTATTTGTATTTAAATTTCTTTTTTCAGAATTCTGTAAGGTCAATTTTGTAAAACCATTTATTATTAAATTCTTAACTAGGAGTATAGACTTTTGAGGTTTTATTGCCTTTTTACCTCAATTTGTTTACATTAGTATTTATTAAGCTTAAAAGCTGTCTTAAACATTCTCTGCTGCAAAGTGCTGATTGAGGGTAATTTAAAATTTTCTATAGAACTGAAAATGGAAAATTTACAAACATGTTATTATTAATATTTGTGATAAGAGGTAGTAATGAAGAACAACGTAAGTGACTTAATTGGCATGTACATTTGAACTTTAAAAATGACTGTCAGCCAGGCGTGGTGGTTCACACCTGTAATCCCAGCACTTTGGGAGGCTGAAGTGGATCACAAGGTCGGGAGATCAAGACCGTGCTGGCTAACACAGTGAAACCACGTCTCTACTAAAAGTACAAAAAATGAGCCGGGCATGGTGGCAGGCACTTGTAGTCCCAGCTACTTGGGAGGCTGAGGCAGGAGAATAGCTTGAACCCAGAAGGTGGAAGTTGCAGGGAGCCGAGATTGCGCCACTGCACTCCAGCCTGGCAACAAAGAGATATTTCGTCTAAAAAAAAAAAAAAAAAAAAATTGTCACTGTTGGAATCATAATGTTGCCAAAACAAACAAAAGATAAATGTTTCAAGTGACAGATATTCCGAGTACTCTGATTTGATAATTACATGTTGTATACAAGTATCAAAATATCACATGTGCCCCCAAATATGTATGACTATTATATATCAGTGAAAATGGATTAACTAAAAACGATTGTGTATTAGTCTTTTCTCGAATTGCTCTAAAGAACTACCAGAATTGGTAATTTATTAAGAAAAGAGGTTTAATTGGCTCACAGTTCCACAGGCTGTATGGGAAGCATGGCTGGGGAAGCCTCAGGAAACTTTCAATCGTGGCAAAAGGTGAAAGGCAAGCAGGGCATCTTACAAGGCCAGAGCAGAAGGAAGACAGTGAAGGAGGAGATGCTATACACTTTTAAACAACTAGATCTCGTGAGAACTCACTCACTATCACAAGAACAGCAAGTGGGAAATTGGGCCTCATGATCCAATTACCTCCTACAAGGGCCCTCCTCCAACACTGGGGATTACAATTTGACATGAGATTTGGGTGCAGACACAAATCCAAACTATATTAGACTATTGTATCACTTAATTTCATTGTATTTTTTTTTTCTCAGCAAATAGAGAATTTACTTCCTTTATAGGATCTGAGATTTACTTAGTGTCTAACTTTAGGGAGCTAATTCAATGTGTTGAGAGTAATCTTTAAAAAGTTAGAGGCTGAATCGCTGAAAGCAGATAACTGGACAGCTCTTCCAGTTATGAATATGTGTAAATAAATATGCTGAATGAGAAGTAATATGGACAATTGTTTAGTCATTTAAAATTGTTCCAGATTTTTACATATTAATAGTTGTGATTAAATAGTTAATGTAACATATTTGCCTGTTAATTAAATACATTTTATTTAGTTATAATTGAATTTCCATCAGAATTGAATAAAGTGCCATGCAAGGCTTTCTGAATATTTACCTCACACAGGGGAATGAAAAGCGTATGAATAATACAACATATACTAACCGAATTAAAAATGAATAAAGTTTTAAATACTTGAAATCCAATTTGAATTCATTTTTAAATACATTTACAAAGTTTTCTTTTGTAATTCCAAATTTTTTTTAGAAAGATAACTGCAAATAATTGAGAAAGTAATAGAATGCCTTCAATGTTTTAACAATGATAATTATGTTTTCCACAATAACTGCTCCTATTACAATGTGGCCTTTATGTAAGAGCCAATCATTGGAATGAAAGATAAAGACTGGCAATAACTAATCACAAACTTTATGCAATTACATCATAACTGGTGTAATACATTTGGATTTCAGGGAAGGGAGTTCTTGGAAATCTTCATAAAAAATAAATTCTTACATACACTTCATTTATTTCTTCCACAGTTACTAGCAAAGATAGAATAATTTCTCAACCTTTATAGGTACAATTAAAAAGAATTGTAAAATTAGTAAGCCAGAATATTACATTTGACTAGTTAAGAAAGAAGGTAATAAAAGTACAAAATATATTTATTATGATTTTTTATTTATTACAAAAAATGAGAGAAACATTTCTGCTTCCTTGTGACACTATGCCACCCTAACCAAACACCAAGTTCTTGTCCAAGTCCCAGTTCTTTTCATTTCTTCCCAGGCATATCATTGTAGCCCTTAATACCACTTTCCTAGTATTTCCTTCCCTTAATATTCATTAACATTTAGTTAATGCTTAGGCCTTTTCCTTCTTTCCTTCCTTCCTTCCTTCTTTCCTTCCTTCTTTCCTTCTTTCCTTTTCTTTCTTTCTTCCTTTTTTTTTTTTTTTTTGTTCTTTTCAGGGTCTCGCCCAGGCTAGAGTGCAGTGGCACAGTCTCAGCTTACTGCAACCTCTACCTTCCGGGTTCAAAGGATCCACTCACCTCAGCCTCTTGAGTAGATGGTACTACAGGCGCACCACCACATCTGGCTAATTTTTTGTATATTTTGTAGACCCGGGGTTTCACTATGTTGCCCAAACTGGTCGGAAACTCCTGGGCTCAAGCGATCTGCCCGCCTTGACCTCCGATAGTGCTGGGATTACAGGCATGAGCCACCGGGCCTGGCTGTTTATGTCTTTTGTATGTATACTGTACTTGGCTAGTATATACAATCGTTATATTAATTTTTTTCATATGCACATGCACATATACATATAACATTTTGTCCCCACAGGACCATGAGTTTTTTTCATGTCATAAATATTGTCTTATACATTGGTAGTCCCTTACAATATCTACTTATATTAGGTATTCAATCAATACATTCCTGGGGTTCAAATGATAATAAATCATGACTTTTCCTTTCCTTCTTTTTTTTTTTTTTTAAATGGAGTTTCGCTCTGTCGCCAGGCTGGAGTGCAGTGGTGCGATCTTGGCTCATTGTAACCTCCAGCTCCCTGATTGAAGCGATTATCCTGCATCAGCCTCCCAAGTAGCTGGGATTACAGGCACATGCCACCATGCCCGGCTAATTTTTGTATTTTTAGTAGAGATGGGGTTTCACTTTTAGTCAGGATGGTCTCAATCTCCTGACCTCGTGATCTGCCAGCCTCGGCCTCCCAGAGTGCTGGGATTACAGGCTTGAGCCACAGTGCCAGGCCTATAATGACTTTCTAATAACATGGTACAAGTAAAGTATTCAGTTTAGTATAATTTTTATATGTATGAGTCATATTCATTAGTTATGTTTTTTCTTATTTATTATTCAATATGTGTGATTATTTTTAAAACACAAGACAATGTCATAAACATATTTTGTAACAGCTGTAAACATTATTATTATTATTATTATTATTATTATTATTATTTGAGATGAAGTCTCACTCTGTTGCCCAGGCTGGAGTGCAGTGGCACGATCTTGGCTAACTGCAACCTCTGCCTCCTGGGTTTAAGTGATTCTCCTGCCTCAGCCTCCTGAGTAGCTGGGACTACAGGACCATGCCACCATGTCTGGCTAATTTTTTGTATTTTTAGCAGAGATGGGGTTTTACCATGTGGCCAGGATGGTCTCAATCTCCTGACCTGGTGATCTGTCTGCCTCAGCCTCCCAACATGCTGGGATTACAGGCATGAGCCACCATGCCCGGCCGGCTGTAAACATTACATATACATATATGTTATATATATATACATTACATATATATGTTATATATATACATTATATATATGTTATATATATGTTATATATATGTTATATATATATTCTCTCTCTCTATAAATATATATATATATATATATATATATATATATATATATACTTTTTAAAACTAATTATAGAATCCCCATCAATATCAGATACTTCAGGTGCTAGGGATATAAAACTGAAGATGAAAAAACCTGAAATTTTCAATCAAGCAGTACTTTTAAAGAGATAGACATTATCAAATATTTCAAAAGTAAATACACAATTATAACTGGTAAATTCTATAAAGAGAGGCTGAGGTGTATAATGTTATAAAAGAACATTTTTCCCCCTACATTTTAGGGAAAAACAGGGAAGAGATCAGTGAAGGCTGTCCTAACTAGCAAATAACTTATAAGCTAATGTTGGAAGATAGAATAGACATTAACTAAATAAACAGGGAGAAGAGGACCTACCACGCACAGATATCTTGTGTTGAGAGGTGCCACATTATGCTGTGAAATTGGAAGAAAGTCTATTGTGGGCAGAGTGATAGCATAAAACGATATGAAAGATCGGCAAGAAAGTAGGTAGAGCCTGAATCTTGCCGCAACTCTTTGTAATATATTGAGGATTTTGAACTTTATTTTAAGAGTAATGTGAGCACTTTGAAATAGCTAAGCAAAAAGTTTACAGAATCAAGTGTACGATTAGACAAAAAAGTTGCTGGGGCTAGTGTTTAAATGAATTGGGAGTGGGGGAGGCACAGTTGGTCCCCTGCCTGTCTCCCTTTGGCTTTACCATTTCTGTGCAAGCCAGCCAGACTGACTTGCCTTTTGTTTTCTTTTTTCTTTTCCTTTTTTTTTTTTCCTCAATGGTTTTCTCCAGCAGTTAGAGCTCATTCTAATTGCAAGCATAGCAGATGGGAAGTTCTAAGAAATTAATGACTAATCACTGACAGAACTTGGTATATTAACACCCCGAATTCTTTGTTACTTAGGTGGGATGACTCTGAGGCACTTTTTCCTACTTTGTTTCCCAGAATTCCTCTGTGAATTAAACTTCAACTGGACCTAATGATAACTATATTGATAATCCTTTTTGGAACTCTTGATTCACTTCTTTACTCCCCTGCAGACATGTCCCGAGATGACCTCCCCTAAAAACTATTGGCACTAAAATTTTTGTCTCAATTTCTACTCCTGAGAAGATCTAAATCAACATAAGAAATGTCAGGAGTGAAAAAGAGGAGACAGGTTAATAGGTCTTTGAAGCAACCTTAAATAGATGTCGAATAAAAAGCACACATGAATTTAAATTCGGTTTTGTGAGCAAGCGTTACAAAATTTCTTTTTCTATTAAAACCCAATGATCCTTCTTAAAATTCAGGAGATAGTAAATACAGTAAACATCATTTTTAGTGGAATATAGAGCCTAGTGCTTTTCTCTTATTATTTTGGTATTTTTATCACTCCCTATAATGCAATACAAGCCAGGTTGTTCTTAGGATCTAACAACATGTAGAAAGCAGTTTATTTTTTCTTCTTTTTCTCGTCAGCAGTTTCTTTCCATGAAAGTTGCATTCCTTTAGCCTAATTTTTGGATCTTAATAAGATGTATCAGTCAGAACCCCAGTAGAAAACAGAAAGCATACTCAAAATAGAATATTTGGGGGCCAGGCGCAGCGGCTCACGCCTGTAATTCCAGCACCTTGGGGGCCGAGGCGGGAGGATCACGAGGTCAGGAGATGGAGACCATCCTGGCTAACACCGTGAAACCCCGTCTCTACTAAAAATACAAAAAAATTAGCTGGGCGTGGTGGCGGGTGCCTGTAGTCCCAGCTGTTGGGGAGGCTGAGGCAGGAGAATGGCGTGAACCTGGGAGTCGGAGCTGGCAGTTAGCTGAGATCGCACCACTGCACTCCAGCCTAGGTGACAGAGCAAGACTCCGTCAAAAGAAAAAAGGAAAGTTTAATTTCAAAGAAATAATTTACAAATGTTGGTACAAAGTAAACTACTATGGAGGTTACAGTAACTACAGTAACTATTTAGTACTACTAGATACTTCTATTTAGCATCCCTCCTGTAGTGTAATGCACTGTAGTGGAGAGAGATTCTAATGATGCAGACTACCGGGAGAGGACCAGTGACCTTCTAGCTAGTGACAGAGTCAGGCTGACAAAGTGGCACACACAAGACATAGAAGAATACAATTCCTGATCTCACTCTCCATTCACCCTCTAATCTTCTCCCCAGGGATCGGAGTTAGGTCAATACAATCTAGTGAGTGGGGAAGCTACTGATGAAGTTCACATAGTCATCCTTCAATGGCAGAGGTCTAGAAGGTGAAGAGTGAAGACTCACTTTGGAAAGATAAACCAAAGGTATCTAGTGTCTAAGAAAAGTGTCAATGACAAGGTTTTCTTAATCACGAAATGTACTACATCGCAGGGCAGCCACATGAGCTGATATCATACTACTGAAAGCATTGCCCATGTTCTTCTCAGTGAATTTTATTCAGTAACAGAAACCTCAGAAGGCAGTTGGTTTTTTGTACACAAAAGAGGACACAATATACATTATCTGCAGATAACAATTATATTTCATAATGATTTAACACTGCATAATCACTAATGAAGCAAGTGGGAAATACCTGGCTAAAGTCACTTTTCAAGTAGAAATGCTAGTTAAGGGATTGTTTAGTCTTAATATTTTGGTGATTTTTATTATGTATTTATTGTTAAATAATAAATAACCCCCAAACTTTGTAATTTAAGAATAGCATATTTACCATCTCATGGTTTCTGTCAATCATGTATTTGGGTACATAAACAGAAAAGCAGCACAAACAAATGTGTAAAAACGAATCTCATATCAGTTATAATAAGTAAAAATTCACTAAATTTTGCAATTAAAAGATAAAGAGTACAAGTAAATAATAAACAAAGAAGATATGTCTTCAATTTATTATTTATAATAGACTCACTTTAAGTGTTAAAAGAAATGAATACTATAAAATAAACTATTGGATTATATATGCATTCACTGATGTGGATTAATATCAAAATATATAATATTGGGTAAAAAGTCATAGATGAAAGCATACAGAATGATTCCCATTTATAAAACCTCAAAAGTTTTAAAAGTAAATAATACATCTTCCAGGAATATGCAGAATCAATAAAAGGGATCAACATCTGAATGAAGACAAACAAGATACACCTTCAAAACTAGAACTTCATTAAATCAATCTTGTTAAAATTGACCACTTAAAATGCAGTGCTAAATCATATAATGCAGGTGTGCAAAAATATACTCAAAAGGCATATAAGGTTGTCACAGTTTAATACAGAGCAAAGGAGTAGAACTGTCTGTGACAAATATAAACCATTGTAAAGATATATGCCTTGGCGGAGGATAGTTGATTCATCAGAATTTTATTACATTAAAACACCCTAGTTTCTTCTTCTGATTATAAGTCCATAAAACAAAATTCTAATCTAACATTAAAAAGAAGCCCTAAAAATTAGGGTGGAGTTGGTCAAAGGTATTAAATTTCAGTTACACAAGGGGAATAAGTTCAAGAGATCTATTGTACAAAGTGTGACTATTGTTACTAACAATGTATTCTATAATTGAAAGTTGGTAGAATAAAATTTCAAGTGTTCTCACCACAAATAAGTATGTGAGGTAATATATATGTTAATTAGTCCAATTTAGGCTTTCCACAATGTATACACATATTTCAGAACATCATGTTGTACACTATAAATACATACAATTTTGAGGTCAATTTAAAAATTTAAAAAGAGGCTTTGTCACACCAGAATATTGTCCTGTATCCATGTTTAAATTATTCATGATGTATGCCAGCTGTTTTTGTTTCTTTGTATGTTTTTTCTTTTCTTTTTCAGCAACCTCAGTCCCTCCTTTTAGAATGATTTTTACACTCTGCATATTTCAGTAAGCTACAGTTAATATTTGTATCTTCTGTTTTTGACTGTACTCTAGTTTTAAATTACCCTGTACCCTATTTTTCACTCCACATAGCACAATTAGGAGAGCAAATTGTAACCATCACAATATCTGAACATACTTGAGTTGTGTCATCCCTTTGTTATAATGACAATTCAAAAATTTTCTTCCTGCTAAGCAGTCTAAAATGTGTCACTTTCTTATAAGAACACTATTTTATTTATATTTATGTGAAATTTAATATGTAATATCATTTCATTGTTGCATTTGACATTAATATTATCTGTAACTACTATTACTTAATATTACTTAGAAAGCATTTTAAATGCTTTATGAATATTCTTATGTCAATCAAAATAAAAAATAGGTAAAATTTAAATTCAAATACATTATTCGAAAGTGATGATAAAAATTTTCCTATTAAAAATTAAATTTAAATTATTTTGCATAATATTAGCATTATAAAAGTATCTTTAAAAATCAATTGTTTTAAAATGCCATTCTTAAAACCATCTTAGTTTTTATTACTGCTCACCCTATGTGAAAATCAAAGAACCACAGAACATTGAACAGACAACAGTGTTAAAAACGCTGCCTAACAATTTTCTTCTAGCTAAGATTGGCTGAATTAGATTTAGTCCAATAAAATGCTATCCCTTTTTGACTTCATATATGTAAATCAAATATTAAAATGCTGCCTAACAATTTTCTTCAGGCTAAGATTGGCTGAATTAGATTTAGTCCAATAAAATGCTATCCCTTTTTGACTTCATATATGTAAATACAGAATTGCATCTCTACCAAAAGTGCCAGACACTATACTCTAACTATCAAAACAAGGACTTCCTCCTCATCCAAGAATATGTCAAATCCTTGACTACAGTGACAGAGCAGCACTTGCAGCTTCCAAAACCACTACTTCAGGAAGGTGCTGTAGTTATTTCAGCTATTTCTGTCTCACTGTTTTAATGGCAATTTGAATTTACTACTTAACTCTTTCTCACCCTTTACTGAATGTGGTTGTAATGCTTCAGGCATGTCGATTGTATTAATGATGAGAAGGTAAAATGGAAGAGGAAAGCTTTTTTAAAAAAGCATGTTTGTGGTTTACTCTAAACATACATACATATATATATATATATATATATATATATATATATATTCTAGTTTCCTTATTTATCTACAGTAAATTTAGGAAAAAAAAAGTTCAAGTTTTCATTTTCTTTCTTTCAAAACCATTTCCAGAATACCCTTACAGGCTAATTACATGCTAATGATTAATTAACTGAATTAATCATTCAGTTCATCCCACCTTTTGCCCTTTGTACCTTGTTTGTATATAATTAGTTACATGCTACTGCAGTGAAACATGATCAGGATCTTGAGCTACTCTTCATAGACAGGAAAGAAAAAAACAAACAATTTCTGGATAGGTAGTATTTATAACCTCAAATTTGTGTCTTGAAAAAGTATTGTCTGTTCCTGCCCGGGGGCAAGGGGTGGGAATGGTCCAAAAATTATCAGTCAATCAGGAGCTTAAAAAACATTTAAGTATAAACATTTAAGTAATGTTCATTATTTTTTAAAGAAAACAATCTATTCTCAAATGTTGTATTTTAAATTTGGCTTAATTACCTACCAGAATAGCCAATAAATGCTTCATGTTTTGAGAAAACAGGATTTTGGATTCTTGCATTTTTTTTCTTGCATACTTACTCATCTTCCTCTAGCCACTTCATGCTGCTGAGCCTTGGTGCCAACTGTAAGAGCATACTGATTTGTAATAATCTATGGCAATAACTCTTCTCTCTACAGAAATGGGAGATCAGCAAGCAATCAATAATAGACATAAAAGAGTCTATGGTGACAGATAAAAGCAAAAGTTTAATAAGCAGGTTAAAGTAAGTTCAGATGTGCTTGCTACACTCTCTAAGGCCTAGTGGGTAATACCCAGACCAAAGTAAACAAAAAATACATACATATAACAATGTGTATATATATATATATATATAAAACAATGTAAAACAGACTACAAAAAAAAAGATAAGCATTGGACTCTGTCTTGATCATGTCATAGATGTATTGATAGAGAGATTTATAATAAAATTAGGGATTATGTGCTGTAACTAATTAGAAATTAGAAATAAATATATCACAAGCCATTGTATCCAGTAAGAATGGAACAATGAATGGTCAAAGGCATAATTTTGACCTGTAATAAGAAGACCCAGTCTCTCTCTACATATCATTCAGAAGTGAATTTGAGCAATAAACATTCTCAAAGATGTCTTGATCTGCAGAGCTCCTCTGACAACCTGCAGGCTTATGACAAAGGGTTGCCACTGTGATACTATAAGCTTTGGGGTAGTTTATTTGATATATTATTGAGGCAAAAGAAAACTGAAACACACACACACACACACACACACACACACATACACACAGCTAAAATCTGAATGTGTCCCCTCAAAACTCATAGGTTGTAATTGTAACCCCCAAGGTGATGGTATTAGAAAGTGGGACCTATGAGAGGTGATTAGGTCATGGAGGCAAATCCTTCATGAATAAGATAAAAAAGAGGCCCCAGAGTGACCGCCACCCTCTCCCTCCCTGTGAGGTTAGAGTGATAAGACAGCCATCTAAGAGGAAGCAGGCCTATCCCAGAAACCAAATCTTCTAGCACCTTCATATTGAACTTACCAGCCTCCAGATCTGTAAGAAATACATTTATGTTGTTTTTGAGCTACCCAGTTTATAGTATTTTGCTATAGCACCCCAAAAGGACTAAGACACATAAACACACACACACACACACACACACACACACACACCCCAAAGTATTGCCTCACGCCAAATGAAGTTAAAAATCCTGAGACTTCTTAGTAATTGATTTCTCATTGGCCTTAATAACCCAGAGTAAAAAGTGAATACTAAGGAGTTTTTATATCCACAACTATGAGTCTCACACTCTGGGATACTTTCTATTTTGTATTGTTTTAAAAAGTAACTTACTTCTCTTGGTTTGATTACTCTAGGTATTTCTGAGCTCTGAAAATATTTTGCTACTCGGATTGAGCCTGGACACTAGAAGAATGCTGCTCAACAAATGTTAAACAATAGTGGGGTTTATCATCTACTCTCCTCCTTGATCTTCCACATCTGCTCTTGTGCTGCTCGGTTTAACTTTATAGACTATTCTGAAAACTAATGATTCCTAAAGGTTAAGGTTTTTCAATAAATATAAAGTCATGAATATTAGTTTTCTCCTTTATAGTTTCATGGTCTATAATGAATTTCAGTTCAAGCATTTTTCCTTACTTAATAACAACGAAGGTTAAGGATGTTTATTTCTTGTCAAGGCCTTATTAATAATCATTATGAAGCACAATCAAGACATCTCAAAGGTTAGCAGTATTGGTGATTCTGCAGGGGCACACTCTCCTGAAGGTATATTTGAAACATAAGGGAAGTGTACTTATAATTGATAATCTTTTATGAAATGATACAACTTAAAGTGTTTCATCATTCTTATTGAAAGATCTGGTAACCTAGCACAGATTAAGCATCTGTGCTCAATTAATTAAATTGTCCTCTCAGTTAAACAGTGTGAGAAATAGTATTCTCATTAAACAGGATTATAAAACTCCTATATTGGCAAAGTGAACAATCATTATGGACCCTTTCCTTTCATTACCTGTTTATATTCTTCCAACGTACTTATAAGGCAGAAAAGTAATTATACCTTATTAAGGACAAATAGTTCCTCAGCACTGTGAAGTGACGTACTCAAGATAATGAAGTTAATACAGACCAAACTATGATACATGACAGCTTTTGGGTCTCAAAACTATCTCTCTCTATGATAAAATATTGCAAACTCTAATGTTCTTTTTAACAAAATGAAATCCATGTTATGATTTAGATACCTAAATTCGTGGCTGGTTTATAGTGGTGCAAAATTTCACTGATTAACCTAAGTATATATTTACACAGCTATAATTCTTCAGCAAAAATTTAATAAAACAGAGAGAAGAGGTTAATATCCCAAACTGGCCAATTACACCCTAAATAAATAATACCTTTCTTCCTCTCTTTGCTTTGAATTTGAAAGCAGACTTCAATCATTC
Organism: Homo sapiens; assembly: GCF_000001405.40. Classification (NCBI taxonomy): domain Eukaryota; kingdom Metazoa; phylum Chordata; class Mammalia; order Primates; family Hominidae; genus Homo; species Homo sapiens. The sequence continues at coordinate 62,846,619 of NC_000004.12, read as the reverse complement.
AAATTCTGGGTTTGCAATAATAAGAATTAGAAGTACATCTTATTTCTGCCACTTCGTGGCTATTACCTAAAACAAATTACTCCACTTCTCTAAGAATCAGGGTTTTTTATTTGTAAATTAGAGATTACAATAATACTTCATAAGTTTCCATAAGAAATAGATTTAAAAGTCCAGGTAAAGTTCTCAGCACACTGCTTGACTCTCGGTAAGTGCTTAATAAATGGTAGCTTTTACTATTTTTATTTTTTTATTTGTTTTTTCTTGACTTTAAAGCCTGGCATAGATACAATGAATGCAAGTTAAGATGTCCATCATATTGTTTGAAGATAATAAAGCTTCCTATCAATTAAAATCTCAGAGGACAATTTCTTTCTCAAAATTGTGTTATTTCCATTTTCTCTCTTATGCTCCATGAAGTAGGCTCATATTACAAATATTATTATGTAAAATGGAGTGTGCCTTGTTAATAATATTCTTATTAACCCTAGTGAAGCACATAACATTTATTGAAAGTTAGCAATGAGTAACAAGTGTTACAGACCACAGTTGTTCTTGGAAATAACACCAACATAGCCCAAGGTATTTGGGGATTGACATGGCTATTAGGCCTGCTCTTGAATCTTTTTGCTAGGTATGTATTCTTTCATAGATACATATTCTCTTTGTAACTGTTAGCACACTTTCTGTCAGCTCCACAATATAAAATGTTGAAACTTCCAACCTCTAACTCCCAGCAAAGTCTACTCTAGCCATTAGACCTTCCAGAATTGACATTGAAAACCCCACTATATTTTCTGGAGATCTTAATAATTAACCTCTGACATCCTGTTCTCTGTTTTATTTATTGATATCTCTCCAATTTTGTTCTGATATTCCCTTACTGTTTTTAAAGACAGTTATATGGTTTGGCTGTGTCCCCACCCAAATCTCATCTTGAATTGTAGCTCCCATAATCCTCAGGTGTCATGGAAGGGACCCAGTGGGAGGTAACTGTATCATGGAGGTGGGATTTTTTGTGCTGTTCTTTTGAAAGTGAAAAAATCTCAGGAGATCTGATGGTTTTAAGGACAGTTCCCCTGCACTCACTCTTTTGCCTGCCACCATGTAAGATGTGCCTTTGCTCCTCCTTTGCTTTCCACCATGACTGTGAGGCCTCCCCAGCCATGTGGAAATGTGAGTCCACTAAACCTCTTTTTCGTTATAAATTACCCAGTCTCAAGTATTTCTTCATAGCATTATGAAAATGGACTAATACAGATTGGTAATAGCCATTGAAAAAATTCTACTTCTACTTTATTCTAAGCTAGGATTTCTTAACTATAGAATTCTATTCCCATATTTTCTTTGAAGAAAGGAAGGAACCACACTTAAGAAGTATTGAGAAGAAGACATACATGTGGCCAACAAACATACGAGAAAAAGCTCAACATCACTGATCATTAGAGAAATGCAAATCAAAATCACAATGAGATACCATCTTATACCAGTCAGAATGACTATTACTAAAAAGTAAAAAAAAAAGCGAAAACAAATGCTGGCAAGTTTGCGGAGAAAGATGGACACTTCTACACTGTTGGTGGGTGTATAAGTTAGTTCAATCATTGTGGAAGACAGTGTGGCAATTCCTCAAAGACCTAGACAGAAATACCACTCAACCCATGAATCTCATTACTGGGTATATACCAAAAGGAATATAAATCATTCTATTATAAAGACACATGCATGCATATGTTCATTGCAGCACTATTCACAATAGCAATGACATGGAATCAGCCTAAATGCCCTTCAAAGATAAACTGGATAAAGAAAATATGGTACATACACACCATGGAATACTAAGCAGGCATAAAAAAGAATGAGATCAGATCCTTTGCAGGGACATGGATGGAGATGGAGGCCATTATCCTTATCAAACTAATGAAGGAACAGAAAACCAAATACCAAATGTTCTCACTTAAAAGTGAGAGCTAAATGATGAGAACACATCAACACATAGAGGGGAACAACACACACTGGGGCCTGTTGAAGGGTGAAGAATAGAAGAAGAGAGAGGACCAGGAAAAATAACTAATGGGTATTAGGCTTAATACCTGGGTGATGAAATAACCTATACCACAAACCCCCATGACACTAGTTTACCTATGTAATAAACCTGCATATGTACCACAAAATTAAAAGTTAAATAAAAGCATGGTAACAAAATAAAATAAAAATAAATAAGTAAATAAAAGAAAAAAATGAAATATTGAGAAGTGATTAATTATCACAATGCTCAATAAATAAATGTTCTGAGAGGCCATGTGAATTATATGTGTTATATATTACATTTCATAATACATTCATATATTAATACATTAATAAATTCACACATATATTATTTCAGATTTACCCAGATTTATGTGAACTCCAAACTAATTTTTTGTGTCATATAATCATCATGGCATTAACTGCCTTTCTTGTTTCAAAGATTATATTATTCTTTATTGCCCCTAGTAGTCTCTTCCCCAGTAGAGGGCCAACTACTCTTCTAAGCTCACATAGATAGACATAATAATTTAGATTTAGGTACATCAAATACAGTAAACAACAGAATAGTTCTGAATTTTTCAAAAATTTTCCATAGTTTCTGATTCATCAATTTAGTGAAGCACTTCTGTGTTCCCAAGTTACGTGGGTTGTTACCTACTAGCACGTATTTTGTTTTGTTTTTTTATTTGTATATGTGTTTCTTTTGCCTTGGAACTTCTTTGGCCATCTGGTTTAACCTATGGACTCTCTCAAAATAAATGTTTTAAATAAAAAATGTTTTTAAAATGTTCTAAATAATATATATTATTATAGAAGAAATCCAATTATAATGAAATATATATAGAATATTAGATGCATGCTATAGATAATATATATATTTTTGATTAATGTATTAAATGTAAAAATTATTGGTTGATCTTATAAATGTCATAATTTCAAAATAATGGTGAGAATAAATATATTAGGAAATATTTACAGTTAGTGTCATGCATTATGAAAATATCTGCACATTCTCTTGGCGAAAAAGTTACAAGCACCACTAATAGTATCGTGATTTATTGCTTTACATACATAATTGAAGAAAATGTAAATTTTAGTTATAGGTTAGTGGGGGACAAATACAATTTTTTTAATCCAAAACGAGGGGCTGCAGAATTCTCTGTTATCTATGGTCACCAGGTTTAGTATCTCTAACTAACAGGAAAGTTTTTGGTATTGCTGTGTTTGCATCAAAGTTTTAAGGAAGTAGGTATTGTTGTTGTTATTATTTGTTTGTAATGTAAACCTTATAGTTATCTTGAGATATGCTGACTTTTGGTTCAGAACCAGAGTAGTGTGTATAATGTTTTTAATTGAAAAGTCCATGATTGAGTTACCTAAAGCAGTGTTATTCCTTCATCTTAACTTACTGTGAACAACATTAGATATCCTCAAGTTACAGTTTACTCCTAAAGTAGTAGGCTAAAGTGAATCAGATGTTATATCTGTACATATTATAGATATAAAAGGGGATAAATTAATGCCTAATTATCATATTTATATCCCATTTATATGTATTCATCTCTTGTTTTATGTAGGTTCACTGCAATTATGTAACTTTATAACCAACAGAGAATGCAATTTTCTTTTTTATTTTTCAGCAGTAGAGAAGAATGATGTACTACTTGTTCTCACTATTGTAAGATTTAGAGTTTTATTTAAGTTTAGTGAACAGAAAAATTAAATAGGAGTTGCTAGATCAAAGTTAATGCTTCAGAAAGAAACATCAATAACTTGCATTTGAATATGTTATAAAATTAAAACTACTTGGAATTATTCATATAAAATGTGAAAACTTCATTTTGTAAAGTCATGATCATATATTTTAAAACACTGCAAGTCAATATATTTAAAACCTGAAATATTTCACATACAATCTTACCATACTTTAGAGAAACTTTGAAGTATATATTTGTTTACCTGGTCATTTGTCTTCCATTGACTTTAGCTAACTAGCCTATACTGGGAAACTTAGATAACATAATATTTTTAAAAATCCAAAGAAAGTTAGAGAAAACTAATTTTCACAAAATCACAATGAAATATATACTACTATTCTAGGTCTACACACACTGTACTTACTAACCTTTTTTTCGTCAGACAAAGCTGGATGTAAAATGACATTATTTTTCTCACATTTTCTTCACACTACTTTTTATGCCTTAAATTTTGGATAATAGTAAATCAAAAGCAACAGAAAGGCATATTCACCAAGCATAAATACACTGATAAGTAAAAGAATGATAAATAATAAAATAGGCAGCAAATTTTTTCCTAGTTAGCACACGCATAATATGTATTAAATATTTCTTATGAATTCCACAGTGGTTTGCCATTCATTAAATAATTTTACATGTGTGTGTGTAAAGAGAGTCAATAATTGATGTCATTGGCATACTAGGTATTATAGGTCATGTCACCATTATCAAGGTACTTTCAGATTAAAGTTTAATAAGTAGTAGGGGAATTATCTAAGACCTGGGGCTAGATGATAATGCAAACTTCTCTTCTTCCCATGTAAATACAAACCATTTTGGACACTATTTATATATGAGGATTAAAGAACAGAATAGATTATTAATGCATTACTAGAGCCAAAGCCTGTGTTTATCAGTTCTAGTAAAGATATTATATCTAGGAGGGCTGTTACGATGGGGGCTCTATGTGGTTTAAGTGGAATTTACTAAGTAGAAAAGTATTTTACCATTGCTATGGTGTGAATGTGTTCCCTCCAAAATTCAGGTGTTGTAATGTGATAGCATGAAAACGTAAGGCCTTTAAAAGACGATTAGGACATAAGGGTTCTCCCTTGTGAATGGGATTAAACCCTTATGAAAGAGGCTTCAAGCAGCTTGTGGTTGGCTTGTCTTTCCTCTTGGTGCCATGTGAGGACACAGTGTCTTCCATGCTTTGGTGGATGCAGTAAAAGTGTGCCATCTTTGAAGTAGAAAGCAGTTCTCACCTGACAATCAAACCTGCTTGCGTCTTGATCTTGGACTTCTCACTCTCAGGAATTTCAAGAAAATAAATTTCTGTTATTTATGAATTAACTCATCTCAGGTATTTTGTTACAGCAGCATAAACAGACCAGACAAACATTATCTGTCATGATCGTTGTGTGTGATAGATGCTGTACTGCACAACTCTGAAGCCTTAGAGAATGAAGGACTTACTACACAGCTACTGGAATTCTAACGGGCAGGCATTTCTCAGATGTCACTCCCTTTTGGGAATTGCCTCAGCTGAAGGGCACCACCTCAGCATTTGTCACAAGCCCTTCCCAGAACAGCACACATCCAAAGACTTATTAACATGACCATGAAATGATTGGCTCTTTTGCCTAAATTTGGACAAATCCTAAGGGTAACTCATGCTCCAGATCTCTCTATGCAATGTTTTGAGAGTTCTTAGAACCAGAAAAGAGCACAAATTTTTCCTTTACTCAATTTGACTTTCTTTCCCTCATTTCCATAAATCCTAATCTTAAAACCACAACCTAACATTTCTCTTGCAATGTCATCCCATGCATGATGACGTCTGGACTTAGAGAAAAGACTTTCAATAAGAAAGAGTTGATACAAGGGATGGTTATTCTCTTTTAAGGGCTCAGACTGTAAAAATTTAAGTAAATGTTTATCCCTTTTGAGTAAACAAAAGCATCACTCATTAAAATGTTTTCCATTAAAACAAGTTGCCTTTCTCAGAGATGGATTACTAATTACTCTTCTGATTTAAATTTGTTTTTCTAAAGAGATTTTTTTTAAGGAGATAGCTTAGTGACTAGAAGATCTGAAACAATAGTTTTCTAAGCTATAATTATAATTTTAAGTTAATAAGTTGATTTCTAGTGATTTATAATTTTTCAATAAGCTTGCTTAATTATGGTAAGAATTAGTACATTACAAACATATTATTTCCTAGTTTGTGTCGTGAATTTTTCTAGGTGTTTTACATATGTATTTTAGTTATTCCTAAAAAAATCCTTAGGAAAACAAAGCAGATGTATTTATTCTTGTTTTGCAAGTAAGATTGACGACGGATCAGGGACTTCCTTAATAACACACAGCTGAGAAGCAAAGCCTTTAGTATCAAACTCAGGTCCACAGAGTATTTAAATCCATACAAAGAACTAATCTTGCTTGTTGGAAATGCAACATTATTAAACTTTTTAGTAGGCAAAACAAAACAAAACAGAATGTTTCTGATAATTTTAAAACTCATATACATAACACTTAATTAACTAGGACTGAGTTTTGTCTTTACATTGGAGACAGCATGTGACATTAAATTTCTGTGAACTTATTATAGGGTATACTTATCTGATCTGATACAGTGAGAGTGGATAATAGTTCTTAAAAAAAAAAACACTTTACTTTGGTACCAAATATGCCTTTATCTGTTTGCTTATTTTAGTAGTCTTTAAAACGAAAGAAAAAGGCATAAGTAAAATATTTAAAATTATGTTAGAAAACTGGGCATGGTGGCTCACGCCTGTAATCCCAGCACTTTGAGAGGCCGAGGTGGGCAGATCACCTGAAGTCAGGAGTTCAAGACCAGCCTGGCCAACATGGAGAAACCCCGTCTCTATTAAAAATACAAAAAATTAGCCAGACATGGTGGCTAGCACCTGTAATCCCAGCTACTTGGGAGGCTGAGGCAAGAGGATCGCTTGAACCTGGGAGGCAGAGTTTGCAGTCAACCGATATTGCACCATTGCACTCCAGCCTGGACAACAAGAGCCAAACACTGTCTCAAAAAAAAAAAATTATATTAGCCAATGTTGTTTAAACACTTAGCCTGTAAAGGTACTGTTATTAGCATTTTAATATTCTGACCCAATTAATACTCACAAAAATCTTATCAGGTATTACTATCACCTCTTCCCAGATAATGTAACTGAGGCAAAGAGATCTTAACTAATTCATCAAAACTTGCAAAACTATTAGCCAGAGTAGGGGATGGAGACAGTCCAAAAGGTAGAATACCAAGAGAAATAAGGTGAAAAATGGGAAGATGAAATTACCTAAAATATTACTAAAAATAGTATACTGTTACCAAGCTTCTTATTCTCTGTCACGTACACACTCTTTTCTACCCCCTGTCTCTTCAGTAATCTAATCCCTAGGTTTTATGTTGACTCCATATATAACTGGAATGGAGGATTTCTATGTGAGGTAATTTAAGCACTTCAGAAAGTCAGGTACGTCCAAGTTACATTTCCTATTAATTTGACAGGGACATTTTTACCTTCAAGCTTACTTTGTTAAGTTAAGGGATTATAGCTTAAAACATATTATAAGACAGTTAACCTGATTGAAATGGGTGCAAGTGAGTCCTACCCAGTGTGTGCTTCATATTCACCAAAGATTAAGAGTATTATGATTCATTCTCTGATTTAAGGTCTTTCAGTCTAGGAAGAATACTTCTTAAATAAATCTTATTATTTTTAGAGCATATATATGGGTTTAAGCATACAGAAAGGAAAATGAAAATTTAAACAACATTACTATTCTTAAATCTCAAAATAGACCTTAGCAACCTTAGTGAGATAGGTACTAAGATAAACCTAAGTACAGAGTGTTAAGAACTCTCTTAGTAGAGACTCCTATTAGCCTGGGAGAGAGTAACTTTTGTGAAAGAGAAAATGCCTGGCTGGCTCTTGAAGGATAACTAAATGCAGCAAGAATGGACTTTATAGAAAGAGAAAAAATTATATGATGAGACATAGGGATGAAAATATCTCATGAGTTTCAATAAGCTACGAGTGGGTCAGTATTTTTGGCAGGTGAGGTTTATATTTCATGTGCATGAGAGTTGCCTGTACATTATCTATTCTTCTCTTATTCTTGTTGGTTTTTGTTTTTTTTCTAATGCAGTTCTGATTTGTTCAGGTTACCAATGTGTACAATCTTCTTTCCCACTCCCTTGAAGCTAGAAGCAATCATATACTGAATTCTGGATCACGAAGACACGGTTTAGATTGGACTTCCAAGATAGGATTTTCATAATAAAAAGGGTTATGTTCAGTTGTCGTGTGTCATTTTCATGTTATACTTTCCTGTTCTTTTTTGATGAAAACATAAAAGAATTTTCTGGAAATGCATTCACCATATTTTGACACTGAAGAGAAGGGCAAGGAGGAAGAGCCTAAGCCCTGGATGGCTTCTTCACTGTGCTGCTGTTCTTGGGGGGATCCATGGATTATGAATCAGTTAAGGGATAAAACAAAAGATAATGAGACAAGATTGGGGGAATTATTATTATTGATAGATTTTAGGTTAGACTATGTGGCTCAACATGAGAACCAAAGGATTTTGCTAACTAAACCTCACAGTTAGCTAAATTTTCCACCCAATTACAAGCAATGCTACACCAGGGAAGGTGTCTCTGTGTGGTAGGAGAAGAATCTGCTCTTAGAGGAGCAATGAAGACTGCCTACTTCACATGAGCAGCTGACTTGCAAGAAGGGAAGCATGGAACAATAAAGTTAAGGAGACACATTTAACCATCACGTGAGTCACATTCACCACCACGGAGCAGCGTACATAAAGGTATAGAGAGATGACAAAGGCCAGAGTTACCCTGACAGGTCCCCCTATTATGAAAGGAGTAACAAGAGTAGGAAAAAATTATTTCCTTCCACCACACTATCAAGTCTAGACTGCCTCCCTCAGAGTTTATTGTTACATAAGAAAAATACATTTAAAAATTGCATAAGTCATTATAGGTGGATTTCACTTACATGTAACCATACTAAATCCTGATTCAACAAGTGGCAAATTCTGACAGAAGATATAGAGATATGCAGCTGCAGAGAAAACACATTAGAGGTTTTGAAATCTATTCTGCATGCGAACATCCTTTTAAAAAATGTGATAGCTGTAGATAGGTCAATACTGTCTTCCTCCTCTCATGCTGCTACAATGATCAAAAAAAGGAATTGGGAATTGAGTGAGGATTACGGATTTCAGAAATATTTTAAAGAAATAACTGATATAACTGGGTCACTTTAAAATAAAGGAAAGGAAAAGAAATGTTAAGAATGATCCCCAAAATGTACTGTTTTGGTAACTGGAAGGAAACGAGTAGAGTCTGACTAGAAAAGAAGCAGGTGGGGGTAGGAGGATGAATTCGGTTTTAGACATGTTGATTTTGACTAATTCTGGGCCAACCAAATTGTGGACTGATTCAAATCCAGCAGGCAACAGTGCATATTGAACTAGAACCCAAGAGCATGAGTGGGCTATAAACATACTTGGGAGACATCATCACAAAAGTTTTCAGGAGAAATGAGGATACATGAATTCATCAAGAAAGAGTGGGCAGCACAGAACAGAAAAGACTCAGCATTTCAGAGAGAGGTCGAAAATGATAAAAAGAATAACCTGCCAAAGAGATAACAGGCAAACCCTGAAGGCAGTGATGTCAAGAAAATCATTAACATTCTTTAGAAGATGTTCTACAGTGACAATGTGCAGAAAGGCCAGTAACAAGGACAAGGTGAATAAATGCTATCCTTTTCCTTTGCATCAATTATGTCAACGGCAACCGTGGTCAAAGTAGCTTCAGCAGAGATGGCCCTGGGTGAGGCTAACCAGCTGGCAAAAGGTTGAGGAGTCAATGGGAGATGAAAAATTGACTCAGTGAATATGAGCCACTCTCTTAAAAAGCACACACCTGGATGTAAGGAGAGACACAGCGCAGTAGAGAGAGTTTGAAGGCTTATTTTTTGTTTTTGTTATTTTTATTGCTATTGTGTTTATCTCAAAATTATGATAACTAAGGCTTTTTAAAGTAATTATGAGAAATAGACCAGAAAGGTTCATTAAAGAAGCTAAAAGGTAACAAAAGTGTTGTGGATCCCTAGGAAAGAATGGTATCCAGAGCAGAGGAGTACATTCTGAGAAGACACACAGAGGAGACCGTTGGTAAAATAACAGGCTTTTGGACATATGAAACAAAATAGGAAATAAAATTATATTATTTCACGTTTTTTCCTGTGCCTCGTCTTCCTTTGGTTTAAATGGAGATTTCTACTGATCAGTGGTGGCCAGCCAATAACTCAGAATTATGTGTAACAATTCAGCAGCAAGATGAAGATAAAAAATAGTGGCCACTGTAAAAAGATTTAATACTCTCATAAAACCCCTAATTCTAATGTGTTGAGAAAAAAAGACAGAGGATTTTCTTGTTTATATAGGGAGTTCTTTATTCATTACAAAATAGTTTTTTAATCTCAAATTTTTCTCTTTACTTGACACTTATCATTTTGTCATAATTAATAGAATGACTGAATATGAAACCAACATTTTAAGCACCGTGAAGACATAGTGAATGAGACAGAATCAATTTTGACACTGATATTTGATAGGTATATTTGTATCATAAGCTAGTGGAGTGGTGAGCACTTCAACCCATTTCTCTAATATTGTGGCTGATGAGGACTATGCCAGTTCAGCATGGGTTTGATTTTCTACAGTGTATAAAGGACATCAGACCATGAATATTCAGAACATTAGGATATAAAATTAAATATTAGCATAGTGACACACGAGGCTGCCTTACATAACTTGAAATAGAAACAGGAATTCAAGTAATAAATAATGTATGGCAAGAGGCAAGTGGCAACAGGCAAGTGACACTTCCTGCCACATATTAGAGCCAAAAGAGTAATCTTCTTTCTGGGAATATATTCAAATATGTGGGCAGCTTCAGACAGAACACATGTAGGAGTGAAAGAAAGAGGTACACTGTTTTGGCATCCATAAATCTCTGGCAACCAATAGTGTCATACTTGTCACCATATCCAGTGATTTAGTTTGGGGGGATATTTATGGTAGTCCTTTCAATGACACTAGCGAATTCTTGTAGCTCTCTCCACACTGGCTCATTTATTTCCTCTACATTTTAGGTCATGGTTAAGAGCATGGGTTCTGGATTCCAATAACATAATTTTAAAAATTGTATAGATACATGGTGTTTTGTCATTGAAATATTAAAAACGACTGTAACAAAACTCATACTCAATACACTTGTTACCTTACTGTTACTTTGTGCTACTAATGCTCTGTTTTAATAAATTAAACCATGATCATGTCCAGCTTAAATTTCTATTTACTTGCCTTGTCTTTCCCTTAATCAGTTCTTAACCTTTCCCTCTTCATGAATAAGTCTTCTATATCCTCTCCATTGATGTCTTCAGAGCTCTGCAGTGGCTCATGTCTGCAGGCCAGAAATGGCTGTAGAAAAATGCTCAATGGAGATGATTGGATCTCAGAGAAACAAGGGCCAAGCACAGTACTTAACTGCCATAGACAAGAGTGATAAGAAGAACCAAGGTGTTAATCAAAAACTTTTGAGAAAGAGGAGTCTTTGGTATTAGATAATTTATCATGATGTCCCTAAGACTGAAATAGATGGGCTACCTACTAAATTATTACGTGGTTTTTGTAAGCAGAAGTGCCTTAGGTTTGCTGAGCAGAAGTTTGAATTAAATCAACAAAATAAAAAATCATGGTCTGTGTTAGGCTGTCCTTGCCTTGCTATAAAGAAATATCTGAAGCTAGGTAATTTATAAAGAAAAGAGGTTTAATTGGCTCATGGACCTGCAGTTTTTACAGGAAGCATGGTGCTGGCATCTGCTTGGCTTCTAGGGGACCTCAGGAAGCTTACAATCATGCTGGAAGGTGAAGGGAGAGCAAGCATGCCACATGGCAAAAGCAGGAGCAATAGAGAGAAAGACTGGTGGTGGGGGTTGAGGGAGGGTGCCACACACTTTTAAATGACGAGATCTCACAATAACTCACTCACTATCTCAAAGACAGCACCAAGCCATGAGGGATCCACCCCCATAACCCAAACACCTCCTATCAGACCCCATCTCCAGAATTTCTCCAGCATTGGGGATTACAATTGAACATGGGATTTGAGCAAGGACAAATATCCAAACTATATAATGATCCCTCCACAAATCTCAGAATTAAGCCAGATCAGAGATCCTGAAGTGAAGGGGATGTCAGGTTCCCTTGAGAAAAGACTCTACTTAAGTTCCAAAATTTTATGTTGTAACTCTCACTCTTAGACATCTGCCAAAGCACCTGAGACCATTTACCAGAGGTAGCTGTGAATTAAACAGTGAGAAATGGCTGGGTGCGGTGGCTCAGGCCTATAATTCCAACACTTTGGGAAGCCGAAGTGAGTGGATCATCTGAGGTCAGGAGTTCAAGACCAGCCAGACCAACATGGTGAAACCCTGTCTATACTAATAATACAAAAATTAGCCAAGAGTGGTCACATGTGCCTGTAATCCCAACTTCTTGGGAGGCTGAGACAGGAGAATTGCTTGAACCTGGGAGGCAGAGGTTGCAGAGAGCCACGATTGTGCCACTACACTCCAGCCTGGGTGACAGAGTGAGACTCTATCTCAAAAAAAAAAAGAAAAAAAGAATGAGAAATAACTAGATATTCAGAGAGTAGTGGACATGCCCTTGAATTGTCCTTAATACCTGAGATGCAACATGCCCTGATCCTGCACCAATCAGATTAAGGACTTACGAAGATCTGATGATTAATGGAGTTTAGCTAGAATCTCTCTCTGAAAGGACCCAAAGGCACTTGAAACCACTCTTTATTTTCTCACTTCTGGAATGCACAGTTGTAATAGAAATACCTGCCAATGGCAATGTCTGAATGGATTCTCTGGCCTTGAGAGTTATGGCAGGAAAGGCAAACTGGAAGTTCCTATTCCTGCCTTCACTTTCCAAAACAATAAACCAAAAACATATGCCATTCTTGGAGAGCTTGCAGAGAAGAGTGCCCCCACCAAAGACTTGACAGACACAGCAGTGATTATTTCTTCCATATTTCCATCCAATTTTCTCATCATGAGTGTGTAAAAGACTGATGGGTATATGAGAATTATTGCAATTTGATTAGATGTTGGCTCCAGTTGCAACTTCTCTTCCAGATGTAGATTATTTGCTATTGCACATCAAAGCATATCTTGTCGTCTGGTAAGCAGCTTTTGAGCAATTTTTTTCTATATGTATTAATAAACACCACTGAAGTTGTTCATACACTTTCATGATCCTATCTCAAGGATATATCAATTCTCCAGTCCTCTTTCATAATTTTTCTACATGAATTTTGATGGCCTCTTCATTCCACAGAACATCACACTGGTCCACTTTATTGATCATATCATCCTGAATAGACTAGATAAGTAGGAAGTAATGATTGATCCTGATACCTTGCTAAGGTACGTGTATGCTAAAGGTGGAAAAAATAAATTCCACTGTAATTTATTGCCCCAATACCTCAATTAAATTTGTAACAGTCTAGTTTTCCAGTGTTTGTGAAAACATCCATTCAAAGAGATCTGCATCTGGCCACTCCTACAATTTAGAGAGAAATACAAAGCCTGGTGGGCCTCTTTAGACCTTGGAGTCAAACTATACCTAATTTTCCCTTGTTATTCCACTCATTTCTTGAGTAAAATGAAAGGCTAACAGTTTTGAATGGAACTCAGAGGAAAAGAATTCTCTTTAACAGGTGCAAGCTACTCCAACACTTAGGCTATATGACTGAAATGATTTGATGTTGACTGATGTATCAGTAGACAAAAGAGACACTGTATGGAGCCCTTAGGATTTTGGAGCAAAGCTCTGCTGCCTTCTGAAGCAAATTTTCTTTCTTTTTTGTATTTATAAAAAACATCTGGCTTGCTACCAGGCTCTAGTAGAGACTGACCACCTAACCATGGGCCAAAAGTTACTATGAAAACTGAGCTGCCTATTATGAACTGTGATGTTATCTGACCTATCAGTTTATAAATTTTAGTGTACACAGAAGAATTCCATCATCATGTAGAAGCAGTATACATAATATCAGGCTAGAAGAGGACCTGGAGGTACGAGTAAGCTGAATAAATGTGTAGCTGAAATTGTCATAGCTGTCATTAATTTTACATTTCTTCATCTCTCAATTTGTACTATACACTCATGGAAATTTAGCAAGAATTCAGTAACAGTCTCCAAATTGTTATATGCAACATGTATACCCAAAAGCAGACAGCTGTATCAGTACTGTTCCAGTCCTAGGTAATGTTAAAGAACAGTGGTGAGTAAAAACTCTTCCAAAGGGAGCATAGACCTTGAGAAGTTTATGTTGTTGTTCCTTTATTTCAGAAAAAAAGACCTGAAGTATGAATTGTTATAAATTCACAAACAATAACTAATAATTTGGCTAGATGATTAGAATTTCAGAATAAACAGAATTATAATACTGATTACAAGAAAGTTTGGGGGAGAGGTGTGAGATTATCTGTGTCTCATATGAATACTTGCCAATTATCAACCTCAGTAAAGGGAGATCTTAGTAATTAGATGAACAAAACGCTCTAATCTACAACTGTCAACTAGCTACCCTTGCCATTACCCAACGAACAAAATGTCCATAACTACAAGGATGGTGCTTAATGTTGGCTTACCATATGTATTTGGTAAATACTCAATTATGACAAAAGTTAGCATGTTTTGGGCCCTTCATGATGGTTCCATCATATTAGGAAGCATGATTTTCTGCTGTCATTATTTGTAAGTAACTATGATTATGACAGTTTATATAAATACTAACTTAACAAAATATGAACAAATTCTAGATTGTACTTTGTCAATTTAGTTAAACGGGGACTTGTATTTCCCCAAATCTCCTTGTCTATGTAGCCTCAGGTTAGATTAGGCCAGAGAGGAGTTTGCATGGAATTTCAAAGGAAAGAAGTAAAGTAGCAAGCAGTACTCTATGTCCTTTGTAGTCACATATGTTGAGGAACAAATGCAGGGTTGCCTGGCAGTTCTGGTGTGTCTTCACTCACCTCTTCTCTTTGTCTAGCTATTCTTCTCAACAATTGGTTTTTCTGGCCAACAGCTGCCCCAGGTCTACTGGCAAAATATTATCTGCAGTTCCATAGAAGTAGTAGATATGTTGATATAACAGCTTTCCAAAGACCACTCTTGGAATCATAACTTGATGGAATATAGCTAAAGCAATACTAATAAGAAAATGTGTAACACTAATTGCTTACATTAGAAAAGGTAAGAAGACAATGTATATTCTCACCTCAACAAATAACAAAAAAGATCAAAAGAAACCAAAGTAATCAAAGGAAGGAGATAACAAAGAAAAGCAGTAATCAATAAAATTGGAAAGAAAAAACTATGGAAAAAATCAATAAAATAAAATTTCCATTCTTCAAATAGATCAGTAAAATTGTTAAAACTCTAAATGACCTGATAAAAATAAAAAGAAAGAAAACAAACCACCAATATCCAGGATAAAATGGGATATTACTACAGATCCTGCTGTTATTTAAAAATTAATAAGAGAATACAATGCTTTGCTCATAGATTCAACTTTATGCTCATAGATTCAAAAACTTAAAAGAAATAAAATAATTTGCTTGTAAACCACAAACTAACATAACTTAGTCAAGAGTATATAGATAATCTGAAATATCAAATAGCCATTACATAAATTGAATCTGTAACTAACAACTCCCCCTTAAAATACATCTACAGATCCAAGTGGTTTTGCTAATAAATTATGCCAAAGCTTGAAAGAAGAATTAACCTCAAATTTGTAGAATCTCTTTTAGGAAAAGGAAGAGGAGAAAACATTTTCCAACTCATTTTTATGAAACCAATATTACCTTCATACAAAAGCCAAAGACAATACAAATAAATAATTTTTTAAAAAAGGAAGAGAAAAATACAAACCAGTATCTCTTATGAAATTAAGAATGAAAACCCTAAAAAAGGAGCAAATGAAATCCAATAATGCAAGGAAAGAATTATATGCCATGATCAAATGGGATTTATTCCAGGTATGCAAGGCTTATTCAACATTTACAAATAATCAACAAAATTTACCACATCAACAGCCTAAAAAAGAAAAATTATTGTACTTATATAAATGGACAAACAAAAAGCATTTGACAAAATCCAAACCCATTCATGACAAAACTTTCAACAAGTTAAAAATAAAATAGAACAGCCTCAACTTAATAAAGGGCATCTACAAACTACCTACAACTAATATCATACTTACTAGAGAAAGTATGAATGCTTTCTCCTAAGATGGAGAATAAGGCTGGTATATCTGGTCTCAAGACTTATTCAACATATAGTACTGGATGTTCTAACCAATGCAATAAGACAAGAAAAGAGAAGGGGAGAGAGAGAGAGAGAGAGGGAGAGAGAGAGAGAAAGAAGGAAGGAAGGAAGGAAGGAAGGAAGGAAGGAAAGAAGGAAGGAAGGAAGGAAAGAAGGAAGGCAGGCAGGCAGGCAGGCAGGCAGGCAGACAGGCAGGTGAGAAAGAAAGAAAGAAAAAGAAAGAAAGAGAGAGGAGAAAGAAAGAAAGAAAGAAAGAAAGAAAGAAAGAAAGAAGAAAGAAAGAAAGAAAGAAAGAAAGAAAGAAGGAAGGAAGGAAGGAAGGAAGGAAAGAAAGAAAGAAAGAAAGAAAGAAAGAAAGAAAGAAAGAAAGAAAAGATATACAGATTGAAAAGCAAGAAAGAAAATGTTCCTTATTTACAAGTTATCTGTGTATGAAATCCCAAAGAAACTACAAAAAAATCCAAACAACAAAATATTTCTAGAACTAATTAGTAATTTTAGTAATGTTATCAAGGTTATAGAATATAGAATCAACACAAAAATCAACATGTGGAAAATAAAACTTAAAAATAAAATATTATTATCATAAGGAAAATGAAATATCTAGGTCTAAATTTGATAGAAATATGTACATGTATGCTAAGAATGCTAATTATAAAATGCTAGTTAAAGTAATCAATGAAGAACTAAGTAGATGAAGATATATAGCATATTTATGAATTGGAAATTTCAACATAGTAAAGTTGTCAGTATCCTCCAATGCACCCACAGCTTTATTGCAAATGCTATCAAAATCTCAATAAGGTATATTGTAGACACAGAAAAACTTATTCTATTTATATATAAAGGCAAAGGACTTAGAGAAGCTAAACCAATTTTGAAAAAGAAGAATGTAGGAGAAATCATCTTACACATATTAAGGCAAATTGTAGAGCTATGGTAATCTAGAAAGTGTAGTACTAGTGGAGAGATAGAATTATAAATCAATGAGACAGAATAAAGAATACAAATAGACCCACACTACATAGTTAAACAATTTTTGACAAAGGTGCATGCAAAAGTAATTTCAAAGAAGAATAGTCCTTTCAACAAATGGTCTTTTAGCAAGTGGAAATAAAAGAACATAGCCTAAACCTCACACTTATGCAAAAATTAAGTCAAAATTAGTCATAAACTTAGATGTAAAATGCAAAGCCATACAATTTCCATAAAAATATTTTAAAACATCCACAATACAGAGCTAGGCACAATTTCTAGCCTTGATACCAGAAGCATTCGTCATAAAAGTAAAATTTCATAAATTAGAACTCACCATTTTTAAAAAATTGCTTTGAAAAATATTTGGATATGAGGATGAAAGGACAAACTGGAAAGAATGCAAACCACATATCCAGTGAAAGATTGGTATCTAAAATACATATTCTCAAAACTCAACAGAAAAAACAAGAAAATGGGCAAAAGACATGGACAGACATTTCACCAAAGAAAATATGCAGATTGGAAATAAGGACATAAAAAATTCCATACCATTAACCATTACGGAAATGCACATTAAAACCACAATAAGATATCTCTACTGACCTACCAGAATGTCTATAATTAAAAAATATATAGCAACACTAATTGCTGTCAAGGACATGAAGAAACTAAATAACTCATTCATTGCTACCAGGGATTGTAAAATGGAACAGTTACTCTGGAAAACAGTTTGGGTATTTTAAATAACACTAAACATGCACTTCCATTTGTCTTAGTAATTATACTCTTGGACATTTATTCCAGCATAAACAAAATGTTAGGGTCACACACACACACAGATGTACCCAAATATTCATGGCAGCTTTTTTGTAATAGTCAAAAACTGAAAACAAAACAAAACAAAACAAAACAAAAAAACCAAGATGTCTTCAATGGGTGAATGGTTAGGCAAATTGTGGTATATCCATACCATGAAGCTCAGCAGTAAAAAAGAACTGTTGGATGAAGCTGAAGGTGAATAAACAGTGAAAAAGTTCAACCTTAAAATATTACATACTGTATAAATACATTTACATAATACTATTGAAATGACAAAACTATAGAAATGGATAACAGATTCATGGTTACCTGGATGAGAAAAGGAAGAGCAGCTGGTGTTGCTTAACACGTGCCAATGTTACTCGTATTTATACGGGCAAGCAACTTACAGGTCCAAGGCCTACATTAACATAGACGGAGGCAAAAGTAAGTATTTGCAAATAATAATACAACCTTTGATAATCTCTTCACTGCCCAATATGGGAACATGAGTATTGTTTTATCTCATTTATCTAGTATAAAAAGGCTAAATTACCAACATCTGTGTCTCATAGAACTGTCCCATAAAAACTCTGTGATGAGAAGAATACTTTATATGTCCTCTCCATTAAGATAGCCATTAACGATATATGGTAAGATTTGAAACGCAGCTAGTGTGATTGAGGAATTGAATTTTTAGCTTTATTTAATTGCGATTAATTTAAATAGCCACATGTGGCTAGCAGCTATCAAATTGGACAACGAATTTCTAAAGATACTAAATTTCTAGTTTTCTTTAATCCTCATGTTTTTCTCTTCACTTAATATTGTCTCTCAGTTGGGTGGAGGAAACTTAACTTTGATCAACTGGGATATTTCCACTATCCAGTTTACAAGATAGTTTCTAAATCCCAATGAGATTTTAGAGCATTCTGTTTGTTTTGGTGGGCGTATATTGAATTCTCAAATCAAAATTAAAAATTTTCCCTGTGGTTAGCCATTAATATAATCAGCACATCTGTCTTCTGTCACTTACTGTAGTGGTTAGTTTTTGCTGTGGTTAAAAACCACCAAAATTTTGGTAGTACATGACAACAAGAAAATTTGTTACCCAGTAGTTTGTATGTTGGCTGTGCTTTGGCCTGGCTTGACTACGTTCAGTTGGATTTAGCTGTAGGCTACAAAATCAGGTCAGGTCTTCTCCATTCCAGGCCTCAGGCTAAAGAATCTTGGAAACTGTTTTTTTTAATTATTATTATTTGTAACAGATAACAAGGTATAAGGAGAACAAAAACAAATACATATTCCTCTCTGTCACCATTCCATGAGTCAAAACAAGTCTCATGACAAGCACAAAGTCAACTGGAGCAAGGAAATGGAACTTGGCTAAGTGAACCTATGCAAGAACAAAAGGAGAAGACATAATTGTAAAGATATAATAAAAACCTCTTACAATTCTGTGTATAAGTGGCAGTTGCCTTTGTGTGGCAGAGGACAATATATCCAACAGATATTTTCATTTTTTCCTTGCTATTATAGGGCACAGGAATTTTATTGAGTGCACTATAACTTCATCTACCTAGTTACATTGCCCATCTCATTTCCTCTTTGGTTTCTGAATAACTTCCTAGATCTCTGACCAGGAAATATGACATAGAATCCTATTATTAGACCAGTACAATGGGTCTCTCTCTTAGTTCAAATGGACACTCCAGCCTAGAAAAGTAATGTTATTTTTTTTTCTCTGAAACAATTTGTTTAGATACCAAATTTCTAATTCACCCCCCGCCCCTCCCTGCCTCACCTCATTGCCACAAGACTTGGGTTTCGAAAACTCAAAGACAAGGCTAGAATAACACATTTTCCTTCTCTGGGCTGTATCCTATTCCCCTTTTGAGGCAGTGAGAGCCCACTATGTAACAGAAACTTTGGAGAGGAAACAGGGAAATAACAGGAGAAAATGAAGATGGGATATCATCCTTAATATAGTATCACATTCTGGTTGTAGTCTAAAGTAAACATGTGCGAAAAATTTCTTATTTGTGTCCTATTTAAATATTTAGTATTCCCTAGTAACTAGAAAGATCAGTATTGATATTAAATAAAAGTCAATAAGGAGGCTAAAATGATTACTGTCATCAGAAAATCATGTATGCTATTAGAATTATTTTGAGAACTGGAGGTAAACTTTAAGGTAATGTAAGCAAGTGAATAGCAGAAAGATTATGTAATCTGCTCAAGTTTACCAATATGGGTAAAGGCAAAATGAAGGAATAGATTCGAGTTTTTTGATATCCACGTCATAGTAATGCCAAGAAATTTCTCTGTCAGAAATATAATTTTTTTCTATAAGGGTACAGCTAAAATTGATATCATTTTTTCCCACTGTTGACTGTATTCCAGACTCCTAGCACATAATGGCAGGTGAGAAGTTATAGCATTGAATGATAATCATTACCTCAACAATTTTAAAATTAAAAGGAGCTAAATTATGCAATATAGACTTTGTACCAAGTCAACAATTCCAATCAAGCAACACAACACAATTAAACAGTATATTTTTGATAGCAAAGTGCTTTAAATTATTCTTTATTCTGTGTTATTTGTGAATGACCCAGTAATTTCTGTCTCCTATTATGCACCGTAAAGTAGAAGTATAATGTTCAAATAATTTCAAACGGAGTCATAGTCTTAACAGAGCATAATAGATAAGTTAAATATTTAGAGAGAAGTAAAAATCTGACACACTAAATTGGACTTAATTATTTTCTCTAAAACTACTCTCCTACAATTGGATCTAATAAATCCCATTGTCTATCTTACCAAAATTATTGCTATAAGGCATATGACTAGCTTTATTTTAATTTTGTTAGTGAGAAACACTTACATTTTCTAGTGCTTCCATCATTTGTGTTCATTTCATTATCTCTATTCATTAAATCTTATTTTTCTTACCCTTTTCTGCCTACCATGAAGAAAAGAGGATATAGTCCAGATAGATACTGTCTAGTTTTACAGAAAGAGTGCCAGAGTGTTGCAATAACTCAATGTCTTTTCTGATTAAATGTAAGTAGGTGACCAAATTGTATTGATGTCAAATATTAATGAAACATTAAAATGTGAAATTCAAAAAAGGTTATTTGGATGGCTAGGAGGTGTGTCTGCAGCTTGGGTTTATAGATGCCGTAAACATCAGAAGTTCGGATTAAAGACCTTCCTTAGGCAACTTAAAGAAGGAACGGAGTTTTGTTGAATAATGCCTAATCACAACTGTTTTGAGCTACAATGTACCAAAGTCCCACCTGTTATTCCTCTGAACATCAACAAAGGTATTACTATTCAGTTGATGGCAGTGAAACCAAACAGAGGCAATGTGTACAGACTTTGAAGTATGATACTCACTAACTAAAATCTATCTACAAGTGTTGACATTCAAAGTTAATTATTGTGATAGCTGCTTCTTCAACTCTATAAGCTATAAATTAATTATGCACTTTTTTCAAACTATTCTATTAAATTGCTGGCTGGTCTACTGGGAGAATCATTAACAAATGTAGATAAATCCTGCTGTTCCTCACCCTGGAACACACACTTAGACCTTTCCATGAGAAAACAGGCCTGATTGCAAATCAGAATCTGTAATTTGAAATACTTATCAGTGTTATTTTCATTTAGAGACTCTATTTTAAAACACTGTGTGTTTTGTTTATCCACAGCATGTAGACACATATTGATATGCCTCTACCATTCAGCAGTCAAAATGAACTTCTGGAGATATTCATCAGTTCTACCTGCCCTTGAGGAAGGCTGAAAAGATCTTTTAGGTTCTCCTCAGGCTTCAAGGTAAGTATCCAGGAATCTACAAAGCCTACATTTTAAGTAACTATCCCAAATATAACCATAAATTGGGTTAAAATCTGTCTTACCATATGGGCATTATGCAGGAAATAACAGGAGAAAAAATAAATGTTTAATTTATGTGTTTTAAGAAATTCAGAAATGACCTGCCCATTTGCTAATCCATGTGTTAGACTAGCTTTCCTTCTTATATTAAATTTCAATTGCTAATTTGATGTTAATTCATTAATATTAATCCAAAACCCAACATATTAAAAAATCATCATCTTCTTCTGACCCGTGATTAAACTAGTGTTACATAGTTTCTCATTTCATGTAAACATCAATTTTCATAGTCACTCACAGAAGAAATTTGTGTCATATTAAATTATTAGTCTCACATATATTCTACATTCAAATAATTTTCAAGTCTTATTAAATGTATACTTTATAAATTCATTTTTTATTCCTGCACTTAACACATATTTATCAAATGTCTACCATGTGTCAAGGAATGTTCTTGCAATAGGCATTTCTTAGGAAACAAAAGAGCGAAAACTTCCGCCTCCACACTGTTTTTACTCTGGTAGGAGAGAAAGAGATACATAAGGATTAGAGAAGTAAGGAAAATGTGCGGTTTATCAAATGGTGACATCTACAAGAGGAAGAGGGACAAAGGTAGAGTAATGTGAGATAAAATGCAATTTTTGTAACATCTTAATTATGTTTAAACGATTATTATGTTTGCTCTACCATGAGAGACTGTGGGTTGCAACAAGAGGGCAGAAGAAAGCAGAAATAAACAAACAAAAAAACCTTTGAAGGTTATTCTAAGAATCTGAGTGAAAGTAATGGTGGGTCAAGCAAGTTGGCAGCACTGAATGTAGTAAGAAGTGGCAAGATATTTGCAGTCTTTATAAGACTTAAGAGAAAGTGCTAATTGATTGAATTCTAGAAAATAAAGAGTAAAAAAGGATCAAAGATAAATCAGGGATTTCTGGCATCAGCAACTCAACTAGAAAACTACCATGCCTTTTACTGAAATTGAGGAGAGTATTGAGAGGTGAAGCCAGCTGGACTTCCTGGGTCAAGTGGGGACTTGGAGAACTTTTCTGTCTAGCTAGAGGATTGTAAATGCACCAATCAGCACTCTGTAAAAATGCACCAGTCAGCACTCTGTGTCTAGCTAAAGGATTGTAAACGCACCAATCAGCACTCTGTAAAATGGACCAATCAACAGGATGTGGGCGGGGCCAAAGAAGGGACTAAAAGCTGGCCACCTGAGCCAGCTGTGGCAATCCGCGTGGGTCCCCTTCCACACTATGGAAGCTTTGTTCTTTCGTTCTTCATAATAAATCTTGCTGCTGCTCACTTTGGGTCTGCACCATCTTTAAGAGCTGTAACACTCACCGAGAAGGTCCATGGCTTCACTCCTGAAGTCAGCAAGACCACGAACCCACCAGAAGGAAGAAACTCCAGACACATCTGAACATCTGAAGGAACGAACTCCAGACACACCATCTTTAAGAACTGTAACACTCACTGCGAGGGTCCGTGGCTTCATTCCTGAAGTCAGTGAGACCAAGAACCTCCCCAGCCAAGTGGAACTATGAATCCAATAAACCTCTTTCTTTTATAAATTGTCCAGTCTCAGGTATGTCTTTATGAGCAATGTGAAAACAAAATAATACAGATGTTCACATAAAGACAAAATTGCTTAATGATGCATCTGTCAGAATATATCCCTGTCATTTTGCAAGGCATGACTGTATACAAAAACATGTCAATGTGAAGGAATGGATAAACTGAAAATATATGAGAGATTTACAATAATGAAATGGATCAGCATCACTAGGAAGGTGGAAAAAAAAGAGTGGCAAAGCCTCAGACAGAAGGAAAGCTTCTCCTTTAATTATGAAAAGAGGGAGAGGGAAAAAATGGCCAGAGAAAGGCAACTTTTCTAAATGTGGTATTAGGAAGTTAAAACAGAGCATTTGGGAAAGAGCGGTGAGGCCTTGTTTTATATTGGGGGAGAAAAGGACTTAAATTGTGTTGTATAATGTTGGATCTTGTGTGTGTGTCCCATTTGGATGTGGCAGTCAGCCAGAATAATAGTAGAATTTATTGCAGAAAGGACTCATTTATTCTAGGTACTACACTCTTCAGTAAATGAGAGGGAGTTATAATATACTTAGTAAAATAATAGTGACTAAAATCGTGTAGTTGGAGGAATAGGCACAGCCAGATGGCATAATGCTCAAAGGAACAGATGCTTTTAACATGAGGATGGAGCAGCAATGATCCTGAAACTACATTTGGGAGTGAATTGGATGTAATCTCTGCTTCCTAGCACTAATGTAGGTGGGGTGCAGGATAATGAGGAAGCTGTAATAGGAGTTATATTCTTAGCAGGTAGCTAGATTTTAGTTAGTGCAATGAGATAAGGGTAAAGTATAGTGAAAATATTTAGGTTGTGGGAGAGATATTTTAGCTAAGAATGTGAGTTCCAGAAAACAAGATGACACATTTTGGAAAAAAAGAAGTACAATGTGAGAAAGAATTGAGATAAAGGCAATAAATATTTACTATATAAAAAAAATCACTGAAGTGTTTACTTCCAAGGAGTTAGTTTTAAGTAGGTGAATTATATTTCAATAAAAATAATTTTTGAAAGAATAAAGAAGAGAGAGGACTAAAGGTGCTGTCATGAATAATGATGCCAAGAGGGAGAAATCAGCTGAAAACAATTTTCTCAAAGGGAAGAATTCCATCCAAAACCTGAAGAAGAGAGTTTGCAAGAGAAAGATTTGCAGGAGAGATTCTTCACTCTCTCTGTAGTGTTGGCTCAGCTGGCTGATAGGGAAACTCTGAACACTGACAGGCATATTACCATGAGGCACAAAATAAAAAATTCTGAAGGAGGTCAGAAGAAATAAGGAATCAGACACACGCAAATGACGTAACAAAAAAAGTTCGTGGATGTTTCTAGGAGCTTTATTCACAATTGTGAGAACTTTGAAGCAACCTAGACATCCTTCAGTAGATAAATGGATAAATAAACTGTGGTACATCCAGACAATGGAATATTATTCAGGGCTAAAGAGAAATGTGCTGTCAAACCAGAAAAGACAGAGGAAAAATAAATGTGTATTATTAAGTGAAACAAGTGAATCTGAAAATGTTATGTACTGTTTGGCTCCAATTATGTGACATTCTGGTAAAAGTAAAAATATGGAGATATTAAAAAGTAAGTCGTGGCCAGAAGTTAGGGGAGTGGGTGTGGGGAAGGATAAATGGAAAAATTAAAGAGGATTTTTAGGGTAGTGAAAACACTCTAAATGATACTATAATAATGGGAACATGACTTAGTAACATTTGTCTAAAACCCACAGAATCTACAACATCAGGAGTGAATAATGTAAACTATGGACATTGAGTGATGGTGTGTCAAATGAGGTTCATCAATTGCAAATGCAATACTTTGATGGAGGATGTTGATAATAGGGAAGGCTATGCATGTGTGAGGCCAAGAGATATGGGATATGTCTCTACTTTTCTCTTAATTCTGCTGTGAAACAAAAACTGCTCTAAAAAATAAAGTCTTAAAAAATGTATTCATATAGCATCATTATCTCCCAATGGGTAAGTAAGTACACTCTTGCGCTGCAAAAACAGAGAAGCAGATATTGTACATCACATGAAATGCATAAGCTCCTAACTTTTTTTCTTTTGTGTCTATCATAAATTTGTACTGTCCCACTGGAATTCATTCTCTATAGATGGGATTCAAATCAGAAAAAAATAACAATATAAAAATATAAAAGAACAAGGATTGCAATATACTTTTGTATATATCATCTATTATCAGCAAAAGAAAATACCTATTCTGTTCTAAGTTTAGTGTTGAATTTTGAATAGTGGAGAAAAACAGAAAATGAAGGCAGCCCTTACTGACAAATATTCCACGGAGATAAACCTGAGATGCTACAATATGGCAATTACATTGATATAATAGACAATAAAGCCACTGTAACAAATCCCGGGAGTTTCAAGAGGAGGGAGGAACACCCTGTTATCATGGAAGGATTCACTTCATGTGAAATTCATTGAGTCTTACGGGCTGTGTGTTGAGATTTTGTTATTTTAATATAGCTAGGTTCTTTTTTTTTTTTTGGAAGTCTTAAAATGTTATCTCAAGTTTTATTTGAGATTTTTTTTTTGTTTTTTCTTTTTTACAAATTGACACTGTACAAAGAGCTTAAATGGCCAGTTAAACTACTGCCTTAAAATCGTTGGCTTTAAGTAACAGAGGTAAAATTTCAATTCACATCAGAGCTTTCTAAAATGGCAATAGTACAAGCATATGACTTTCTCTAGTATCCAAAACCTGTTCTGGCTCTCCCTTGGCTAGAAAACAAGACAGCCTTCTAAAGCTGCCATAATGTCCTAAAATGCTTTCAAAGAAGTTGGTATACTTCATTCCCTTGCTTACCTTGGTAACACTGGACTAATCTGAAAATGAAGAAAATTCATTCAATAGTAACTTAAACAGTACTAAGTTAGCTCTGGACTTAGAAGGTTTGGTAAAGTTGATGACATTCAGAATAAGGTTCTCAGAAGAAAAGCAGTTTTCCAAAAATAGGCTAAAAAGCCTATATTAAAGAAAAAATGCCAAGAGTGAACTGAATACTTAAGTTTATCTGTTCCTAGAAGACTATGAGCAACACAATGGGAGCTGAAACACTACATATAATTTAGAATGCATTCTCCCAGAGCAAGTTTATAAGGTTTATAGAATAGTAATGGCCTTTCTAAATTTTCACTTGATGTTTAAAATTTTATAAGTTATTTATTATGTCATCAAATTAAGCCAATTCCATTAATTATGTACAAGTAGGAATAACTTCAGAAATGCCTTGAAAAAGGACAACGACAGACCTATAGACATAAAAAGTCTTTGCAAAGCTCATTTCCAAATCTATCAAATCTCAATTCCTCTTAAAATAAAAGACTAAACACATGTTCAGCCATTCCATCTTATTCAAGTTTAGCATTATGACAGAAATCTTAAAGGACTGCATTGTTGCTAAACACTGTCAATATTTCTTATATGCACCATTTAGACTATACCTTATTTTTTTTACTTCCCTTATAATATTAAAATAATGAATAAATATGGTCCTTTAGTTAAAGTCTTCTACCTTATCTTAAGTGAAATATAAAATAAGGTAGTTTTATTAATTTCTTACTAGAATTGGCTTAAAACCTATTTACCAAATATGAAATAGTAAACTTTTAAGTTTTACCCAGAAAGCAGAAGTATTCTGATCCACTCCTAATGTCTACATAAAATATTTCATCATTTTAGTTAAGTTTATGACATTTTTTGGACTTGTATTAATGTTGTACCTCAGAAAAAAATCCAATCAACCAATTACAGAAAGTATGCTTAACTGTTAACCTTTTGAAAGAGGCAAAAAAAATTATTTATGAAAACCTAAAATAATCTGATTAACAATTGATGCTGAAAAGTTCTTCAAAAACTGAGGAATAATAAATGTAGTTTTCCTGTATTTCGCCTACTATTAATGGAAAACAGAATGGCAAAATTTCTAAATGGAATACGTTAAAAGTACAAGAACCGAAAACACTGGTAACATTTCCTTTGCTTTATGACAGAAACATTTTCTAGGATGAAAACAGTGACATGTAGTTTTAGAGAATCTGAAATTTCTACATTCAAGAATGGAATTAAAATTCAACGTAAGGGGAAAAAAGCAAAATATAGCTAGTGGTATCGAAACGTTAAATAAAACCTCAAAGGCAAGGATGGCTGCTGTTTTGTTCCAGTCATTGTTTCACAAAATGTTGGCTGTGTCATAAGTTATCTCCTGTGCTTTCTATCAACCGAGGGCTGCTGAAGTACAAGACTTTTCTCGTAAAGGAATTGACATTGAATTCCTTTGTAAATTCAATCTCAGTTGAAGTGTCGAGCAAGGCGGGCAGATCTATAATCAGCACAAAGTTGTACGAAGGAGTGAAGTATATTCTTGTCCAAATTAGCAAGTTGTTCTCCTGAGCAGACTTGCTTTAAATTATCTGGGGCAACTACCAGAAGATTGCAAAGAGCATGCAGAGTATCAAAAAGATGTAATACCATTGGAATCTTGAAGTCTTTGGCACACTTCCTATATTCAGCTACATCGCAAACTGCCAACATGCCACCCATATAACTGTAGGAATATTGTTGAAGATGCTCATAGATAAGTCGATGAAAACATACTCCAAGTTCCATCAAAACTGTATCCACATTCTTCCCATCCATGGAATTTTTAATCCTCTCCACTTGTTTTCTTACATAAGCACAGACTTTTACACAGGCATTAGTATATTGAATCAAAACATTGTTTTCATCTTCTGGCTTAAAATCTGTTTTCTTTTGTTCTGCAGCCAAAATATGCTTCATCTGTCCAATCATACAATTTAATGTCCTATCAATGCCAGTATCCAATTTCATCTCCATTTGTTCAATTATTTCTTTTTTCTTCTGAAGGCATTCAGATAACTTAGGAGAAGAGCTTATTAGTGGCATAAGGTGATCATTAAGCTGTTTGTCAAAAAGATGAAAAATAGTATTGGCCTGTTGCACAACATCCAAAAAATAAAGATTTGCATTCCTAGAATCTGAAGAGGGAATTCCAGCAAGTCTTGTTTCCAAAGCATAATCAATATGCTCAATACATAAAAATTCCATGAGAATGGTAAAAATTCTGAAGGCATTCCCTGGCAAGTCAGAAGGATCAGAGAGCCTATGACATCTTTCAAAGGCTTGTTGGGTTTCTTGTAAAAGATTAACCACCAC
The DNA here is from genome assembly GCF_000001405.40 of Homo sapiens. Taxonomy (NCBI): domain Eukaryota; kingdom Metazoa; phylum Chordata; class Mammalia; order Primates; family Hominidae; genus Homo; species Homo sapiens. The sequence goes on along the minus strand of NC_000004.12, from coordinate 62,817,909 downwards.
TTCTTGGGATAGAAAAGTTTCCCCATAAGTATCCATACTTGGCCCAAGTGGTAAGTTGGTGTGTTGTCTAATTCTCTCCTTCAAATCTTGAATACCTCCTGTGCCAATGGATCTCTTTTGATGGTTTTTCGAATCATAATAGCGCTGTAGGATCATAGCACTTCTGCTTTTCAAATATCTAGTCTCCACCTCAATATAGTTCTCCAAATAGGAAATGAATATGGATTTGATAAGCTTAGACGAGAAAGTCTGATATATTTTGAATAAGTTTAGCCAGGACTATTTCTGGGTTACTGAAGATATCTCCAACTCGTTTGTTCACTCGTTGACAGAGTATTGCAGCATCTTCAAATATATCATTTCTCAAATAAGCACCCACCTTGCACTGCTTTGTATAGACATCAACACAAAGGGAATAACCCTTAAAATGAAGTAAAACTGCTGCTACTTCTCTCATTCTGGAGATTTCACCTCTTCTTTGAGCAGCGGTAAACTCCTGAATCAGCTGGCATTCTAAATCATGGTATTTACTTGCAATTTTTGACTTAACTTCTGAAAATCTATCAAAAGGTAACTCTTGGGCAATTAGGTGCAACTTCTGAATGATGTCTGCTGCTTCCTTTATATTTTCAGAATTTGTAAAAACATCAGATTTCAATTCTCCATCCAGAAACTCATTAAAGTATTTCATCAGTTTCTGAGCCTGCACTGCCCATTGTCTGGGTGTGTTTACCCCTCTAACTGGTCTCCAAGGTGAGAGACTTTAGTTGCTACATAGCTAATGTGCTCATCTAGTTCTTGGAAATGTTGGAAGGCAACCTGATTGCTTTTCTGCAGCTCTTGTACCTTCTTGGCAAATTCCTTGGCTTCTTTCTGACATTGTTGCTCTAGTTTCTCTCCTTTGAATCCTTTCATCCATTATCTGGAGTTCCTGAATATGATTTACAAATTCTTCCAATAATCTTTTAGGATCAAAAGCTTCAGGTCCACCTCTAGAGCCTCCTCCTGGGGTTCTCCATGCAAGACGTTCAATATATTCATCTGCCACAAAAGCCTCCTCGAAGAGCTCGGCCATCGTAGCCATCCGGGCCGGCTGAGAGGCTCGCCCCGCACTGGATGCCGTCTCCGCGTCACATGCTGCGCCTCAGAGGCGCGGCGCACAGGTGTCCCAGGCGGGGCGGGAGAGCGGCCATGAAGCGAAGCCGCAAACGCCTGTCAGCTGCCTCCCGGTGCCGCCCGCGCTGCTCCTAGGTTCTTTTTAAGAGGTGTTTTAAAGGTGTTTCACTTTATACTAGAATAACACAAAGAAAATATTAAGAAGATTTAACAAGAATAAAATCATAATTAATTACAGGCATATCAGTGTCTGAGAAGATGATGTGTAGAAAACTGATTTGAGCAGGAATAGTCTGTATTACAGTTTCCTGATATGATTTTCTCGGTAACTGGGAGAACTAGACAGAAGATAAAGGTAATAGGGTTTAAGAGTAGAAAGACAAAAAGTATATATATTTTCTGGAGAGAAAGTAAGCAGCTTGGTTATATAATTTATTCATAAGTCATCAGTTCAAAAATATTAAATTATATAAATTAATAATCGATTCATAATTCAGAGAGTCGTTGTCATTCTTATAATGTGGACAGAGTAAAGACTGTCAACTTTTCATTACCCATTGTTTAAAGCCCACTGGAATTTTAGTTCATGTTTTGGGCATTGATCAAAAGATTCTGACTTTGATTTCCTTGTTCTGTAGAGTTAAATTATTTAGACTCTATTTTCATCTTAAAGGAAGGCCTCAAACACTCATAGGAATCTTGCAAGATTGCCCTCTAGTACTATTTTGTTTATCCTTATCCATCCTTGGATGTATCTTGGTTAGAAGAGAAATAAAAAATATTTCAGAACTCCCTGTACCTAGTGTATTAGTACTTCAATAATAGCACACAGGGCAAAATTTTAGAGATGGCACTTATGTTCTCAGCAATTTGATAATTTATTACACCTTTAGGTCTATTCCAATTTTTCAGTTGTAAAGTTTTAAAAATGACATTAAGTAGAAGGTTTATTTTCATTGGTGGAAAAAAAAATAATAACCTTCAGACTTTTGTGACTGGTAAGGTTGCAGAGCAACAGTATAGATGTTTATAAAAGTAGAAATGGCATAGCACTTCACCAATAGAACTGCTGATACAAGTGGGAATGAGACATGCTGCAGAAGAATATACTGTGTGGCTTTTTATGTACAAAACAGCCATTATTGAATTTTTAGAAAATTGTTAATATTTTAAAATTATTAATAGTTTTAATAATAGATTGTTAATATTAATGATTAATATTAATAATATTGAATAAAATCCATTGTTATTTCATATTAAAAATACTATTTATCAATATTAGTGTCATTTAAAGTAATAAAATTATTAATAACAAATTTTTTTAAACACTGGAAAATATTTTCTGACTGAGCAAACAATAGAATAGAATAAAATACAGTTTAAAATATAGCTTAAATAAAGTGAAATGAAATAATAGAGTAGGGTGAGAGGTGAAATTACAGATAACTCAAAACTCATGATTAATATCAAAGTATATCAACATTTGATATCTAAGGAAGAGAAACCATTTTGGAATAAATTCTGATTAAAGCTTGGCAGAAAACTGGGATAAGATAGTGAAAGAGTTAAAAATATACCACCCTGGCATATTGACTGTTATGAAATAAAGGCACTTGAAAAATGGCAAGCACAAAAAGATCATGCTGACCTCTTTTCTGTTTTCTAAAAGCAGAAGGTGAAATTCCTGCGTGAAAGCCACTCTCCCTATACAAGAAAGAAGGCAACATCCTTATCTTCAAGGACAAGAAGTCAAGGCTCAGGGCTGAGACAACACTGCACAGACCTTGTTGGAATAACTCATCTTTTCAGTCTCTCACATAATTTAGTTGCCTCTTCACAGCATACTACTCTGTGTCCAATTCAGTAAACAGTACCCTTAACTTCTTCTTTGGTCTTCACTTCTTTATGAAGGCTTCTATGCCACATAAAATTTGCATTACATAAGTGTGTATGCATTTCTCCTGTTGGTCTGTCTTATGTCAATTTAATTCTCAAGCCCAGCCAAAAGAAACCCTAAAGGGGAAGCTCGCCTACAATAGCCTTTCCTTCTGAGCTCATTTGGCAGCAGCTAATTAGGATATTGCCTTATTTGTTCTCTATCTGCCCCCAGCGGCAACAGGCTGAGAAAGTGAAACTCTTACTCCTGGTTACTGCAGAAAGGGGAAATAGAGGATGAACTGGGAATGGTGCAATTCATAGAGAAATTCAACTTAATAAAGGGCTAAACAGTCACGTGTACACAAGAAGCAAACAGTTACTATGAATTAATTGATTCAAGCATAAGACAAGAGGGAGTCACAGAAACTGCAAATTAGAAAAGAATACAGTTGGTCACTGAAGGCATTTAAATTTAAAGGAAAATAATTACGAGGTTCAAAACAGACAAACAAATGAAAAACAACAATAACAAAATGTGTATCTGTGGCCAGATAAATTCCATGGGCCCCCAATTAGTTTCTTCTTTATTAAAAAGACAGAATAAGTCATAGACAAGATGAGCACCTGGCTTTATAAATGAATTAATGTAGTAAATATACTGAAGGAAAGCATATGCCAGTAATAGAAAGAATAAAAATCAAACAAAAATTTAAGTCAGAGAGGCAAGTATTTGTAAGGGCTAGCCAATTTCCTAACTCTATGGGAGAGGTAACTACAAAAATTATTCCTAAAACCTGATTTTTCTCAGGCCTTGAAAATTTGCAGGCTCCTAAAGTTTAAAGCACATTTTAGGAAACGCTGTGTAACACAGGATGTCCTATTATCTACAATGTCTACTCTTACATTTCTGTTTAAGAACAGGAACATTCTTACAGTGTTCCCAGCTTGTAGAACATAAGAATACTCTATCACCACTGTCTCTTCGTCTTTAAAGCTGCACCCTCTCAATTTCATAATGCCTTACCAGTTACTGCCTTTTATCTCCTTCATTGAGACCACTCATGTCCTGCCTGTATCTGCTGTCTTGGTCAGATATAGTTATTCTAAGTTCTTTGACCTACACCATGGTCTCATACTTCTCCATGTAGCTCATAAGTTCTGTCCACCAAGAAGAGTTGGAGCCCCAAGTAACTATAACCCAGAACCATGCTGTCCAGGATATACTGCTTTAATTCACATTGATATTGTATCAAGTTGGACCAGTAATTTTTATATGTGGAAAGACCTTCCATCTCATGTGTTTCCACTGAAGTAGAAGGATTATTTTGATTTTTTAATGACAATATTTTTCCCAAGGCTTTTTAATTGTTGCACTGTATGAGAAATATCCAACATTTGGTTATCTGTCACACAGAGAACAAAAATGTGAACACAGAGAATAATAACATTGCAATCTTCATTCAGGAGATACAAGAAATAGATACTTTCTCACCCTAATTCCCCTTATAAAATACTAATCCTGAGCCAGAAGTAAAGGGAAACACCTTTTTATTCAATGTGCAACCAAAGTTTAGATTTAGGTTGCACTGGATTTTGTTTTTTGTTTTGAACTGGATATTTTAATGCCAAATTGAATATTCTCCTTATACTCCAAATTGATTGCATTATATAATCTTCTGGGGAATCCAGTGAGGGTAAAGACAAGGAGCCAAGAAAGTCATTTGCTAGATGACAACCTATAGCAAGATTCTTTTGCCTGATTTAAAGGAATAAGGGTTTGTCAGCAGATCATATATGTGGCATTATTTGTAAGTGAATTTGAATCTATTATTTAAAATAGAATTAAGGTACACAAATGAGAGAAGAGCATTATAATCATAATAATATATTAGCTATAATAAATGATATGTTATTTTTAGTGGAATTAGGAGAATTTTGAAGAAGAAGGAATTATCAGGAGATATTGCTTTGCCTACCTGTAAAAAGTAATTTGCATATGCCCAAAGCAATAATATTTAGAACTTATTGGAAGTCAGTTGAGTTCTTGATAGAAATGGCATTTTAAGTACAGTTTCCAGAAGGTTGTTTGTGATTTCTAAAATAAATGTTAACAAGATCTATCAAAATACTATTTTGTATATCGTTTTTATTGAAATCATATGCTTTCCAAGCACGTGGATCTATCTGCTTGGCTATCTATCTATGCCAACTAATCAGAGAGATTTTTCTTAGTTGTTATTTGCTTGACTATAACTTTCAAATAAAATGCCCACATTTCCATGGTTATGGACAGAAAATATCCTGCTTTCTTTATGCTGTGTCATCTAATCCTTAGCTGAGATAAGTGTTTAAAATACATATTTCTTCGTTATCCTTCTTATTTCTTATTTCTGGTTTGTTCCTCATTATGCTATCCTTTCCTATTTTCCGCTTTCTTCCAAATAAAACTTCAAATTTCAATTCCAACCTTATCTTAAACTTTATTTATTTATTTATTTTTGCTTTACCTAGCAGTATTTAGTTCAATTCTAAGTGTCAGTCATACAAACTTTTATTCAGTGGGCTATAGATGATCTGAAGACTCAAGACTTGAGTCTGTAATGGAAAAGTTTAAGGCAAGAATTCTTAGATGAAAAAGATCAAAAGAACTAAAACATTATTTATAATTTATGAATTATTACCCATCCACTTCAAAAACAATTCAGGATAAACTGACTTTATTGAAATAAAATTTGAAATTCTTCATGTATGTTCCTTGTGAACAAAGATAAAATTCCCTTTGACAAATATTATACAATAATAGGTCATTGTAGAAAGTGTGCAAAAGTAAGAGGTGATACGTTTAAGAAGTTCTTTTGCGTTTATCTGTATTGAAACTTCTCCTTGTTGACCTTCAAAGAAGCCATAATCAACTCTGGAATTGGACTGCTTCCATTTGAATACTGATTCCTCCCCACAATAGTTGCATTCAATTGGGCAAGATACTATTTCAGTGTCAATTTCATCACTTTTAAAGTGGTAATAATTGTATTAAACTAGGTCATAGTGTTGTAGAGAGAATTAAATAAGTTAGTACATATTAACTTAAAAGAGTGTATGGTAGTTAATAATTACATAATAAGTAATAAAATTGGCCGGGCACAGTGGTTCACGCCTGTAATCCCAGCACTTTGGGAGGCTGAGGCAGGTGAATCACATGATCAGAAGTTCGAGACCAGCCTGACCAACATGGTGAAACCCTGTCTCCACTAAAAATACAAAAAATTAGATGGGCATAATGGTGGGCACCTGTGATCCCAGCTACTTGGGAGGCTGAGGCAGGAGAATCACTTGAACCCGGGAAGCAGAGGTTGCAGGGAGCTGAGATTGCACCACTGCACTCCAGCCCTGGCGACAGAGTGAGACTCTGTCTCAAAAAAAAAAAAAAAAAAAAAAAAGTAATATCATTATTGTTGGGGTTATTTTTCAAAAATTTTAAAATAATTCAATTGTTCATATCATTTATAAATTGGCTGATTCTAGAGAACAAATTTATTACATTTTTAAAATTCTTAATTGTATTAGGGTTCTCAAGAAAGATAGAACTAATAAGATATATATATCCTATTATATATATAGATAGATTATATATATCCTATTATATATATATCTATCCTGTATATATGGGAGTTTATTAGGAGTATTAACTCACAGGATCACAAGGTCCCACAACAGGCCATCTGCAAGCTGAGGAACAGAGAAGCCAGTCTGAGTCTCAAAGCTGAAGAACTTGGAGTCCTATGTTTGAAGGCAAGAAGCATCCAGCAAGGGAGAAAGATGTAGGCTGGGAGGCTAAGCCAGTTTTGTCTTTTCACGTTTTTCTGCCTGCTTTGTATTTGCTGGCAGCTTATTAGATGGTGCCCACCCAGATTAAGGGTGGGCCTGTCTTTCCCAGCCCACTGACTCAAATGTTAATCTTCTTTGGCAACACCCTCACAGACACATCCAGGATCAATATGTTGCATCCTTCAATCCAATCAAGTTGACACTCAGTACTAACCATCACAATAATTAATTATCCCTGATGCCAATAAAAATTAGATGTTTACCTAAAATTAAATAACCTAAGAAACTTAAATCTAGAGGTTTGTTCCATTTTCCTTTTAAACTAAGCAAAGATAATTTTATTTTACTATGGTAAAACAAATCGCTTATAGAAATTCTATTTTAACTTGGGAGTCTATAGTAAGGGAAGCATTGGGTAAAGGATAGAAGAAATAAATTTTGTCTTGGGATTCTAAAACTAAGAAATAAAAAGAAAAACATAATTTTCAGTGCATTCATTTTTAAATAATAAAATTCCTCTGGTTTTATATTTAAAATTTTTATGCTCTAAAGTTTATTTTTAATAAGTTATTTTTAAGCTAATTTCAAAGTATCAAATTTTCATGAATAGGAAAATCCAAGTTTTAGTTCAGTACACACAGCCATTTTTTGTTAATGAATGGAGTGTGCTCTATTTATACAGAAAATTAAAATGATAAAACATCTTCATGCCAAGGTTAATATCTAACATTAAATGAATATAACTTTTTAGCAGTTGTAGATATTACACACAGGTACACATGTAAAATTTTTACAATTATATATTATAACATATATATATCATATATAATCTGTTTTATGTTTCCTACTTTGGTGTTGAATATATGAGTCATCAGAAAAGCATGTAATAGCCAACTTTAGAATATTTTCAAGGTTAATATTAGTCCATGGAGTTTTTAACAGAATGAGAAGGAGTGCTGAATAAATACAGACTTTCTAATATGGCCTAGAAGTTTTCTCTGACATCAGATTTTAAACCAAAGCTTAAATTCATAGATGATTTGCCTGTGTCAACCATAATAAGTATGTAAGATATCTAACATAGTTTTGCCCTTGACAGGAACTCTTCTTCTCTGTTCAGTTTTATTTCATGTGTTAAATTCACCACTACCTACTGGGCGCAGTGGCTCACGCCTGTAATCCCAGCACTTTGGGAGGCCAAGAAGGGTGGATCACAAGGTCAGGAAATCGAGACCATCCTGGCTAATACGGTGAAACCCTGTCTCTATTAAAAATACAAAAAATTAGCCAGGCGTGGTGGCGGGCGCCTGGCGTCCCAGCTACTCCAGAGGCTAAGGCAGGAGAATGGCATGAACCCGGGAGGCAGAGCTTGCAGTGCTCAGAGATAGCGCCACTGCACTCCAGCCTGGGCGACAGAGCGAGACTCCGGCTCAAAAAAAAAAAAAAAAAAAAAAAAAAAAAAAATTCACCACTACCTATAAAGTGCATTTTAATAATGTGAAACTTAATGATATTAAAATATAATCATGATTATTTTCTGTCACAAGAAGTTTTACCAATACAGAAGTGTGAGTGTATCAAAGCCATATGCAATAATATATTCCTTAGCTACATATGTGCATATTTGGTACGTAATTACATTTATCCCTTGATGTCTAATATGTGACTAGTATTTTAGTGATATGAGCTCAAAAGAAAATATAATGAGTATCCTGCACTTCTTTATTCTAGGAATTAGAGGATTTTTTTTCTTTTTCTTTTTTTTTTTTTTTTTTTTTTTTTTTGAGATGGAGTTTTGCTCTGTGGCCCAGGCTGGAGTGCAGCGGTGCGATCTCCCCTCACTGCAAGCTCCGCCTACCGGGTTCACGCCGTTCTCCTGCCTCAGCCTCCAGCCTAGCTGGGACTACAGGCGCCCGCCACCACACCTGGCTAATTTTTTGTCTTTTTAGTAGAGACAGGGTTTGACCGTGTTTGCCAGGATGGTCTCGATCTCCTCACCTCGTGATCCACCCGCCTCGGCCTCCCAAAGTGCTGGGATTACAGGTGTGAGCCACCGCGCCCGGCTGGATTATTTTTTCTTAATGATAAAATACTAGGGTCTTATTGTAAAACAATCACATGTATCAGTTTTTTAAATAAATGATCAGAGTCTTAATGTGATTTATATTTCATGTACATTTGAAAGACATTTATAGAAAGTTATAACTTGTGACGGTTAATACTGAGTGTCAACTTGATTGGATTGAAGGATGCAAAGTATTGATCCTGGGTGTGTCTATGAGGGTGTTGCCAAAGGTGGTTAACATTTCAGTCAGTGGACTGGGAAAGGCAGACCCACCCTTAATCTGGGTGGGCACAATCTAATCAGCTGCCCATGTAGCCAGAATAAAAACCAAGCATGAGAACATGAAAAGATGAAACTGGCTTAGCCTCCCAGCCTACATCTTTCTCCTTCACTGGATGCTTCCTGCCTGGAAGATAGACTCCAAGTTCTTCACCTCTGGGACTCCGACTGGCTTCCTTGCCCCTCAGCTTGCAGATGGCCTGTTGTGGGACCTTGTGATCCTGTGAGTTAATACTCCTTAATAAACTCATATATATCCTATTAGTTCTGTGCCTCTAGAGAACTCTAATACATACCTTAACCAGAATATCAACTTTTCATTTGCAATTAAAAACTATAATGGAATGTTACTGTTCAAGATAGTAGACTAGAAGAAGCTAGTGGCACCTCTGTCATGGAGAAGAATTAAAATGAAACATAATAGCACTTCAAGGACATCTTCTAAGTGAGCACACTTGAATTAATCAGAGAAGCAATACAAATTACGGAAAGCAGAGGAGAACAAAGCCAGGCTGCCTGCTGAGCTTGGTCCTGCATGAAGTTGTGGGAGGCTCCCTAAAGCAGGGAAGGCATGAGTGAGAGATCCTCTCCAGGGTTCCACACTGCTGCCATGGACTGTTACAATCCTAGCTACAGGAGAGCCTCCTCAATACCCCCAGGCCTCCAGAGGGACACAGGAAGCTGCCTGGAGTCTTCACAGAGGCACTGCTCAAGCCCAAGTAGAATCCCACAGGCTTTAAATCCCTAAGTGGCCTGGTACCAGCTGACGTGACTCCACCAAAGAGGGAGACTGGGGTACGGAACTTACGCATGCTCCAAAGACAGATATAGCAGCAATGGTACAAAAGAATGGGCAGACAATGCACTTCACAACTCCCTACCCCCTCTGCTCTCCCACTAAATGGAGCCCACCTGCTTTGGCATCAGGTCCCCAGCACCTGCAGCCACCCTGCCCACACTTGAGTACTTTGGCTATTGGCATGGTGTTCCTCTGAGAGCCCAGCCCCCTTTTGTTCCCATTGCAGTCGCCACTACCACTGTGCCACTCCTGCTGTCCCTAAGCCTGGGAAAGAGTGAAGAAGCCAGGCACCTTCATGAACCCCCAACAGCAAAATACACTGCCGCTTCTGTGGAAGGGAAGTGCAAGTGGGTCACAAGCCCCACAGCTGCAGGTCTCCATTGTTACAGCTGGCAGGGGCCTGCCTTCCCCAGTGAATGACTCACAGCACAGCCACCTTGCTTCCACTTGACCATTTCAACTGTGGCCTGGAGCCCTTCTGAGGGCCCAGCCTGCACAGGCCTATAATCTGCCCTGAGTCTCCCTTCACCTGAGCAGTCTGCCACCCCCTGAGCATTCTGCTTGACCCCATCACAGACTTCTGCTGGTGATCTGGAGACAGTCCACCCAGCCCTATCACAGCCAACACTTGAATTCTAGGGCCCCGGGAACAAGTCCATCGGCCAGGTCCCAGTCAGTATCTTCATGCACATTGTATGGTGGGCCATCCAGGGGCCAGGGAATTGGGGGATTGCCTAGGTCAGTCTAACACTGCTGGCACCTGACCACTTCCCCCAGGGACTGAGGTCAGGTTGACCTCAGCCTACAGCAACACATCTGACACCCACTTGCACATGACAAAAGGCAACACCCCTGCCCCTCTCTACATGAAGCAGCAGTGTTACCGTGTCATTGAACAGGAAAGCCACAGAGCTGCCTGGATTGAACTGAGTAAACAGACTCCACCCCTAAACCACTCCCACAGAGTGCCACAACACAGGCATTTTCTGTCGCTATGATCGACACTGTGGCCAGGAGATAGCCAACAATGTGCATTCGAACTGAGAGTCACCTGGGACAGGCCCGTGATAGGTAAACAGATCAGTTTCTACCTATCTAGGAGGTGGAGTTGGTGCAGTCACCTCTCCACCTGCAGAGACTTTTGTTCGTTTTACTGGGAGTTCCCTTTACACCCCTATCAGGGCTGTTCCTGAGGTTGTCATTGGGGTAGTTGTGGGCATACCAGGTGGCCAAGCTGTGCCCAGCTATGCCCTCCCTTCCAATGAATAGGAAGTTCAAGGCACCAAGCATTCCACCACCCAGTCTATCACCTGAGGCAACAGAGAGCACCTCACAGTAAACAAAGATCAAGTACATACCCATCTGCTTTTGCCACAGCTGGTTCTTACCCACAAGCTCCACTGACTGGCCTGTAGGTTGAACAGCACAACCCAATATAAAACACGCTGACAGAAGTGTAGAAGTGAAGTCAAAAGAGCCTGCCCAGAAAACTCCATAGTAACATCTTCAAGGAGAAAAAATAAATAAATATAGAGAAAAAAAATCTGATTTAAACAAAAGTAACTTAACAAATAAGAAGTACTACCGTTTCTGCATAAAAAGGAACCAGTTTAAGAATTCTGGCAGTATGAAATCTGGTATCATCAAAGTATGACCCCATCAAAGTATCACACCAACTCTCTAGCAATGGTTCCTAACCAAAATAAAAATTGAGAAACGACAGATTAAAAAGTCAAAGGATGGACCAGGCGCGGTGGCTCCACACCTGTAATCACAGCACTTTGAGAGGCTGAGGCGGGTGGATCACAAGGTCAGCAGATAGAGACCATCCTGGCCAACACAGTGAAACCCCATCTCTACTGAAAACACAAAAAATAGCCAGGCGTGGTGGTACATGCCTGTAATCCCAGTTACTCAGGAGGTTGAGGCAGGGGAATTGCTTGAAGCAGGGAGTTGGAGGTTGCAGTGAGCCAAGATCGCGCCGTTGCACTCCAGCATGGTAACAGAGTGAAATTCTGCTTCAAAAAAAATAATAAATAAATAAAAGAGAAAACGAAAAACAAAATTCAAAGGATGGATTGTAAGGCAGCTTAATGAGACCCAAGAGAATGTTGAAAACCAACAAAAAGAAACCACAAAATCAATCCAGGTAATAAAGGAAGAGATAGACATCTCCTAAAAAAATCATGGAAATAAAAAATTTCACTTAAGGAATTTCAAAATACTATTTAGAGCCTTAACAATAGACTAGATAAGGCAGGATAAAGAATTTCAGAGTTTAAAGCCTGGTCTTTCAAATTGACCTAAGCAGCAAAAAATAAAGAAAACAGAATTTTAAAAATGAAACAAAGCATTCAAGAAATATGGGGTTGTGTAAATTGACAAAATCTATGATTTATAGGCATTCCTGAGAGGGAAGAAGAAAAAGTAAAAAATTGGGAAAACATACTTGAGAGAACAACACAGGAAATTTCCCTGATCTTGCTAGAAATGTAGACTTACAGATACAAAATTTCAGAGAACACCTGGAAGATACTGGACAGATCATCGCCAAGGCATGTATTCATCAGTTAACCAAAATCACCATGAAATCACAAATCTTAAAGGCAGCTAGAATAGCCAGGTATGGTGGTACTTTGGGAAGCCAAGGCAAGTGAATTGCTTGAGCTCAGGAGTTCAAGACTAGCCTGGGCAACATGACGAGACCCCATCTCTAGAAAAAAAAAATATATATATATATATATATAAAGCCTGTAGTTGCAGCTATTAGGGAGTGCTGAGGTGGAAGAATCACTTGAGCCTAGGAGGTGGAGGTTGCAGTGAGTTGGGTTTGCACCACTGCACTCCAGCCTGGGTGACAAGGTGAGACAGCTATAGAGAAGTGTAAAATTGCCTATAAAGGGAATTCCATCAGACTAACAGTGGACTTCTCAGCATAAATCTTATAAACCAGAAAAGACTGGAAGCCTATTTTTAGTCTCCTTAAAGAGAAAAAAACAATGCCAGCAAAGAATTTTATATTCTGTCAACTAGCTTCAAAAACAAAAGAGAAATAAAGTTTTTACCAGACAAGCAAATGCTAAGGGAATTTATTACCACTAGACTGCTCCTACAAGAAATGGTCAAAGGAGTTCTAAATATGGAAACAAAAAGATGAAACTCGCTATCGTAAAAAGATAGGTAAGTACAAAGCTCACACATTCTATAAAGCAATTACACAATTGATACTTCAAGGCAACTATTTACCAACACTATGAAAGGAATAAAACCTCATGTGTCGATATTAATCTTGAATATAAATAGGCTAAATACTTAAAAGATAGTAGCAAATGGATACTAAAAAATAAAAGTCACACATGTTCTGCCTATAAGAGGCCTACTTAATGACTAAAGGCACCCACAGGTTCAAAGTAAAGGAGTGCAAAAAGATATACATGCAAACAGAAAACAAAAGCAACCAGAAGTAGCCATTATTATATTAGATAAAACAGACTAAGTCAACAACAGTGAAAAATGACAAAGGAAGAGATTATATAATGATAAAGTGTTCAATAAAACAAGATTTAACTATCCTAAATATGTATTCAACTAACACTGGAGGACCTACATTCGTAAAATAAATACTACTAGAGCTAAGAAAACAGATTGATAGCAAGACAATAAAAGTGGGAAAATTCCATATACTTCACTGTCAACACTGGACAGATCATTGAGACAGAAAATCAACAGAGAAGGCTGGGCGTGGTGGCTTATGCCTGTATTCCCAGAACTTTGAGAGGCTGAGGTGGGTGGATCACTTGAGGCCAAGAGTTTGAGACCAGCCTGACCAACATGGTAAAACCCCTGACTCTAATAAAAATACAAAAATTAGCTAGGGGTGGTGGTGCTTACCTGTAATTCCAGCTACTCGGGAGGCTGAGGCATGAGAGTTGTTTGAACCTGAGAGGTAGAGGCTACAGTGAGCCAAGATCATGACACTGCATTCCAGCCTTGGCAACAGAGAGTGAGACTGTCTCAGAAAAAGAAAGAGAAAAAAAAAAAATCAAAACAGAAAATTTGGACTTAAACTGGACTGTAGTCCAAATGGGTACAATAGACAATTATAGAACATTCTACTTGACAACATCAGCATGTACGTTTTTCTCATTTGTACATGGAACATTCTCTGAAATTGACCATATGCTTGGTCATAAAGCAAGTCTCAATAAATTTTTAAAAATCAAAATTTTATCAAGTACATCTTCTCAGACCGTAGTGGAATAAAAGTAGAAATTAATACCAAGAGGCACTATCAAAACTACACAAGTGCATAAAAACTAAACATGTACTTCTGTAGTTTTAATAGTTCCTCTTGGTATTAATTTGTGAATGAGTTAGTGGCTTTTGGGTAAACAAAGAAATTAGGGCAGAAATTAAAAAAAATGAAACAAATGAAAATAGAGACACAACACACCAAAATCTCTGGGATACTAAAAAAGCAGAGCTGAGAGGAAAGTTTACAGTTAAAACGCCTTCATCACAAAGATAGAAAGCTCTCAAATTAACAACCTAAATTCACACCTCAAGGAACTGGAAAAACAAAAATAAGACAAATAAATTGCAAAGATAAGCACAAAACTAAAGTTATTAAGGGCAAAAGAAAGATACAAAGTATATAAGAAACAAAAAGTTGATTCTTAGAAAGGATAAACAAAGAACAAATTATAACCTGTTAGCTAGATTAACCAAGAAAAAAAGAGAGAAGATTTAAATAGTACAATCAGAAATGATAAAGGTGACATTACAATTGACACCACAGAAATACAAGAGATCAGCAGAGACAACTATGAATGTCTCTTTGCACACAAATTTAAAAACCCAGAGGAATTGGATAGATTCATAGAAACAAACAACCTCCCAAGATTTAACCAGGAAGAAGTAGAAATCGTGAACAGACCAGTAATAACTTATAAAATCAAATAAGTAATAAGGACTATTTCAACAAACAAAAGCCCAGGACCAGATGGATTTACAACCAAATCTTATCAGGCCTACAAAAAAGAACTGGTACCAATCTTACTGAAACTATTCTAAAATTTGAGGAAGCGGGATTCCTCCCTAACTTATTCTATTAAACCATTATCACCATGATTCCAAATCAGGCAAGTACACAACAACAACAACAACAACAACAAAAAAAAAACTACAGGTGAATATTCCTGATGAACATAGATGCAAAAATTCTCAATAAAATATTAGCAAACTGAATTCATGAGAACATCAAAAAGATAATTCATCACAACTGAGTGGGTTTTATTCCAAGGATGCAAGAATGGTTCAACATCTGCAAATCAATAAATGTGATTTACCATATTAAACACAATTAAAAAACAAAAACCATATGATTATCTCAATAGACGCAGAAAAAGCATTCAATAAAATCCAAGAGCCCTTCATGATAAAAACCGTCATCAAACTAAGCATCTAAGGAACATACCTCAAAATACTAAGAGCTATACATGACAGACTCATAGCCAACATCATACTGAATGGGGAATAGTGAAAAGCATTTCCCCTAAGAACTGGAGCAAGACAAGGATGTCCACTCTCTCTCCTCCTATTAAACATCATATTGGAAGTCCTAGCCACAGCAATCAGGCAAGAGAAATAAAGGACATCAAATTGGAAAGAAGAAGTCAAATTATCTGTTTGCTGATGACATGATAATATGCCTAGAAAACCCTACAGATTCCTCCAAAATTCTCCTATACTTGGTAATTGACTTGAGTACAGTTTTAGGACACAAAATCAACATACAAAAGTTAGTAGCATTTCTATACACCAATAATGTTCAAAGTGAGAAGCTGAGAACCAAATTGAGATTGCCACAAAAAAATAAAATACCTAGGAATACATTTAACCAAAAAAGTGAAATATTTCTACTAGCAAAACTAAAAAACACTAATGAGAGAAATTATAGATGACACAAACAAATGGAAAACATTTCAGGTTTATGGATTAGAAATAGTGGCGATTCCTCAGGGATCTAGAACTAGAAATACCATTTGACCCAGCCATCCCATTACTGGGTATATACCCAAAGGACTATAAATCATGCTGCTATAAAGACACATGCACACGTATGTTTATTGCGGCATTATTCACAATAGCAAAGACTTGGAACCAACCCAAATGTCCAACAATGATAGACTGGATTAAGAAAATGTGGCACATATACACCATGGAATACTATGCAGCCATAAAAAATGATGACTTCATGTCCTTTGTAGGGACATGGATGAAATTGGAAAGCATCATTCTCAGTAAACTATCGCAAGAACAAAAAACCAAACACCGCATATTCTCACTCATAGGTGGGAATTGAACAATGAGATCACATGGACACAGGAAGGGGAACATCACACTCTGGGGACTATTGTGGGGTGGGGGGATGGGGGAGGGATAGCATTGGGAGATATACCTAATGCTAGATGACAAGTTAGTGGGTGCAGCACACCAGCATGGCAGATGTATATGTATGTAACTAACCTGCACAATGTGCACATGTACCCTAAAACTTAAAGTATAATAAAAACAAAATACAGAAATTAAAAAAAAGAAATATCATTATTGCTAAAATAAACATACTGCCCAAAGCAATCTACAAATTCAATGCAATTCTTATCAAATTACCAACATCATTTTTTACATATTAGAGAAAACAATTCTAAAGTTCATATGGAACTGAAAGTCTCCAAAGTGATCCTAAACAAAAGGAACAAATCCGAAGACATCACATTACCTGACTTCAAATTATACTATAAGGCTGTAATAACCAAATCGGCATGGTAATGGTATAAAAGTAGACACATAGATGAATGGGAAAGAATAGAGAACCCAGAAATGAAGTCATATGTCTACTACCAACTGATCTTTGACAAAATCAAAGAAAAATAAACAATGTGGAAAGGACACCGTATTCAATAAATGGTGCTGTAAAAAAGTTGATTAGCTATACGCAGAAGAATGAAACTGGACTTCTATCTCTCACCATATACAAAAATTAACACAAAGTGGATTCAAGACTTAAACATCAGACCTGAAACTATAAAAATCCTAGAAGGAAATCTAGGAAAAATCTTTTCTAGACATTGGCCTAGGCAAAAAAATAATTATGTCAAAAACCCCAAAAGCAAATGCAATAAAAACAAAAATAGACAAATGGGGCTTAATTAAACTGAAAAAAATTATTAAAAACTGGACAAAGGACATTAATAGATATTCCTTAAAAGAAGACATGCAAGTGGCCAACAAACATGAAACAATGCTGAATATAACCAACTATCAGAGAAATGTAAATTAAAACCACAATGAGTTGTCATCTTACACCAGTCACAATGGATACTATCAAAACATCAAAAACCAAGAGATGTTTGTGTGGATGCAGAGAAAAGAGAAAGCTTATACACTGTCAGTGGGAATGTAAATCGGTTCAACTTCTGTAGAAAACGGTATGGAAATTTCTCAAAGAACTAAAAATAAAACTGCCATTCAACCCGTGACTCCCACTACTAAGCGTCTATCCAAAGGAAAAGAAATTATTACATAAAAAGATACCTGTATGTGACGCACATGTTTATTACAGCACTATTCACAGTAACAAGTCATAGAACTAGCCTGTCTCCATGGTTGGACTTGGTATCCACATCAATGGTTGACTGGATAAAGAAAATGCATTACATGTACAGCACGGCATACCATGCAGTCATAAAAAAGAATGAAATAATGTCTTTTGCAGCAACATAGATGGAGCTGGAGGTCATTATTCTTAGTTATATAACTCAGAAAGAGAAAATTAAATACCACATGTTCTCATTATAAGTGAGCGCTAAACAATAGGTTCACATTCACATAAAGATGGAAATAGTAGACACTGGGGACTCCAAAAGAGGGTAGGTACAGAGGGGAATGAGAGTTGAAAATTTACCTATTGGGTACTATGTTCACTATTTTGGTGATGGGTACACTAGGAAACCCAATCCACAATTATGCAATATATCCATGTAACAAATATCCACATGTACCTTCTGGATCTAAATTTTTAAAAAATCATAGAGGTATACTGTAATTATGTTAATAAGCCAGATCTCCTTTCTAATTTGGAGGTATCTGAGTAATTCAGTTAGTGACAGCATTGTTTTACTAGCATTTTACCAGAACAAAGTTATGTAAATACTTTTTAGAATAGTTCAGCTCCAAGAAAATTAACCCTGCTTGTATGTAGACTGTTTCAGGACATGTTTTCACACTTTTAATCCCGTTGTCAATAAGTGGTATATTTTGACTGCTGTGGCCTGAATGCTTGTGCTTCACCCAAAATTAACATGTTAAACCCTAATCACCTGTAATGAAAATATAAGATTTTTCAAGGAGGCCAAAGAGGGGAAACTGATTCTAGTCAAATGACACAGATGGTTCAAACACCTGGACGTGATCAGTAACACATTCAGAAACTGGGTAAGGTATTTTCAAATACCAGTAAAAAGTTAGCATAGAAATGTCTATGATGTAAACTGCTTTTTGGAATTTGGTTCTATCTAGAGACAAGGGATTGTTGGAGAACTTTAATCAGTAAAGTGAGTTTTGTTTTTTGACTTTTTATCAACTTTGTAGTTTAGATGGAAATATTCACATATAAAAAGTCAATATCTAATATATAGAAATAAAGAAAAGCTAAAATCTACGATCTGATATTTTCTGTGCTGAGTAATTTGGAAAAAAATTCTTCAATTTGTCTTGGATGTTAGCAGAGATCTCCATGTCTTTCCTTAATCCCAGATACTGGTTAAAACTATTTCAAGATTATGTAGAGTTAAAATTATTTGACAACTCACAGCTTGTATACCTCCCTGTTCCTCCTGAGCTCCTCCCTTATCCAGTCTCCTTAGTCACACACATGTATACTATGTGTTAACATCTTCTGGGACAAGCATGGTATGATGCCTGAAGACCAGCGTATACCTTACCTTGGGGTTAATATTTCCCCATCCTTTTTCAATTTCTCAAACATTGAAGGCTCCTGTGCTTTATGGAGCTTATGATGCTTGCATTAATTTTACAAAGTGAAAATGAACACAGAAGATAGTTTGCTAAATTCTTATTAGTTTTGAAGTAGATTTCTTTACATATGCCATATAAATTGACATTAAAAAATATCATCATCAACCATATATTCCATATATATCACAAAACTATTTGCATAGCTCAGAAAAAGGCTTATATTTAGAATTTCTTGTCATTATAGGATAGTGTATACATGATATAGATTTTTTGTCCTTTTCCTTCTCACTAGCTGTACCAAAATTTCCAAACTAAGCTTACTTTTATCTAACTACCTATCTATCTCTGTCATCTGTCAATCATCCGTTATTTATCTATCTCTCCCACTTTTCTCCGGCCCTGGTTCCTACTACAATGTATACTAGCTTCCAAAAATGTCCCTCCTGTGTTGCTTGAAGATGTCTTACGTGACCCCAATGAGAACTTTCAGGTTAACTTACCTTGAAGCAGCTACAACGTTCCCTCTATTTCCTAACAGACTCTTTCACTGGGCACTGTAATGTATTGCAGATAACATGTCTGTGTGATATTTCTGTTCATCGTAGGCAAACTTCTGCTTACACTGGTGTTGCATCTTTTTCACTCCCATATTTTGTTGAGCAGGAGGAAGTGTTACAGCTTTTTTATTCTCCCAGTTTGGCAAGTTTTGAGTTCTTATTTTACGACCAAGAAGAATGAAGTATGCAGATGCCTGAGAGTGAGTAGGACATAGTAGAATTTTATTGAGTAACAGAAAGAAAGCTGACTGTGAGGCTGAGTCTGGAATTTTTAGGGCTTAGAATGGGGAAATGTGTGCTGACTGGTTTATGGGTAGGCTTGGAAAAAGCACCATTCATAAAGAGGTACAATAGTGCAAGGAACCTATCAAGGGCTGAAGTGAAGGCTTGACCTGGGACCAGTCAGTGACTGAGTACACCAAACAGGAATGGAAGTTCTCACTCCAGCCTGTGGACTCTATCCGGAACTGGTAGTTGGGTGTTCAGGCTTCAGACTATCCTTGGCTTGAAGGTCTAGTTTCACTGGGGACCCATCCCTGTCTGCCTAGGAATTTGTCTGCATCCTACTGGTATTACTGATATCGTTGAGGTTTTTTTGTTTGCGTGTTTGCTTTGTTTTCATTTTCCTTTGAATCAAGCACTGGCATTTCCACTGGGGATCACCAGCACCCTTATATGTTGGAGATTTTATGCAACAAAGTGGTAAAGCCTATGAAGTACTTAATGTGTACAATATGATATATTTCCTATAGAAGTCAATCAATTTTATTTTTCTAT
Organism: Homo sapiens; assembly: GCF_000001405.40. Lineage (NCBI taxonomy): Eukaryota > Metazoa > Chordata > Mammalia > Primates > Hominidae > Homo > Homo sapiens. The sequence goes on along the minus strand of NC_000004.12, from coordinate 62,797,574 downwards.
GATTTTGTGTTGTAATTTACTGCAGTAATACTGAAACACAAAGCTTTGAGAAAAAAAGCTATTGTGGTTTCATATAACTTTTTCTTTATTTCTTCATAAGTCCCGGATATGCTGGATGGGAAAACCACAGGATGCTGGAGGGAAAGGAAAATCCTAGTGATACATTCCAAATACTGCATTCCTAATCACCAAAACCTTCCTATGAGAGACTGAGACTTTGTTATTTACCACATGTGAATCTTAGGAGGAATTTTCTCCAGGAAGCTCTTGAGTCTTATTTTAATTAGCTCTGGCAGATCTTCCCCATCAGCTCACCAGACATTGTCAAATATGATTGAAGCCCAGCACTGACATCACCAAAGGTCAAGCTGGAAGTATTCCCTGAATTTCAGGGGCGACTCCCCTCAAAATAGTGTTGCATTCTACCATGTGCTTGTTCCTTGCCAGCTCTAACTTGTGACTTCCATTTTATATTTTCTTACTTAACATTGATGAACTAAATGTACTGCTGCTGGAATTACACCTAGGTATCCAAAGATGAGGCAAAACCAATCCAACAGTGGTGTATGACTATGCACACACAGACAAATATTGTGTTAGGGAGGAGGGACCCTGCATGGGCACATGAGCTTTTTAAGTTATACATTTGTGCTTGTATAGTGAAACAGTTTCATCCTCAAAAATGAATTCATATTTATCTTATCTAAAATCACTGTAGAAAAGACAATTTTCTAGTTTGAAATGCGAAGTACAACTATATTTCCCGGAAATATTAAGAATGTCTTCAAGAATTCTGTTCTTCCAAATGACTTCTTAATATGGTGTTTATTAGAAAATTTGCAGAATATTCTTTTCTACTTGGGCATTCCAAAATATTTCATATATGGGCGGTTACCTATGAAAAAGCTAGTATTGTCTTCACTTATAGTTTGAAAGTAACGGCAAAAACCGCAAGTGCTTTTGCACCAACCTAATACAATATGGAACTGTAGTTCTTCTTTGTTAGTTTAAATGAATTAAAGAAGCTTTGCGTTAAAGCAAAGCTTCCTACATATAGAACTAACAATAATATATGCTAAATTGCTACATATAAGTAAATTTAATTTAACAAAGCAATAGAATCATTTAAAATGGGAGAAAAAATAAAGCTGTTTTCTACAAATATAAGCTACTACCTACATCCTATTGGAAATATGCTTGGCATTATTGTCTAGACACTGAGATCCAGCATTCATAAAATAAATAAGAAAACATGGATTTAATATTATGGAATAAATAGAAAAATATAATAAAAATCAAACATGAAAATATGGAAAAAAATGAATAAGAAAGAAAACATCAAAATGATTTTAGAATGAGTGGCAGGAAAATATACAAATAAAAATGTATAATACAATGACATTAAAAATAATAAACTATGCAAAGAAAGCTTTTAAAAGGAGGAGGCTTAAAACAGAGAAGTCTAGTTATTAAGAAGAAAATATCTGTGGGCACGGTGGCTCACGCCTGTAGTCTCAACACTTTGGGAGGCCGAGGCGGGCAGATCACGAGGTCAGGAGATCGAGAGCATCATGGCTAACACGATGAAACCCTGCCTCTCCTAAAAAAAATTACAAAAAATAATTAGCTGGACATGGTGGTGGGCGCCTGTAGTCCCAGCTACTCGGGAGGCTGAGGCAGGAGAATGGCGTGAACCCAGGAGGCGGAGCTTGAACTGAGCCGAGGTTGTGCCACTGCATTCCAGCCTGGGAGACAAGAGCCAGACTCCGTCTCAAAAAAAAAAAAAATAAATAAATAAAAAAAATATATATATATATATGAATTTTATATTTTTCTGCTTATGTATATATGTATATATACATATATACACATATGTACATATATACATATATACACATATGTACACATATGTATATACACAGTTATGTACACTGACGTATATACACACTTATGTATATATACGTATATATACCCTTATGTATATCTATGTGATTCTAGTCAAGAACTTACAATAAAAGAAGTTAGAATAAAAGATTTCAGCCAAATGCCTGTGGTTATTACTCTCTGACAAGCTGAAAGGACAAAAAATTATCTTGCTTCAAAATACACTTTGTTTATCAGTATGCCCATCCAGTTCACAGTCGATAGGCTCAGCAGGGCCACTTTAATCCTCTATCTGAATGCCGATTTCTAGAAGTCAGATTTAGAATATATCAGGGATGCTAATTTTCTCTATTTAAATATCACCTTATATTCTGAAGTCCCCTTATGGTTTTGACTCCTGTGAATGGAACAGTCTCTTTACTTTGACTTTGAAAATAGTTCCTGAGATAAACATCTCAAAGCTATACTTTAAAATTCATATTTGAAGACTTATCAGTGATTTTTATCTAATAACATCTTCAAAACATAAATTATCTTTATTTGAAAAAATATGTTTTTCTATGTTTTCTAGATAGGTTAAATAGACTAACACAAAAATATTATAATTGCCTTTCCAACTGTCTTTGCTAGTTTTTCATTTGATACACTTTTTACCCCTATAATTCCTCAAAATAACACTTGAAATTAGAAAAAAAAAATTAATTTCCAATGTAATTTATTGCTTATATATTCTATTGCAAGGCTATTTGGATATATTCACCCTATCTAGTCTCAATTAAAAAGCATGAGGTAAACAAATATCCTTTTCTAAAATGTCCTGCAGAGAAGACAAGATGCACTTTTTAAGGTTTCAAGCCAGTCAGGTGAATCAAGAAATCGAGAGGTCTCTTAGATGCTTCATCTTCATTTTAGTATTTCCCTTCTCCCACTTTTCCACTTTGTGATATTTCCTTTAAGAAGGTATCAGTTGATTTTTGCTAATTAATCAAAAGTTATTGGGGAACAGTATTCAGGTGGCTGAATACAGGTAGCAGCTAATGAAACCTTAATGTGTAATTTTCAGAGGTCCTGTGTGAAATCCTCAATGATATAGGAAAGAAATATAATTCTGAAACCTCTAACAAGGACCAAAGTAAATATACTGGTGTTTGTTATGAGGTGAACTGTGTTTCCCAAAAAGATATGTTGTCATTCTAAGTCCCGTATTTATGAATGTGACCTTATTTGAAAATAGCATCTTTGCATATGTAATCAAGTTAAGATGAAGTCATTCCTGACTAGTATAGCTTATAATCCATTATGAATGATGGCCTTATCAATAGGACAAAGAGAAGAGACACAAACACACAGACAAGAGTCCCATGTGAAGACAGAGGCAGAGATTGGAGTGATAAGTCTGTAAGTAAAGAATTTTAGGCAACCACCAGAAACTGGGAGAAGGAAATGAAACAGATTCCTCCTGTGAGCACACGAAAGGAGCTAGCCCTGTCAACATCTTGAGTTTAGACTTCTAGTCTCCAGAAAGGTGAGATAATAAATCATGTTGTTTTAAGCCCTGAAGTTTGTAGTAATTTGTCACAGCAGACCCAGGAAACTAATACAGTATTTTTATTTGGTATCCTCCGAAGGTAATTACTTAATATATACTTCTGCTCCATGGAAGACCCCTAGAAAAACAGTAAAGATACATATTCAAAAAGTTGCTGATCTTTAAGGTCAATAAATGGGAAGAATGCTAACCAAGTAAAAGGTCCTGAAAGAAGCAGAGTGTATATTCCAGTTTACCATCTCATAAATTATTATTTCGATAACCATCCTATCCCTCTATATGACAATATAAGCCCATGCCAGTCTAGGACCTCTCTTAGTACTTTTATATGTGAAATCTTGATTAAAATGATTATAAAGGAAAGGTAGTCACACTTAAAACGAAAACAACTATTGAATTTGCACAGTTCAAAAATGAACTGTCGTTGGAAAACTTAGCAGATGGAAGTTACCTAGGAGTTGAGAACTGCATATTTAGTCTTGGGCTCCTCTAATCGACTAGATATATGCAAATCTGTTTAAGTTTTCTAAGCCTAGGTATCCTCATCTGTAAAATGAAAAGTCAGCCAGGATACACTGGGTGTCTACATGCTGCCTAAATTGCTGGCAGTAACCAACCTATTTTAGATACATATGCTTCTTCAATTTTCTTTCAAGTCAGAGAAACAGGAAACAGTTTATCTTGACTCGTTTAACACTGAAAAGGCAGCTACTTACAGCTTACTTTGAACAAGGTACAATACAAGAAGAGTTATAGATACTACATTAAGACTTTATTTAACTTAATCAATTACCACGTTATTTCTCTCTCCTTTAAACCCTAATTTTTACTTTTACCTACATATCCTTTTTATTATATTATCTTCTTTTGTTGTTTTATAGGTCCTGTGATGTCACTTTTCATTGTTTTCCACTTACTACTAGAGTTATCTTTCACTTTGAAGAGTTATCTTTCATTTTGAAGAGACAAGAGACTTCCAATCTTCTCTTCAGACTATTTTTTCTAAAAATCTATTTTGAGTCTCTGTGATGTAGAATTTCCTTTTATGCTCTTTATTCTGCTACAGGAACATATGTCTTACTACCCAACATCCTCCAATTTTAAAAACTAACTGACTCAGTGTACACATTATATGACACTCTCTAAGATAGCATAGCTCCTTTAAGAAGAAGAATATCCACTTGAAAGAAGTACTGAATTTTATAGTTTAACATCAAGATCAGGGAGTGGGGGAAAACGAAGCAAAAAACTTACACCGAATACCACATATTGCTTTTTCTTGTATTCATTTCTCTCCAGTTCAAAACCAGAATTAAAACTTAAGTGAACACTGAGATTAGCAGTTTGTCATGATTCTAAATCTAAGTATTACTGTGTGTTCTAAATTATTTTTTTTATTATTATTTAGACAAGAAGTTTGCTGATCCTTTTAATCTTTTTTTTTTTTGTATATGTCACTCTTAAAAGTTTTTCTAAACTTTTTTATTTCTTAATTCTTCTGGTGCGACAAAGTCTAGTATCTGTAGGGATCTAAGGTAGAAAAGATGCCCTTTCTCGATGCCACTTTACTCCTTCAGCCTTTACCTACCAGAGTGTATAGTCAAACTGTAAGAATCTTAAAAATATATATAAAAAATAAAAAAACTCAGAATGATTTTCCAATTACAGGAACAAAGTTTAAATTTCTAAGTAACTTGAACTTTTCATTGAATATTCTTCTGGAGAGAACTCTCAAGACATGCTTGCATCCCCTGTGTATTTCCAGGGCAAGGTTTCCTTTGCTCTTCATCTTGTTCATTTTCCCTCAAGTTCAAGTTGTCCATTCCATTTCCATTGGCAAACTTCATTGCAATTTATTTGTGAGACACTGAACAGTTTCCTTTCCCTAGAAGAATACTGTTTTCTTGGGAATAGAGATTCTTTTCTAACTCAATTCTATGTCTTGTGATCTTATACATGCCCAGGGTTTCAGGCAAATAATACAGTTTGTTGCAGCTGTGTTTCACTCTTATGGAGGAGATGGCTCCAGCCCTATGAGCAAAGATGAATGAGGCATGCCAGCTTTAAAAATATATACATGTCTACCAGTAAAGCAAGTTCTTTGATATGTCAACCAATAATGTAAGCTCCTCTCCTGCATTAAATAGGATGGTTTTGCCATAAGTAACAGAAGATCTGACTCAAAGTGGCTTAAAGAATATGTATACTCTTATAACACGAAGCCCCAAGGTAGGCAAGTTTCAGATTAAGTTGTTTAAGTGACTTCATGAGGCCATCAAAGATACAGATTCTTTTCATTCTCTTGCAGTGTCATTCTCAATTTAGTTTTATATTCTGTGTGTGAAGCAGTTCCAGGCATTATATCTAGCTATAAATGTATCCTGAAAAAGACAGAAACATTCTCTTCGTGCAGCAAAATCTTTTCCAGAAGACACCTTGTAGCAGACTTCTCTCATGAATTATTGGTTACAAATAGGTCACATGTCCATCTCTGAACCAAACACAAATGAGAGGAATTCGCTTCACATTGGACCAGTCAGTCCTCATCTGGGGTGGGTTGAGGGGATCTGCTTCCCCTGAGACAACAGCTGAGCAAACTTGAGGCTTTACTAGAGGGATAAAAGATGAGAGGATTAGATCATAAGTGACCTTAGATAACTGCCTTAAGGATCACTTTTCTTTTACTTTCATTTTTTTTCTTTTTTATTCTCTCTCTTTCTTAGAAATGATAGTCCTTTCTAAATTTCTAAATTCACCACAAGGATGAGGTACCAGCTTACCTTAAATTTTCAACTTGGTAATGTCTACATTTAGGAGAATGTGTGAAGGAAACCAGGCCCAAAATGATGTCCTCATCATACAAGGAGCCCATCTCTCTGTGTTCACAGGCCTCTCAGAAGTTAAAAGAGATATTAGAAAAATATGTTATTGTATTATTTGAGAATAGATATTTGAGAATCTGAATCTGATAAATAGTCCTTACTTTAGCCTAATTAAATCAGTTTTTCTCTCATAGCATGAGGGCCCCTGGCTTATTTCAACCTTTCAAGCTAAAATAATATTTACTCAGGGCTTTGTGGGTTTGAAGGTCTCTGCTTCCCCATTCAGGTGTGGAAGCCATGCCTTCAATCTCTTTTGATCAATGTCCCAAAGACTGAGCAAGGCATCTGAAAATTCCATTCAGCATATTCAGTTCTAGTTTTTCTTCAAGTCTTACTGCCTGGATTCAGAATTGGAAAACTATTCTTGTTTTCAATTTCCTCAATGATTAATACCTAATTTTTTTACGTCCTCTTTATACCCAAGCTTTATAAACAATTAACGTTCTTACACGGATCCCTAATTATTAGAAGCCTGTCACCTATGTATTATTGGATCCAAGTTCTGAAACTAGACTGTGTCTCTTTTTATCAATTCTGGAGCCCAATAGTAGTGTTGTTTTTCTATAAATGGCATTGTGGAAACAATGAACAGAACCAGTGAGTTTTCCAGGGATTACCTCTTAACTTATCTGCAATTTGAGGAATATGATTCACTTCCCCATCTGCAGAAACTATACTAAGATTCATAAATAGTTCTAGGTAATCTTGGTTATATATTGAATCTGTTGTCTTTAAAATTTTAATTTCTCACTCTAGCATCTCTTCATTTCAATATTTTACTTTTCATTTTAGCTGGTTGTGCTGTGCATCCCAAAATACTTACTGCGTGAATTAATCTGTTAGGGCTGCCATAAAAAATACTAGCATCTGGGTGGCTATAAAACAACAATTTATTTTGTCACAGTTCTAGAAGCTGGAAGTCCAAGATTAAGGTCCCAGCAAGGAAGGTTTCTTCTGAGGCCGCTCTCCTTAGCATGCAGTTGGACACCTCACTGTGCTCTCACATGGGCCTTCCTTTGGGCATGTGCATTCCTGGTGACACCTTCTTCCTAAAGGGCACCAGTCACAATGGATTAGGGCTCCATTCTAATGACTTCAGTGTACCTTAATTACATATTTAAAGGCCTTATCTCCAAATGTTGTCATATTCCAAGATACTGGATGTTATGACTTCAACATATGAATTTTAGGGGAACACAATTCAATCCACAATGCTATGTAAAAATCAGTCTTGAATATTCACCTCAAACCTTCTTTTTCCCTAGTTTTAGTGGCACCACTACCTATGTCAAGTTGCTCAGTCTCTGTACTCTTCTCTGAACCCTTGCCACTAACTCTTCTTCACTTCCCTGATCCCAGTCTCTATAATCTTCTGTCTGGACTTTTGGCCTTCATGGCTCTGTTCTTTATTGACTAAACCCCACTGTATTAGCTACATCTCTCTTTCTCATATAATAGAAACTTAACTCTGCCTATGGATATTGACTTGAATTTCTTTCTACCTCGGATTTTCTCCCCAAGTCCTTAAATGTATAGATTATTCTAGTCGATAATCTCTGCTCAGAAGTCCTTATAGCTAAGAGTTTTATCCTGATTATTGTAACCAAAGTGTCTCTCTCACCTTCTATTCTCAAATTTGCCTATTTCCTTCATTAAATACAACACTCTGTGAAAGTACCTTTTTTTATTATTGATTTGCTTATATTTTTCTTTCTTTTTTTTTTTCTTTCTTTTTTTTTTTTTTTTTTTTTGAGATGGAGTTTTGCTCTTCTTGCTCGGGCTGGAGTGCAATGGCATGATCTGGGCTCACTGCAAACTCCGCCTCCCTGGAACAAGCTATTCTTCTGCCTCAGCCTTCCGAGTAGCTGGGATTACAGGCGCCTGCCACCAAGCCCAGATAATTTTTTTGTATTTTTAGTAGAGACAGGGTTTCATCATGTTGGCTAGGCTGGTCTCAAACTCCTGACCTCAGGGGATCTGCCTGTCTCAGCTTCCTAAATTACCGGGATAACAGGCGTGAGCCACCGTGCCCGGCACTTATATTTTTTCGAACCCACCTAAGATGTATACTACTCCAGAGCAAGAATCTTGTCTCTCTTATTCACAATTTGAACAGTGTCTAAAACATAAAAAGAACTCAATGAATACTGATTTAATATATAAATGAGGAACATGACCTCAGGAATGACTCTTATCCATATAACATACTGTAATCTAACCAAATCGCTCATTTCATGAAGGCTGTAGAAAAGAGAATTTCACAGGAGGCCTGCAACTGCTTCCCAGTGCTCCATTTCTAAACCTCCACTTGAAATTTAGAGACGTTAAACTAGTTGTCCCAGGTTAACACATTAGTTATGGAGACAAGATTCCTCTCTAGCAAGGCTGGCTCTGGATCCAGCATTTCTAACCACCACTCTGAAGATCTCTCCATTGGACACAGAGAAGAAACATTTCTAGAAATTTTTTCTAAATTCCTTCCGAATCCTAAAAAATAAATAAATAAATAATAAATTATTCTGTGAGATATTTCAAAAAATTGTTTTATGCAAACGATTGGATTCATAAAATGACGATTTTTCTTCAAACAAATTCAAAGCACTAGGACCAAATAAACCACACTAAAATACAAGAATACCTAAGTATAAGAATACAAAGAACAAACTTAGTAAGTAGGTTAGAAGGGTATCAGGAAAAGTTTCAAATGTTTTTCCACACTTATAAAAATTAAACAACAAAAGACACTTTTCAACTACAACAAGCTCGTGACTTCTGTATATTGCTTAGCTCTATCTAAATTAGGTTTACAAAACATTAAGGAGCAATAAAGCATCCTTTTCTTCCATTACGAAAACTCAAGTAGAATAGTAAGATGGTTAATTTTAGCAATTTATGTATTCTGCAATCCTAAAATATGGCTAATGTGGAATCACAGTGTTAGAAGTTGATTTTGATAACAATATGTAATGATTCTGTCAATAACATAAACAAAGATATTAAAATAGTCCCAAATCCACTTAAAACTGAGAAACTGAAGAGCAAGCATTGCTTGATCCTCTTTGGTATAACAGTCAGGAGTTTCATATATTGAAGCTTCTCAGTCAATCTTATTGCAAAGATATTCTTCTTACTTAGTTCACTTTCTCAAAAATCTTTAATCTGAATGATGAACTAGTTTTAAATTATCAGTGTTCTTGAGAACACTTTAGATTATAAAATGCAAAATATTTAAAAACCTTATATAGATCTTTAGGCAGATTTGTATAAAATTAATGAAAAATTCTAATAAATGGCCTGGAAAGATATTTTTTTTTTTTTGACACAGTCTCACTCCATCGCCCAGACTGGAGTGCAGTGGTGTGATCTTGGCCCACTTCAGACTCCTCCTCCTGGGCTCAGGTGATCCTCCCACCTCAGCCTCCTGAGTAGCTGGGACTACAGACTCATGCCACAATGCCTGGCTAATATTTTGTATTTTTTTGTAGAGATGGTGTTTCATCACGTTGCCCAGGCTGGTCTTGAACTCCTGGGCTCAAGCAATCTGCCCACCTTGGCCTCCCAAAATGTTAGGGTTACAAGCGTGAATCACTGAGTCCAGCCTAGAAAGATAAATATTTAAAACTACAACTTTGTGTTACTTTTCAAACTCAGGGCTTTGTTTATCAAATGCTATAAATATTTCTAGTACAATTTTGTCTATAACCAATAATTTAAAATCCCAAGACCTATTAATTCAAATATTTACTTATTTTCAAAGTGTAAAATATCTCTTGTTCTTCTCTATTTATATTTTCTGCCAAATTAAATCTGATTTGCCACTGAATTTGTGTTATTTCATATGACCATTGGCTAAACTTATTTATGCAAAACAATTGTGATCTCATCATTCAAGGAAACCATGCATCCTCTTTAATAAATCTCATTACCAAATTATAATTTTATATATACCCTGTTTCAGGATGAAGCAAGAGATGTGGGACTCCACAGAAATAGGCTTTCAAAATTTGTTCATCTTGATTTTTCTTTATCTAGAATGTGATGAAAGTCTCTGCATGATAAGTATGTGTGAAGCAAATGAAAGTAAATATAAATGTGTGTATATATGCACATACACACATCATATATTAGAGAATCTATGACTTGTTAATGTAAATGCAGCTATATTTAAAATACTCTAGAGGCTATTGTCTCACCTCTATTAAATATCTTTAAGCAATGATCATGTCCAAATATTGTAAATAGAAATATATTAAGTATTATTTATAGGAAGTAAGAATTTATCTTCAAGATCAAAAAGCCTTTAGAAACATGTTGTTAGAGAGAAATAGAACTATTTTTTTCGAGCAAAAGTTTGATCACTAATCTAAGAAAATAATAGCCATCACCATTCTGTCCTATCTTAGAACAAACTCATAAATTTATTTTTAAACTTCAGAGATCTAAGTTGGCAATAATATATTTCCACTTCACAGTTTTTAAATTGATTACTTGTATTTCCTACTGTTTATTTTTTAGCAAAAATACTCACAATTAGATCTATAAGCTGAATTTTTAAAAATGTAAATGCATAAGAACCTCATTTCCTGTAACCATACAAAATATAAAAATATACATAATATTTGATTTTTTCTCTTGTAATATTCAATTTATCTCTCAGTAATAAATCACAAACAGGTGGACCCAGGAAAAGAAAGGACACTTCAGAATTTACAGAGAAATTTTATCTTAAGTCACATAAATACATAAAATCCTAACTAACACAAGTTATAAGGGAAATTAATCTTGAATCCTTATCATCATCCTCATCATGGCTAAAGTTTAAGTGCTGTTGTGGACTGAATACTGTCTTCCCCCAAAATTCATATTCCTAAGCCCCAACTCCGAATATGGTAGTAATAATGGAATTAGGATGTGGGGATTTTGGAAGTGACTCAATTTGATAAGGTCAAAAGGGTGGAGCCCTATGATGAAATTAATTATCCTAAAAAGAAAGGAAGAAATATCAGAGCTTCCTCGCTCCATCATATGAGACTATAGCTAGAAGGCACCCAGAATTGTAAGAAATGTCTGTGGTTTCAGCCATCCAGCCTATGGTATTTTGTATAGCAGCCTGAGCAGACTAAAACAAGTACCTATAATGAATCCACAATTGACATTCCTCATCACTAGCCTAGATAATGCCTCATAGCTAGTCTCTGTGAGGTCAGAGATCCATGTCTTTTTTTTTTCTGATCCCACCCTCCTTCCTGAAATAATATCTGGCACATATGAAGACTTGAATAAATATAGGCAGAGGAAATAACAAACACAACTAAATAAACTGACGTTCACATAAATTTAAACAAAGCACAATTATATGAGACCAAGAGATGAATAATGGAAATCTACTGTGTATACAACGCACCTCAGCAAGGTCATGATGAATGAGTTTTGATAGTGAAAAAAGGAGAAAAGGAATTTTAACAGGAGGAAACATGAAGAAAAGTCATGTAGTTATTGAACACCAAGGATGTGTATAAGAAATATTAACAGGTCCTTATTACTGGATTGTAAAGTGCACAAATGAGATACAGTGGTAAAGTGGAGAACTGGAAAAGGATAGGAAAGGTTATTTCAATGCTCCAGTGAGAGATAATGAGTCCCTGAAGTATAATGCTGGGCGATTGTGTGCTAGTAAATGTTTAATAATGGCTCTTTGAAAAAGGAAAGATGTATGGGATGAGGCATTTGTTTTGTGTGTATGTGCATGTGGGTTTGTATAACATGCATATGTGTGTATGTATACCTATATATGCTAGTAAATTTCATAATACCACTTGAGGGTTACTATTTGTCTATTTCTGTCTTTACATAATTTTATAAGTAAAAATTAAAATACATTTACACTATTTTTTTAAGTGTACTCATAAATTCAGTGTATCTACTCAGAAAATCGGCTATCAGTATTTAGCATTCTATCATCAACAATATGTAACAAAGTAAGACTATGCATAATGCTTAATTAGTAATGAATCAGGAGAAATCACTCAAGTAAGTGGTTAATAAGAGTAGTTCCAACATGAATTCTATAATTGATATTTTTCTTTACACTGATGGGTAAAGCAACACGAAACAATAAAGGCCTACATTAGAACTTCAATTGTTTGTCAACGGCATGAGTAAATTATTTGCTAAATTCGGTAGTTTTCAAAGTGAGGTAAATAGTCCCTCAATTTTTGGTGGTGTTCACAATATAATGTGTATAGATATAAAAGACTTTAAGTTGAATCTGCATTAATGTATTCTTCATTATTTTCTTAAGTTTAGACAATCAAACTGTAAATCAGGCTCTGATTTGCAATGTACACCCAGTTTCATGGTGTAAATACTTCAACAATGACCAATTTCAAGCTACCAAGATAATTGCTATTAAACAGATTTGGAAGAGATGTGCAGTACTGAATCATTATGTAATATTTACAGTATACATAACCACTAGACATGATCTCAAGAACATAGGCAAAAGTAGAATTTAGTAAAAGAATTAAGAAAAATTAATGTTGAATATTTATTGACTTTATAATATAAATTTTAATAGCACATTTTTGCAATTTAATTTTTAATAATGGCTGTGTTTAAGAATCAAATGACAAAATTTCTAAAATGTAACAATTGCTCTTATGAACCAGCATTAGCACATCAATAATTAGGAGTACAACATCTTGGTTTAAAAATTACTATATTGCAGCCTTCCATTTATGAAAGCTGTAACATTAACCATCTCCGTTGTGAACACATTAAGTCACTCTTCTAAGATCTTTCTCCAAATCAGTAGAGAGGTATATTTCAAGTAAACGGGAGGTAACTCAGATTATTTTTAAAATAAAATAACATAAAATGAAATTTAATATGACGGCAGCTTAGACATAATTGTTATACAAAAATATTTGTAAAAAATTGTAAAAATCCTTTCTTCAAAGGATTTGTAATTCCTTTAGAAATTAATTGTACTTCACCAGTCTACAAAATAAATGATTATTAATTTGCATAAGCTGAGTTCCAAAAACATTTTGAAAGGTGGATTAAACATTAGATTGAGACAAAATAAACCGTTTTTAGGAGCAGAGATATTAATTTGAAAATATTATACATAATATAATATAAAAAGGAAAAATCACTTTTATATTAGACATTCAGAATAGCATTACATCTTTATCTTCTCCTGTGGTTTAGAGAACTCAACATGGGGATTACTGTATGGTGGGAAATAGAGAATGACTGCGAGAATAGGATCGGAGATAAACTATGACAATATGTTAAAATTTTTAGCAAAAAACAAGGAGCAGACTTTAGTTTCAGACTTGGTCCTTGTAAAATGGGAATGGAAGAATAAGAAGAATTAAATTTTTGTAGTAGATAAACCAACAATTTACATAGATTTTGTTGCTGCTATATCCTATGTCTATCATGCGATGTACTTCAAGATGCCACTACTCTGAACGTTTCTTTAAAAATGAGCTAAGTATGCACACACGAACACAAGCAAAGACACACAATTACTTATACAATATACCTGTATTTAAGACTGATTATATGTATATCTTATAGCTGTACATTTATAAGAAAATCAGCTCAGCTTAAAAATGCTGGTGAGGGGAGGAATTTTGTTTCATCTACTTTCATCTAAATCCTATTCATGAACCCTGGGCCAAAAATCACATGGCTGACCTAAATTCTCCTATATTCCAAGAAAAGGGAGAATTAGATTAGTGTAAATGTTAAAAAGAATAATTATTGCTATTTTCATGTACTTTCTTTTCTTTAAATACAAGATCTTTTTCTAGCGTGTAGAGGATAAATGCTTATGGGATTCACCTTTCTTTTCTTTCTTTTTTTTTTTTTTTTTTTTTTTTTTGGTGTTGTTGTTGCAACAGAGTCTTGCTCTGTCACCAGGCTAGAGTGCAGTGGCACAATCTTGGCTCACTGCAACCTCCACCTCCCAGGTTCAAGCAATCCTCCTGCCTCAGCCTCCTGAGTAGCTGCGACTACACGTGCACACCACCATGCCTAGCTAATTTTTTGTATTTTTAGTAGAGACAGAGTTTCACCATGTTGGCCAGGATAGTCTCGATCTCTTGACTTCATGATCTGCCCATCTGGGCCTCCCAAAGTGCTGGATTACACGCATGAGCCACAGTGCCCTGCCTCATCTTCCTTTTAATGGACATTTACCTATTTCTTTTCTGTCATGAAAAAGCAATATAATCACAAACCAATGTAAAAGGTCAATAAAAATTATGAAGTAAATAAAAATATACATAATAGAATCTGTGAAAGTTTATGCTCGTGGAAAAAGATAGATTAAGTTGTGAACAAATAGAGATAGGGCACCTAAAACATGGCACATAAAATGTGCCCAACAGGTTTTTGTTTTTTGTTGTTGTTGTTGTGTTTTCTTTATTTGTTTTTAATAATTGGATACTGGATCACATTAATGGTGTAAATGCCATAAAAAGATTCATGATCATCTACAATTGCAATGGAACCATCTAAATTTGCCTTTATTTTATGTACTTGAAGCCTGATTATACTGATTTTTTACTATTGGACTCAAGTTAATTGTATGTCTCCCTTTTTGGAAATAAAATTTCCCTCTTCCTGTGGAATCCTTGCAAACAAAAGACATGGATTAATTAAGATGTCATGGTTCTTTAATATTCATTTATGCATTTTAAATTTTAAAAATGCTAAGACTGTATCCTAAAAATAATTGACGCTAGACACTGGGAAAACAGTAAAAACATTCTATAATCCATCTAAAATCCTAACTATCAAAACAATCACATCCTTAAAATATACTTTAAATAATAAAAGTACACACTAACTTAATAATGCTATCACCTGTGAAACAAAAGGTTTGGATATAATTTTGGTAATGAATAGCTCCTTTGGTTCCGAGCATGTGGGAATATAATATGCTAAAGTTCAGATTGTCAAAGTTAACAATAGAAATGGGAGAAATAGGGCTCTTCATTATGAAGACTCCCGTGTATACACTTTAAATAAATTTGTTTGCCTTTCCTTCCAGAAGAAGAAGAAGAGGAAGAAGAAGGAGGAGAAGAGGAGGAAGAAGAAGAGGAAGAGGAAGAGGAAGAAGAAGGAGGAGGAGGAGAGGAGAAGAAGAAGGAGAAGAAGAAAGAAGAAGAAGAAATGGGAGACATAGGAATAAAGTGAAACAGGATACAGAGTAACGTTGATTATTATGAGAAGCTAATTCACGTTGATGATATGTAGTCTTGGGTCACAGCATTAAATGACATTTTTGTTGAAGTAGACAAAGAAAGTATCATTGTGGTGCTCTTAAAATAGAAAACAAATATTTTACTCTTCATTGTATCTTGGTATCACTTATGGAGTTGGGGGGCAGTAAGGAAGGAAAGATTTAAAAAAAGGGTGCACTTTCTCTTGGGTAAGGAGTCTTTTTGGGAGAACAGTTTCCAATTAAAGCTAAGATTTGAGAAGGGGAACAAATATAGGTATAATTACGAGAAATATGCTTAAATTAAAATACAAACAAAAGAAATATACCAAAAGGAGAGAACAGGAGAGAACTAAATTAGTGGAAAATTTGACTGGCAAGTGTAACTGATAGTGCCTTAATTGGTTACTGTCCAATTGTGGGTACTCCCCCCTCATACTTCTGATCACATTTACTAAGGCTGTGTGCTCTTCCTCCAACTTCTGTGCTATTTATTTATTTATTTATTTATTTATTTATTTATAATAGTGAGTACCTGCAACATTCTTTGCAAAACTGTCTTCAAGCTGCAGAAACCAACTTGCCCACATGTAGACAACCGAAAGCGTCTGAGTTAGGTCTCCTAGGAAAGCTTTTAACAAATGTCTGATTGGTCCAGAAGTACTGAAGTTCCATCCCCTTTGCTTCCATTCCAGTTGGACAAGTTTCTAAACCATTATTTACCCAGAGCCAGCCCGTGGGGGCAGGCTGAGACTGGGGCTTTGCCTTAAATGTAGTTTTGCTTCAATTCTCTTCCTCCCCTTTTATGCATCTTTTACTTCTTCACCTCTTTCTCCTGGGAGGAACTTCATAACAAGTTATTTACACAGGATCATGGGTCTCATAGTCTGCTTCTGAGGAATATTATTAGGATCAAAAATCAAAAATATTTTGATTGTTGTTGCTTTTTCTCCTAAGCTAAGCACAGATAAGTGAAAAGGAGAAATCTCTTGAATTTAAGTGTCTTAAAAATTGGAGAGGTTTTTAATAAGTTCATAGTTAATTAAGAAGTAAAAATTGTGTCCAAGAAAAGTATTAATAATGAGGAAATATTTGGAAATTATAAGTTTTTCACCAAATACAAAATTACTAAAGATCTAGTGTTTTGTTTATGAATTATCTTTAAACTATTTTTTAATATGAAGAAAAAGTAATGAGACAAAACAGAGTTTTAGAAAGCTCTACTACTTCTCATGTTCTAACATCTTTTCTTCACATGCTTTGAATTTTTATAACAAGAACTGATTCATAGAAATGCCTAAAACACAAATATTCATTAAAGCAGCATATAAGGATTTTAGGCCAAAATAAATTGTAAATGATTGATATACAGTTTAGCAAATACTGTGTTAGGTTACTTCTAAGATGGCTCCCAGTGTCCCCAACCCCATTTATGAGCTGTGTAAGTCCCTGTCTATTGAATAATTTGTTCCTAACCAATAAAATATCTCAAACTTGAGGGGTGTCACTTTTGTGATTAGCTTATAAAGACTGTAACTTTTATTTTACTAACAAATTATCTCCCTTTCTCTGGGTGCCCACTGCCAACAATCAGCAAGAAACTGAGGCCCTCAGTCCAATAACAGGAAGGAAACCAAATCCTTCCAAAACCAAATGAACTCAGAAGTGAAACCTTTCCTAGTTGAGCTTTCAGATGAAACAGCTATGGCTGACACCTTGATGGCAGACTTGTAAGAGACCCAGAAGAAAATGACCCAGTTATGCAGTATCTGGATTCCTGACCCACAGAAACTGTGAGATAATAAATGTGTGTGCTTATAAGTTGATAAATTTGTGGTAATTTGTTTTGAAGCAATCGATAACTAATACACCTAGTATATTTAATACTATTTGGAAGATATAAAGGAAAAATAATAGCCTTTACCTTCAAATTGTTGTATAACTAATGAACAAAACCGTTAGAAAAATCCTAGGCAGACTGAATACAAATATTCTAAAATGAAGTTTTTCGTAAAAACATTTTTGGCACTATCGGAAGGAGGGAAAGAGAGAGCATGAAGAACAAGAGGTAGAAAGAGAACATTTAATTTGATACTAGCATGTATTATTCCTATTTTTTTTTATTTTTTAAGTATTAAAGACAGAAAACCACATTGACAAATCAAGTGAAAGGAATGTTACTCCACAGAGCAAGGTTCACTTAGTAGCAGATTCAGGAATTGACAGGATGCATTCAAAAAAAGAGAAGAGTGGTTGAATGGGTGGTGGAAGAAACTAGGATATAAAACGTTATCAGTTCTGAGAAAACTTCAAAAGTCATCATTATCATCATCATCACTATCATCAGCATTATCATCATCACCATTATCATCATTGTCATGATCATGGAATTTACTCTGTTAAAAGCACCAGTTTTATCAAGGTTTTGAAAATGGTGATAGCACAGATTTCCTTTTCCGTAGCTTGTGTTTAACGGATGAGAAAATGTGAAGCACCTGGGCCGGTGGAGTGAAAGGGAGAGTTATCACCACAGAAAATGGATGTTTCAACAGGAAGAAGGAATGGTACGCCAAAGATAAACTTCATCAATTGCATAATTTTGCTTCGATCTGCCAGTAAGTGCTAAGCAAGAATTTAACATTACGTTTTCTCCAGGTTGGATTTCAGGGTCACATAAATCTTCAGAAGATTTATACATATGGTTCTGAATGGTGCTTTACATCAACTAAGGTTGAAGACCTTAGTGGCTCAGTTTTCTATTAATAAAATCCCTATAAAACTCAAGAACACCATGAAGGAATACTAAAAAAAAAAAAAAAAATTAAAAAAAAAACTGCTTTATAAGGTGTTTCTTGAAAAGCTTTTATTTCTTTGTTTTGAATCATACTGTTTTCCCTAGAAGTTCACTTTGTTTTCTTTTACATTCTACATTCATTTACAAGTGAAGCTTTATTGCCAAGTTCTCAAGTCATAAGTGTGGAAACACCTTTCATAGGACATTTTCCCACATGGATTTCTTTGAAGTTATTGCTGATAAAGACTTGGACAAATACTTGTTCATCTCCTTTTTCATTCATTTATTTATTTTCCTATTTAATATTAATAAATAAATATGTTATGCATGGTTTCATTTCTTCGGAGCATACAAAAAAGGGCCTCCTTAAAATAATTTGGCTGAGGCAAAGAAAGTGCAAATAAGACAATGTATCATAAGAAAGAATACAAAGGAAAAAAGAGATATAATAGGGTTTCATATCTTTTCTGCCTTTGTATAAATTTAATTGAAACCTAATCTCACAAAATCTGCCTGAATGTATTACAGAATTAGTTGCAAGTCTGATTTTTCTTTACCCAAGTTTGTTTCATTTGTAGAATTTAAGAAATCCTCACTGTTACATAAACTCATTCAGATGTTATTTGTTTCTGTGAATTTCTGCCATGCTCCACTGCAATTTGACCAGGATCTCTGTATTTTGAGAAAATTAGTTTACTGTAGTAGGATATATGCAAACGGACTGAAATAAATAACTGCATTATTTAGCAATAATCCCCAAATGATTAGTCACTGTTTTTCTTTCAATGTTTAGTTCCAATTCCAGTTGTTTTGAGAATCATAGAGTTTTTCTTGATACTAATTCTTTTCCAAATACATAAACCTGCTGAAAGTCTGTCCAATTTTACTTTTTTTTAATTTAGAGAATTCTTCTACTCATTCTCTGTCTGCATTTTTCTCTTCTTCCTTCACAGAAAATTCACAAATCAGCTCTATTTTCTCACTTCCCTGGAAACTTCCTTTTCCTTGGTAATTCAAGATTGTTTCTTACTCTGGTTATAAGTTACAAATATATAGTTTCCAAAATACATAGCTCTAAAAGACTATATTATTGCATTTAAAAAATGTAGAAAAGCCATATCTCCTCCTAACAATGCAAAATCACCATCTTTGGAGACAATATAGAATATTATTGAACTTGTTAAAAATAATAATTGATTAAAAACATATCTCTGCTAAAATCATTTAACAAAGCATGTTATTTTTTTATATTGGTATATATGGTCCTGGTATCTCTCCAACTTTAGCTAAGATCCATATAATAACATTTAGAATGGTTTCTCAAAGAACTCAAATTCCTGAATATACAAGCTAGCTGAGATTTTAAAAGATTGACCATTCGGGAAACATATTCAAATATACCAAATATATTCAAATTATTTTGTTTATAATATTAATTATATTCTTAGTATAAATTTTGTATTGCAAAATAGAGTCCTATGCATGTTCAAGTTGGTATTTTATAATATGACGATTGCTTATAAATGCTTTTGTTTATTTTTTATTTTTGCTTTTTAGCTGATTATTACAACACTTCTATCATATAGGGCAAAAGGGAACAATTCATTAATACTGCCTTGAAGATTATGCCCACTTTGCAATTCACATTCTCCCTGCAAGTGCAATCAAAATAAATTACACTACTTAGCTTATAAATTGAATTTTAGGCCAATTTCGTGGATTATATCTCTAGATTTTTATCATTTTTATAATAAAAGCACATTGCACGTAGATGTTATAGTCCATGTTTTCACTTGATAGCAATTAACATTCCCCTAACCCCATGGTGTATTCTAAATACCAGAGCACTTTACTCTAATAACACTTCAATTTAACACAGCTCTTCATGGCCATTGAGGGAAAATGACTAAATTGAATCAGGAACACACAAGCATTCCTGTGAACTAAATTAAACACAAAACACTTGATCTTCAAATTTTGTTTAACAGATGGAAGTAAAGAAAATTAGAAAAACTTAGCACTTTGGTGTTGACTGAACAATGTCATTCATTACAGTGATTAAGTATGAAAAGATGAACACACTATCACATAAATAAATTAGTGTTACTGTTCTTCACTGAACACTAACAAGATTAGCTAGACAAAATATGAAAATAATTCATTATAGCAAAACTTAAAAATAATTAAGAATAATGTAAAATAAATATTTGTGAAATGTAATTGTCACTACTGCTAGGGAAAATTGAATTTCACCATATTAGTCCATTCTCACAATGCTATAAAGAACTACCTGAGACTGGGTAATTATGAAGAAAAGAAGTTTAATTGACTCACAGTTCTGTATAAGAAGCATGGTAGGGGAAGAGCCTCAGGAAACTTACAATCATGGCAGAAGGGCAAAGGGGAAGCAAGCACCTTCTTCACATGGCCAAGCAGGAGAAAGAGAGAGTGAATGGGAACATGCCGCACACTTTTAAACCATCAGATCTTGTGAGAACTCACTATTACAAGAACAGCAACGGGGAAATCTACTCCCAAGATCTAATCACCTCCCACCAGTTCCCTCCCCCAACATTGGAAATTATAATTCAACATGAGATTTGGGTGGGGACAGAGAACCAAACCACATCATTCACACTGAAAAAAAGTTTTATTTAACCAATGAAAAAATCTAAATATTGGGACTAATTTAAAAGTAAATCTATTCTAATTACTCATTTGATGTTTGTACTTTTATTTCTCTTCTAAAAAATCCTACTGAAGATTTAACCAGTTTATATTGGAACATCTACAATGTGGGAGACTCGGCACTTCCCCCAAAAGCCTACTTTATAACTGAAAAGCAATTTGAAATAATTTCATTAGTGTGTTGATATAAATTCATTTTACTTTAATTTCCAAAAGCTTGAGCTGCTATAAACCTGGGGCTACACAGAATAAATTAAAGATAGTACACATTTGATGCCATGAAGTACACAAAAATGCATCTGATATATAATTTACTATCTAACCTTTCTTAAATGTATTTTCACTGCAAAATTAATCAGCCAAATATGGTTCTAACTATGGCTATTTCTAGATATCGCACCTTAGGAAGAAAACATTTTCTCTACACAGGAGCATAAAATACTATAAAAATATTTATTAAACATCTCAATTTTATTATGTTTTTATCTGTTCTACTTTCCATGTTGACCTACAGTCTTAACCTACCTAAGGAAAGAATAAGGATTCTAGAGGGTTAAGAATTTAATATAAGCCTTTGAAATGAGGAAACTATAAATGCTTAAAAGAGATGATTCTTTTATGTATTTGAGCAGAATTTCCTCATGATCTTTACCATGGCATTTGGGTTAAACTTTTTAGTTTTATTGATTCCTTTTTCTTTTCCTTTTTTTTCCATTAGTGTTGTGGAGTCTTTGTTCTCTGAAATATTATTTTAACCTGGGAATAAAATCATGCATTAGTCTCTAATTCTCATGAAAATATGCGAAAGTAAGAAAATTTTTAAATCCATGTTAAATAAAACTATATTCATTTTATTAATGTACGCTGAGGCCATCCTTTTAGCTGTATCTCCAGTGATGACAAAAAATAAAAAAAAGAAAAGAAAAATGCACTAGGATAAACATCTGTAGATGATTACTCATTTTTTATAATAATAACCACTTCTCAATTTTATGCATAATATTTAGTTCTATCTAGCACAGA
The DNA here is from genome assembly GCF_000001405.40 of Homo sapiens. NCBI lineage: Eukaryota > Metazoa > Chordata > Mammalia > Primates > Hominidae > Homo > Homo sapiens. The sequence continues at coordinate 62,775,516 of NC_000004.12, read as the reverse complement.
TACTGAGACACAAAAAAAATTCTACTTGTTTTTAGACATACCTCATTCAAAAATATTATACTTCAAAAAATGTATCATAGAAAAATGAGCTGACAATTACCAGAAAGTGCAAAATACTTAATTTCTGTATATATGTATTTTGGGAATAAATTGTCTAAATATAAAGTATTATTCTAAATAAATATTGAAAGTATCACATTAAGATTATAGGCAAAATGTGTCCTTTCTTGGAAGCAGAAATATATCTAGTAATTTTTGAATGTCCCAATGTTGAAACTGCTTATAAATTATACATAGAACCATTTCTAGTCATATCAGAAAACTGACGCACAAAGCTGATGATCATTAGTAATCAAATTATTACGTAGGAAAGAAAACTGTAGAAATAAATTCTAGAAGTCTAAATGTAAAGAAAGAATCTTCACATTTCCTTCACTCTTCATGCGTCAAATGACGAATAAATTTTTATGGGATTATATATTTCCCAAATTTTCAATCCTGGCTTAGAGGTGACTCTTTTATAGCCTTCCCATCTATGTGACTTCTTGTAACAAACTTTAACTAGATCATGTTTAATTCTATATAAAACTAATTCTCACTACATTGACTGTAATCACTAGGAGAATGCTAATTTCACACATTTTATACAGATTCCCTGTTAGTGGCCAATATTCTGAAATAGAGAAGAAAGAAATAGTATAACTTTGCTGCTGCTATGTAAACACACAAAAGTCACGTTCTATATGCCGCTCTGTGAAACCCACCCCTTTGCTCCATCCCAGGTGTCTTATTTTAGCTCTGTAATAATGGTGATTATCAGAAGAAATGGCTGTTACTCTGTTCCTTCTGCAACACCTTACAAACAACTCTGGTTGTATTTAATATGAAATAAATTAACCAGAAAAAAAAGACAGGTAATTAAACAACCTGTGTAGAGTTGACCTTTGAACAACACAGGTTTGATCACATAGGTGCTTATACGTAGATTTCCTTTTGCCTCTGTTATCTCTGAGACAAGACCAACCCTTCTTTTTCTTTCTCCTTAGCCTATTACTCAATGTGAAGATGATGAGGATGAAGACCTTTATGATGATCCACTTCCACTGAATGGATGGTAAATATACTTTCCCTTCCTTATGGTTTTCTTAATAACATTTTCTGTTTTCTATCTTACTTTATTGTAAGAATACAATATATAGTACATATAACATACAAAACATGTATTAATTGACTATGTTATCAGTAAGGCTTCCAGTCAACAGTAGGCTATTAGTAGTTAATTTCTTGAGGAGTCAAAAGTTATATGAGGATTTTTTACTGCACACAGTTGAGTGCCCCTAACCCTTGCATTGTTCAAGGGTAAACCGCACATTTTAATTTGTAGTATTCTATTTGCAAAACCAAGAAAAATGTGTACAAATATAGACTATAATGTTCCAAGTTTATTTTATATTGAAACTCATTCCTTAAAAATGCGTAATTCAAATTGTTAAACAGTTATTCCTTCCACCCAGTTCCAGTAGTGATGTAACTCTTATAGTCTACGGAGTATCTCAAATACTTTTAAATGTGTGTGTACTGCATATGTATATGCATTTAATTGAAAGGTTTACCTTGGTATTTTTGTAGGTTTTAAGAATAACCTTTTACTCATTTAAATAGAACAAATATTTATTTAATGTACACATTATGCCTAGGACTCTTTTAGACACACAATAGGGGTATAATACATTTAATGGCTATGATGCCCACAAGGAGTTTTATGGTATGTGTGTGTTTGTGTGTGTGTGTGTATTCACAGATAAGACAAATACTAAAGCAACACTAGGCATTGAACAATAAACCCTTAAGTTGTACATGAAAATATGTCAAAAGATGTGCTAAAAATAATAAGTTTAAAAGATAAAAAGACATATGATCATGAACTTTGTTTGGACTTCATTTCATACAACCACATCCCTAAACCTCTTCTAGCATATGAGAATACTGAGTAATCCACATAGAAACCAAACAGGCATGTTCTGCCCTGCCACAATCCCGCTTCATCTGGGCCTTTCCCATCAAGTTAAAGGCAGCTCCATCCTTCTGGTTTATCAGGCTAAAATAATAGAGTCATTTTTGCCTCCTCTCTTTTTCTCACCGTCTATGTCTACCCTATGGCCAAATCTTGTTAGTTCTAATGTCAACATGCATCTGCATTCCAGTCATTTCTCACTATTCTGGATCATTGCATTACCCTCCTAACTGGTGTTCCTAATCTAGCACAACAGACTAGCCAGAAGAGTTCTATAATACTTAACTAAGATTAAAGTATTCTTCAAATCAAAACATTCTTTAGCAACTCACTTTTCTCAAAGTAAAACTATCCAGTTACCTCCCAGTACTTCTGTGACATCATTTCTACTACTCTGACCATTGTTCTAAATGATCCAGCCACACAAATCTCCTTCTTGTTTCTTGAAACAAACAATACACATTGCCTCAAGTTCTTCCCCTAAGACATCCACTTCATTTACTTCCCCCCTGCTTCCAAGTTTTTGTTTTAACACAATATCACCTTGTCAGTAGGGTCTATAATGGCCATTCTATTTAACACTAAAACTTCCAGTCTTAATCTTCACTCCTTATTGCCACTTCTGCTTTATTTTTCTACATAGCACATTTTACTTTCTGACATAATGAATTAAGTACCTAGTAATTATGTCTACCATTTTTTTTCTGGCCAAGTAGAATGTAAAATCTTTGAGGGCAGATTGTTTGTCAGTTGATTTCTTACACAGCAATACTAAGAGCAATGCCTAGCAATTAGCAGGTGCTGAATAAATGAATGAAATGTGCTGGTAATTAGTCTCAGCTCTGTCTTTGATACAGATGAAACTAGTAATTAAGTGAATTATAATCTATGTGAGGTAGCATTTCAGAGACAGCAGAAATTCTTTGAAAACAGTTCATTGGATTATTAAAGGGAACATGCCTGTACACAGGAAAACATATCATATTTTTGGATCAGAATACTGCTAAATGCAACCTGAGAAGTTCAGCACCAGACTTGCTCTTGTTGATGAAACAGGAAATTTCCTTGACCCCTTCATGGGCCTCAAAACAGGAGTGCTTCACTTAGCCCACAGCTCTCAACCCCTTGTGAGAGGCAGAGCTTGCAGGCGAGCAGGTGCGGGAGCTGGAGTGAGTGCTTTTGGGCACTGCCAGGAACAAAACTTTGTACGGGCCCTGTGGCAGAATCTAGAGGGGAGTATCTGTGAACCCCAAATCTCCAGAGGGTGTGTGTTACACTGCTCTTTTAGCTTTGCTGTCCACTGACAGCTTAAGTGTTAAACAGCTCAGTGGGCCCTCTGTCTTTTGGCGTGAGGCAGTTGCTCTCCACCGGCAAGGGCAGAGAGTCAGTGTGACAGCCTTTAGCATCCACATCCGTGGCACCCGAGCTTTTGTTCAGCATCCAGGAAAAATCAGGTCGCACAAACAAATTGAAGGGTGGTGAATACAGGGGATTTTATTGCCGATGAAAGTAGCCCTCAATGGGAAGAAGAGCTGGAAGGGGTATGGAGTGGGAAGCTGATCTTCCCCCAGAATCTGGCCTTTCCCGGCCAGACTCCTCTCTGAAGCAACACTATCAACCTGTCCCTCAGAAGGGAAGCTGCTTCTCTCCGACATCAACCAGAGGCTCTGACATCCAGCTTCTTCTCCTCTTCTCCCCTTCTCTGCTCTCTGCCAGTCGGGTCAGGAATTTTTATGGGTACAGGATGGGGGGTGGGGCGGGCAATGGGTGGTTTTCAAAAAGGCGCCATTAGAGGGGGAAAACAGAGATGTTAAGTTCTTACTTTGGGCCATGGTCTCAGGCTTTTCAGCTTGAGAGTGGTTCTTCGCCAGGGACCTACCCTTTTCTGACTAGAATTTCTGTGCTCACTGTCCCTATCATTATTTTACTCTTTTAAAAATATTTTCTTATATTTTATACTTTGATTTTTATGAAGAAAATAATAATTATTTGAATATTATTTAATATATAGAAAAAATCAAAGTGAAGTAGTCTTAATAATTAAATGAGACAATAAGATTTAAATAGCAAAACTATAAGGTTTTAAAGAGTCATCTTAAAGAGCTCATTTTAAGGACAATTATGTAAAACACAGTTTTACATTTTTTATCTACAAGTTGTGCACAAAATGTCTCCTACATCAAACCCACCATTAAAGTCATAGATAAATTTGCTATTTAGGGAACCCTAAAATAATTATTTTGGCAAAAAAAAAAAATTTCAATACAAATAATTTTCTTCGTTATCTGTTCTGTTAGAATATTCTAATATCACATTTTTATTAAGTGAGATCTACATCCCAATTTGCTATAGAAGTTTCTGATATAAAATAGAAGATTGAGTAAATTTACATAGCTAGAAAATTAGCATATAAAAGTGACTTTTTTCTCTCTGTTAAACATGTCAGGCTTATTTCTGGAGGAATTTTCTTGTCATCACATAATAGACGGCTTGCACTTGTAATATCTGAATTAACACAATATTTTAAGAAACTTACTACAATTCTATAAAACTCTTCATCCCTATGCACTGAATAACTGCAACATTTTTTACATAAAATGTGTTTATAGTAAATTATAGTAGTTTCTTATATCTGTGTTTGTAGAAGCAGCACTAGTCTCATTAAACTATGATGATTTTAAAAGGCTCTTCAAACTGTGGTATTTAAGTGGTTATGTGAAGCATATGTGAAGGCTAAAATCATGGTAGGCTCATAATGAATGTGTCTACGCTCATCTCTTGGTAGATAATGCCTTCAGACGCTCAGTGGCAACATAATGCCAGCACACTGTGTTGTGATAACATCCTACCAGAACACTTGGCTTTAAAATGCTCTCCCTGCAACTTCCGTGGATGATTCTGTTTTTTAAGATAATAATGGTGATGAAAGTGGTTAAAGGGAGCCGAACAAGCTAAGGAGACCAAGATCTAAGTGCTTCTTCCATGCTTCACTGAGAAGCTTCAATTTCTCCTTAAAAGAGTTTCCCGGGTTATAAAATGTGCAAGAAACACTTTAACCTAGAATTCTGAATTCAGTTTTCTGCTTTGCATACTCATGTTACCAACTCATAGAAATCAAAAGGCTAGGCAAACTGGAATAAGTAACTGTCTTAGTTTATTTGTTCATTGATGAGTGTGTGTTTCCACATGTGACAGAGAAGGAACACAAGGTTGAAAATGAGACCCAGAAAAAACTGGGATAATCCAGTAAAATGATAAATTATCTCTGACCATTTCAAAAGTGATTTGAAATTATTTTGGTGTAGCCTGTTGTTAATGTACATTTGGTGTCAAAATATATATTTAAATACTTCATAAAAAGAAAAACTTAGGATCTACACTATAATGTGTTAGTTTTATGTCAATTCTTATTTAAAATATTTAGTAATTTAACAAGCAGAAGCACATGAAACATGGTACAAACTCTTGAAGTATACATATCCTTTTTCTTCATTGAAATGTTTTGTCAAAAATATCAGAGGGCATTTCTTGATATGTACCTGTGTCTACTCAAACACTAACACGAATTTTGATATAGTTATGTGGAAAATTTATTTACTTTATCAGACTTTTGACATATCAAGATAAGAAGAATAACTAAATAAACAGATAGAACATTATTACCAAGTTTTCTTAATACCAAAAGCATCTATATTTTTTTTATTAATCCCATTTGATCCTCTAACCATATTAGGAATAATATTGTCAAGTTTCAGTTTTGATAGTTTAGAGAGATTTTTAAAAATGACTTAAAGTAAACTTGGAGAGCTACAAAATTTGCCATGTTTTCCTTTTTGTGAAGTAATCCAATAGATAAAATAACACTGTGGCAAGAAAAACAGAATGCCCCTGAATATATCTACAAAAATAGCGGTAAGTAAATATCTCAGGGATAGATTAATAGCTTCAGTATTCTTTCTGTGGCTTCCAGATTTCAATTCAACCAGACGGTTAGAGGGGAAAAAAAAGAGATATACAAAAAGAATATTTTGTGCATATATTTTCAATCTTAAATAAAATGAAAGTAAAGGTCTGTTAAATTTGCTCAAATGTATAACCTATTATCCTTTTTTAATATCAAAAAATTTTTTATCTTTTATGTTCAAGGGTACATGTACCATTTTTTCATTCAAATGTATTTTATTTTAATTATTTAAACCCTTGATTATTTTTCACTTTTTTGATTAATTCTTGTACATTTTTAAAGACATTGGACTTATATTACTACTTTATGTAGACATTTCCATTCCAACATGGCTTTTCTCTTTTCTCTTTTCTCACAATTAATAAGAAAAATTGTAAGACATAATTATCTTCACAAATAAAACTCAGTCTTATGAATTCATATGCATTTCTATAGAATCTGCCCTAGATTTCTGAGAATACGGGTTATTTCGTTTTAAAATTGCAGTTTGAGAGTATGAAGCTTCAATTTATATCCACTTTTCTCTTAATAGCTGTTAATAAGAGTTTCATAAATGTAGTATTACTATTGGAACAATAAAACAGTTTAAAGAAAAAACACAGGTAAAGAATCTTTGATTTCACATTCATTATAAACCATACAATAGTTCTATTTCAACTTTGTTAGCTAGTAAATTTAAGTCTAAAGAAGATGTCGTTTCAGGAATTTTGATTAAAGGTAGTAGAGTATGCTGTTTTGAGATTTCACAAACTGAACATAGTTTGAACAGCCAGATATACCACTCAAAATTACAACTATATTACTCAGGAATATATTATTGAAATTATTAAAAGCTCAATTCAAAGCATCTTAGGCAGTAAAGGGAATTTATTAAAAGAATACTAAATTAACTCACATTTCCACAAGCAAGGCAGTATCCAGCTTGGGTCTAGAAAACCACTATGTTTGTTTATAACTAGAACCAGAGGAAGAAATTTAATCCATGAACGAGTGAAGCTCAAAAGCTGAGAGTGGTGACCAAAAAGAGAAAGCAAGTCCGGGAGAATTCCCTCTGACCCAATATTCTCTTTGTGTTCCTTATTACTCTCCTGGCCACTTTGCTAAGTCACCTGATAAGCTCATTTTCTCAATGTGGATATAAAAAGTTGAATTGCATTAATTTTTAATTTATTTTTTATACTTCATTATCCACACTTTTCCTAGGAGAAATCATCTTTCATATTGCTTCAATTATCATCCATACTCAAATGAGTCATATATTTCTGTCTCCAGCCCAGAATACTTAGAAAGTTCCATTCCTCAGTGTTCAACTTTTTAATTGACATTGTGAATTCTGCATATCAAAGCCAATTCAATATCAGTAAAAGACTCGTGATGTTTTTCTATTCCAGCATGCCAAAAATAAATAAATAAATAAACAAATAAGCACAAAGTTACTGACCAGTTTTTAGTGATCTCCAAGTCAATAAATGAATTCCTCATTGGTAAACACGAAGCAAATGGAATCGTGGAATCATTCCTGACACTTCAATCTCTCTCACGTGAACCCACCACTCCTCTACCCTCACACACTTAGGTCTAAATATACAACGTATCTTTGAATATGGTCAATATGCTCCCTTAAAAAAAAAAACTGTGCAATTCCTCTAAATCATTCCGTCTCTACCACCACAACTTTAGCCATCTCATATTAACTCTCAGTTATGCTACTGAAGTAAATGACTAAAAATATTATTTGTACACATGCTTATTCCCTTCAAATAGTTCATAAGGCAGTATTTGTGATTTGCTAAAATGCAAATTATTTTCCTGTAAAACACACTATGGACTTTTGCTAAAAATGTGTGATTGGTGTCCCCCCCATATTTCTTAATATAAAGATAATTCCTTCCTCTTGAGTGAATGGCTATTACTGAAATTGCCAAGGAATCGCCACTTTCCCCATCTGGTTATAACATCTTACCCTGTCATCAGCAATAGCAGGGTATTGGTCCAGTTGTTTCTCGTCTACACTTATATTTGTTGGTGAGAGTTTAGTCATTTTTATTGGCTGTGAAATAGTGATTTCCTTGGATAGTTTTGGCATTTCTCTGATGATTGATGCTATTGAGAGCATTATATCATGTGTTTCTAAACACGACCTCTACAGACCGGCACTAGTCAGATCCTGGGGACCTCTCCACATGTACCTTGTACCATGTTCTTTTTATGCTTTGCTCTACACAACCTTTCTTTAGTTTTCTCATATAAATCATATTCCTTCTCACTATAGGTCTTCTACACTTGGCAGTCCCTCTTTCTGGAACATTCTTTTATCAACACTTTAATATTTAGTTTATTCTTACTTCTTTAAGGTCTCAGCTCAGATATGAGATCCTCGTAACCTATACATTGCCACCCAGGCTGGGTCAAATTTTCTGTTGCCATTAGCACCATGTACCACTCAGTCACAGTGACTTACCACAGTTGAGATGCTGCACATATATTGTTATTACTTAATCATTGTCTGTCTTCATTCAACACAGTGTAAATTCCACAAAGGCAGAAAATGCATTTAACATTGTTTATTATTTTATCTACAGCTCCTGGCAAAATTATCAACAATTTTTTGTACTCAGTTAATATTTATCAAATTAATAGCTAAAAGTAGAATGAATATCTACATTCTGCTATAGGATAAAAGGGCAAATAAGATTTTTTCAAAAGACCAATGCCTCCTTTAAGAGAAATTGGTTGCTAATCAGAAGAGCTGATTCATTCTAATGCACTGGTTCAATTATTAACAGTCTCACAACAATAATCAAATTAGAATTTAAAGATTCAAAATAATCTCATTTTTGTCAGAAAGATTATGCTACACTTGCCAGTATATTTTCCTTTTCATCTGTAATCTTATCAATTTTGTTGAGCTCTAATTTACATATATAAGATCCCCTCTTTAGGTGTAGATACACATACTATAAGTTCAAAATGATTTGACAAAGCCTTGTAACCACTATAATAATGAAGATATAACATATTTCCTTTTTCTTTTCCAGAAAGTTCTCCTATTCTCCTTTATGGTCAGTCCCCACCCAACCAACCCACCCACACACCAGACAACCACAAATTTAATTTACACTACTACAATTTCATTGCCTCTTCTAAACATAATATAAATATAATCAAACAGTATTTACATTTTTATGGTGGCTTTTTTGTCCACATAGTGTTTTTGGCAGGGGGTATTTTTTCATTTTGTAGCATATGTCATTATTTTGTTAATTTTTAGTGCTAAGTCATAGTCCACTGTATGTATTTACCACAGTGTATTTATTCAGTCACCTACTGACAGTCATTGGGGTTATTTCAAGTTTGTTTCAAGCTATTATTAATAAATTTAATATAAATATTCTCCTACAAGTCTTTTTGCAGACATACGCATTTTTTCCTCTTGAGTGAAAAGCTAGTATTGAAGTTGCCAAGGAATCGCCAGTTTCCCCATCTGGTTATACCATCTTACCCTGTCATCAGCAATGACAGGGTATTGGTCCAGTTGTTTCTCATCTACACTTATATTTGTTGGTGAGAGGTTAGTCATTTTTATTGGCTGTGAAATAGTGATTTCCTTGGGTATTTTTGGCATTTCTCTGATGATTGATGCTATTGAGAGCATTATATCCTACGAACCTTGGCCATTAATGTGTCTCTTTTCATGGAACTCTGTTCAAGTCCTTTGCTCATATTTTATTTAGAGTGTTATTGATTTTTATTGATTTATAGGAATTGTTTATGTATTCTGGGTACAAGTTCTCTGTGAGATATATTATGAGTATTTTCACTCAACCTGTAACTTGACTTTTAATTTTCTTAATGATATGTCTTGAAAGGAAGGTTTTTTTTTTTATTCCAATGAATTTCTATTTATCATTTTTCTTTTATGGTAATTGCTTTTTGTGCCCTATCTAAGAAATCATTGTTTACCTCAAAGTCATTAAGATTTTCTCATTTGTTTTATTCTGAAGTTTGACATGCTTTGCTTTTATGCTTAGATGTATTACATATATATGATATATATATATATATCAAATTAATTTTGGTGAAATCTGTGAGGTGGAGGTCAAGGTTTCTTTTTCTTTTTTTAAGTGGATAGTCAGTTGTTCGAGCAAATATTTTTCTTGAAAAGATTTTTTACCATAAAATTACTTCGACTCTTTTGTTGAAAATTTAATAATCACATGCACACACAAATATAAAAATAGCTCAATGCAGGCATTGCCAACTTTGCTAGCCTTCTCAGCCCTGCCTGCTTTGTCAGCCAGGGACAGACCTATCCATCTGCCATGTCCGGCAGCCTTGATTATACTTCCATACAGATGCTGCCAGCCCTACAACCTCAGGAGAAGAAAATAGAAAGGAAGAAAATTGAAGAGAAGAGGAGAAATAAATATTCAAAAGAAAGGGAATAGGAAGGGACGATAAATATAAATTCCTCACTGATCTTGTCTCCTATCAATTACTGAAAGAGTTATGTTTAACTCAACTATTAATCTGGATTCATCTTTTTCCCTTTAGTTTTGTTAACTTGTTAATGTATGTTTTATGTACACTGGTATTCTAACACTAGGGACAAACAGCCTTAAAATTGTTGAAAGTTTCCCTTTTGTTACAATGAAATGTCAGTCTCTACCTCTGATAACACTTCTTGTGTTGAAGCCTACTTCAACTGATAATAGTACATACATATGAGCTTACTTACAGCTACTCTTTGCATTGATACATCTTTTTCCATGCATCCCTTTACTTTCAACTTATCTGTGACTTACTCGATTCATTTTTCATTATTTTCAGTTGAATTAATTTCCTCTATTATCTTTTAGCATTTGTTCTTCGTTTATTTTATTTTGCTAGTTTTATTCTGTCTAGTTATAGTGCATATTTTACCATTTCATGTAATACTAAATTAGCAATATAATTTCATTTCCACTCTTTCTTTTTTTCTAATGTTGTCATATATTTTATTTCTATGTATCTTACAAACATATTTATACAATTTTATAATTTGGGGGATTAATAGTCACTTATCTCTTACAAATGTAAGAAACAGAAAGGTTGTATATATGTTTATTTAAAAATATTAATTCGTGCGTGTACTTTCCGGTGCTTTTTATTCTTCCTGAAAATCTGAGTTTTTATCTGGTATCATGTACCTTCAGGCTGAAGAACTTTCTTAATCATGTCTGATAGTTCAGGTCAATTGGTAACAAATTTCCATACATTTAATTTATTTAAGTATATATTTTATCCTTAATTTTGAAGAATATTTTTACTAAATATCTGGGATGACAGTATTTTTGTTTAACAAACACTTTAACAATGTCATTAAATTGTCTTTTGATCTCCATTGTTTCTAATGAGAATCTCGCTAGTAAATGTATCATAGTCCCATTCGTATAATGTTACTTTTTCCCATTAGTGCTTTAAAAAATTTCTGTCTGTGGCTAATAATAGTTTTATTACAATGTGCATGACTATGATTTTCTTTGTATTTCTTTTACTTGGTGTTAACTATACTGCTTGGGCCTGTGGCTTCATATTTTACTCCACCTTTGGGAAATTTTAAGCCATTTTTTTAAATATTTTTTTATTGTCCCGTAATATCTCCTCTCTTTCTGGAATTCTACTTATGCATATCTAAGCATGCATGATACTGGCCTATAAGCTACTTAGGTTTTTTTCATATTCACCTTTTTTTATCTCCAGTGGGATAATTTCTATTGGTCTGCATCCAAATTCGCAAAAAGTTTTTTTTTTCCTCTGAAGTCAAATCTTTGATTAAGCTCACATGAAATTTTAAAAATTTCAGATACTGTAATTTCCTGTTCTAGAATTTCTGCTTTGTTCATTTGACTGTTGAATATCTCCACTGACATTCTCTATTCATTACTTCATTATGTCATGCTATTCTTTTTATTTCCAGAATATATTTATAATGAGTGTTTTAAAGCCTGTGTGTGCCAATTATAACAGGTGGGCCAATTATAACAGTGGTTCATACTGAAATTTGTTTCTCTTATCTTTTTACCTCAACTGAGGAATTTATTTTCCTGCTTCTTTAAATGCATACTAATTAGTGATTACATACCTGACATTGTGTGATACACTGAGTAGAGTCTAGATTATGTGACCTTTATTTAAAGGACATTAAATTATGTTCATTAAAAGAGAGCAGTTAAATTACTAATGGATTCTTTCAAACCTTTCAGGTTTGTTCTACTTTAATTTGGTGAGATATATTTCAATTTTTCTTTAGTCCTAGGGAGTATCACTCTTTTTCCTAAAATATGGTCTTTCTCAAATATCAACTAAGTGCGTAGGTACACAGTAAGATATCTGTACTCTGGCTAAGTAAAAAGTCCAACATTTCTCATCACAGTGCAAATGTTTCCATTTACCTCTCAGCCTTGTGGTAACTACTCTCTGGTAGGCCTTGCAGACTCTGTGTATACATATTTCAAAATTCTATTGACAACACCGGCAGTGTATCTCATACAACACCCAGGATTTCCTGCATCACAGTTCCCTTCTCTGCAATATGCTGTTCCACAAATTCCAACTGTTGCCGCAGCCCCTAATTTATGTCTGCCTCCTCACCTTGAAGTACTGTCATCTCTGCTTCGTGTCTGTCTTCACGTGCTTTGGTCTAAAATCTACTTGTAGGAAAAGTGCAGAGGCAAGCTTATAGCTGTCTCCACAGTCATTTTCTTTTTACTGCCTATTGACTAATGTCCAAAAAAATTATTTTAAATATTCTGTCTAGCTTTATGATTGCATCAAAAGGGTATATCTGGTACCAGTTACTCCACCATGATTGGAAGCAGAACCACTTTTATTTATTTTTAAAGTAAAAAGTTTATAAAAATGAAGAAACTATTTTCTCCCTTATAAAATTATGAATAAATAAATATGCACCCTATAATTTAACATTTATTTAGAAAACCATTTTCTCCATTAGATCCCCATTTAAAAAATATTTTATAAAAATTTTCAGAAAAAATAATTAAAATCATTACATAATTAATATTAGTATAATAATTTACCAATTGTTAATATTTTTTCATTTTTGCTGTTTCAGGTCAAAAAATGTTATAGATAGATAGATATAGATTTACCAGCTTGTGTTTAAATTCTTATAAATGGAGTCTCCAAAACTGATTCCAATAATCTTATAACATATTACAGTTATACTCCTGTGTCCCGAAATCATTACTTTTGCTTGGCTAGTAATATATCCTTTATGAAGAAAAATAGTAAGAAATACATCTGGAAATTACAATGTGATAAGCTACTTGAGGGTCTTTCATGCTTTCTAAATTATTTGTATTTTATTTATTTATGTATTTATTTATGTATTTATTTATTTTTTGAGACGGAGTCTAGCTCTGTCGCCAGGCTGGAGTGCAGTGGCACAATCTCTGTTCACTGCAACCTCTGCCTCCTGGGTTCAAGGGATTCTCCTGCCTCAGCCTCCCAAGTGTCTGGGACTACAGGTGTGCACCAACACGCCCAGCTAATTTTTGTATTTTTAGTGGAGACAGGGCTTCACCACATTTGCCAGGATGGTCTCGATCTCCTGACCTCATGATCTGCCAGCCTCAGCCTCCCAAAGTGTTGGAATTACAGGCGTGACCCACGCCTGGCCTACATTTTATTTTGTGCCTAATAATAAACTGTTTTTGCTTTAAATAGAATTTCCTTTTAATTACAGTCATAGTTTAGAATAATTTCTTTGACAGTACTATGCAATTTTGATTATAAAGTTTAGAGAAAGCTTTAAAAATCATAATACATACATCATAGGACAAAAGAATAGCTCATTAGCTGTAATCAGTGTGAATTCTGTAAAATGTTGATCTCATATTTTGGTGTGAGATCTATGTCAGCTCCAAACAAATATGAAAAGAGGTGAAGAAAATTTTATTTGTTAAAAAACAAAGAAATACATATTTAAATGAATAAACTGGTTATTATTTTTATTATTATTATACTTTAAGTTTTAGGGTACACGTGCACAATGTGCAGGTTAGTTACATATGTATACATGTGCCATGCTGGTGTGCTGCACCCATTAACTCATCATTTAGCATTAGGTATATCTCCTAATGCTATCCCTCCCCCGTCTCCCGACCCCACAACAGTCCCCAGAGTGTGATGTTCCCCTTCCTGTGTCCATGTGTTCTCATTGTTCAATTCCCATCTATGAGTGAGAACATGTGGTGTTTGGTTTTTTGTCCTTGCGATAGTTTACTGAGAATGATGATGTCCAATTTCATCCATGTCCCTACAAAGGACATGAACTCATCGTTTTTTACGGCTGCATAGTATTCCATGGTGTATATGTGCCACATTTTCTTAATCCAGTCTATCATTGTTGGACATTTGGGTTGGTTCCAAGTCTTTGCTATTGGGAATAATGCCGCAATAAACATACGTGTGCATGTGTCTTTATAGCAGCATGATTTATAGTCCTTTGGGTATATACCCAGTAATGGGATGGCTGGGTCAAATGGTATTTCTAGTTCTAGATCCCTGAGGAATCGCCACACTGACTTCCACAATGGTTGAACTAGTTTACAGTCTCACCAGCAGTGTAAAAGTGTTCCTATTTCTCCACATCCTCTCCAGCACCTGTTGTTTCCTGACTTTTTAATGATCACCATTCTAACTGGTGTGAGATGGTATCTCATTGTGGTTTTGATTTGCATTTCTCTGATGGCCAGTGATGATGAGCATTTTTTCATGTGTCTTTTGGCTGCATAAATGTCTTCTTTTGAGAAGTGTCTGTTCATATCCTTTGCCCACTTTTTGATGGGTTTGTTTGTTTTTTTCTTGTAAATTTGTTTGAGTTCATTGTAGATTCTGGATATTAGCCCTTTGTCAGATGAGTAGGTTGCGAAAATTTTCCCTCATTCTGTAGGTTGTCTGTTCACTCTGATGGTAGTTTCTTTTGCTGTGCAGAAGCTCTTTAGTTTAATTAGATACCATTGTGAATTTTGGCTTTTGTTGCCATTGCTTTTGGTGTTTTAGACATGAAGTCCTTGCCCATGCCTATGTCCTGAATGGTATTGCCTAGGTTTTCTTCTAGGGTTTGTATGGTTTTAGGTCTAACATTTAAGTCTTTAATCCATCTTGAATTAATTTTTGTATAAGGTGTAAGGAAGGGATCCAGTTTCAGCTTTCTACATCTGGCTAGCCAGTTTTCCCAACACCATTTATTAAGTAGGGAATCCTTTCCCCATTGCTTGTTTTTCTCAGGTTTGTCAAAGATCAGATAGTTGTAGATATATGGTGTTATTTCTGAGGGCTCTGTTCTGTTCCATTGATCTATATCTCTGTTTGGTACCAGTATCATGCTGTTTTGGTTACTGTAGCCTTGTAGTATAGTTTGAAGTCAGGTAGCGTGATGCCTCCAGCTTTGTTCTTTTGGCTTAAGATTGACTTGGTGATGCAGGCTCTTTTTTGGTTCCATATGAACTTTAAAGTAGTTTTTTCCAATTCTGTGAAGAAAGTCGTTGGTAGCTTGATGGGGATGGCATTGAATCTATAAATTACTTTGGGCGGTATGGCCATTTTCACGATATTGATTCTTCCTACCCATTAGCATGGAATGTTCTTCCATTTGTTTGTATCCTCTTTTATTTCCTTGAGCAGTGGTTTGTAGTTCTCCTTGAAGAGGTCCTTCATATCCCTTGTAAGTTGGATTCCTACGTATTTTATTCTCTTTGAAGCAATTATGAATGGGAGTTCACTCATGATTTGGCTCTCTGTTTGTCTGTTATTGGTGTATAAGAATGCTTGTGATTTTTGTACATTGATTTTGTATCCTGAGACTTTGCTGTAGTTGCTTATCAGCTTAAGGAGATTTTGGGCTGAGACAATGGGGTTTTCTACATATACAATCATGTCGTCTGCAAACAGGGACAATTTGACTTCCTCTTTTCCTAATTGAATACCCTTTATTTCCTTCTCCTGCCTAATTGCCCTGGCCAGAACTTCCAACACTATGTTGAATAGGAGTGGTGAGAGAGGGCAGCCCTGTCTTATGCCAGTTTTCAAAGGGAATGCTTCCAGTTTTTGCCCATTCAGTATGATATTGGCTGTGGGTTTGTCATAGATAGCTCTTATTATTTTGAGATAACTACCATCAATACCTAATTTATTGAGAGTTTTTAGCATGAAGGGTTGTTGAATTTTGTCAAAGGCCTTTTCTGCATCTATTGAGATAATCATGTGGTTTTTGTCTTTGGTTCTGTTTATACGTTGGATTACATTTATTGATTTGTGTATATTGAACCAGTCTTGCATCCCAGGGATGAAGCCCACTTGATCATGGTGGATAAGCTTTTTGATGTGCTGCTGGATTCGGTAAATAAAACCCCTTACTTCTGGAATTGAAGGGAAGGTGAGAAAGGAAGAGACTAAATAATGTTAATAATTCCTTATAAGAACGTGAACGTATAACTAGATTTAATCCATGTATTCACTGTGTAATAAGCTAAATTTTAACCTTCAATTTATTTATTAGTAGTTTCAGTTTAGTGTATTGCAAGCAATAGCTCATTTAATGCCTAATACCAATAACAACAACAGAGAGTAATACATTATTAGTGGTATATCATTGACACATGATATGAATGAAATAATTTCATCCAGATGATACCCAATAGCAAGGTAGAGATATGATGTAGTCATTAATTCTTTTTTTGTAAAACTTTCTCTCTCCACTGGCTTCATTACACTCACTGCACACATATGAGCAACACTTTTTTCTTTTAAAAACATGTACATGTACATGTACACGTATGAGTATACACACATACACCTTCATAATTTTGATGCTTTTTACAACCAATTTGCTGGAATTTGTTGTCTAATCTTTATTTTATCTAGTTCCTCATCTCTACTTATTCCTCAATCCATTCCTATTAGGCCTCTAGACAGTAGGGTGTTGGAGCTGGGTCATACTGGTACTCTTTGCCAGTTGTTAAATTTTCAGGAACACTTTGAGCCTAACACAGCATTATTAAAAATAAATTAGTATATATAAAGTTGCAATTAAATAAATTATATTAAAACAAAGGCAGCAATTATTCAAAACTTATCACTTCCTAATTATCTTTCTATAAGTCATTATATTCTATGCCCTCAAAGTTGTTAGTATCTATTGTATCTGTATGGTCTAAATTTCACAGAATGGTTCCCCATAATGATTTGTATCTCCACAAAAATTGAGAGCCTCAAATCAGCCATGGAGGGAGTATTCACACCTTAGAATCTGGTAAATGCTGCAAGTCAGAGTTTCATGCTTTGGTTTGTATATTGTCTTCCAGAAAAGAGGTCATTAAACAGCACCACTTCTATCAATAGGGTTCTACTGACCCATTCTAATTCGACTGAATAATTATGCAGTTGCTGAATCCAAATGGATTTTTCACTCCTTAGATTTCTCAACTCCTTGGCAGTATATGATGCTGTGGTCTATCCCTACTCCATATTCACTGGCTTCTATGAAGACTCTCTTTCCATCTGTTCCTACTACCTCTCAGGGAAAGACTCTTCTGGTCTTTATAATAGACATACTTTTGTCACCTTGCTTGTCCCTTTAAAGTGGCCACTTCCCAAGTTTCTGCTCTCTTCTCACTCTACATTCTCCCAAGATTCTATTAACTACCTCTATTGTTAATTATAATTTACATTTTATACCACTCAATGTATTTCATAATTCAGGTTCCTATTTTGAAATTCAAACCATGAGTTGTATCTCTACTACTATGTAGCTTAAATGTTCAAACCAGAACTGCTCTTCTTTCGTCTCTCCAAAATTGTTTCCACTATTTCATTTCTTGGAAGATAGCATGAGGATCCACCATGTCATTCTATCTAGATATTGGTGCCATCTTAAATTCCTCCAATTTTCTAAATAACTCATCTAACGTACATTAATTCATATACATTTTAAATATATATATTTTTCATATACATTTT
This sequence comes from Homo sapiens, assembly GCF_000001405.40. Classification (NCBI taxonomy): domain Eukaryota; kingdom Metazoa; phylum Chordata; class Mammalia; order Primates; family Hominidae; genus Homo; species Homo sapiens. Next base: position 62,757,514 of record NC_000004.12, on the reverse strand, counting down.
ATCCTTTCTTTTCCTGTTTTAGCTCTCTTAGTTTGAACATTCATCATTTTATCAATTTGCTTATATCTCAAAAGTAATAAAACTAAAAAAGATAAAGTATTTTGATTGCAGGAGAGATTGGTCATACCTCTATTACAAAGCCTAATTAGTAATTGAGCATAACAGTTTTTTAGACCACTGAGAACAAAAATACAAGATCCTTAAGTTCAAGTGTTTATCACTTGCCTACAAATTTTCTTAAGACAAGGATTATTCTTTTATTTTATAGAGACAGGACTTCTCCCTGCCACCGAGGGTGGAGTGAAATGACACAATCATAGCTCCCTGCAGCCTCAAACTCATGGGCTCAAAATGACCCTCCTGCCTCAACCTCCCAAGTAGCTGTGACTATAGATGCACACTACTATGCCAGGCTATGTATGTATGTATGTATATATGTATGCATGTGTGTATGTGTGTATGTATGTACGTATTTAGTGGAGACAAGGTCTTGCTATTTTGCCCAGGCTGGTCTTAAATTCCTGGTCAAGACATCCACCCACCTTGGCCTCCCAAAGTGCTAGGATTACAGACGTGAACCACTATGGCCTGGCCCAGGACAAGGATTATCTTGTTCACCAGTGTATTTCCAGAGTTTTGTTTACAGTAGTTCAAAAATACTTACTGTGTATATGAAAAGACTGAGTCATGGAATTGACAGGACTCCTGATGGAAGAAACAAAGTTAAAAAGAAAAGACAGGGAAAAAATAGTGTTTCCTTTTTTATCAATTTCTATCAGGGTTATCTGTGATAATAACTGCTGCAGTCACAATTTAAATCAAGCATTCCTCCTCAGACTACAAACCTCGTGGTGTTGTATAATGCTTGTTTGTGTAATGTATATTTGGGACAGAAAACCTTTTAAAGCTAAGGGTATGTTAATAAATGTAAATCTTACATATTGAAGTTATATATATATATATATATACACACACACACACACACACACACACATTGAAGCTTAGCTTTTTTTTAACAACTGAAAAAGTAAAAACTGTATCACTTTTCTGAAGGAAAAAAGAAAATACGTCACTTTTACTCTCAATGTAGGGAATATTCTGAATGGAAAGAAAAACATATGACAATGACATGAATGCCGGAAATATTAAGTAATAGCATACAGCAATAGAAATTTGGATTGGCAAATGAGACACTAACAGCATCCAAGTCTTCAAGAATGAAGTGAGGGTGTGAGAATTGCATTATATACATCAACATTTAAAAACTCACAGTAAATAAACAGAAAATATGCTCCAATATGGAGTACTGAGTAACTGAAATAATATTGAGATATGATATGTTATATCCTAGTCAATCTACAAATATTTTTGTTTGGATGTTTCTTAGTTTGGTCTTGTACTTTAACCTAATGATAAGTTGCTCATTCTGTATCTAGTCTTTGCAAAAACAAAAATTCAAGTCAAACCTTTTCTTTTATGCTCAATTTTAAAACCCAAATTTGAATCAGGCAAATGCCTCTTATTTATGTTCCTATGAGCATTTCTATTCAATTTGCATTATTTTAAACATCTAAGTCAGTCTACATGGTTAATATCAAATATGACTGTAGGATATTTCAAATTATACAGATTTATGAGAAAAAAATTAAAATTCCCCAAATCCTTTTTATTACATGTTCCAGAAATCTAGCTTACATGGGTACTGGGTATTTTATCTATTTATTCATCCATCTATTTTATGTATCTATCTGTCTATCTATCTATCTTTCTATCTATCAGTCATCTATCTTTCCAAGCATATTTTTTGACTTCTAATAGATTAAGAGTGAACAGTGGCAAAACCATTACCGACAACCTTGTTTTCTCTGTTAAAATAATCTTCAATTTGAGAGGAAAAAATGTGTCTAGCTAAACCAGGCCATCACGTTCTGGAGGCAGAATGGTCAACAGAATGAGGAATATTATATATTTATGGCCATTTCTATAAAATCTACATATTTTTGTTAATATCCCACAGATCCACGTGTTGCTGTCTTTTTCTCTTCTTGCCTTGAACATAGGCATGATGGCTGTACCTATAGCAGCCTCCCTGAAATCATAAGGGAAAGTAATCATGACCAAAATGATTAAAAGTAAAAAATAAAGCATATTTAAACACAATTATGAAATACTATGAAGATATAGAAATCATTTGTATAAGAATGTTTATTGGCAAGGAATTGACCACAATACATGGCAGAAGTTTTAAATGGTGTGGCAATGTTCACAAATATGGTATTATTTTGCAAATACATGGAAGGAAACAGCAGTGTGAAAAGTCTGGGTGTTCTCTGGCAGTGACATAAATAAAGTGAAACTAGAAGCAATCTACTGTAAGTGCAAAGAATAATGGGACTGCATTCTCAGTTATAGGAATTAAGAACTGTAATAAAGCCAACTAAAAGCTAATAAGCAATTTATTATTAACATGCATGAGCTAACATTTCTTTTTGTTTGTCTGCAGAAATAATATCATCTAAGAACAGAACATTTTCAAAATAAAAAATTATTCAAATGTCATTTGAATTATTTCACCAAGTGCTTTTGAGTAGTTTTTGTTAACTACTCAAAACGAAGAGATTCAAACAACAATTTATTATTGTGTTTCAATATTCTTTGGGTCAGAAGTCTGGGCAAAGCCTGGATTTTCTCAGCATCACAACCTTTGGGGCCTCTGCTGGGATAATTAGAATGGCTGGGGCTGAATCAGCTGAAGCTAGTGAAGTTTCTCTAGTGAAGTTTTTCTGTCTCTGTGTTTCTCTCTCTCTCTCTCTCTCTCTCTCTCTCTCTCTCTCTCTCTCTCTCTTTTCAACCCACCCCTAACCCCACCACTCTCCTCTCCCTTCTCATGGCCTCTTCATGTGGTTACCATGGGCTTTCACACAGTTTGGACACTAAGTCCAGAGCTCCAAGTAAAAGAAAGTGGAAACTTCCAAACCTCTCACAAACTAGGTCCCAAAGTGACAAACCTCACTTCCGCATGCTCAAAGCCTAGATTTGAGGGGATGGAACTTAGTCCCCCGCTTTCAAAAGGAGGGATGTCAAAGAATTTGTGACCACCTTTAATCTGTCACAATATTTATATGTGTTTATATGTGTATTATTAAGTGGTCAGATATCTTCCAATTAAAATGAAACAATATAGCTTAAATTAAAAAGAAAGAAGTTTTAACTAAAAAGTTGAAACAAGTCATATATGCCATTACCCTGTTCAAAGTAACCTTTAATCATCATTTACATTCATGCTTTACAAACTGTTCTATCAGATCCAGGGCTTCCAGCTGTTGAGAGAAGTCAGGAAAGAAGATGCTGAATGATTGCCATTTCTCACATATGCCCCAAAGCCCATAGCAAATTCATCTTCAAAACAAAAATTTGTGTGTTATTAATATATGTGGCTGAATCTTCAGGAAGATTTTATTTGAAGGAGAAAGTCCATATATATGAAAATACAGAAATTCCTAAGCTATACCAGGGGTCTCTTCAAATATTAATATGGATTTAGTTATAAATGTCATGTTGTTGTAAATATTATCTGCACAATAATGCATTTATATAGATGGAGATTCTTAAAGGAACATATGTATATTTTAGTTTTAAATTATTGAAAAAGGCCTTAGGCCAAATAAAATATAATATCGACAATAATGAAAGAAATTTCATTAATTCTGCTATTCTATTTTTGATCATCTTCGTTTTGTGGTTTAGCAATTTATAAACCTTGTTATAAGTTTATTTCACAACTATATTTTAATGGCTGTCATGCCTGAAAAATATACCATCAAAGATGTATAGATCTAAAAGGAAGGAAGCTATCACTATTGACAATATCTTTCTGCTGATTAGCATATCTAACCTAAACAACCAACTATTCACAGTTCTTTATTAAAAAGTTGATAATAACCACTTAGAAGTGAATGGGAAATTATTGCATAGTAAATTTGTTTAAATTTCTCCTGAATCTAGTTGTTGAGAAGATTTTACATAGATAAGAAAATTATATTTTCAATTACCTTTTTTGGGTTTTCTTATGTGTTACATAAGGGATTTAAATCTAACTTACTAGCCTTATTATAACAATAAAATTATGTGATAACTGGCACAATTTCAAACACCTGTTTTTAAAATGGCAATGTCTATAGCACAAGCTTGTTTTGAAAAGAAATAACTTTCCCACTCATTGTAAAAAGGTCACCTTTCTGTTGACAGAACAGAACTTTTATATTTATTCTCAATTTTATAACACCTCAATAGGTTATTACTGGCAGTTGCTTGTCATTCAACAAAATGTCAACAAATTCAGAGCACCATTTTTGTAAAATAAAAATAACAAAATTCAGCTTTAAGATTCACAATTCTTTGAAGGACTACGTGAAAGTAGCAAGTAAAATATTGGGCTGCAAAGATTTTAATGATAATAACTTATGTCAATAACAAATGAGGTAAAACTTTACAATCCAAATGTGTTCTATTAAAACACTAATCATATTTAGGATATTTTGGTACATAATTATATAATATCAAAATAAGCTGAAAGTTTATGTGACAGCGAGGGAACAATGACGAACCCTCTGTCCTATGGAATTCAAGCCTCCCTGAGAATACACGTTTTACTAAATGAGCAAGAGTCCCAATGACAAGCCATAAATTGAGTTGTAAAAACTAAATGCTCTCCTAATGTTTTTTTTTTGTATAAATATATGGAGTACAAGTGCAATTTGGTTACATGTATAGATTGCATAGTAGTTAAGTCAGGAATTTTAAGGTATCTGTCACCCAAATAATGTACATTGTACCCATTATGTAATTTCTCATCATCTACCCTCCCTCCAACCCCTCGACCCTTCCAAGTCTCCAATATCTGTGATTCCACACTCTATGTCTGTATGTACGCATTATTTAGGTCCCATTTGTAAATAAAAACATGAGATATTTGTCTTTGTTTATGAGTTTAAGGAAATATATTCTTATATATCTTCCTTTATTTCTATAGAACACATAAGAAACACCTTGATGTGTATGCTTGCCACTGTGTAGACAACCTGTCCATAGTCTGCCGACTGTAAGGAACTATATAATCTCTTACAATCCAGTCTATATAACATTACTAGAGCAAGAGTAAGGCTCCTGAAACCAGTGCTCAAAAAGCTTTATGTTCTCTTCCTTGGATAGAGACAATGTGCAGATGACATACTGTGGCAGTCAAGGCCCACTATTTTCATATCTAAATCAGCCTTTCCCCATGACCTTCCCCAGAAAAATGAATTATATGGATCAATTATATAAAGATATTGCTTTCAACTGGATGTGGCTGTTTTCCTATCTCAGGGATTTTACTATTTCATTATCTTCTGCTCCTCTCTTACCATAATCACTGCCTCAACAAATTCTACTTCTTTCAAATCCACCTCACCCATGACTTTTTCTTATTTTCATCCCCCTGATTTGGGAATGTGTGTGTATTTCATCAAGCATGTATACTAACATTTTATCCCAATAACACAAAGGAAAAAAGACTAGCTTCAGGGCAATTTGGGAAAATGCCCTTTTTCTCCCACTATATTAAAGGGAAGTATTGTGACTTTCACATATTTATGTTCTTTTAAACACACATATCTGGATATATCGGGGGTCGATAGGTTTGTTAAATTTAAATTTTGCTCATTTATGAGGACTTTTACTAATTAATATGAGAAAGATATATTCAAAGAGTTTTCTAATATCCCTAGATTAGTAAAAGTATAACTAGTCAATTTCTAAGCTTTCTGCCAGTCTAACTTCAGAAACAATATTAATTTGTCTTTCTCTGCTTATTTACTTTTATAAATTTTCATTTCATTTATATTAATAATGATTTGTATATGTTAATTACTATAATAAAGTTGTGATTGTCATTATTTTTCTAAATGAGTTAAACTAAGTGTAAGAAATGATGACTACTATCATAGTAATTTTTAAACATAAAGGGAAAATGTATGGAAACCTTTAATTGCAGAAGGAAATACTCTAGTATTTACACACACAGTAAAAGAACATTCTGTACCATAAATAATTACTAAGCATTGATAAGTTCAGTGCACAATTTTCCTAGATATTCAAGCATATAAAATAAATAAACCCTGAACTTGACATTCCAGATACCTTATAAAATTCTGGAAGACAATGATGTATTTTTAAAGCCATTTAATAAGCATTCAGCAACATTTCTTTTTTGAAATCAGCTTTTTCCAATTAAACTGTAGAAGTGAAAACAGTTTATGCCTTTATTTGATGTGATAACCCCATATGTCAGAGTTATGGCATACAATTCCAGATAACACAAAGAAATAAAGACTAGCTTCAGGGTAATTTTTCTGGTATACAATTTTATGATTATAATAAATATTTCTTTATTAAAATCTTGTGTTATCTGTTGATTGAAAGTGCATTAGGTTTTGAGTGGATATTGAAAGCTCTGCTGTAGATTTTAAATTGGATTGTTACAAAATACTTCACTGACATGAGTATTGAACTCAGAAGATTACTTGAGAAACCCATAGAAAAATAATCTTAAAATTTTTTTTCTGTCCTCAAGTGTAATTTTTTATTAAATGGCACTTTTTTATTGATGGCATTATTTCCTATTGACTTCTTATTTCTAAGGTAAGCAACTAACGTTTTAAAAAGCAAAAACATGTGAATAGAAATAGGTTGCTTGGGCTCAACAATAGAATTGAGTTCTTCTAGTCAAGGTTATCAAAATGCTTATTTAACCAGAAAGAAGTGTTGTTTTTCAACATGATCAGTTGTCTCTTGGTTTCTTGAATCACTGGAGACCATTTAGAATGAGTCTTTAGGGGATTTACTGCTTAGAATAAGAAAGTGAGTTCTAAAATGATTATTCTAAAGAAGAAAAAATTTGTACTCCTCAACAGTGAATGTACTTGTCCAAAAAAGAATATCCCTATAAATACTGGCAAGTGTGTTCAAAGATTTTATAAAGCTAATTTAAATGCATGTGTACTGAAGTTACCAAAAGTAGTTTATGATCTGAGGCAAGGCTTCAGTTTATTTCAATTCTGAAGGAAAGATAAAAGTATATTATATGAAAAAGGTGAACATAATGTTCTCATTTTCTATAATAATTTTGAAACATTTGGAAATTTATATAGTTATTGTGTTCCAATGGGAGACAGAAAACTTTCTTAGGGATATTTTACTTAATCATTTATTCACCTATTAAATATTGTCTAATATATGTCAGTTGCAGTGCTTAACCTTGAAAGGAACTCCCATCACCTAATTTCAAGGAGCACCAAAACTAATGGAGGGAATAAATGCATTAATCACAAATGCAAATGTACAGAATACATGAAAAGGAAGAAGGGACAGCTATTTCAAACCCAAGTCAGTTACAAATGGCTTCCCAGAGGAAATGACAGCGGACTGAATTTCAGTAGGTGAGTAAAGATTATTTAGACACAGGAAAGAGAAAATGAGATGTAATAAATGCTAATAAACTTAGCATGCTGTGCCTGGGGGGAAGCAACCCAACATGGGGCTTTGAAAGCTTAAAATGCAAGGCACTGCATGACTAGATATGTGTCAAGGAACAAGTCAGAGGGCAAACCATGGCCACCCCTGAATGTTATTGAAAGTGACCTGTAAATGAAGGTACACCCCAGAAAGCTGTTCAGCAAAAGAGTAGAGTTGTTGAATTGCATTTTAGAGAGATACCGGGTGGCTTTGTAACCTGTAAATGTGAGTGGGGCAAGGAGAAAGCAGAAAGACTGACAAACAGAAACATTAAAATACAGCCCTAAATGACCGTGTCCTGCCTTCTTTTATGGATGTCCTCTCCACCTTCTCTGCCCAGTATACTCTGTTCCAGCCACCCTGGCTTCACTAGTCATTCATGAACACAAAATGTACTCAAAGCTTTTGCATTTTCTGATCCTTCATCCTGGAATGTTCTTCCCTCAGTCACCCAGAAGATGTTTTCCTGAACATCATTCAGGGCATTACTCAAATTTCACTTTATGGACAGTCTGTGTAAATGGCACCCCTCTCTCTGCAACCCCATACTGCATCATTCTCTATTTATGTACTCACTTTCTTTCTCGACAAAACACTTCTTGTCACCAGCCATAATCTAAATTATTTTATTTTCTTTGTTCACCTACTATAATGTAATTTCCATGAGAGAAGGAAACTTGTTTGACTTGCTGCTGAATCTCCAGAACCTGCAATGGTGTATGACATATAAAAGACACTCAATAACTATTATTGAGTGAATGAATGACAATAATAATAATAATAATAATGACAATCACTGTTAGCATTTATTAAGCACATACCATGTGTCACATATTGTCTTAATTATGCCTTTAATATATGTGATCTCAATCAATCATCCTAACCTGATGATCATACTATAACAATTGTTTATATATGCAACAGGGATTGGAAAAAAGCTTAATAAAGTTTTTTTATATTATTATACTTTAAGTTCTGGAGTACATGTGCAGAACGTGCAGGTTTGTTACATAGGTATACACATGCCATGGTGGTTTGCTGAACCATCAACCCGTCACCTACATTAGGTATTTCTCCTAATGCTATCCCTACCCTAGCCCCTTACCCCCCTGACAGGCTCCAGTGTGTGATGTTCCCCTACCTGTGTCCATGTGTTCTCATTGTTCAAACTCCCACTTATGAGTGAGAATATGTGGTGTTTGGTTTTCTGTTCTTGTGTTAGTTTGCTGAGAATGATGGTTTCCAGCTTCATCCATGTCCCTGTAAAGGACATAAACTCATCCTTTTTTATGGCTGCATAATATTCCATAGTGTATATGTGCCACATTTTCTTTATCCAGTCTATCATTGATGGGCATTTGGGTTAGTTCCAAGTCTTTGCTATTGTGAACAGTGCCACAATAAGCATTCATGTGCATGTGTCTTTATAGTAGAATGATTTATAATCCTTTGGGTGTATACCCACTAATGGGATTGCTATTGCTAGGTCAAATGGTATTTCTAGTTCTAGATCCTTGAGGAATTGCCATATTGTCTTCCACAATAGTTTAACTAATTTACACTCCCACCAACAGCGTAAAAGTGTTCCTATTTTTCCACAACCTTTCTAGCATCTGTTGCTTCCTGACTTTTTAATGATCGTCATTCTAACTGGCATGAGATGGTATCTCATTGTGGTTTTGATTTGCATTTCTCTAATGACCAGTGATGATGAGATTTTTTTCATATTTGTTGGCTACATAAATGTCTTCTTTTGAGAAGTGTCTGTTCATATCCTTCAATTTTTTGAAGGAATTGTTTTTTACTTGTAAATTTGTTTAAGTTCTCTGTAGATTCTGGATATTAGCCCTTTGTCAGATGGATAGATTGCAAAATTTTTCTTTCATTCTGTAGGTTGCCTGTTCCCTCTGATGATAGTTTCTTTTGCTGTGCAGAAGCTCTTTAGTTTAATTAGATCCCATTTGTCAATTTTGGCTTTGGTTGCATTGCTTTTGGTGTTTTAGTCATGAAGTATTTTCCCATGCCTATGTCCTGAATGGTATTGCCTAGGTTTTCTTCTAGGGTTTTTATGGTTTTAGGTCTTATGTTTAAGTCTTTACTCCATCTTAAGTTAATTTTTGTATAAGGTGTAAGGAAGGGGTCCAGTTTCAGTTTTCTGCATAGGGCTAGCCCGTTTTCCCAACACCGTTTATTAAATAAGGAATTCTTTCCCCATTGCTTGATTTTGTCAGGTTTGTCAAAGATCTGATGGTTGTAGATGTGTGGTGTTACATCTGAGGCCTCTATTCTGGTCCATTGGACTATATATCTGTTTTGGTTCCAGTACCATGCTGTTTTGGTTACTGTATACTTGTAGCATAGTTTGAAGTCAGGTAATGTGATGCCTCCAGCTTTGTTCTTTTTGCTTAGAATTGTCTTGGCTATGCAGGCTCTTTTTTGGTTCCATATGAAATTTAAAGTAATGTTTTCTAAGTCTGTGAAGACAGTCAATGATAGCTTGATGGGGATAGGATTGAATCTACACATTACTTTGGTCAGTATGGCCATTTTCACAATATTTATTCTTCCTATGTATGAGCATGGAACATTTTTCCATTTATTTGTGTCCTCTTGTATTTCCTCGAGGAGTGTTTTGCAGTTCTCCTTGAAGAGGTCCTTCACATCCCTTGTAAGTTGTATTCCTAGGTATTTTCTTCTCTGTGTAGCAATTGGGAATGGGCATTCACTCATGATTTCGCTTTCTGTTTGTCTGTTATTAGTGTATAGGAATGCTTGGATTTTTGCACATTGATTTTGTATCCTGAGACTTTGCTGAAGTTGCTTATCAGCTTAAGGAGATTTTGGGATGAGATGATAGAATTTTCTACATATACAATCATGTCATCTGCAAACAGAGACAATTTGACTTCCTCTCTTCTTGTCTGAATATGCTTTCTTTCTTTCTCTTGCCTGATTGCCCTAGCCAGAACTTCCAATACTGTGTTGAGGAGGAGTTTTGGGAGAGGGCCATCCTTATTTGTGTCGGTTTTCAAAGGGAATCCTTCCAGTTTTTGCCCATTCAGTAAGATATTGGCTGGGGTTTGTCATAAATAGCTGTTACTATGTTGAGATATATTCCATCAATATCTAGTTTACTGAGAGTTTTTAGCATAAAGCGGGGTTGAATTTTGTTGGAGGCCTTTTCTGCATCTATTGAGATAATCGTGTGGTTTTTGTCATTGGTTCTGATTATGTGATGGATTACGTTTCTTGATTTGTGTATGTTGAAACAGTCTTGAATCTCAGGTGTGAACTTGACTTCATTGTGGCGGATAAGCTTTTTGATGTGCTGCTGGGTTCAGTTTACCAGTATTTTATTGAAGATTTTCGCATTGGTGTTCATCAGGGATATTGGCCTGAAATTTTCTTTTTTTGTTGTGTCTCTGTCAGCTTTTAGTATCTGAATGATGCTGGCCTCATAAAATGAGTTATGGAGAATTCCCTCTTTTTCTATTGTTTGGAATTTTTTTTAATGTTTGTTGAATATTCATTTCTCTTTTTTTATTATACTTTAAGTTTTAGGGTACATGTGTACAATGTGCAGGTTTGTTACATATGCATACATGTGCCATGTTGGTGTGCTGCACCCATTAACTCATCATTTAACATTAGGTATATCTCCTAATGCTATCTCTACCCCATCCCCCCACCCCACAACAGGGCCTGGTGTGTGATGTTCCCCTTCTTGTGTCCATGTGCTCTCATTGTTAACTTCCCACTTATGAGTGAGAACATGCGGTGTTTGGTTTGAGAAGGAATGTTACCAGCTTCTCTTTGTACCTCTGGTAGAATTTGGCTGTGAATTTGTCCAGTCCTGGGCTTTTTTTGGTTTGTAGGCTATTAATTGCTGCCTCAATTTCAGAACTTGTTATTGGTCTGTTCAGGGATTTGACTTCTTCCTGATTTAGTCTTGGGATGGTGTATGTGTCCAGCAATTTATCCATTTCTTCTAGATTTTATAGTTTATTTGTGTAGAGGTGTTTATAGTATTCTCTGATGTTAGTATGTATTTCTGTAGGATCAGTGGTGATATCCTGTTTTTTTTTTTAATTGCATCTATTTGATGCTTCTGTCTTTTTTTCTTTATTAGTCTGGCTAGCAGTCTATTTTGTTGATCTTTTCAAAATCCAGCTCCTGGATTCATTGATTCTTTTGAAGTGTTTTTCGTGTCTCTATCTCCTTCAGTTCTGCTCTGATGTTAGTTATTTCTTGTCTTCTGCTAGCTTTTGAATTTGTTTGCTCTTGCTTCTCTACTTTTTTTAATTGTGATGTTAGGAGGTCAATTTTAGATCTTTCCTACTTTCTCTTGTGGGCATTTAGTGCTATAAGTTTCCCTCTAAAAACTGCTTTAAATGTGTCCCAGAGATTCTGGTATGTTGTGTCTTTGTTCTCATTGGTTTCAAATAACGTCTTTATTTCTGCCTTCATTTCGTTATGTACCCAGTAGTCATTCAGGAGCAGGTTGTTCAGTTTCCATGTAGTTGGGCAGTTTTGAGTGAGTTTCTTAATCCTGAGTCCTAATTTGTTTGCACTGTGGTCTGAGAGACTGTTTGTTATGATTTTTGTTCTTTTGCATTTGCTGAGGAGTGTTTTACTTCCAATTATGTGGTCAATTTTAGAATAAGTGCAGTGTGGTGCTGAGAAGAATGTGTATTCTGTTGATTTGGGGTGGAGAATTCTGTAGATGTCTATTATGTCTTCTTGGTCCAGAGCTGAGTTCAAGTCCTGGATATTCTTCTTAATTTATTTTCTGTCTCATTGATCTGTCTAATATTGACAGTGGGGTATTAAACTCTTCCACTATTATTGTGTGGGAGTCTAAGTCTCTTTGTAGGTCTCTAAGAACTTGCTTTATGAATCTGGGTGCCCCTGTATTGGGTGCATATATATTTAGGATAGTTAACTCTTCTTGTTGCATTGATCCCTTTACCATTATGTAATGCCCTTCTTTGTCTCTTTTGATCTTTGTTGGTTTAAAGTCTGTTTTATCAGAGACTAGAAATGCAACCCCTGCTTTTTATTGCTTTACATTTGCTTGGTAAATATTCCTCCATCCCTCTATTTTGAACCTATGTGTGTCTTTACACTTGAGATGGGTCTCCTGAATACAGCACACTGGTGGGTCTTGACTCTTTATCCAATTTGCCAGTCTGTGTCTTTTAATTGGGGCATTTAGCCCATTTACATTTAAGGTTAATATTGTTATGTTTGAATTTGATCCTGTTATTTTGATGCTCGCTGGCTATTTTGCCTCTTAGTTGATGCACTTTTTTCATAGTGTCAATGGTCTTTAAAATTTGCTATGTTTTTTGCAGTGGCTGGTGCCGATTATTTCTTTCCATGTTTAGTGTTTCCTTCATCAGGAGCTCTTGTAAGGCAGGCCTGGTGGTGACAAAATCTTTACAGACAAGCAAATGATGAGAGATTTTGTCACCAATAAAGTGTTTTTAAGTAAAGCCTAGAGAGAGTTAATTTTAAAATATGTGGATATAAACTTTGCAAGATTTAGTAAGTGAGAGAAATAAAAGTTAATGCCCAGGTTGTCCATTGAAGTAACATTTGTTGAAAATTCTTGCCATCAACTTCAAAAATACAAAAGCAGAATATAAAGGGCAAAATGTATTCAACCTTTGCATATGTACAGCAAGCAGCATAAAAATTACATCACCAACCCTAACCACATATTTGCTCTCATTCTACAATGTTGAGCTTTATTTTATTTTAATTGTGCAAATAAAAACTGAAGCAAAAAATAGTTAGAACCAGTTAAGTCAAGGAATTTTTATTATTAGGAATTGTTTATGCTTTAGAGACAAGGAAAATTGTTATTGTCTCAATTGGGTCATAAAAGGAAAAAAATTCAAGTCAAAATTAAGTCAAATTTTTTCAAGTATGTGTGCTTCTAACTTTGGGGACACATTTACTAATTTTTTTTATTGTGAAGTCTCAGCAATCCCTTGTATTTAGTGAGATAAATTAACGGTTTGTCTTCTATAGTTGATTATTTTTTCTTAAGACTAATGGGCATTTTTGTTATCTATGATTTTCTCTTTTTATTATTTACTTAAATTTAAGAGAAAATAAAATAAGATAGGTTGGCAAATTTCAAAACAGTATTGTTCTATAAAGAAGAGCCTTTGTTTGTGTGTTCTAAATTAGTTCAATATAAATCACTACATTCCTAACATGGGAAGCTTGGCATAGAGTATGTCAGTATATATGAGTTAAGATTATAACATTTTTAGTTAGAAAAAGTTTAACATGAGTCATCTGATAACTAAAGAATATTGCCATTTTTATTTGCTTTATAGCAACTTGTTCCTATCTCCAAATTCTCTGTCATTTTTCTTAGACCCATGTACATGACCCAAGATGTCACACCAAATGCATATGTTGGCTTGACAAGAATATTTGCTGATAGCTGTATTTAGTAATGTGCTAGAGTTCTCTCCAGCTCCACGTTTAGTGACATCACATTGGTAGCTGGAAATCAGTGACGGTAGGAATATTTACACCAAAGAAATTAGCAAACAATATAAGCAGGTGTGTGTGTGTGTGTGTGTGTGTGTGTGTGTGTGTGTGTGTTTATTTTATCCTGAAGAACAGGTTGCTAAATATTACCATCACATGACTGGCTATATCCTACTATTGATCATTTAAAGACTATACCATTATATCAATACATCTTCAAAAGTAAAAATAAGATAGAGTGATATTAGCAAAAATAAAATCTTTCCAATGCCTCATAAAGTTGTGCCCCAAATTAATTGATGTGTTGAAATTAGTAGAAAGTTTGTGACACTTAGCTAAACTAAAATACATATAAATTAGTTTAAGGGGCCTGAATATATAATCTGTAAACCAGTGACTTTCTTTCTAGAAATTACTGCATTCAACAAAGACAGAAGTGATTTTCAATCACACTTTTCTATCTAAAGACCTCTAGTTACCATAGTGCTGTCATTTATGACTCAGTACTGGAAGTAAGTTTCTGTTTATTTTCCAGTCTCTCTTCGTAACTACTTCCAGAAATTTCTGCATTAAAAAGTATCATCGATGAACAGAATCTGTCAATGATTCAAAAGGCAAATACAAAATTATATTTTAATTAAAAGTTGAAATGTTAAATCGAATGTTACGTAATAATTTTGTTCAGTATGCTAGTGTTTGAATTACCATGTTATATATTATATTAATATTTTACATATTATCCATTGATTCCTCATGCAAGATCAGTTTACATGTAAAAACTAGGGTTAGAGTGCTTGTGCTGTGCTGAGGGATTGATAGTAAGAAAGTGGTTGAATAATAATTGGAACCCACTCTGAAGCCCCAGATCTCTTTCTCTTGTCTGGTTGTACAGTTTGCTCTAACATTCTCTACATTAAGTATCTTGTGGCAAAAATGGAAGAAAAAAGTCATTTGAAAATCCCACAAAGTGCAAAATAGAGTCCTGATGCAGAAAGAAAATTTAGAAGATAAAACTTGAGAGGCTTTGTTTAGTGATGGAGTCAGACAGATCTTAATAAATATCCTATTCCATCAATCAGGTGAACAGTGTGAATATGGGGAAATTATTTGGTCTCTCTGAGCCTCAATGTTATCATCTGTAACACAGTTATGAGAATTAGATATGAAATTGCATATAAAACCTCTAGTGTAGACTCAGGTAATAGTGAGGGCTCAATAAAAGGTTAATATAACTGCTATTGCTGAAAGGTAAGTTAAAATAATAAGTGAAGAGAATATAAATATCAATATTGATTTATTTTCCAAAAGCAATTTTCAATTAAGACAACAATAACAATTTTAGAAATGGGTTTGACTTCAAAAATATTCCACTAAGAGACATTTTGTTATATGTGTGTGTGTTTGTATATATACATATATCTATAACTATATATATAACTATAACTATATATAACTATAACTATATATATAACTATAACTATATATAACTATAACTATATATATAACTATAACTATATATATAACTATAACTATATATATATAACTATATATAGTTTTTTGCTTAAATTAAAAACTAAGGCCCAAGAAGGGAAAAACCGAAAGATGAGAAAGAATGAGAGAATTGAGCAGTTTTACATCATTTTTTAAAAATTGTAATTTCCCTGGGAAATTGTGACTAAAATGAAAATGCCACAAAATCAAATCACTATCATTATTGTAAAATCTGCTAGTATATATGAATATTAAGTACACTGTTTAAAATCTGTGTAGTATATATGAATATTAAGGATATTGTTTAAAATATTAAAATATGTAAGGAAAGAGAGATTGAGTAGGCTTGGCCTTTTCAAAGTGTAGATCAAGAGTAAGTATTATTGCTTTATATTATCAAATGCAAAATAAATTTACAGGAGTGAACAGTAAAGTGTAAAACTGGCAAATTATAAAATTCAATGTTGGGTAAGATAGGAAGTGATTATTATAACTCAGTGTCTTCCTCACCTGCCCTCAAAATTCATCTCAAAATTTAACATTCTGATAAATACTTTTGCTGCTATCTCATAGCAGTTAATCATGCCTGTTGCATGTGGTAGTACCATCACTTTTCCACAGTCGGTGGACCACTTCTCGGGTCATGTCAGTGTCTGCAAGCAACACAAGTATCATCTGTTGGTTCTTTTTTCACACTAAAGCAATGAATCAAGGGCAAAAGCAAAGCTACTGTTGATATTTGGCAGGATATATTCTGGACTCGTAAACCTGCTTTCTGAATTAAAACATCCATCAATGATGTCTCAACCACCTCGTCCATCTGTCTCCTTCCTTTAAAATAAAAATGAAAAAAATGAGTACTTGAGAGGCAAGAACTTTTTCAATCTTTGATATTTAGAAATGTACTGATGAAATTCAAAGAATGATTTTTTCATTTCTTTTCTCGTATTTTCATTATCATTGAAATAGTTGTAAATGAATCAGTATTGTGATCCTGAAATTTTCACTCCATATAACTTTAACTTTACTATTTAATAGTATGCATTTTATATAGAAGACATAATAAGGGAATCATAAAAATGCTCTTTTTTCTATGTGTGCAAATCATAAAGCAAATGAACATAGTTTAATGTAATCCCGGAAAAAATACTGGATAAATTCATAACTGTGCTCTATCATAGTAAGTAATAACCACATACACAGACAGCCCCATGCACACACAAACACACACCAACATTCTCCATGAGAACAAAGAAAAAAAATTCAAAAGTGTCTTAAGGCAGAAAATTTCTTTCCATAGAATGAATAGATTTGAGTAAAACTGTTGTTCAAATAAATATATTATCATTTATATTACTGTGTTTACTGAGAAGGTAAAACAAATTTCAGTACTTTCACCTAATTTTAATACATCTTCCTTTTATTGAACGCTACCAAGCACAAAGTATCATCATAAATTGCGTAACCTGTGATCCTCACAACAACCCGGCAATAGGCCGGGTATGGATATTCTTCCTCCTCCACAGATAATGAATTTGGGCTTTAGACAGTCACGTGGCCAGTAAGTAGCAGTGCTGAAATGATAATCCAACACTTCTGATTCCCATATCGCTGTTCATTTTGCTTTATCAAATTCAGCTAAGCTACAATGACCTTTAAAAATGCTTGTTTACTCAAAATATAATATTTAAAAGAATAAGAAAAATTAACATGCCAAGGCAACCCTGTAAGGCACTGAATGGTAGACCTGTATCCAAAAACGGACAGAATAAAAGTACGTCCCCAATTAAACTCAAAGACTAATAGTAAATAAACTATATTTTAAAAAATAATTACAACACAACATATTTAAGAAACTAGACCTACATGGGTCATATCTGATAGAGGCAGGAGAGAAGGAGTGATACAATCAGGACTTAGATCATGAAAAGCCTCAATACCAATTCAAAGATTTAATATTTTTTCTTATATATGATATAATACAAATGTGTGTATGCTGAATAGTAACATAAGACTTGCTTACATAATGTATAATCAATTAAAAATTATAAATACATAATGACTTCTAGAACATTTCTGGAGAAAATGATGGATGATGTTACCATTCCCTAAACAGGTATTATGATAAACTGAAAGTCTCATGGGAAGAGGTGGAGGAAAGGTGTTTCATGAAATCTAGTCACTCTGAGGACATAGAGACAATGAATCACAAATCTCTAATAAAAGATAAATCAGGAAGAGAAGTAATCACTGACAGATTGGTTTTAATAGAAGGAACTGAAAATTTAAAAATCAAATAACCAGTTTCTAGATGTTTTTAGAAAAAATAAATAGAAAACAAAGGAAAGAAACTTAAATAATTTCAGCCAGAGACCTCAAGTGCTAAAGCTATTTTTAGTTTTAAGTTAACCATATTTTCATTTGGGTATGTAATTTTTTTGTTATGTTTTTTGTTATACTTTAAGTTCTGGAATACATGTGCGGAACCTGCAGGTTTGTTGTATAGGTATACATGTGCCATGGTGGTTTGCTGCACCCATCAACCCAACATCTACATTATGTATTTCTCCTAATGCTGTCCTTCCCCTACCCTCCCCACCCCTCGACAGGCCCCGGTGGGTAATGTTCTCATTGTTCAACTACCACTTATGAGTGAGAACATGTGGTGTTTGGTTTTCTGTTCCTGTGTTAGTTTTCTGAGAATGATAGTTTCAGCTTCATCCATGTCCCTGCAAAGGACATGAACTCATCCTTTTTTATGGCTGCATAGCATTCCATGGTATATATGTACCACATTTTCTTTATCCAGCCTATCATTGATGGGCATTTGGGTTGGTTCCAAGTCTTTGCTATTGTGAACAGTGCCACAATAAACATATGTGTGCATGTGTCTTTATAGTAGAATGATTTCTAATCCTTTAGGTATATACTCAGTAATGGGCTTGCTAAGTCAAATGGTATTTCTGGTTCTAGAGCCTTGAGGAATTGCCACACTGTCTTTCATAATGGTTGAAATAAATTTATACTCCCACCAACAGTGTAAAAGCGTTCCTATTTCTCCACATCTTCTCCAGCATCTGTTGTTTCCTGAATTTTTAATGATCACCACTCTAACTGGCATAAGATGGTATCCCATTGTGGTTTTGATTTGCATTTCTCCAATGACCAGTGATGATGAGCTTTTTTTCATATGTTTCTTGGCCATATAAATGTCTTCTTTTGAGAAATGTCTGTTCATATCCTTCACCTACTTTTTGATGTTTTTTTTTCTTGTAAATTTTTTTTAAGTTCCTTGTCGCTTCTGGATATTTGCCCTTTGTCAGATGGATAGATTGCAAAATTTTTCCTCCATTCTGTAGGTTGCCTGTTCACTCTGATGGTAGTTTCTTTTGCTGTGCAGAAGCTCTTTAGTTTAATTAGATCCCATTTGTCAATTTTGGCTTTTGTTGCCATTGCTTTTGGTATTTTAGTCATGAAGTCTTTGCCCATGCCTATGTCCTGAATGGTATTGTCTAGGTTTTCTTCTAGGGTTTTTATAGTTTTAGGTCTTAGTTTAACTCTTTAATCCATCTTAAGTTAATTTTTGTATAAGGTGTAGGGAAGGGGTCCAATTTCAGTTTTCTGCATATGGCTAGCCAGTTTTTCCAACACCATTTATTAAGTAGAAATTTTTTCCCCATTTCTTGTTTTTGTCAGGTTTGTCAAAGATCAGATGGTTGTAGATGTGTGGTGTTATTTTTGAGGCCTCTATTCTGTTCCAATAGTCTATATCTCTGTTTTGGTACCAGTACTATACTGTTTTGGTTACTGTAGCCTTGCAGTATAGTTTGAAGTCAGGTAGCATGATGCCTCCAGCTTTGTTCTTTTTGCTTAGAATTGTCTTGGCTATGTGGACTTTTTTTTCGTTCCATATGAAATTTAAAGTAGTTTTTTCTAAGTCTGTGAAGAAAGTCAATGTTAGCTTGATGGGAATAGGATTGAATCTATAAATTACTTTGGGCGGTATGGCCATTTTCATGATATTTATTCTTCCTATTGATGAGCATGGAATGTTTTTCCATTTGTTTGTGTCCTGTCTTCTTTCTTTTAGCAGTGGTTTGTAGTTCTTCTTGAAGAGGTCCTTCATATCCCTTGTAAATTGTATTCTTAGGTATTTTATTCTCTTTGTAGCAACTGTGAATGGGAGTTAACTCATGATTTGGCTCTCTGCTTGTATATTATTGGTGTATAGGAATGCTTGTGATTTTTGCACATTGATTTTGTATCCTGAGACTTTGAAGAATTTGCGTATCAGCTTAAGGAGATTTTGGGCTGAGACGATGGGGTTTTCTACATAATACAATCATGTCATCTGCAAGCAGAGACAATTTAACTTCCTCTCTTCCTGTTTGAATACCATTTATTCTTTCTCTTGCCTGATTGCCCTGGCCAGAACTTCCAATACTATGTTGAATGGGAGTGGTGAGAGAGGGCATCTTGTCTTGTGCCAGTTTTCAAAGGGAATGCTTCCAGCTTTTGCCCATTCAGTATGATATTAGCTGTGGTTTGTCACAAATAGCTCTTACTGTTTGGAGACACGTTCTATCGATACCTTGTTTCTTGAGAGTTTTTAGCCTGAAGGGGTGTTGAATTTTATTGAAAGTCTTTTCTGCATCTATTGAGATAATCATGTGGTTTTTGTCATTGGTTCTGTTTATGTGATGGATTACATTTATTAATTTGCTTATATTGGACCAGCCTTGTATCCCAGGGATGAAGCCAACCTGATCATGGTGGATAAGCTTTTTGATGTCCTGCTGGATTCAGTTTGCCAGTATTTTATTGAGGATTTTCTCATTGATGTTCATCAGGGATATTAGCCTGAATGTAACTTAAAATGTATTATTTGAAACATCAAATACAGTATAATGAAGAGAAATCAGTACTTCAGGGTCGTTTTTATGATGATATATTTGTCAAAAGTGATGTAACTTGACACTTAGAAAATATGAATTGATAGTCTAATGCTTCCTTTAATAAAATTATAAATAGTAAAGATTAATGGGTGACAAATGAGGGAAAATTGAACATTTTTTTCTTTACCATACAAAAGGATTTAAATTTGCAGCATTTGTTACTTAGAGAACAGTATGGCAAAGTAGTCATCTATCATTGTCACTGTCTAAGAAACCCTGTAAAAAATTGAAAACGTTTCAGCCATTGAATCCATCATGAAACCATTTAAGACAGATCAAATTTCCTTTTCGTTCCTACTACTCCAGAACCCTCAGTGATCCAATTTATCTTAAATGAATGTGTTTAACTATATGTATAAAAAATCCTTAAAATTGAAATTTTTCATTGCCTAGACAAATAATACACAAAATATTAGTCAGCATTTCATAGTTCAAAATGGAATTGTCTCAAAGATAGAAATATGATTTCATTCTTAGAGTTTCACTGGTTAAAATCAATTTTAATTCAAGTATATCACTACCTATCCATTGTTGTACAAAATAGCTATTTCCCAGGTTAAGTTAAAATACAAAGACAAAATAGAATCAAAGCATAATCATGTAAAACACAATATTATATAGTGCATAAAGAACAAGTTAAGAGAAGGAAAGTGGCTTTCTAGGTACATGCATTAAAAGGATCTACAGTCTTGTGTGTTATATAGATGACTGATTAATTGTACAAATTGGAAATACCTTGTTATTTCTATAAATATAGCCAATTGGGAAGGGGACATGATAATTGACTTCAAATCTATTGCCAAAATGACTAATGTGATCAACGGCATTAATAATGTTCCCTATCTAAGTTAAAAGAGACCTAAATATAGGGTTTTGTTTTGAAGTTATGTTATGTTTTAATTCATACAGATAAAGATAAAATAAAGAACAAGGCCTTTGTGTCTATACAGGATGACTTGAAAAAAAATCCCACTAAATAGTTTCTCACTAAGGAATTTTAAAACTACTGAAAACAAACTACAAATTGTCCTGGCAAAATCTTAGCACTAAGAGTCAGAACAAGCTATATTAATTGGATTTGCATAACAAAAAGTTTGCATAATAAAAGGATTGCAAAAATTTTAAAAACACTCAACACACACTTGGATTTGTTGGAAAGTTAACCATACCACTTACTAGTTTTGACTCATTGAACTATCTTTCATTTGTATAAAACTAATTTTCTCACCTGTTAAACAGGAATAATAATACCCACCTTCAAGTGTAGTTATTAGACTGGAAATACAAAAGTATTGTATCAAGCCACTTTCTTAATAAACTCTCAAAAGTGGACTGCAAATACAAAATATTTACATGAGAATCTTGCTCTATATAGTCAATATATTTTCTTCAAATAGTTTACATATATCAAGTTGTGTAATGCCATGTTATCCCTTTTGATTTATATGACCAACTCCATCACATCCTATAAGCTTTTGTTCAAACTTACCTTAGCAATGCCTACCTGAATTCTAAAATTTATTGACCCATACCTATCCTTAGTATTCATCATCCCTCTTAACTTGGTCTATTTTTTTTTCATGGCACCTATCTCCTTTTAACATGCAATATATTTTACCTACTTATTATATTTCTTATTTCTATCTGTAATTTATTTCTAGACTCTAGGTCCCAAGTAATCAAATTTATTTTGTTGTTTTGTTTTATTCACTGATATATTCCAAACAGTTTAAAAAGTGCTTGATATATCTATGCATTCAAAAATGTTTGCTCTCGAATGAATGTAATCTTTGCTTTTAAACTTAAGGATTTAAATAAGTGATCTGCTGCGAATATTACCCAGAATAGGTGTTAAAAAAGGTTGAAAATTGACACTATTTAAACATTTACAAACAAGCAAACACCAGAACAATAAAATGTCCCACACACAAAAGAAGTACTAGTCTAATCTGGAATTGTTACTTATCCCCCAGTAGCATTAACAATAGCCACTTACACAACATCACTAAGTATTTCTAGGTGTTTCCCTTAACTCACGAATTGCTTTGTGAGACTTATTTGTCTCTCCATGTGTATATTTGCGGATACTGTTTAACATGTCAATCTCTTATCCATAAGGTTGTTCAGAATACTTTTTTGTTAAATAAAATATTAGAAATATTTTCATGACAAGAACTGCCTATTTGAGAGCAAAAGATATAAAGTCAGGGGGGGTTTTAGATATTCAAACTCAGAAATTCATATTCATCAAATTTTCTAACTTATCTAAGAGATGTAAGGCTGGTACTCTCCTTGGATTCCATAGAATTTATTTTATTTCTTTTCAACATAATGCTGTATTTCAGATATGTATGCCTTTAATTTTAAAAGATGTCTCACTAGGATGTGTCTTGCATTTACATAATGTACAGAAAGAGAAACATTTAAAATTGTTGAAGACATGTATATTTAGGATTTTTTATGAAATATTGCTTTTAGGGTGACTACACCCCTCTTTATCCCTGACCCTTCCAAACTGGCTCAATATATTTTTTTGGTCTGGAGGTAATATTAGCCTCAGCTAAGCCATGGACATATTTCTTGGAAAAACAAATGTTTCATAGAAATCCCAGAATAGGCAGATTCTGTCTCTTTGTTCTCGGAAATCTGATAGAATTCAAGTTCAAAGAAATGAGAATAAAAGGCACAGTTTGTTTTATTGAGAATAACTTAGGAGTTGATCTGTGTCTAGCTTATACATAACTATGAACAATGAAATCTGAAATAACCATACAGACATCTCACTTTCTTAAGTTCAGTTAAACATACCAAACAAGTTTATTTTACAAAAAAATAAAGTAAGTGACTAGTATACACAAATCACCGCCACTGTTCCCAGAGAATAAAAAGTTGAATAAGGAAAAAACGTCGTTCTTAAGAGTCTATTATTTTTTATAAACCAAAGAAAAAATAGGTTTATAGGGGATAAAAAAAGAGGGACTGTTTAATTCTGACTGTAGAGATAAGTAGAGGCATTATAGAGAAGGGTGCACTTCCTAAAGCACTGATTAGTCTTTGTGATTTTGGTGGATGAGGTAAAGGATTTTAGCTAAAATAAATGACATGGAAAAGGCATATTGGTGATATAAATGTTGGCATCCCCCTAAAATTTATATGTTGGAACCTAATACCTGATGTGATAATATTACAAAGTGCGACCTTTGGGAAGTGATTAAGTCCCACCTTCATGAATCAGATTAGTGGTCTTATAAAAGAGGCTGAGGACGCTCCCTTTCCTCTTCTGTCATATAAAGACACAACTAGAATGTGCCCTTTTAAATGCAGAGAGGAAGCCAACACCAGACATAGAATCTGTTGGTGACTTGATCTTACACTTCTCTCCTCCAGAATTATGAGCAAGAAATTTATGTTGTTTATAAATTATCCAGTCTAAGATATTTTGTTACAGCATTCTGAGCAGAATAAAATAGGATATAAACATGAACTTGCTCAGATTATTAGAGAATTGCATAGATACCCATTGTGAGTGTCATGAAGAGATCTATGGACAAGAAAAAGTTGGTGAAAGAAAATTGAGTGAATTGGTTGAAGCCATATATTTTTAGAAACTTAAATTACAAATTTAAGAAATTAGATTTTATAGTGTGTTTACTGTGAATATTTTGAAAGTATTTGGATAGTGTCCTTAATTACAAAAACAAGTTGGCCGGGTGTGGTGGCTCATGCCTATAATCCCAGCACTTTGGGAGGCCGAGGTAGGTGGATCACAAGGTCAGGAGATTGACACCATCCTGGCTAACACGGTGAAACCCCGTCTCTACTAAAACTACCAAAAATAAATAAATAAATGAATAAATAAATAAATAAATAAATAGCCGAGCATGATGGCATGCACCTGTAGTCGCAGCTACTGGGAAGGCTGAGGCAGGAGAATGGCGTGAACCCAGGAGGCGGAGCTTGCAGTGAGCCGAGATCGCGCCACTTCACTCCAGCCTGGGCGACAGAGCGAGACTCCATCTCAAAAAAAAAAGTGTAGGGGGGGAGCCAAGATGGCCGAATAGGAACAGCTCTGGTCTACAGCTCCCAGCGTGAGCGACGCAGAAGACGGGTGATTTCTGCATTTCCATCTGAGGTACCGGGTTCATCTCACTAGGGAGTGCCAGACAGTGGGCGCAGGCCAGTGTGTGTGCGCACCGTGCGCGAGCCGAAGCAGGGCGAGGCATTGCCTCACCTGGGAAGCGCAAGGGGTCAGGGAGTTCCCTTTCCGAGTCAAAGAAAGGGGTGACGGACGCACCTGGAAAATCGGGTCACTCCCACCCGAATATTGCGCTTTTCAGACCGGCTTAAGAAACGGCGCACCACGAGACTATATCCCACACCTGGCTCGGAGGGTCCTACGCCCACGGAATCTCGCTGATTGCTAGCACAGCAGTCTGAGATCAAACTGCAAGGTGGCAACGAGGCTGGGGGAGGGGCGCCCGCCATTGCCCAGGCTTGATTAGGTAAACAAAGCAGCTGGGAAGCTCCAACTGGGTGGAGCCCACCACAGCTCAAGGAGGCCTGCCTGCCTCTGTAGGCTCCACCTCTGGGGGCAGGGCACAGACAAACAAAAAGACAGCAGTAACCTCTGCAGACTTAAGTGTCCCTGTCTGACAGCTTTGAAGAGAGCAGTGGTTCTCCCAGCACGCAGCTGGAGATCTGAGAACGGGCAGACTGCCTCCTCAAGTGGGTCCCTGGCCCGCGAGTAGCCTAACTGGGAGGCACCCCCCAGCAGGGGCACACTGACACCTCACATGGCAGGGTATTCCAACAGACCTGCAGCTGAGGGTCCTGTCTGTTAGAAGGAAAACTAACAACCAGAAAGGACATCTACACCGGAAACCCATCTGTACATCACCATCATCAAAGACAAAAAGTAGATAAAACCACAAAGATGGGGTAAAAACAGAACAGAAAAACTGGAAACTCTAAAACGCAGAGCGCCTCTCTCCTCCAAAGGAACGCAGTTCCTCACCAGCAACAGAACAAAGCTGGATGGAGAATGATTTTGACGAGCTGAGAGAAGAAGGCTTCAGACGATCAAATTACTCTGAGCTACAGGAGGACATTCAAACAAAAGACAAAGAAGTTGAAAACTTTGAAAAAAATTTAGAAGAATGTATAACTAGAATAACCAATACAGAGAAGTGCTTAAAGGAGCTGATGGAGCTGAAAACCAAGGCTCGAGAACTACGTGAAGAATGCAGAGGCCTCAGGAGCCGATGCGATCAACTGGAAGAAAGGGTATCAGCAATGGAAGAAGAAATGAATGAAATGAAGCGAGAAGGGAAGTTTAGAGAAAAAAGAATAAAAAGAAATGAGCAAAGCCTCCAAGAAATATGGGACTATGTGAAAAGACCAAATATACGTCTGATTGGTGTACCTGAAAGTGATGTGGAGAATGGAACCAAGTTGGAAAACACTCTGCAGGATATTATCCAGGAGAACTTCCCCAATCTAGCAAGGCAGGCCAACGTTCAGATTCAGGAAATACAGAGAACGCCACAAAGATACTCCTCGAGAAGAGCAACTCCAAGACACATAATTGTCAGATTCACCAAAGTTGAAATGAAGGAAAAAATGTTAAGGGCAGCCAGAGAGAAAGGTCGGGTTACCCTCAAAGGAAAGCCCATCAGACTAACAGCGGATCTCTCGGCAGAAACCCTAGAAGCCAGAAGAGAGTGGGGGCCAATATTCAACATTCTTAAAGAAAAGAATTTTCAACCCAGAATTTCATATCCAGCCAAACTAAGCTTCATAAGTGAAGGAGAAATAAAATACTTTATAGACAAGCAAATGCTGAGAGATTTTGTCACCACCAGGCCTGCCCTAAAAGAGCTCCTGAAGGAAGCGCTAAACATGGAAAGGAACAACCGGTACCAGCCGCTGCAAAATCATGCCAAAATGTAAAGACCATCGAGACTAGGAAGAAACTGCATCAACTAATGAGCAAAATCACCAGCTAACATCATAATGACAGGATCAAATTCACACATAACAATATTAACTTTAAATGTAAATAGACTAAATTCTGCAATTAAAAGACACAGACTGGCAAGTTGGATAAAGAGTCAAGACCCATCAGTGTGCTGTATTCAGGAAACCCATCTCACGTGCAGAGACACACATAGGCTCAAAATAAAAGGATGGAGGAAGATCTACCAAGCCAATGGAAAACAAAAAAAGGCAGGGGTTGCAATCCTAGTCTCTGATAAAACAGACTTTAAACCAACAAAGATCAAAAGAGACAAAGAAGGCCATTACATAATGGTAAAGGGATCAATTCAACAAGAGGAGCTAACTATCCTAAATATTTATGCACCCAATACAGGAGCACCCAGATTCATAAAGCAAGTCCTGAGTGACCTACAAAGAGACTTAGACTCCCACGCATTAATAATGGGAGACTTTAACACCCCACTGTCAACATTAGACAGATCAAGGAGACAGAAAGTCAACAAGGATACCCAGGAATTGAACTCAGCTCTGCACCAAGCAGACCTAATAGACATCTACAGAACTCTCCACCCCAAATCAACAGATTATACATTTTTTTCAGCACCACACCACACCTATTCCAAAATTGACCACATACTTGGAAGTAAAGCTCTCCTCAGCAAATGTAAAAGAACAGAAATTATAACAAACTATCTCTCAGACCACAGTGCAATCAAACTAGAACTCAGGATTAAGAATCTCACTCAAAGCCGCTCAACTACATGGAAACTGAACAACCTGCTCCTGAATGACTACTGGGTACATAACGAAATGAAGGCAGAAATAAAGATGTTCTTTGAAACCAACGAGAACAAAGACACCACATACCAGAATCTCTGGGACGCATTCAAAGCAGTGTGTAGAGGGAAATTTATAGCACTAAATGCCTACAAGAGAAAGCAGGAAAGATCCAAGATTGACACCCTAACATCACAATTAAAAGAACTAGAAAAGCAAGAGCAAACACAATCAAAAGCTAGCAGAAGGCAAGAAATAACTAAAATCAGAGCAGAACTGAAGGAAATAGAGACACAAAAAAACCCTTCAAAAAATCAATGAATCCAGGAGCTGTTTTTTTGAAAGGATCAACAAAATTGATAGTCCGGTAGCAAGACTAATAAAGAAAAAAAGAGAGAAGAATCAAATAGACACAATAAAAAATGATAAAGGGGATATCACCACCGATCCCACAGAAATACAAACTACCATCAGAGAATACTACAAACACCTCTACGCAAATAAATTAGAAAATCTAGAAGAAATGGATACATTTCTCGACACATACACTCTCCCAAGACTAAACCAGGAAGAAGTTGAATCTCTGAATAGACCAATAACAGGCTCTGAAATTGTGGCAATAATCAATAGTTTACCAACCAAAAAGAGTCCAGGACCAGATGGATTCACAGCTGAATTCTACCAGAGGTATAAGGAGGAGCTGGTACCATTCCTTCTGAAACTATTCCAATCAATAGAAAAAGAGGGAATCCTCCCTAACTCATTTTATGAGACCAGCATCATTCTGATACCAAAGCCAGGCAGAGACACAACCAAAAAAGAGAATTTTAGACCAATATCCTTGATGAACATTGATGCAAAAATCCTCAATAAAATACTGGCAAACCGAATCCAGCAGCACATCAAAAAGCTTATCCACCATGATCAAGTGGGCTTCATCCCTGGGATGCAAGGCTGGTTCAATATACGCAAATCAATAAATGTAATCCAGCATATAAACAGAGCCAATGACAAAAACCACATGATTATCTCAATAGATGCAGAAAAAGCCTTTGACAAAATTCAACAACCCTTCATGCTAAAAACTCTCAATAAATTAGGTATTGATGGGACGTATTTCAAAATAATAAGAGCTATCTATGACAAACCCACAGCCAATATCATACTGAATGGGCAAAAACTGGAAGCATTCCCTTTGAAAACTGGCACAAGACAGGGATGCCCTCTCTCACCGCTCCTTTTCAACATAGTGTTGGAAGTTCTGGCCAGGGCAATTAGGCAGGAGAAGGAAATAAAGGGTATTCAATTAGGAAAAGAGGAAGTCAAATTGTCCCTGTTTGCAGACGACATGATTGTTTATCTAGAAAACCCCATCGTCTCAGCCCAAAATCTCCTTAAGCTGATAAGCAACTTCAGCAAAGTCTCAGGATACAAAATCAATGTACAAAAATCACAAGCATTCTTATACACCAACAACAGACAAACAGAGAGCCAAATCATGAGTGAACTCCCATTCACAATTGCTTCAAAGAGAATAAAATACCTAGGAATCCAACTTACAAGGGATGTGAAGGACCTCTTCAAGGAGAACTACAAACCACTGCTCAAGGAAATAAAAGAGGACACAAACAAATGGAAGAACATTCCATGCTCATGGGTAGGAAGAATCAATATCGTGAAAATGGCCATACTGCCCAAGGTAATTTACAGATTCAATGCCATCCCCATCAAGCTACCAATGACTTTCTTCACAGAATTGGAAAAAACTACTTTAAAGTTCATATGGAACCAAAAAAGAGCCCGCATCGCCAAGTCAATCCTAAGCCAAAAGAACAAAGCTGGAGGCATCACACTACCTGACTTCAAACTATACTACAAGGCTACAGTAACCAAAACAGCATGGTACTGGTACCAAAACAGAGATATAGATCAATGGAACAGAACAGAGCCCTCAGAAATAATGCCGCATATCTACAACTATGTGATCTTTGACAAACCTGAGAAAAACAAGCAATGGGGAAAGGATTCCCTATTTAACAAATCGTGCTGGGAAAACTGGCTAGCCATATGTAGAAAGCTGAAACTGGATCCCTTCCTTACACCTTATACAAAAATGAATTCAAGATGGATTAAAGATTTAAACGTTAGACCTAAAACCATAAAAACCCTAGAAGAAAACCTAGGCATTACCATTCAGGACACAGGCGTGGGCAAGGACTTCATGTCCAAAACACCAAAAGCAATGGCAACAAAAGCCAAAATTGACAAATGGGATCTAATTAAACTAAAGAGCTTCTGCACAGTAAAAGAAACTACCATCAGAGTGAACAGGCAACCTACAAAATGAGAGAAAATTTTCGCAACCTACTCATCTGACAAAGGGCTAATATCCAGAATCTACAATGAACTCAAACAAATTTACAAGAAAAAAACAAACAACCCCATCAAAAAGTGGGCGAAGGACATGAACAGACACTTCTCAAAAGAAGACATTTATGCAGCCAAAAAACACATGAAGAAATGCTCATCATCACTGGCCATCAGGGAAATGCAAATCAAAACCACAATGAGATATCATCTCACACCAGTTAGAATGGCAATCATTAAAAAGTCAGGAAACAACAGGTGCTGGAGAGGATGTGGAGAAATAGGAACACTTTTACACTGTTGGTGGGACTGTAAACTAGTTCAACCATTGTGGAAGTCAGTGTGGCGATTCCTCAGGGATCTAGAACTAGAAATACCATTTGACCCAGCCATCCCATTACTGGGTATATACCCAAAGGACCATAAATCATGCTGTTATAAAGACACATGCACACGTATGTTTATTGCGGCACTATTCACAATAGCAAAGACTTGGAACCAACCCAAATGTCCAACAATGATAGACTGGATTAAGAAAATGTGGCACATATACACCATGGAATACTATGCAGCCATAAAAAATGATGAGTTCATGTCCTTTGTAGGGACATGGATGAAATTGGAAACCATCATTCTCAGTAAACTATCGCAAGAACAAAAAACCAAACACCGCATATTCTCACTCATAGGTGGGAATTGAACAATGAGATCACATGGACACAGGAAGGGGAATATCACACTCTGGGGACTGTGGTGGGGTCGGGGTAGGGGGGAGGGATAGCATTGGGAGATATACCTAATGCTAGATGACACGTTAGTGGGTGCAGCGCACCAGCATGGCACATGTATACATATGTAACTAACCTGCACAATGTGCACATGTACCCTAAAACTTAGAGTATAATAAAAAAAAAATTAAAAAAAAAAAAGTGTAATGATTAAGGACTTGAATATCAATAAAATTTTAAGTGAATGACATCATTACATTTGGGGTAATAATGGTAGCACTAATGTCACGTTTTTTCTTTACTTATATTCTTACTTATAATTTAGTCATTAAATAATAGCCCTTGAATGAGATTCTTTTGGTATATAAACTTGTTACTGACGATGTCACTCTAAAGATACTGCATCACTCATTTCAGGAAACTACAGATATAATTTGGTCAAAAATTCATACAAGGCAATGATATCAACTCATTAACCCAGCGCTAAAATGCAGTAAAGTGCCAAAGTTAGGCTAGGTAAAGCATTATGAGATTAGATTGTAAAGGCGAGGTTTTCCAACTGGAAGCAGAGTGAGTCTCAGTAACAGATTATAAATCTCCAGTATTAAGTCAGAGAGTCTAAATACAATTTGTAAAAGCAAACAAAGGCTGGGTGCAGTGGCTTACGCCTGTAATCCTAACACTTTGGGAGGCCGAGGTGGGCAGATCACCTGAGGTCAGGAGTTTGAGACCAGACTGGCCAACATGGTGAAACCCCGTCTCTACCAAAAACACAAAAATTAGCTGGGCATGGTGGCACATGCCTATAGTTCCAGCTACATGGGAGGCTGAGGCAGGAGAATTGCTTGAACCCAGGAGGCGGAGGTAGCAGTGAGCCAAGATCGTGCCACTGCACTCCATCCTGGGCAACAGAGCAAGACTCCATCTCAAAAACCAACAACAACAGCAACAAAAAGCCATGTTTTGTGCATAGAATAAAAAATATGAAATCCTTAGGAACAAACCTAAGAAAACATGATCTCTGTAAGTCAGGGTTCCCCAGCCCCCCGCCACAGTCCAGTACTGGTCTGTGGCCTATTAGGAACCCAGGCCACAGATGGGTACTGGTCCGTGGCCTGTTAGGAACCAGGCCACACAGCAGGAGGTGAGCAGTGGGTGAAGGAGCAAAGTGTCATTTGTATTTACAGTTGCTCCCCACAGCTTGCATTAGTGCCTGAACTCTGCCTCCTGTCAGATCAGTGGCGGCATGAGATTCTCATAGGAGTATGAACCCTATTGTGAACTGCACATGCAAAGAATCTAGGTTACTTGCCCCATATGAGGATCTAATGCCTGATGATCTGTCACTGTCCCTCATCTTCCCCAGATGGAACCATATAGTTGCAAGAAAATAAGCTCAAGTTTCCCACTGATTCTACATTATGATAAATTGTATAATTATTTCATTATATATTGCAATAGAATAATAATAGAAATGAAATGCAGAATAAATATAATGTGCTTGAATTATCTCGAAAACCACCCCCCACTTCACCTGGTCTGTGGAAAAATTGTTTTCCATGAAACCAATCCCTGGTGCCAAAAAGGTACGGCTGCCATTCTAAGGGAAACCGGACAACTTTGTTCAGATAAATTAAAGAAACTCTCTTCAGAACCTGAAAAAGATATAAATAATTGTGAAGAGAAAACAAAATTTATAATTAGGTCTCAATAGTGTAAAAGTACCAATTATCCTGAAATTTCTCTACAGATTCAATGTAATCCCAATTAAAATAACCACTTTTGTGGAATTAAGCAAGCTTATTCTAAAATTTAAGAGTAGGTAAACTTCTAAGAAGAAAACAAGTGGATGAACTAACTCTACTAGGTTCTAGACATACTACAAAGTTACACAGTAATGTAGACGATGTGATAGCTGAAATAATGGCCTCACTAATCATATCTCTATATTCTATGAAGATGTTGTTTTATATGGTAAAATAGATTGTCAAGATTTGATTAAGGTTAGAAACCTTAAAATAGGGAGATTATTCAGATTAGGTGGGACCAATCTAATGGAAGAGGAAGGAAGAAAAGTTGCTGAGAGACGTTGGAAAAAGAAGCAGGAGAGATTCAAAGCCTGAGAAAGTCTCGACTTAACATTGCTGACAAAGATGGAGCAGAGCAATGCAGGGAGCCTCTGGAACTCAGAACAGCCCTCAGTGCTATAACAACAAGAAACAAATATACCAACAACGTAAACAAGACAATTGATTCTCTTCTAGAGACCCCAGAAGGGAAGGCAGGCTGCCAACACGTTTATTTTAGCCCAGTGAGACTGGCATCAGACTTCTGATCTACAGAAATATACGATAATACATTTGTGGTGTTTTCAACAACTGAGTGTGTAGTTGTCTGTAATGTCAACGGTTAGAAACTGATACAAACACTGGGTGTTGGAGAAAACTAAATAGAATAGGAAACAAAACAGAAAGTTCAGAAATAGGTCTATATTTAAGCATATATGAATGCTTCATATATGTAAGAGATAGTTTTGAAAATTGATGATATAATCATCTTTTCAGTATATGATACTAGGATAAATCAGTGGCCTTCAAAAATATTATTATTTAGATTTCTAAATATAAAAAGCAAAGTATAGTAAAGATCCTAGAAGATAAGATAGGAGAGGATCTTTATGATATATTTATTTAAAAAATCACATTAGAATATGAAAAGTCCATCTTGGCTGAATTTAAAGAAAGCAAAAAATGTGAAAAGGCAAGGTTCAGACTGAGCGAATATACTTGCAACATATATACATATATATAGTTATATAGATATATATACTTGCAATATATTTATGTAAATAAAGAACTCCTATTAGTGTCCAAGAAGTCAGACTACTCAATAGAAAATTTGCTAAGCAATATTAATTTTAATAAAGAACAAATTTAATTAACAAGTAGAAAGTAGTAGTCGGCCTCATTAGTAACCAGGAAAATGTCAATTAAACTAAACTCTCCTCTCCAAAATGACACACATATTAAAAAAAGCAAATTAAACTAAAAGCTCCTCTCCAAACTGACACACACATAAAAAAGAGAAAGAAAGAAACAAAGGAAGAAGAAAAGAGAGAACGAAAGGAAGCCTGATAATACCAAGTGTTTTAGAAAATTTGGACCAAATGTATCTGTTATTTAATGCTAATGAGAAAGTGATTAAAAATCACTTTGAGAAACAGTTTATCAAATCTAATAAATGTGCAACTACACAAGTGCTATGAGTCTTTAATTCTACCCCCGGGTGTTAACCAGCAGAAACATGATGTTTAAACCAGAATTCATATACAAAAATGTGGACAGCAGCATAGTTCATATGACCCTCAAGCTAGAAACATTGAAAATATTCATAATATTAGAAAAGATAAATATAAGATGCATTTTACAGAGCAATGAAAATGAACAAATTACACCTACATATAACTGCATCATAGCAGGGATAGGAAGCATCTTAAAAATCAAATTTTGAGTTAAAGAAATTTGCATCAAACAACACAGAGTTTAATTCCCACTGATAAACATTTTAAAACAAGAACAAATAATTAATATTGCTTAGATATACATATTTATTTGATATAACTATAAAGCAATGAGGTGATTACATTAAGAGTCAAGATGATGGTTACTCTAGGGGTAGAAAGGAGATTTTGATTTCAAAGGCCATCGATAACTGGGGAGAGCTTGCAAAATTCTCCTGTGTTTACACAGGTATTTGTTCTACAATGTAGCACTTATATCTCATGTATTTTTTTCTGTGTGTGTGTGTGTGTGTGTGTGTCTGTGTTAGACGTGTGTGTGTATATATATAATTTTGAAACAAATAAAGTTAAATTATGTTCATTCTCTTACAGAAAGCCTGCAGTGCCTCCAACTTCCACTTGAGTTAAGCTAGAAATACCCACAGGCATGTGCAAGGATTTACCTTATGTGGTCAGAATTACCTTGCTGACTTTATTTTCCACATTCTACTCTTCATATAATGACCTTCTTGCTGTTTGTTGAACACATAATTCCATTTTTGGGCTTTCCACTTCATTTCTCTTCCCCAAACATTATTTCCAAAGTTATTCCTTTTCTCCTTAACTTTCTCTAAGTCTTTGAGGCAGCTTCACATTATCAATGAATACCCTATTTACAACTGTAAAGGGCCATTGCCCTGATCTGTATTGCTAAAGTTTCATACTTCACCTCCCTTGCCTTATATTTCTCCACATTTTACAACCATTTGGCCCACTACACATTTTACTTACGTATGTAGTAATTCGTTTGTTTGTTTTCATCTTTTATGTAAAAATGGAAGCTATATGAGAAGAAGGAATTCCTATTAAATCAGCAACTGAATAATTGAGTTAATATTTATGATACATATCTTTCTCATGACTTCAGGAACATAAATTTGATTATCAGTAGGCATTTATATTTGAGTGCTTACAACATGTGTGTGGTGATATTTTTTATAGAAATTTTTTACAAGAAATTATAATAGTTTCTGTTATTTATTAGAAAAGTCAATTTAATCATTAGGATCCTTAATGCAGACTTGCACTAAAAAATCAAACTTTTATTGTGAATAAGATGCTGATCTTTTTAGAAACATATTTACTATGGCATGATTGTGTTACTCTACCACAGCAATGCAGCATCTCAGGATCTACCAGAGTAAGGATGTCAATAGACTGCATTTCGTTCACAGAAGCCTACTCTTGAACACAGAGTGAATGCTATACTTGCAAAGAATAATTGTTAGTAATTTTGTAAAGAAGGAAACTTGGCATATTTCGCTAGCAGAAGGAAACTAACTTTGACAGCTTGACATATTTTAATTGACTGACTATTTCAGGTACAAAAGTGAGCAAAAGAAAATACAAGAATAAGAGGAAATAGGTTGGGTGCAGTGGCTCACGCCTGTAATCCTAGCACTCTGGGAGGCTGAGGCAGGCGGATCACGAGGTCAGGAAATCGAGACCATCCTGGCTAACAATGAGAAACCCCGTCACTACTAAAAAATACAAAAAATTAGCTGGGCGTGGTGGCAGGTGCCTGTAGTCCCAGCTACTTGGGAGGCTGAGGCAGGAGAATGGCGTGAACCGGGAGGCGGAGCTTGCAGTGAGCCCAGATCGCGCCACTGCACTCCAGCCTGGGCGACAGAGCGAGACTCCATGTCAAGGAAAAAAAAAAAAAAAAAAGAAAGGAAATTGCGGATAAGGGGCAAAAATAATCAAACAAATATTGGAAAAAAATGGAATGATGCATAGGGATCTACAGAAGTATAAATTAAATTATGTAAGAGCACTGAGAGATATAAGAATGTTATAAAGTAGAATAATTAAAGAGGAATGGAATAATTAAGAGGAATGGAATAACTGTGAACCAAAAAATGTGAATATCAAAAATACTAATACATTTGTTCAAAAGTATATGAGTCTTAAGAAATAACTAGTTGAATCAGAAAATAAAGATTGGCCTAGCAGGAAAATAATCAGTTTCTGTCATTTTCCTCCTTTAGAGGTAATATTAAAAAACAACAACTATAGAAACAATTTAAAATCCCTTAATAGTAACATTATAGAGAAAAATATAAAATCTAGGATTTTGGAAAAAGTGATCTAAAAGCCAAATGGGCAAAATTTATCAGCAGAGAGAAACAGTGAAAAAGTGCCCATTTTAAAGTGCTATCTAGGTTAATATCGGTGAGTTGGGTGAGGTCTAGTAGAAGATAAGGTAGCAAACTTGCTACTTAGAATGTGAATATAGAGATAGTTGTTAGTGGAAGTGTTGATATAAATGTGAGAAAGGTCAAAATAAATTATACACACACACACATACACACAAACACACACACACACATATGCAGAGTTACCATATTTTTTACCTAATGAATTTTGGACTTTAAATGATGGCAAAATCCAAGAGGTAATGATCAAAAGAGTAGAATATTATAACAGTCTAAAATAGCAGAAAGCATTGTTCTCACTAAAGGTAAAAGGTCAATAAAAAGTAAATAAATTTTAAAAATGTTGTACAAAACCTACTATTAAGCCATGTTTACAAAATCACTTCTTGGGAGCCATTATACTCTTTATATATATGTACTATTAGTAATGTAATGGAACAGGGTACCTTAAGGGAAGTAATTTTTTTAAAAGCCCAAGTTAATTTTTTTTAACAATTGAAAATAATTAACTTTTAGTGCTGCTACAGGTTATAAAGGAGCAATGATAAATCAGTGTAAGCCAGAGATGAAAGAAAACATTTATTGATTTATCCTATGATTTACTTCCAAAGTTCCATTATACCTTTTAGCCCATTATTTTGAAAAACAGCTAATAATATAGTTTTTCCATGTTCACCTTACTACAAAATGTATTTTATAATAAATATTAATAAAATATCCTATTTTAAAATATGGTACATTGCTGTGTATTACTATTAAATGCAAACAAATCAATCATTTTTGTGTCTTACTTATGATTATATAAGGCAATGTAACAGGTGCTATGGAATATAAAACTTCTGCCTCTAGAAATTTGACACAGTAGTATGGAAGAAACACAAACATGCATGTGCTTTTTAAAGTTATAATTCATTGAGTGCTTATAAGTTTTATTAAACTTCTTGTGTACATTCTCTCATGCAAATACAAACATCCGTAAAATGGTAAAGTTATAAGTGCATAAAAGTCATATCCCAAAAAAGAACACTGAAAGTTCAGAAGAGGAAGATATTTTTATTGGCAGGAGTGTATTCCAAAAAGGTGTCTCAAGATAACTTGTTTTAAAGCTTAAAAAGAGGTAGGACTTGGACACACAGAGCAAAATATTCTATTTACATGCAATACTGCCAAGAAGTTCAGTTGGAATGTAGCAAACGTGGAGGATGGAAAATAGTAGAAGAAAAAATAAAGTCAGACTGTTTCAAGTTTAGCATACTAAATAAAAATAGGTAAGGTCAAGGAATTAAATTTTTCAGCTTTTGTCATCATTGTTTTTGTTGCTGTGCTTTTGCAACCCATTACTTGATGTAGAAAGTCTTATCATTGATATTCTTATTACTGAAAATCAGGTGAAAATGTAGTCAATTTTTTGCATTCATTCTACATATATTTGATAAATGCATAATTATAAGCAAAGATAAACATGTTGATTATAACTGTTATTTACTGATATGGTTTGGCTCTGTGTCCCCACCCAAATCTCATTGTGTATTCCCATAATTTGCATGTGTTGTGGGAGGGACCTGGTGGAAGATAATTGAATCATGAGGTGTTGTCTGATTCTACAGTTGCAAATAAAAGCCAATTGATTCTTTAAATTAAATTTGTGTTAATTTTGTCTTTTGACACAATGAAAACAAAAAATTTTACATCAAAATACAGACCCTCTACCTCTCGTAATAATTAAAAATAGGCATGTGAAGACCAAACAGTGCTCTCTCAGGCACATACGTATAGAACTCTGGCTTTCTTACATTTTTTGATGAAACACTGGGGTTAGTACTGTTTGTTTTCCCCCCCGTTTGCTTTTAGGGTCTATGCTACATGTATGTAAATAAAGAGTGAAGAAATACTAACAAAGCAAACAAGTAACAATCAAGAATATTTGCTTTACTGAAGAAATTTTAAGAATGTGAATAAATGTACCTATCTAAATTTGAGAATTGACCGTAAAAGATTTCAGCAGATGAATTCTCATGTCGTTTCAAGGTACATAGGAATTGTCCTATGTAGCCTATTGTTTAGACACATTTTGATAAAAGAATTTAAATTGATAAAAGTTCCAGGTTTTAATCTTGTTTTTCCTGACATATGCACATTGTCTGATTTGGCTTTACCTGGAATGAACCTTTGAGTATTAATATTTTATATGAATGTATGTTAACTCCAAGTGGCAAGGGACCCAAGGAGAGTACTGAATAATAAATAACAACATTTCTTCTTTGTTAGTCTCTCATATCTATGCTTACTGAATATCATGCTGAGTATCCAAAGAAAGTGTGTATTTGTGTGAAAAAGAAGCAAGATACCATAGAGCCAACTTCAGAGGATCTCATGCTGTGTCATACAGACAATTAAATCACCACATTCCCTTGGTGAATTACCTGGAACACAGCAGAGCCTAAAAAAGGAATTTAAATTTATCTCGTTTTCACTGTTTTTTAGGACCATTTCGAGTAAGATTTTAAAGATTTGATTTTTAATGTTTGTTTGCTTACTCTGCTATTGTATTTCAGGTAAGTGAATTTTTTCAATAATGGCATATAACATATTTTACTAACCTGAATAAATCTTAAATGGAACCATTATTGAATAACCGCATTGATAAAACCCTGAACATAAAAGAGTTTTACTGGGCACATAAGAAATTAAGTAGCCCTGCAATATTAATCAACTGCTGCAACTCTACAGTATGATGATATATTATGACCAAGATCAATGACAAAGTGAAACACAACAATAATGCTGCAATAATATTCATGTATTACAGAACTGAAAAAAAGGAGGTTAAATATAGAAAACTTAACTCTAAATGCAGGAAAATAAATCCTATATCTACTATTATGACTACATCTTGAAGAATAATAAACATTTAGCATAAAAAGAGCATTTTTCAACCATAAAAGCAGTCAACTATTCTTTTAAATTAGGTAAATCTAATTAATTGTTATTTAAATAACACTATAAAATGTCATTCACAGAATTATTTCAATAATGATGTGATATATGTTGTGGATTCTGCTTTATTTTTTATTTTTTAGACGGAGTCTTGCTGTGTCACCCAGGCTGGAGTGCAGTGGCACGATCTCAGCTCACTGCAAGCTCCGCCTCCTGGGTTCACGCCATTTTCCTGCCTCAGCCTTCCAAGTAGCTGGGACTACAGGCACCCACCACCACGCCCAGCTAATTTTTTGTATTTTTTAATAGAGATGGGGTTTCACCATATTAGCCAGTATGGTCTCGATCTCCTCTCCTCATGATCCACCTGCCTTGGCCTCCCAAAGTGCTGGGGTTACAGGCGTGAGCCACCGCGCCCGGCCTGGATTCTGCTTTTTAACTATTCACATTAACTCATCAATTCTTTTTAAAAATTCAATGAAATCATACAATTGAAAAAATAGTTCTTTAGTTACTGGGAAAAACCAGAAATGTTAGTATCATTTAATACTTTTTTGTTTTTAAGAGATTATTTTTATAACTAATACATCTATTTTTGTATATTTTAACATTTACTATGTATAGATTCTTCTATTCTATATTATAGGTAGTTTAATTTATATTCTAATATTTGACTTTATACTAATATCCCAGCTGACATTACACTTAGAAAAAATACATTGAATATCAGCCAATTTTCATAAAGTTTGCTTAAAAAGTTCTAACTTTCTGAGAATAATTATATTAATAAATTAAGTTGTTTATTATAATTCTTTACCTGAATTATTTGAGCTATATTAAAGTATAATAATTGTGAAAAATTGCATTTTCAAAAGAAGGTCACAATTTTGTCTCTTATGAAACAAGTTTTCTGTAATGTGACCTTATCACCCACTCATTAAGAGACAGAATCTATTTCTCCAACACTTTTAACCTGGTAGGTCCTGTGACTGCACTGACCAATAAAATACAACAGAATTGATGCTGTGTCAGTTTCAGGGGTCGACATTAAGTAGCCTGGAAGCTTTTGCTACCTGATACATCAAAGCTGTTCAATTTTATGAAGTGCAATTACCCTAACACCACTATGCTGTAAAAAGTTCAAAGTTCAGGTTCATGGAAAGGATCGTAAAGGGTGAGCTGTCATGTGGAGAGACAAAAAGAGAGGAAGACAAAGACAAAAAGGCAGAGAGTGGCAGATGGAGACAGAGAAAGATAGAAAGCAAAATCATCAAGATGCCAGACATTTAAATTAAAAAATCATCTTATTTTGTTGCTCTTTTGTATTTTGTTAGTAAATTAAAAAATCATCTTATTTTGTTGCTCTTTTGTATTTTGTTAGTCCCTATTTTGTTTATTTATGGTCTGGTCTTTCTGGTCTTTATAGTCCCTCTTTTCTAATTATTTGGGGTCTGGGTTGTTCTTGTTTTTCTAGTTTCTTGAAGTCTAACATTAATTTATTTGATCTTTTTAGCTTTTTTATATAGGTGTTTATTGCTATAAACTTCATTCTTAGAACTGCTGTTGCTGTATCCCATAGGTTTGGGTATGTTGTGTTTTCATTTCCATTTTTCCAAAGAAACAAAATTAATAAAAAATTACTTCATTGACCCATTGGTTGCTCATGAACATTTTGTTTAATTCCCATGTATTTGTGCAGTTTCCAAAGTTCCTCCTGCTATTGATTTATAGTATTATTCCATTATAAATGGAAAATATACTTGATAAGATTTCAATTTAAAAAAGATTTGTTTTGTGGCTTAATATATGGTTTACCTTAGAGAATGTTCTATGTGCTGTTGAGAAGAATTTGTATTCTGCAGGCGTTGGGTGGAATGTTCTGTAAATGTCCATTAGGTCCATTGGGTCTAGAGTAGTTTGACTCCTATGTTTCTTTATTGATTTTCTGTGTGAATGATCTGTCCATCGCTAAAAGCAGTGTTTTGAAGTCTCCTACCATTATTGTACTGCAGAGTATCTCTCCCTTTAGATCTGTTAATATTTAGTTATATATTGATGTGCTCTGGTATTGGTGCATATATATTCACAATTGTTATGCCTGTGTATTCACACCTTTATCATTATGTGATCACCTTCTTTCTCTATTTTTATTATTTTTGAATTACAGTCTATCTTATCTAAGTAGAGCTACTCCTGATCTTCTTTGTTTTATGTTGCATGGAATATCTTTTTCCATCTTTCTTTCCTTCCATCTTTTCATTTTTAGTTTATGTGTGTCTTTATTGGCAAAGTTAAGTTTCTTGTAGGCAGCACATAGTAGAGTCTTGTCTTTGTATCCATTCAGCAACTCTGTCTTTTAAGTGGAAAAGTTCATTTATGTCCAAGGTTATTTTTGGTAGTTAAAGAATTACTATTGCCATTCTGTTACATGTTTTCTGTTTGTTGTATTAACTCCTCTCTTCCTTTCTTCCTCAAAATCAACAAACCTTTAGCTACGACAACTATGAAAAAAGAAAACTCAAATAAAGTCAGAAATTGAAAAGGAGATATTGTGACTGATACCACAAAAATATAAAGTACCATAACAGATTACTACAATTACACACAATAAATTGGGAAACAGAAGAAATTGATAAATGTTTGACACATACAACTTACCAAGATGGAATCATGAAGAAACATAAAATTCAAACAGATCAATAATGAATAATGATATCAAAGTAGTAATAAAATGTCTCCTAACAAAGAAAATCTCAGGACATGATGGCTTCACTGCTGAATTTTACCAAAGATTTAAAGAACAAATAGAGACACTACTGGAACTATTTCAAAAAATTGAAGAGGACGGAACACTTCCAAACTAATTCAATGAGATCAATGTTTCCCCCAGTACCAGTCAAGGACATAACAAAAAAAAGAAAACTGCAGGCTAATGTCCTGATGAACAGAGATGCAAATATCCTCAAGAAAATATTAGCAAACCAACTTAAACCACACATTAAAGAACTCATCACCATGATCAAGTGGATTTCACCTCAAGAATGCTAGCATGGCTCAATAGACATAAATCCATAAGTGTGATACCTCACATTAATAAAATCAAGGACAAAACCATATGATTATTTTAACAAATGCTGAGAAAGGATTTGATAAAATTTAGCATCCCTTTATGATAAAAACTTTCAGCAAACTTGGTATAGAAAGAACATACCTAAACACAATAAAACCAACATATGAAAAACTCACATCTAACATCACACTAAATGTGGAAATTTTGAAAAAGCTTGTCCTCTAAGATCTGGAACAAGACAAGGATGTCCACTTTCATGATTTTCATTCAACATAGTACTGGAAGTCCTAGCCAGCATAATTAGGTAAGAGAAAGAAAAAAATGATATCCAAATTGAAAATGAGGAAACAAAATTGTCCCTGTTTGCATATGACTTTATCATATGTGCAGAAATCCCTAAAGATTCTACCAAAAACCTGTCAGAAATAATAAGTAAATTTAGTAAATTTTCAGGTTATAAAATCAACATACAAAAATCAGTAATGAGTTCCTATGTTCCAACAGTAAACTACCTAAAAAGGAAATCAAGAAAATAATCCAATTTACAATAGCTACAAAAAAGTAAAATACCTTGAAATTAACTTAATCAAGGAGATTATAAATATCAGCTATGAAAACTGTTAAAAGAACATTGATACCAAAAATTAGAGAGGGCACAAATAAGATGGAAAGATATTCTTGTGTTCATGGATTAGGTCAATATTGTTACAATGTCCATGTTACCCAAACCTCATTTTCCAGTCCTCTGAAGCCAGTTTCACAAATTCAGACATAAATAAGTCAGATGAACTCTTTCTGAATCTCTAACTCATAATTATTTAGGAAAAATAAAATAATTTTAAATCCTTACGTTTCAGAGTGTTTTGTTATTAATTATCCATATGGTACATTTTAACTGGAAGAAAGATGTTACCATAATAAGCCAGTGAGAGGAACCTGGAAGGGACATAGGAAACTATTGGGGAGACTAGAAAGAAAGTCAGGAAATTGTATTCAGACTAGAGAAAGATGGCCATCTTCAGCATTATTGCAAAGTCTAGTGAAGCTGGTACCTGTGGTAACATGGAAAATAGAAAATTGTTTTTAGCAAATCGATAGACCTAGAGAAGGAGATATTCAGATAGGAAGTTGAAAATGTCAAGTGTTTTGTGAAGCTATTAAGAAATAAAAGAATTTACAGAGGTCCTGGAGGATGAAACTTTGTAGAGAAAGAAAAAATCTAAGGAGCCCCAAGGCACCTGACACATTAGTAAAAGACTATATTGAAAGCAGATCTTCCAGCTTCAGTAGCCCCAAATGACAACACGTTCAGATACACATCACTCAATTACCACCCTGCAAATTCATCCTCTTTAAATTGTAAGCAAAAATAAATTATTTTAAGCCACTTAGTTTCAAGTGTTTTTATGCAGCAACAAATAACCAGAACCGAATTACTGTTTTATCTATGTAACTATAATTTAAATAGATCATTAATTTTTTAATTGCAGAAAGTAAGTTAGAAAACTGGTTCTAAATGTACAATTTAAGGTTATGGAAATATCTAAACCATAAATAGCATGTAGATTCAGTAACTGAATAACTGGATTTCAGGACAGTTTTATATTTTCCAAATATATATGTTACTTATATATAAGAATTCATATTTTGTAATGTTATCGTCTTTATTTGTGTTTTCTTATATTTAAAGCAAGCTGAGTAAAATATTAGTAAGACTAACAGGTGACACAACCATTGTAAGATTTAAAATCATGTGCACCTGTACGTATGTTTCTGTATGTTTTTTCTCAGTCCTTTGCATATAGTATTCTATTTCTGTCTGGCATCCATTTTTGTTGATAAGTTTGTTTTCAAACTATCTGTCATTCTTTTATAATCAATTTGTCTTTTCTTTCTCTAACAGCTCTAAATTTTTTTTTTTTTTTTTTTTTTTTTTTTTTTGAGACTGAGTCTCACTCTGTCACCCAGGCTGGAGTGCAGTGGCGCTATCTCGGCTCACTGCAAACTCCACCTCCCGGGTTCATGCCATTCTCCTGCCTCAGCCTCCCGAGTAGCTGGGACTACAGGCTCCCATCACCACACCCAGCCAATTTTTTGTATTTTTAGTAGAGACGGGGTTTCACCGTGCCAGGATGGTCTCGATCTCCTGACCTCGTGATCCACCCACCTCAGCCTCCCAAAGTGCTGGGATTACAGGAGTGACCCAACGAGCCCTGCCAAGACTATCTATTTTTATGCTCAAGTTCAATGAAGAATGGGCAGTCATGTAGAAATGTGATTGGACAGAGGGTATGATTTAATTATAAGAGACTGATTGGAGAACCCAGCAAGCCCTATCTGTTCGGGTTCTTTTTGACCTCTCTATGTAGCATTTCTACCTCCCAGGTATAGGGCAAGACCCCTTTGCAGTGAAGGTCTTCAAGGGAGAAGAATAGTTTTTCTAGGATCCGTGGTTTTCTTTGGCAGAGAGGAGTTCTAGTTTCTGTGACCTGTCTTGTAGAAGCGGAATTCTGGTTATTATTATTCACTTCAGGGAAGGAAGACAGGCAGGGAACAGGAGGATGAGAGAAAAGGCTTCTGAGCCTTTTAATTATTTTTAATTCAAAATGCTCAACACACTAAGGCAT
Source organism: Homo sapiens (assembly GCF_000001405.40). Taxonomy (NCBI): domain Eukaryota; kingdom Metazoa; phylum Chordata; class Mammalia; order Primates; family Hominidae; genus Homo; species Homo sapiens. The sequence goes on along the minus strand of NC_000004.12, from coordinate 62,712,786 downwards.
CATATTTGGGGTTTTGTTTTCTGAATCCCAACATGATGTCTAGTTATTATGGTGCCTTAGAGAGTCTTATTTTTATACCATATTTTAATATCCAAGATCTGTAATTTGATTTTGATATCTATCAGTTCTATATGACTTTGTCTTTGTTTTATAATTCTCATTGTTTCTAAGAATTCTTTCCCATTTCTCTTTTAGAATCTTAAACCTCTTGTAAAATCAATTCAAACTTACTGTAACATGTGCATTTCATTGACTTGCTCCTATGTTTCAACTGTTGATTTTGCTGATCTCAGGTGAGAAATCTCTCTCTCTCTCCCCCCCTTTTTCCCCCGCTACTCCCCTTCCTTCTTTGTCCAGCAGTTTTGCTTTTTCCTCCAACTGGCTGCCGAGATCCCATCTGGAATCAGGAATTATATTGGCTCTCATACTGTAATGTTCCAGGGTATTCTAGATCTAGTCATTGAGGTAACATACAGTTCATCCCAGACAGGGTCTTAACTGTGCTGCTAAAAAAAAAAAAAAAGACAATAACTCCTGGAAATGGTTTAAGCTTTTATAGTCTCCTTTCTTCCAGAGATAGGGGGTCTTAATTCAGCCTTCATTTTTATGCAGAGTGGCTAGTTCTTGTCCTCTGTTCCAGTGATTTGCCATTCAATATGTCTACCCCACAGAAGATGAAATGTCATGATGTCTCTGGCTTACTTAGAATCCTTCAGATCAGCATATTCATGGTATCATGGTATAAGAAGTAACTTACACAAATGAATAATTTTTAAAAAATTTAGTTTTGTCATGTTTGGGAAAAAAAAGGAAGTAAAGTATGAATTTATCATTTTGACCAGAAATTCCCTAAGAACTCACTAATGCCTACCTTCCCCCACCTTCCCATTTAAACCTCAAAGCCTTGACTTCAAATATCAGGCAACAATCATTGTTTCCAGATATCCATATGCCCTAAAGGATTCTTAGTCAGGGAATGTAAACGGACAATAAAAAGGTTCATTGAAAAGGAAACAGTTTACACACACTTACTGAAAGAGGTAAAGTTCCTGGTATAAAAAGCTATAAAATGAATAATAACAATAAAATGTGTTCTAAGAGCAACCTCCATTTCCTGTTTCATTACCAAAAACAGGGAATAGTTTTTAACTAGTTGAACTGAGAGTCTGCTTTGGAATCTGACTAGTGTCAATTTTGTACATTTCTGATCCTCTTGTGCATCCCTGGTTGTCTTGCCATATGTCTTACATTGAGTCGTTCGTCATTCATCACAGATAGTCATTATTTTTCTTCTTAAGCTTTGAAATGGCTGTACGATACTGCTCCCTCTTCCTTTCTAGCCAGATTCCTGGAAGTCTATTTATATCTGTTGGAGACTGCATTTCTGCTCTGCTCTGGATAGGTGAACTTTATAAAACAACTGTAGTGGAAAATGTCACTACAAACATGCACTTGAATCTAAAGAGTGATCTCCAATGGCAAAAAAAAAATCTATGTACCATGAATCTGCCTACCTAATGCTATCACATTTTCTCATGATCAGCTAGTAGTTTTCCCTGCATTACTGTTAGCTACTCGATGATCAACATCACATAGGTCATCTAAGTAGGCACAGCGTCAAATGCTGACTTAGGGGTATACATTGAAAGGCATAATTCTTTTAAGGAGTTGGCAGGCTGTTTGGAAAGGACAATGAGAAAAGCTTTCAATATTTTGTTGTTGCAGATTGGATCCAAAGAAGGAGATGTGAGCAACAGAGAGATTGGATAGGAGAAAATTGTAATGGCAATATGAAATAACTAGGGCCTAAATGATAGTGATGGCTTGGGAATGGAAGGAGCAAACCAAGAAACAAAACAAAAAGGAGTTATCATACCATGGGACAGAACCTGTGAAAGAAAAGAACAAGGAGTTAAACACAACAATAATAAAAAGAGCAAGAACAGTAACAACACGTGAAATTTGCTAACTGCTAAAATACTTCAAACACAAGAAACCAATACAATGTTAGTAACAGTGACAGAACCTGGAAAGAGATCCATTTTAATGAGAAAAATTATTATTGGGTCACAGAAATTCCAAGTTTCATGTGATTGTGGGCCATGATAAAGGAAAACATTGATCTGTAGAAGAGGTATACATTTCAGGCATCAAGGAAGTCAAAGCTTAAAAAGTAGTACAGTAAGGAGGGAGCAAAGAGTCTTAATAAAATGAGAAATAAACTGAGTAGCTTATTACCTTAGAAGATTTAGTGATTTTTTAAATCAAATCTATATAAGTTCTGAAGACTTAGAGAGGAAAAGAAGATTTTACATTCTCTTTATCACTTGAGCAAAGAGGTAATGGAAGAATATATTTTTTTATTTTTTATTTTCTAGATTTTCCTTAATATAAATATTTATGCTTTAATTGAATTGCTTCATTGCTATATAGTATCTCTCTAAAGCACCACAACCCTATGGTAACAGTCACTATAGAAAACCAAAAATTCCTTTGCTTCTCTCTATAAACCATTTCTCATTTTCGTCTGTAATTTAATTCAAAAGAAAACATCATTTTAGAGATGCAGAAACATAAATTACATCTAAATCTACAATGGCCTCTGAAATTATCTCTTTAAAATGTCTTAAAGTATCATGCAATACATGGTGAATTAGTAAAATTGTAACAATTTTTCCAGATTTTTTTTTCCAAACAACTAAGATACGAAAAGAGAAGAATTACCAGTAAATGAAGATTGGAGTGATCATTTCCTGTTTGTTTTTATTGTGGTTTGATTTCAATGTAATGTTTTCTAATAAGCTAACAAGTGCAGTATCTCTAAACAAACTTCAAATGAACATATTAATATGGAGCTCACAGAGTCCCTTTTTGTGTCCCTTTTTACCTTGGTACAATAGCCTACTGTGCAGAGTGCTCCATGGAGAATTCTTTAACACTGGGTGGCGCTATATACTAACAAAAAAATCTTTATTTAGCATGACTATCTATATTTTTAGTTTCAGTTCATTTTTGCAGTCTTGATATCAACTATCATTGCATATTATTTTGTGAGTCCTTCTGATATTCCACTCACACAAATGTCTGGTGCAAACTGGGCTATTAGCAAAGAAATGTCAACCATGTTGCTCCAACTAGGTAGCATGTTCGTGATAAAGCATTATGAGAAATAAACTGGAAGAAAATAAAATCATGTGATAGAGAAGCATTTGTCCCTCATGTCGATGACTGAGGATATTTGTTGGAGGGAAACATTAAGTGAATTACAAATTTGCATAGCCAGTGAATTCCAAAGTAGCATCACATTTTCTATTACCTAGTTATAAACAGTGATGCAATAAATCATTAAATGTGACATGGAAGTTATTTAATTTACTGACCTAGATCACTCATAGAGTCACTCACATAAATAATTGAGCTATTTTTTTTTCAGGAAATTGGATACCAAGGCATTTATATCCTAAAGGAATACATATAAAGGTTTTTGGAAATTTTAACACAGTATCTGTTATACAATTGAAGACAAAAAAAGTACATTGGAAGAATTTACTGATAAAATATTAGAATCTTTTATTAAAATAATAAAAGAAATATAAAATCTATTTTGGGGAAGAAGCTTTTCATTTTTCTCTTATAAGTGATATATATTAGTATACATCTTGAAAAAATTATTGAATAAAGAACATATTAGCATATGAATTCTTCTTCCACCAGCACCCTCCCTTGCCACCAATTACACTCCAAACTCAGAGATAAAAGTTTATGTATACATTCAATCCTTTTTACCTGCATAAAATCCACTTTTGTATACATGCACAAATTCTATTGTATATTAACAAGATCATACTATGCATATTGATCAACACATTGTTCTTTCAATTAAAAACAGACCTGAAGTATTTTTCTATGTCCTCATAAAGGTTTGATTCTTTTCAACAGTAGCATGATATTCTATAGCATGAGTAAGCCATACATTTTTAACTGTTTTTCTCATTGAATTTTTAGAGTTTTGATTTTTAGGTTTCTTTCTCCTTTATTATAAACAATGGCACAGTAAACATCCTTGTACACACTTCTCTGTGTATGTGTATATTTCTGTTGGATGAATTTTAGAAGTAGAATTGCTGAGGCAAAAGGAAGGTACAACTTCCTAAAAAGCTAGTCGAATTTCACATTTGCTCCAACAATGCAGTAGAGTGTCTTGTTGGAATTCTTCCCCAGTTCTTGGCAGCAATGAACAGTATCAGTCTTTTTTTCTCTCATATTTGAAGGTTGGGGTGCTATGTCTTGGCTGTTTTCATTGTTGATTGATTATATAGAGATTGTGGATTGTTTTATATTTTTATTGAAATTTATGGGCTTTCTTTTTAGAATTGCACATTCACATCATGTTTAAACATCTTGATACTGGGTTAATTCTATTTTTGCATATATAGCATTATAACAGACATTTGTATCATGTATACTTACTTTTTGTTAATAATAGAAAATGCAAATATTGTCCCCAGCCTGTCTTTTGTCTATTAGCATTGTTTACATCATTGTTGATGATCATAATGATTGTCATCTCTACCATTTTTTTCTTTATGAATTCTGACTTTGTATCTTGCTTAAGAAAGCTTTTTTCACCCCAAATTGTTTAAGATATTTGCATTTTTTTACTAGTACTTTTATAGTTCAGGTTATTATATTTTTCCCTCTAATTCTTCTAAAATTTAATTTTGTATATGGCTTGTGGGAGGGAATTAAACTTTTTCTCAAATAAATAGCTAGTTTTCCAGATATTTATTTAAAAGTTGATCCTTTTCCTGTGGAATTGAAATACTGCTTTAATCATAAACTCAAGAAATCTTTCTTGAGCTTTTGGACAAGTATGGTTGACATTCTCTGGTTTTATTGTATACATTTTGTTTTATTTCCCTAAAACTTCTTGTAGTAATAATCAAATGATCATATCAATAGCATTCATAGGCTAATTATTTTTTAGAATTGCTTACATAGGGGTCTTATTTCTCAAATTACAATACAAATGAGTTAAGCTATGAAAGATCAGTGTTCTTCTAATGCATACTATTCAGCCTTTAAGAAGAGGGAAATCATGTAACGAAAACATGGATGAACTCGGAGGACATTATACCAAGAGAAATAAGCCAGGCACAAAACAACAAATACTGCATGGTCTCAGTTATATGTGAAATCCAAAATAATCACTCAGAAGCAGTGAACAGAATGATTAGCAGAGGCTGAGGAGTTGGGGGGAATGAGATGTTGGTCAAAGAGTACAGTGTTTCAGTTATACCAGAAAAATAAATGGTAAACATTTGTGTTAATGGATATGTTAATTACCTTTATTCAATTATTCCATATTGAGTGTGTGTGTATATATATGTGTGTATATATATATGTATATATATATGTATATATATATATATATCACAGCATCACTTTGTATCCCATAAACATATACAATTATAATTTGCCAATATCTAATAAATAATAGAGAAAAATGTGAAAATGACATTTTTCCTATTTGTAATCTTTTTGAAATAATTAACACAGTAACTCTCTTCAATATTCAAAAAAAAAGATTACCTTTCTCAAGGGCTTTAAGAATGGTTAGTCTAAACCTCAAAATGTACAGTTGTATATTGACCTCAGTATGAAACCATTTATCTTGGCAAGGAAAAGATATAATGATTTTTGTAATTTTGCATTTATTGTATCTATACTCAGTAAGCACACTAAAAGTGCTTGTATACCTTGACATTTTTTAAAGGGTGAGACTAGACAAATGAAACATTTCTCCTAACAATGTAGAAGAAATTTTTTTTTTACTAAATAGTTTGCCGTCTGAGACATATTCAAAATATATGATTTTTTGATGATTTCTTGACCCAGGGCCTCCTGTTCCATTTGGACTATCTTAAATTGCAGGAATAGTTCTCCACATTTACTTCTTCATGTACAATATTTCCATAAATAGAGTGTGAGATGTTACAAAGTGTTTTTACTAACAACACATCGGTTATTAAACGTGGGATTTTTTTCTCACAGCAACCAGTTCTCTAACTATTTGGACACCAACTGGGTGTACTACAATTCAATTCAATTCTGTCACTAACCACTTGGAGTTAGTACAATCCCCACAGGTTAGAGGCTAAGTCCCACAAGACTGCCCCCTACTTCAGACTCCAATCCCAAGTCTTGGGCCTCCTGTAGTTCTGACTGGCTATGCATTAGGGGCTTCAACAACTCCTTCCTCAAGTTTTGGTCATTTGCTGGGACAATCCTCACAACTTAGGGAAGTTTTTTAGTTAGTATTACCAGTAAATTATAAAGGATATAACTCAGGAACAGCCAAATGGAAGAAAGGCACAGGGCAAAATACTGGGGAGAGAGTGTTTCACACCCTCTCCACATGTTTCACCCTGACAGCGTCTTGCTCTGTTCACCAACCAGAAGCCCTCTGAATGTCATTGTTTAGGCGTTTTCATGAAGCCTTAATCATATAGACATTATTGATTTAATCATTGTCCATTGGCAATTGATTTAATTTCCAGCTCCTTTCCCCTCCCCAGAGGTGGAGGAGTGGGGTTGAAAGTTCCAGCTCTCTAATCATGCCTTGATCTTTCTGGCAACCAGTCCCCATCCTGAAGCTATCCAGGGGCCCCCAGGCATAACTTTATTAGAATCAACTCAGACATGGTTCTTAGGGACTTCTAAATAATAAAGATGATACTATCACTCAGGAAATTCCAAGAATCTTTAGAAGCTCTGTCTCAGGAACAAGGGACAAAGACCAAATATGTATTTCTTACTGTATCACACATGCTTACACAATAAATATTCATAGTGCAATTTTCTAATACTAGATTCAAGTTTCTAATATTAAAGTTTATGTGAGAAAAAATTAAATAACAAACTGATTTTTGCAATTTTTAGAAAGTATTATATATTTAAAAACATTAAATCTGATTCCTTACAAGCATGATCTCACTGTAGATCACAATAAAACAATGTAATAATCTTTATGGTAAAATGTATTGATTAAGCAATTAAATCTACCTAAGTGCTGTTTGAGTGTTTTTCAAGTATGAAACACATTCATAAACAGAGTGGACTATAATCCTGTCATAATACATATTTTACTGATTCATAATTGAAAGTTTCCTTCAACTAAAATTCATTTTTTAAATAATAGATGCCATGAAGCTCTATGTTTTAAACAATATAGATGGCAGTCAATAAGTCCTAAGAAATAAAAAAAAAAATCCAATGTAAAAGATTACTTTCATTGAACTAAATGTATTGTCTGAGATATACCTAATTGAAAATAGTAATTAATTACATCACGCTTATGCTTTTTATTCCTATAGCAGTTTTTATTGAATTAGGTATTGTGGGATCTATACACATAGCATTCAACTATAACAATACAAAATACTCAATATATTTGTTATATATTTATTATAATTATTTTCTACACTAGCATGTATTCAATATTACTATTTAAACTCCAGAATATCTTTATTCCACATAGGTCTTTACAGAATCTGGACTTTCTTATATTTAATATTTAAGTCAATGTAAGTCCACTCACATTTGTATCAGTATCTCTTTTACTCACTGAGTCAGACTGTGTAGATTCTAAACAGGAACAACGTAAAATTTGATTATTTTAATTCCTGCACTAACATTTAACTTTACTAGTAATTATTCTTCCACGAGGAAGAAAAAGAGAAAAAATTGCTTGCTAAAAATATTTGCATTAATTTTATAAATTGCTGTCAACATATGATAAAGAGACTTGAACGATTTTTTTGTGTGGACATATGATTAGATTTTAACAGGCCTTAATATTCATATATTTAAGGAAAACATATGACTTCAATGTGAACATGTCTATACTTGATTTTAATGAATAATTTCCACAACAGTTAATCGTTTTTGCTAACATGAAATTTGAGGATCCTTAAAGGAGAACCTTGAGGTTATCAAAGTAGGTTTAATATTTTTAAAGTATACCTTCATTTTTAAATATGCATCTTTTTACTCCAGTATATTTCAAAAAATGTGTTTTAATACACACACTTAAATGAATGATATGGATAGTATAGCCATATACAAATTTATACTGTTTCCAACAAAGACTTCTCTAGTAAGATTTAATATGTTACTGATACTTCATATGCCTTTATTGATGTTTAAACTAGTCCTGTTATTCTATCTAGCTTGATCCTTCACATTTCCCATCTCTAACCATCTTCTAAAGGCCAGAGAATGTCCTACCTGCCATATACTGTTGCCTTGGATACATGAGACTTCATATATTGAAGTAATTAAAGCCAATTTTTGTATCTAAGCAATCTCTGGGAGTTACAATACAAGAAACTTGCAAAAAGTGTCCTTAGAAAATTAAGGTAAATAGAGAAGTTCATACCAGAAACTAGAAAGGACCCTGTCTGCCAACCTCAAGTTTCTTCTCCCATTGCTGAATAGGATTTATCACCTGTTGCTGTAAGGAACTTCATGTCTGGCACTGCTCCAATTTATGGAAATTCTCACCTAGGCATACCATGCCAAACAAACATCTTTCTTTATATCTGTACCATAGGATCTAATATTTGACTATAAATTAAGATGGTGAGAGCATGAATACATAAGTATGTCTGCCTTTATAATGTTTCCAGCTAAAATTTTTAACTCTTTAAAGTAATGAGCTACTTATTGTAATTTGGTTTTATCCCATACGACAACAATCCAAAACTAAAGAAAAAAAAGTAGATGAATTTTTACATTTGTTTTTAAAAATTATAAAAGAATTATTCCATAACATTACAAAGATTAATAATTAATATATGTAAAGAGGTGAGAATACAACAGTGAATGGCACACAGTAAGTACTTTCCATGTGATTGCTATTTTTTTATTTTTATTTTTTATTTTATTTTAAGTTCCGGGATACAAGTACAGAACACGTAGTTTCGTTACATAGGTATACATGTGCCATGGTGGTTTGCTGCACCTATCAACTTGCCATCTAGGTTTTAAGCCTGCATAATTAAGACAAAATAAGTTGATTTCAGAGGTTAGCTGTCAATAGCGTGAAGGATATTAAAGCAGGTATCAATCAAGACAGGTATTTACTTGCCTAAAGAACACCGCACTTTGCGGTGGCTGAGGGGGGCAAATCACTTGAAGCCAGGAATTCAAGACCAGCATAACATGGCAAAACCCCGTCTCTACTGAACATACAAAAATTAGCCAGGTGTAGTGGCACATGCCTGTAATCCCAGCTACTATGGACGCTGAGGCATGAGAATCACTTGAATCTGGGAGGCGCAGGTTGCAATGAGCCAAGATGGTGCCACTGCACTCCAGCCTGGGCGACAGAGTGAAACTCTGTCTCAAAAAAAAAAAAAAGAAAAGAAAGAAAGAAAGAAAAAACAAACAAACAAAAAACACCTATCTCATCTCTCTCTCTCTCTCTGGTATTTGTTTAAAGAACAAAATAGAGATTTAATTACCTTTGATTAATTTTGGTTGTGTTGTGTTCTCCTTTGAATACTAGGTTGAGTTTAATTTGGACAATGTTGTTTCAAGGTTTCATTTCAACTTATTTGCAACAACCAAAAATTCTTGATAAAAAGAAACAAATATCTAATATATTTTATCAGGGAATACAAGAAAATTTCGTAGAGGAGAAAGCAAAAGAAAAAAGGAGGTGGGGTAATGAAAAATATTTAATAGGAGTAAGTTAGAAAAGTCAGCCACAACTGAATGTTTTGTAAATTTCTCCAGTTTTGTTCTCTACAGACTGAGTACCCGGGAAATTTTCTGTTGCTCTTAATCAGTCTCTCTTCAATGGAACTGCATACAAGGATATTCAACTGGACTTGTATTAAGGAAACTGCACATGGATTAATAAGGCTAGAGTTTTGGATGAGTGGTAGGTGCGAGACCAATCATGAGAGGCAGAATAACACAAATTAAAGAATATTTCTACCAGTAATGGGGAACCACTGTAAGATTTTAAGCAGATAGTAACATCCGATTGCATTTTAAAGAAGGTACTTTAAGCCCAGCGCAGTGGCTTATGCCTGTAATCCCAGCACTTTGGGAGGCTGAGGCAGATGGATCACCTGAGGTCAGGAGTTCAAGACTGGCCTGGCCAACATGGTGAAACCCCGTCTCTACTAAAAATACAAAAAATTAGCTGGGTGTGGTGGTGTGCGCCTGTAATCCCAGCTACTCAGGAGGCTGAGGTAGGAGAATCGCTTGAACCTGGGAGGCAGAGGTTGCGGGAGCTGAGGTCATGCCATTGCACTCTAGACTGGGCAACAAGAGTGAAACTTCGTGTCAAAAATAAATAAATAAAAAAGGTACTTTAAATCCATTCAATTGAGCATATTCATTTATTTAACAAATGTTCATTGTGTTGTTATATATGCTATGTACTGCTCAAGATGCTTGAGACAGCAAGGTTAACAGGACAAAAACCAATCTTTTTCATGGAGCTGACAATCTATCAGGAAAATTTGACAAGAAACAAGTACATATATAAGTAATAACATTCCACATGGTCATAATATCATAAAATATATAGCCAAATTAAGTGGTACAGCCTGCTTAGTGGGAATAATCAGCACTAAATAGTGTGGTAAGATCTTTTGAAGAGAACTATCAGATTTGAGACTGGAATACAGAGAAGGAAGTCACCACTTGAAGGCCTGAAGCAAATGCAAAGAACTGGAGGCAAGAAAACAAGCTAGGCATGTTAGAAGAATAAAAAGTGAGCCAATGTGGTTACAGCAAATTGCATGAGAATTAGACTTGCACAAGAGGAGGTTAAAAGCTATTTACAATACAGCTTATGTACTGTGTCATAGCATACGACATAGGGAAGTCTCCAGTTTTATTTTAAGAATGTGAATCTACTGATGTTTTAAAATGGAGCAATATGATTTTAATTTTGTGTTTAAAACATACTTTCAGCAACTGAATGGATTGTGAATGAGCCCATATAGAAACTGGGAAATTAATTAGGTAGATACTAGAAGCCTCCAGGTGAGAGATAGTGGTGGTTTTTCCTAAGTGGTAAAGGAGGGGATGATTTTCATCTCTACGTGTGGTTAAGCATATAGATAGAGGTGCAGGTACTCACTAATAGGATTGATGGTGTAGATGATGGAAAGAGAGAACTCAAAGATGATTCCAGAGCTTTGAAATAGGAAAGAGTATGAATGAAGGGTGTCATTAACTGAGGAATATAAGTAAATTTAGGTATCTATAATTAAGGCCACATCAGATATGTAATGTGTGTTTATGAAACATTCAAGAGTCACTTCAGGGCTAGGATGATGGAAGATGAGTCCAGGTTGTACTCAAGACTAAAATGAAAAAGGTGATAGCAATATCTTTCTCCATTTCCCAAGTTTCATTTCCCAAGATTAACTGTTCTCCAGTCTACTCTTTCATTGATCAATGCTCTTATGGTTTATAGTTTTCCTTTAATAGTAATACATTCCTCACTGTGAGAAATAAATCAGATAAAAAGGGACTTTATATAGTTATAACCATCAAAATAGCCATTCTTGTAAAAATATTGGCAACTTTATATGTTTCAACATAGTAATATATAAAATTATTATTAAATATTAATAATAAATGTTATTGCTATTAGAAATATTTATTTATTGAACAATTTTTTAAATTTTCATGTACAATATGCTAAGGACTGCTCTAGGTGTGTTTAAAATAGAAGTGAAAAAGACAGTAATTACCCTGCACTTAAGGAGTATTCTGTAAATAATTCTATTAAGTTTAGATAAAAAAGCAGAACAAGTAAATAATATGCAAAAAATAATTCATTTAACAAAAATGTGTTGATTTTCAACATTCTGAGCATTGTTTAGGTGCTCACTTGTAAAAAATACATACTGTAACATAACAGACAAAAAATCTTCACCTTTATGAAAATTATATTTAGACAAACAAACAATACATCCGATTAAATCAGAGGTGAAGATTTATAATGCGGTGATGTGATAGACTCAAGGGGGCCAACACTGATTGCTTTGACGGCAAGTCACAGATTCCATTTGTAATCAAGAAGGGATTATACAAGGATGTGAATCCTCTGAGGTCATCTTAGTGTATTTCACAGTCCCTAAACATTCTCCCTAAAAATTGGAGATGTTCTAAGACATACAAGGGTGCTCAAAAATATTAATGTATTTTCAATACAGTCTTAATTTGTATACAATTTTTACAAATAGCATAGTGTGACACTAATAATATTTAATAAAACTGAATCTTATCTCTTTAAATGAAAGGTAACATTCACAGTGATAATAATATTTGGCTTTCAAGTAAAATATCTTAAATTTAAAATGATCAGATGTTATTTTAGAGAAAAATTTAATTATTTTTGTTTACCTAAAGGGAAATTACAGTATTAAAGGCATGAAATAACCCGAAAAATCAGTAGTGTCTCATTGTCATTCATTTCCTTTCAAAAGTAAAAGGAAACATTGCAGTTAATATTTCCTTTACCAACTCTCTTTCCACTGATAAGCTTCAAATAGTCCTGAATGGTGACACATTAAGTCACTCCACTGAGGACATCATCTGGGATAAAACCATCAGTCAATTACATGATGAAAATTAACATAACCTAAGACCCTTTCTCAAGAGGAACAGCATAGGGTGATGAAAAATGAGCGGACTTTAAATTCAGATGGATGTGACAAGAATTACACTTGTTAGCTGAGAGAGCTTGGTGAAATTTTTGAGGCTTAAATTCCTCATCTGTAAAATGGAAACAACAATATCTCCTTAATAGAGTTATGGCCAGTCTGGAATGAGATAATATATGTAATTCATTGAACACAGTGTCTCACACATATAAATTCACCTCAATAATTTTCAGATTTTCTCAGGAATTAATAAAACTATCCTTGTACCCACTTAGTCTCCATCTTTCTATGTCCTCAACATCAGAAAATTGTGATGGTTAGTTAATTAACCATTTAATCTTAGCTAATAAATCACAGACATATTATGCCTCATCACTTTTCACTTACTATAATGGCAACATTTTAAATGAATAGTCATTTGAAATAACATTAGAAAAATAATTTTGTTTGGGTACACTTATTGCTAGATTCCAAAATAAATGATTTTCCATAGTTGCTTTTAAAAACAGAAAATGCAAAACCTTAACTTGGCAGATATCTCATTTTATATGATCTTGCCCAGTTTCATTAGCAATATTTTTCATCATTCTTTCACACTCATAACAAATGTAATTTGATTTTTCTCATTGTATTATTACTCTCTCTCTCTGTAGATGCTATTTTCTCTTTCTACTCCTCCCTCTCCACTTCTCTTCAGCTGTTTGAAGCACACTCTTTTCTCTAAGTATAGTGCATATGTTAATTTGTTTTCCCAGAAAAGCAATTACGTTGCTATCTTGCAGAACAGTGTCTACCAGGAGTTTCTTGAGATGGGAGTTATTTCTCTATCTCTATCCTCTCATATTTAGGATAAAGCCTGGACAATCAGCCCTAAATAAATAATTGATGAAATAAAATTAGAAGTGTTCACAGTGAAATACATAGAACTCTTCTGACATGCTTTACTAGTGTGTAGTATTACAAATAATTTTTTGAAATCTAAAATGGACTGAATGTTTGTGTCCTTCTTAAATCCATTTGTTGAAGCCCCAACCCCCAGTGTGATTCTTTTTGGAGATAGGATCTGTGAGGAAGTTATAAACGTTAAGTGAGATCTTAAGAATGGGGCCCTAATTTCATAGGACTGATGTCCTTAAGAAGAAGAGACACTAGAGTTCTCTCCCTCTCTGCCATATGAATAGGCACCTTGATTTTAGATTTTCCACCCTCCAGAACTGTTAGAAAATAAATTTCTGTTGTGTAGGCCACTAAGTCTATGGTGTTTTATGATGGCACCCAGAGCTAAGGCAAACCCAATTAAACTTTATATAATATAGTGGATATTACACTCTATTTAATATTCTTCAAGAATTAACCCCACACTAAAATAACTCTGCTAGTTGAATGTGTATAATTAGTTTACCAAATCCAAATTAATATTAATAAATTGTGGAGGAAAACTGCATTTGGCATTTAAGACTTAGCTAAATGATGTGCAGATGCAAATGCAGAGTCTATTAAAAATCCCACTGGTTGCCAACGATTCTACTTAGAATTGAGCCACCTCCAGTTTTATACTTCCATTACAAAATTTGTTCTACTTAACGTATTTTAACCAGAGTGTGTTTTTGAGAGCCAGATTATATCACTTAAGAAAGCTTTGAACCACAAAAACATAGCTATAGCTCCTCTAAGGAACCTACAGTGAGAACAGCATGTAAGAAGATATTTCTTTGGTGAAGCTACTCTGAGATTGAATCTTCCTAATATTTTATTGACATGTGAATTTGGACTTCAAAGTTTAAAATAAAAACCAAAAAGACGTTCAAGCATTTAGTAGGAATTCTTCCTGAAAAGGAGACCTCTACCTCTATAGTAAATTAACTATATTGTCCAATACTTCTTCCCAGGTAATTAATTTGCTATTATTTTAATCTCTTGTAGTTTATCTCCATACTGATCAAAATAAATGAGCTAAAAAAAGTTTTTGTCATCTAGCTGATTTATTAAAGGGAATGTCTTTTTTCATAATTTCTCAATTATGATCTGAGTCTTAAAGACACTTATAAAATATGCATATTGAAAGGAACCCCCATATTAATTTACAGTACACAGAAGGGAATTATACAGGCTAAATGTTCTTAAGTCACCCTCACATCCATCCTAAAAAGTTGGTGTTACCCCTGTTTTATAAAACAAATGAGTGGAACAAAGAACTGGTAAGTAACTTGTTTAAAGTGGTATTAGTAGAGAGTGGTAGAACCAAGATTTAAATTGCATTTCCTTTAGAAAGTCTGATATTTTTACAAAACTAAGGAGTAAATAATAATAGCAATAATGAAATGGTTTCCTCTCTTTCTCAAAAGTTTTTATAACAATGATGGAAAAATAAGTCTTTCACCTGATCAAAAATGTATATAAAAGATATTAAGTTATGTGTTCATAAATAAAATGCAAAGTCAAACAGAAAGAAAATACACTACTAAAGCCATGGAAAGGTTCACACATAAACCCATTGTGCCAACATTGTTTATTTTTCATCTTAAACAGCATATGTTATGTGCATTATATCAATATTTTCCCTTGAATTATACAGTGCCAGGATGTGTTATGTGTTTCTGTTTTGAGTATTACCTTAATCTCAATTTTAAAATGAAGAAACTGACTTTAAAATGGTTAAGTGACATGTTCAAGGTCACTTAGCCAAAAGATGTCAGTGCTAGGTCAAGAAACTTTTCTACTGCTGCCCCAGAAACCTTTTCCTAAAATCTTCAAGGCCAGAACAAATGCCACTTCTTCCTCCACAAAGCTGGGCTTAAAATTGCCCTCAAGCTATAAGTAATCCATACCTCTTACAATACGAAATGCTAAAATTCATTAATCAAAGCACTTGTTTATTAGATTTGATACCAAGGCAAAAGACGTACATTAAATAAATATTTAATTTCCTCCTCAGGGCACAAAACCAACAATACCATCTATCTTCTATCCCTTGTATACACAGGCAGAGAAAGGTTGCTGAGAAATAAAGAGCTTGCAGGGCTCAATATTAGACTGTTTAGACTTACAAATTATTGGTGGTAACAATGTTAGTAAACATAGGCCACTTGTCACCTTTAATTTTAATCGCAGAATGAAAAAAATAACCTCTTACTTCCCACAGTACATGCTGAGTTATGAAACCAACAAAACTGAGATCAAATATTAAGTAAAAGGACTGACATAAGCAGAACAATGGATCTAAAGTGATATAAATTTACTAAAATTTAAACTTGGAATAAAATGCAAAGAGAAAGAATCACTGAAACTGTGTAATAGTTTCAGAGTACAATCTCATTTTCAGTTACATCCCCTACTAGCATAGAGATGCTACATGAGTGTGTTTGTAATAGGTTTAAAAGGCATTTAAAGGAGGCATTAAAGTCTTACATGGTAAACACAGCTTTAAACACTTTAAAAGGCTGCCAGCTTGTTTTTCGTATAACATTTTCAAACGTAGAAATGGTATAAAACATCATACAATCTAATGATCACTTACGTTACTTGTAAATTGGAAGTTTTTTACTCATTAGGCAGATGCTAAAATAATTAGTAATTAGGATACCAATAAGGTTGTGCTGCTTCCAATTCTTTTAGTAAATTCATATTTTGATTAATTGCCTTTTTCTTCTTTTTGATGCTGTTATTGCCCAGAAGAATGTCTCTTTTATCACTAGGTGTTACTAAGTAGCAGCAAGCTAAGGAGAATTTATTAATGTCCTCCTTTTACAGGTTAATATTTGTACACTTAAATAACTTACTTACTGCTGACAGTTCAACACATTGGATTAATTATACAAGATAAGAGCAAGGTTTTATCTTAGCCATTTCTAGTCATTATTCTTTGAGTTAAAAATATATGTAATTGGTAATGATACTTGTTGCTACCAAGACAACAATCCCAGAGTTCATTAAAATCTGCAATGCAAATTTTTATTTTAAAACTTCTATGAAATTCTAATTATGTTATATTTCTCTGTATTTATCTACTTAATTATATTTTTTGTAATTATAATCATTATATCTTCCATTGTTCCCAAGGGAAGTTAACCATTAAAACACGAAAGATGAAAAAAATCCAGGGATCTCATTTTATTCTTCTATTTCTATAAAGTAGAATACTGTAATTTTAAATGGATTTTACACATTTGACATATAAAAGTAAGTGTATTTTAAGATACTGACTTACAGGCCGGGTGCTGTGGCTCACGTTTGTAATCCCAGCACTTTGGGATGTTGAACTGGCAGATCACGAGGTCAGGAGTTAGAGACCAGCCTGGCCAACATGGTGAAACCTCGTTTCTACTAAAAATACAAAACATTAGCCGAGCGTGGTGGTGGGCGCCTGTAGTCCCAGCTACTCGGGAGGCTGAGGCAGGAGAATGGCGTGAACTGGGGAGGCGGAGCTAGCAGTGAGCCGAGATGGCACTACTGCACTCCATCCTGGGCCACAGAGCGAGTGAGACTCCGTCTCAAAACAAAACAAAACAAAAAAACAAACAAACAAATGAAAATACTGAGTTACTAATAGGGAGTCAGTTTCTACTAACATTTTTTCATCTCTGGAATTCATATTAAATAAGACCTCAGGTCCTGTATATGTAAAATGGTAAAATATAAAACGTTATACATTATACATATGCGTTATACATTATACATATGCATTATACATTATACATAAAACATTATACATTATACATACAGAATGATGTAAAGTCAATGAAATTCTATCAAGAAAAAATACTTAATAGATAAACATTTCTAATATTTTCTATTCTCATTCTTAGTGAGTTAAAATCATTTTAACCAGAGATCAAATATTCTGTGTGAATTTTATGATGGAGATTTGATTAATCACTCCATATCTATTTCAAAATTTTAACATTTTATACTTCTGTTATTTTTAGGTCATTATTTCTTTGAAGTAAAATTTTATCTGAATACATTGGGCAGATTAAAATAATACATAATAATTTTCTTTCATTTACAGTGATCAATAACTATTTTTGCTCCTTTAATGGTTGTCTATTTTATTTTATATTGATGTACCAATGTATTTTACCAGATAATTGTTTGTATTTTTTAACATTACTAATTAGATGAGATTTTTCTGTCAGTTTTAATTCTATTAAGAATTTTCCTAATGCAGTTTTAACTTCTATCAGGATTATTTTGAATAGCTTATATTCTGCATGCAACGATTAATACCTTTTGTGCATTCTTGGGGAGGATCAAAGAGTATGCCTAGAGCAAAGGCTTAGAATCCAAACATAGTCAAATGAGACAGTCCAAAATACTGAGACATTGCTTTCTGTAAAGTAAACTAGGAGTAGGTAAAGAGTTAGTTACCTTTATATTCAGATTTAACCCAGCCCATTTGTCCAAATAGAAGATATAACTTGTCATATTTTATTTACCCTTATTACTCATATGCTTTGTAACCTTAAAGAACATCTCATTTATTTAAGGTAATCTGTTTGTGCATATAATCCATAGGTAATTCCAGGCAGACCCTTGACAAAACTATTAAAATGAGAAAATGAGAAAATGAGAAGCTTAATTTTCAAATACTCGGCTTCTCTTTTCCATGTAAGTATTTCATAATTTATAATCCATCACAGTTTCAAAACTCTCATGTTATTTTCTTCCTCTGTCTCATTGATGACTTTGTGTGACATTAAGTCTGCATGAATATAAGGATTATTAATTTAGTATGAATAGCATGCCAAACTCTGACAGGTTCAAATTATTTTTACTATTCTCACAAGAAAAACAGATGGCCAAGGAGACACATCTGATAATAGGCAAAACAGACATTTGAACTCAGGTCTCTGATTAATTTAACTTTATCTTTGAACAACTGAATGCTTCTGTTTTTTAAAGGAATTTCCGACATTGTCAGATGCTCAGTGTGAAGCCTAACAAGTCAAGATCTCTCCTCCTCCGTATCCATAAACATTTACAACTAACCAGTCTACATACACACACACACACACACACACACACACACACACACAGAGAAAGGAAGCATTCTTATTTTCAAAATATGCAATATTGAATGATAATAGATTGATCTTCTTTTTATCTTAAAAAAGTCGGTTTCTGACTCCTTCATAAACAATAGCTGAAAGTCTGAAAGTCTGAAAAAAATCGGTGGATGAATGGTTAAGCAGCTAAACAATGCTTTCTCAGTTTCAGGCCAGAAAGGAAAATAATTCAAATTCAGAGACAAACATGGTGGAAGATCAGTCTTTAAATTGTGACTAACAGCAAAAGCATACCTACCACCTAGGTCTTGGTGTTTTAATACTATTATTTACTAAAAGGGACTAGAACTCCTTGGAGAAATGCCTAAGTCCAAGTCTGGGGCAGGGAAAGACCAAGATAATCCTGGAACATTTTTTTTTCCCCCAAATTAAGGAAGTGCTTAAGAATGATGGAAAACATTCAAAATGATTCTGAAACTAGCTTAAAGGTGATTTTACTTGTCAAATCTGGGGGAAAGTTAGTTTCAGAATAGTTAAAAACAGTAAGTTTGTAGTGCTATGAATGAAATATGAAAATATGAATCAATACTAATAAAAATTAATTAATAGAAAAAAAGAAAATTTGAAAAAAAATTGGATGCTCTTAAAGATTCATGTACCTCACCATGAGGTGAAAAGTAACTTTACACACACCTATGCTATACAGGCACTTCTATCATTAGGTGTTGATGTGCCAAGCAAATAGATCTGCTGAGTGAAGTTCTGGATGTCCTCCTGACATTATGAAGTGGAAGCCAATTAGATAAGGCATTGTATCACATTCCTGCGAGTATTTTCTTGCCTTGCTTCCCCTTTTTAAATCACCCTCAATGTTCTGGCCTTATGTCTCCTTAGTAAAGCCTAAGCATTTTAATCATAGTCTAAGCACTGCTGTTTCAGGACACTATAAGACATTTGGTTTTACACTTAAAAATAAAACATACAGCCAAGCGTGGTGGCTCACGCCTGTAATCCTAGCACTTTGGGAGGCCGAGGCGGGTGGATCACTTGAGGTCAGGGGTTCGAGACCAACCTGGGCAACATGGTGAAACACCATCTCTACTGAAAACACAAAAATTAGCTGGGCATGGTGGTGCATGCCTGTGGTCCCAGCTACTTGGGAGGCTGAGGCAGGAGAATCGCTTGAACCTGGGAGGCAGAGCAGTGAGTTGAGATCATGCCACTGCACTCCTGCCTGGATGACAGAGTGAGACGCTGTCTCAAAAAAATAAATAAATAAAAATAAATAAAACATAACAACTGCCATATCAACAAAGTCAAATAGAACAATCTATATAATTATCATGATAGATTAAGGAAAAACATTTAATAAAATTCAAAATTTAATTTATAATAAAGCTATTAACAACCTAGTAACAGAGATAACTTCATTAGATTAATATTGAATATCTAGAAATGGGTATCCACAAATAACAGCATAGTTGATGTTAAAAAAGAAAATTTTAAGTTGAAAGTATAATAAGGCCTATCAGCACCTGTAATCAATATCATATTCAATGTTCCATGAAATGTAAGACAAAAATAAGAATTTCAAAGAAATAAATTAAACTGTCATCATTTGTAGCTGGGATGATTATTTATACTAAAAATTTATTATCTAAATTACATCAATAGGCAATTAAAAGGCAATAGAGTAAGGTCATTTTACTTAAGTTCAATATACAAAAAGCAACTGTGTTTCCACATACCAGCAAAAATATTTAAAAAATTAAAGTATAATAATATTTGTAATTCATTCAATGTCACAAGAGTCTTGTGAACAAATCTAGTTGTTAGGAATTTCACACACATGCAATACAGAAAACTGTGAATATTTTCAAAAAGATTAAACTTCCTTAAAAATTTAAGAATATAATATGTCCATGGATGAAAAGATTCAGTTTTATTAAAAAAGTGATCTATAGATTCAATGCAAACACAAACAATGTCTTTTTTTAAATGTGTGTGTACATATGTGTTGAAATTTGTTTAGTTTTTTTCCTAAATTTATATGTAAATGAAATAGATAAAAAATGCCAAGGCAATAATGATAAATCAAACTCGATAAAAGACTTAAAATGATGTATATCAAGATATATTTTATTACTTTATTAATTGGGACTGAAGCTGTTGATGCAAGGAGAGTCAAAATGAACTAATGAAACACAACATTTAGTTTATGTCAAATATGGCATACCAGAGCAATGGGAGAAGTCTTTACAATAAATCATATCAATGGACTATATATCCATTAACTCCTAACTCCCACCATATACAAACAAAAAATTAGTTATATGTGAATTGTACATAAAAATGTGAGAGGTAAGGCATCATGCTTCTAGAAAAATAGCAATAACAAAAGAAAATAATAGTAAATGGGTGTATATAAGATTAAATTTTTATTTTAAAATCTTTTGCTCATCAAAATATACAATTAAGGGAGTAAAAAAGCAAGTCACAGAATGATAGAAGATATTTACAATATATATAACCAACAAGGTATATAGAAAACTACAAAGCTTCAATGGAAAAGAGGGCAAAAGTTTTTTGGGGGTAGAGGAATATGAATTTTATTAGATATAATTAATATACAGTAAATCCACCTTGTATACTTTTATGTTGACAAATATAAAGTTTATTTTTAAACACCACAAAAAATGCTATTTATAAGAAAAAATACTATAATAAACTGTACTATGTAAAAATTTGTAAAACTCTGATTTTCAAAAGACATTATTAAAAAGTAAAAGGTCAAGTCACAGAATGGAAAAAAAATTTGCAATGCTTATATCCAACAAAGTATTTGAATACTAAAAATATGAAGAAAAATTCCTAAGTCAAAAATATAAGCAAAAATAAAAGAAACGATATGAGCAGACACTTCAAAGCAAAAGATATTAAAGTGACAAACAAACTAAAGTATGCTCCAACTCATCAGAGAAATGCAGTTTAATATCAAACACTTGATCCTATCTTACATTCACCAATGCAAAAATAGACAAGTCTAGTTTTAGGAAGATTGTAAAGTGACTACAACTTTTATACGTTGCTGGTGGGAGAATAAGGTGGTACTAACACTTTGGGAAGCTGATGGTATACTAAAGCTAAAAATATATAAACTCTATATCCCAGTAACTCCACTGTGAGTATATATCTAAGAGAAGTACATACCAAAATATATACGTAAGAATGTGCATAACATCAATAATAACTACCAAAAGTCTTAAGACGACTCAAATATCCATTCACAGAAAAATGGATAAATAAACAAGGAAAGGTAGTATGTTCACACTATGCCCCATTATACAATATAATAACTGAACTATTCAATGACTTGTGTGCAACTGAAAAATATGCTGTGAAAGAGGCCAATAACAAAAGAATATATAATTTTTTCATTTCACTGAAATAAAACACAAAACAGGAAAAATTAATCTATGGCAGTGTTTATCTTTGCAGACGAGACTACAGGGAGAATGAAGGATGGTTAAGGAATTGCTTCATGCAAGTTAAAGAGTGGTTCACTTCATGATAATTCATCAAGCTTTATACTTGTGATTTGTTTACATTTCTTTAAGTATGGGATGCAGAGATAAAATATTTATTAAATTGATTGGTATTCTAGTCTCCTACATCTTTTTAATATAAATAAAACCATGTTAACCTAAGTGCCATAAAGAAAATTTGGCATTCACAGAAGATGAACCAGGTTTATCCTATGGTTTTGAATACTCCCTGAAATACCATTTCTGTATTCCTAAAATTGCATGTACAAAAGTTTGAGAAAATGGTAATCAAGCTATCTTCAGCTAATCTGAACTTGTTAGATGATAATGTAGCAGCAAATAGTAAGAAAGTGCAATGGTCACCAAAGTGAGCGTCAGTCCAGCCTCTCTCCTGGGGACGGCCTGTCCTAACCGTAAGGTTGGTTCCTTGTGTCAATGTTTCTTCTGTATGATTCTATTCCCCTGGATGCATGCGACTGACTATAGGAAGAAATAACACCCAAATTGGGACATTTTTATTCTATCTCTTGGAAGTTTAAGTTGGAAAACAGCAAGCCCAACATGAGCTAGTCCTTTAAGTGAAGATAATCTAAACCTGGAAGCCATTACTGGGCTAGTTTTCCCCCCACTTTGGACAAAGAAGCAAAAAGTGCTGTTTTCAGAGAAAGAAAATTGAGAAAATATGCAGAAAGTAGAAAAATTGAAGTCCAGGGAGAAAGATTGGCTAACTTTCCAGTATAGAATTTCAGTTCCTTGTTAAGTATCAACCCAATTTCTCCCTTGCATTACACAATTAATTCCACTATTGTTGTATTTATTTTTGCTCCTTTTAATTTTTATGACAAGCTTACATGCATTATAATTTTATATAGGATAATGTATATTTTGTATTTGCATGTGTGTACATGACAGGTAGTGGAAAAGAGGGGTAACACAAGATTTTTTTTCTATATTTCCTTTTGTTTATTTCCTTTTTCCTTTATCATGTGACATAAGATTTATTAGCTTCATATCAGCGTTTAAGTATAATTAACTTTATGTAATAGTATTTAGGATGAGGATGGTGTGTTTCCAGTTTTATGAAGGATAGTTGTATTACATTAGGCATAATTATGACCTTACTATTGTCTTTATTTGAAGATTATGTATAATCTCAGGAGACGTGTTATGTGTTCAAGTTGACAAGGGGTGAACTTGAGATGGTTAATACTGAGTGTCAACTCGATTAGATTGAAGGATACGAAGTATTGATCCTTGATGTGTCTGTGAGGGTGTTGCCAAAAGAGATTAACATTTGAGTCAGTGGGCTAGGAAAGGCAGACCCTCCCGTAGTCTGGGTGGGCATTGTCTAATCAGCTGCCATTGTGGCTAGAATATAAAGCAGGCAGAAAAATGTGAAGAGGCAAGACTGGCCTAGCCTTCCAGCCTACATCTTTCTCCCCTGCTGGATGCTTCCTACCCTCAAACATCGGACTCCAAGTTCTTCAGTTTGGGGACTAGGACTGTCTTTCCTTGCTCCTCAGGTTGCACATGGCCTATTGTGGGACCTTGTGATCATGTGTGAATACTTAATAAACTCATATATATATATATATATCGAGATATATATATATATGGATATATATGGATATATATATGGATATATATATGGATATATATATGGATATATATATATGGATATATATATGGATATATATATATGGATATATATATGGATATATATATATGGATATATATATGGATATATATATATGGATATATATATGGATATATATATATGGATATATATATGGATATATATATATGGATATATATATATGGATATATATATGGATATATATATATGGATATATATATGGATATATATATATGGATATATATATGGATATATATATATGGATATATATATGGATATATATATATGGATATATATATGGATATATATATATGGATATATATATGGATATATATATGGATATATATATGGATATATATATATGGATATATATATGGATATATATATATGGATATATATATGGATATATATATATGGATATATATATGGATATATATATATGGATATATATATGGATATATATATATATGGATATATATATGGATATATATATATGGATATATATATGGATATATATATATGGATATATATATGGATATATATATATGGATATATATATGGATATATATATATGGATATATATATGGATATATATATATGGATATATATATGGATATATATATGGATATATATATATGGATATATATATGGATATATATATATGGATATATATATGGATATATATATATGGATATATATGGATATATATATATGGATATATATGGATATATATATGGATATATATGGATATATATATGGATATATATATGGATATATATATATGGATATATATATGGATATATATATATGGATATATATATGGATATATATATATGGATATATATATATGGATATATATATGGATATATATATATGGATATATATATGGATATATATGGATATATATATATATATGGATATATATATATATCCTATTACTTCAGTCCTTCTAGAGAACCCTGACTAATACATCTGGATTTCAAAGGGAATGCTTCCTGCTTTTGCTCATTCAGTATGATATTGGCTGTGGGTTTGTCATAAATAGCTCTTATTATTTTGATATGTTCCATCAATATCTACTTTATTGAGGTTTTTTAACATGAAGAGATGTTGAATTTTATTGAAGGTGTTTTCTGCACCTATTGAGATAATCATGTGGTTTTTGTCATTGCTTCTGTTTATGTGATGAATTATGTTTATTGATTTGCATATGTTGGACCAGCCTTACATCTCGGTCAGGAAGTTGACTTGATCATGATGGGTAAGCTTTCTGAAGTGCTGCTGGTTATTATTGGCAGTATTTTATTGAGGATTTTCACATAGATGTGCATCAGGGATACTGGCCTGAAGTTTTCTATTTTTGTTGTGTCTCTACTAGGTTTTGGTATCAGGATGATGCTGGCCTCATAATATGAGCTACGGAGAAGTCCTTTGTTTTCTGTTGTTTAGAATAGTTTCAGAAGGAATAGTACCAACTCCTCTTTGTACATCTCGTAGAATTGGGCTGTGAATCCATCTGGTCCCGGGCTTTTGTTTTTTTTTTGTTTTTTTTTTTTTTTTTGGTTGGTAGATTACTTACTACTGTCCCAATTTTACAACTTGTTATTGGTCTTTTCAAGGATTTGGCTTCTCTCTGGTTTAATCTTGGGGGAATGTGTGTGTCAAATAATGTATCCATTTCTTCTAGATTTTCTAGTTTATTTGCGTAGAGGTGTTTATAGTATTCTCCGGTGGTAGTTTCTATGTCTGTGGGGTCAGTGAGGATATCCCCTTTATCATTTTTGATTGTGTCTATTTGATTCTTCTCTCTTTTCTTCTTTATTAGTCTAGCTAGCATTCTATCTATTTCAGTATTTTTTTCAAAAAATTAGCATGTGGATTCATTTATTTTCTGAAGGATATTTTTGCGTCTCTATCTCCTTCAGTTCTGCTCTGATCTTAGTTATTTCGTGTCTTCTGCTAGCTTTTGGATTTGTTTGCTCTTGCTTCTATAGTTCTTTTAGTTGCAATGTTAGGGTGTCAATTTGAGATCTTTGTAGCTTTCCGACGTGAGCATTTAGTGCTGTAAATTTCCCTTGTAACACTGATCTAGCTGCATCCCAGAGAGTCTGGTACATTGTCTCTTTGTTCTCATTGGTTGCAAAAAACTTTTGATTTCTGCCTTAATTTCATTATTTACTTAGGAGTCATTCAGGAGCAGGTTGTTCAATTTCCATGTAGTGTGGCTTTGAGTGAGTTTCTTAATCTTGAGTTCTACTTTGATTACACTGTGGTCTGAGAGACTGTTATGATTTCAGTTCTTTTGCATGTGCTGAGGATTATTTTACTTCTAATTATGTGATTGTTCTTAGAGTAAATGCCATGTGGCACTGAGAATACATATTCTGTTGTTTTGAGGTAGAGAGTTGTGTATATATCTATCAGGTCCACCTGATCCAGAGCTGAGTTCAAGTCTTAAATATCCTTGTTAATTTTCTGTCTTGATGATCTAATATTGATAGTGGGGTGTTAAAATCTCCCACTATTATTGTGTGGGTGTCAGTCTCTTTGCAGGTCTCTAAGAACTTGTTTTATGAACCTGAGTGTTCCTGTATTGGGTGCATATGTATTTAGGATAGTTAGCTTTTCTTGTTGAATTGATCCCTTTGCCATTATGTAATGCCCTTCCTTATTGTTTTTGATCTTTGTTGGTTTAAAGTCTGTTTTGTCAGAAACTAGGATTGCATCCCCTGCTTTTTTTCTGCTTTTGATTTGCTTGATAAATTTTCTCCCATCCCTATATTTTGAGCCTCTGTGTGTCTTTGCATGTTAGATGTGTTTCTTGAACACAGCACACTGATGAGTCTTCACTCTTTATTCAATTTGCCAGTCTGTGTCTTTTAATTGGGACATTTAGCCAATTTACATTTAAGGTTAATATTATTATGTGTATTGATCCTGTCATCATGATTCTAGCTGGTTATTTTGTACATTAGTTGATGCAGTTTCTTCATAGTGTCATTAGTCTTCGTATTTCAGTACGTTTTTGCGGTGGCTGGTTCCGGATTTTTTTTTTTTTTCCATATTTAGTGCTTCCTTCAGGAGCTCTTGCAAGGCAGGCCTGGCAGTGATGAAATCCTTCATCATTTGCTTGTCTGTAAAGGATTTTATTTCTCCTCTGCTTATCAAGCTTAGATTGGCCAGATATGAAATTCTGGGTTGAAAACTATTTTAAGAACTTTGAATATTGGCACCCCCTCTATCCTGGTTTGCAAGGTTTCTGCTGACAGGTCCACTCTTTGTTAGTCTGATGGGCTTCCCTTTATAGGTGAGCTGGCCTTTCTCTCTGGCTGCCCTCAACACTTTTTCCTTCATTTTGAGCTTGGAGAATCTGAAAATTATGTGTCTTTGGGTTGATCTTCTCCTGGAGTATCTTACTGGGGCTCTCTATATTTCCTGAATTTGAATGTTGGCCTGTGTTGCTAGGTTGGGGAAGTTCTCTTGGATGATATCCTGAAGTGTGTTTGCCAACTTGGTTCCATTCTCCCCATCTCCTTCAGGTACCCCAATCAGTTGCAGGTTCAGTCTTTTTACATAGTTCCATAGTTCTTGGAGGTTATGTTTGTTCCTTTTCATTCTTTTTTTCTCTAAACTTGTCTGCCTGCTTTATTTCAGAGAGATAGTCTTCAAGCTCTGATTCTCTTTCTTCTTCTTGATTGATTCAGCTGTTCATACTTGCATATGTATCAAGAAGTTCTTGTGCTGTTTTTCAGCTCCATCAGGTTATTTATGTTTCTCTCTAAACTGGTTATTCTAGTTAGCAGCTCCTATAACCTTTTATCATGGTTATTAGCTTTTTTGCATTGGGTTAGAACATACTCCTTTACCTCAGCGAAGTTTGTTATTACCCATCATCTGAAGCTGCTTCCTGTCAATTCGTCCATTTCATCATCTGTTCAGTTATGTGCCCTTGCTGGAATGGTGTGATTATTTGGAGAAGAGGCACTCTGGCCCTTTGAGTTTCCTGTGTTTTTCCATTGATTCTTTCTCATCTTCATAAGTTTATCTAGTTTCAATCTTTGAGGGTGCTGACCGTTGGAGGAGGTTTTCGTGGGTACTTTATGGTTGGTCCTGTTGTTGTTGCTTTCTGTTTGTTTCTCTTTCAATAGTCAGTCCCCTCTTCTATACGACTGCTGCAGTTTGCTGGGGGTTCACTTCAGGCCCTATTCATCTGGGGCACTCCTGCACCTGGAGATGTCACCCAAGGAGGCTGGAGAACAACAAAGATGGGTGCCTGCTCCTTCCTCTGGGGTCTCTGACCTCGAGGGCACCAACTCGATGCCAGTAGGAATGCTGCTGTATAGGGTGTCTGGCAATCCCTGTTGAGGGGGTCTCACCCAGTTGGGGTACATGGGAACCAGGACCCATTTAAGAAAGAGCTTTGGTTGTCTCTTGGTGGAGGGGGTGTGCTGCGCTGGGGGGAACTCCACGCGCCTGGGCTGCCTGGATTCCTCAGCACTAACAGGGGGAAAGACTAAGCCTGCTGGTCTGCGGAGACTACGGCCAACCCTCCCTTAGAGGCTCAGGCCCCTGGAGATCAGAGCTCTGTCCCTAAGCCCCTGGCTGGAGTTCCTGTAGGGAGGCCCCACCCAGTGAGGAGAGATGGCTCAGGGTCTGGACTAAAGAGGCAGTCTGGCCACCATCTGCCACAACCAATGTGCTATGCTGTGGGGAATAGCTCTTCAGACCAAGCCATCCAGTCTCCCCAGCTACAGCAGGGGAAAATCTTGTCCCGGAGCTATAGTGATGGCTGCCACCCTTCCCCCTCCAGTAGTTCAGTGACTTAGGCAGTTAGCAGCCACAGTGATGCCGGCTGCCCCTCCCTTGGGATCTCAGAGCCCCTGCCCCACTGAGCTCAGAAGGCTTAGGCAGCAGGCACTCGCAGTGATGATGGCCGCCCCTCCCTCCAAGAACTTGGTGATCTTAAGGAGATTCCAGCTGAGTGGCTGTTGAGAATCTGCACGGCTCTGTGGTTGGAGACCAAGCCTCTGGTGGCATGGGGTCGTAAGTGGGATCTTCTGATCTGTGGGCTGCACAATTCTGCGGAAACAACACGGTTTCCAAGGTTGGGTAGCATGCTCACTCACCGCCTCCTTTGGCTGGGAGTAGGGACTCCCCTGCTCCATGTGGCTCTCAGGTGGGCCCAAGTACCACCCTGCTTTTCCTTGATCTCCAAGGGTCGCGCCAACTGCCTAGTCAATCCTGATGATGGAACCTGGATATCTCGGTTGCCGGTGCAGGATTCGCACTTTCTTCTCGTTCTTCTCCAAAGAAAAAGTGGGAGCCTCCGACCACCACTTCTTCTAGTCGTCAATTTTGGCCCCACCCCCCACAAATTTTTTTCTAGTGAAGATATTTATGATGGGTTAAGATGTACTTTTATATTAAGAATTTAGATTTTAAAATTAGAATGTCTTGGTTAACTGATGATTTTTATAATTAACTAGAGAAACGCATTGAAATCAAAGAAAAAAAATGACAGAAATTTAGGCATAAAAATAGAATAAACCAGAGTTAAACCAATAACTATTTGTCCCTCATTAACCAATAACATTATCTGAATTGTAAATTTGCACTCCGACAGACCACTACGTTGTGATAAAAGTTTGTACGAATATTGTGTTTATACAGAATGAACATCCCTGAACTGTCTTCACAAGCCATTCATTACTGTTGTATAAAAAGCACTCCTTAAGTGACTTATAATTTAGCTGCAATTTTCAGTTTACAAGTAATCTTAATGATTGTGTATAATGCTAACTATGGACATAACACAAAGTTTGGAGAATAATGTGCATGTCACAAGATCAAAATTATAATACAAAAAATTTATTCACTATATATTTGTGCATTTGACAATTCTTCAGAAATTAAAACAAAACAAAACATGCTTCAAAGGAAGGAATTAGGGAAGGGGTGTGTTTGTGTGTGTGTATTTGTGTGTGTTTGCATAAGCAAACTTGCTTCAGATAATATATGAATTAAACATTATAAAAATAAACAAAAAAATGAAAAGCATTCTACGTTAAACAAAATTATTGGTTGAAATACACTATCTGTTTACCCTAGTTTTTTGTAGAAAAAAGTGATCAACCAAATATAAGCTTTACATCAGAATGCCATTTTAAC
This sequence comes from Homo sapiens, assembly GCF_000001405.40. Taxonomy (NCBI): domain Eukaryota; kingdom Metazoa; phylum Chordata; class Mammalia; order Primates; family Hominidae; genus Homo; species Homo sapiens. The sequence goes on along the minus strand of NC_000004.12, from coordinate 62,682,734 downwards.
TCTTATGTTATAAGCATCTAGATTAATAACAAAAACAAAATTTTTCTGTTTTGCATCCCTTGTAGAATTTTTCCTAATACCCAGTGGTCATTAGTGGCTTAAATAGAAATCTTTCCTCTTTCTGCTTTCACATCCAGTAATAAAGTCAATGTTATTTTCATAGGCAATAATTGGGTGCACAGCGTTCAAGTCAGTATCATTCCAAAAGTTCTGAATTTGAGGTTAAAAGACTTGGGGTTATATCCTTGTTCTTTGACTAGCTAGCTGTGTGACAAATGGGAACTTGCCATTTCTCTGAATGTCATTTTTCTAATTTAAAAACAACAATGGTACTTTTTTATTTGCAAATCTCTTATAAGAATTAACTAAAATATTAAAGATAATGTTCCTGCCAAAAAAGTATGTTTTTAGATCATATTTTCTTCTTATTTGCATAGATGCTACTTGAGATTCTAGTCATATTGTCATCATTAATTCAATAGTTACCAAATATTTAATTGAATGTCTCCGATGATTTAGGTTTTGGAAATACAGTGCTGAAAAAAATCTTATTTTCTTGAAATTTACATTATAGTGAAGAAGGTAATTAAACAAAAACAAAGATATAATTATTTGTAATAAATTTAGTAAAATAGTCATACAGGACAAGGTTATAGACAATGAGTAAGATAAGTTGGTCAGGTATGGAGTTACTGAGTAGATGATATTTTAAGGGAAAAATACAAAGGAGTTAGGCATGCAGAGACTTTAAATAAAAAGAAATAGAAGGAAAGTGTTGCTCTATTGTAGTGAGAGGAAAGATTGTGGATACATTAAAAAGATAGGTACAAGCTGAGAGCCTTGTCATCCTTATTAAAGAGTATGATCATTTCATATGAAAATAGAAAGTTATGTGAAGATTTTTAAGTAGGGCAGTAGTATAATCTCGTCTACAGTCAGATTACAAATCCTTGTACAATCCATATTTGGTGTGTTCATGTATTAGAAGAAGGTGAGTAGGAAATCCAGACCAGTTACGGTATTATTTACACAAACCACAAATGAAGCATGTCATCCAGTATTAGAAGCAGAGAATATTAGAATATGCCCCAAAGAAGAAATTTAAAAATCAACTAAAAAAATTCAACACTTATTTTCTTCTTGTCTGTACCAAGAAGCCTAATTTATTTATTTATTTATTTTTTAGAAAAAGCTACACCCTAAGAACTGAGATTATACAGTTTGTTACCAATCTCACATGGAGTATCTGTGTTACACATGTTACTGCAGCAATCCAAAGTTTTATCAGTTCTAAAACAATGCTCCAAATTTACAGATAATATAAATGCAATCAAATTGGTATACTTTGATTTTCCTGATACAAAGTGCTACATCATTCTCTTGTGTGAAGACAGATAATTGGTTTACTTTCTCTAAAGCTTATCCTGCTCCTCAATTCCAGAATTTCGCCAACTTTGAGAACATTTTACTATGTACTAATCTTCTCATGTTGGGTTATACTAATATTACCTCAACTATATATCTCAATAAATTGAATACCTAGTCAAATTTCTCCTGTTAGTGGCTTTGATATAATTCAGGCAAGAGATAAAAGGAATTTGGGTAAAGGTAATAGCAAGAGAATGGAGGACAGTGTGTGTACATGTATGTGTATATAGAAACATGCATATAAACATGCTTATAAATATGTTTTATGCATATATAATATATTCAATAGATATATGGAAAGTACAAAGAATCAAACTTGATAAATCAAGAAACAGAAAGAGAAAAAACAGTGGTGATACAATTCAATGTCACAGAAGATTTTAGAAGAAGTTCTAAGAAAATAGCCGCTGCAGAAATGGAGTATGATAATACAAAGTACAGAAAGGGGAAATGAACATAATTTACTCTTGCAAAGAAGTTTGGCTATAAAGATCAAGTAAAAGGAAGATAAAATCAGAAAAAAAAATTCAGTTGAAGTGGGATTTTGAAAAGAATGATGTTTTATTTTGCTGTTGTCATTGTTGGACGTCAAAATATTTATGTACTTATGGGAAGAATTTGGTAGAAAAAGAGGTATTGAAGATCTGGCAAGGGGTTTAAGGAGCTGAATTTGAATCACATCCATAATAATGCACACAGACTTACATAGAAAAGTGGTTGGTAATATTCAGTAAGATAAACATTTCTTTGAATATTGAAAGAAAAACATAGGAAAATGTGTGCAAAAGCAGTCACTTATTATAGATAATAGCAGACATTTGAAGGAATTTCAAAAGGATGATGTTGCAGCCATTGACATGCATAACTCATATCTTTCTTCGAGAGGGAAACTGCTGTGAGAAGTGTAGTTAGCTGATCATCTCCAGTCACTGCCAATTCAGAATTCACTGATGTTTACTCTGAAGTCACCTATTGCCTGGATTGCTTCCAGCCAAAGTCTGAGCACTGAAACAGTATCACAGCCTGTCATTTAGGCCCAGTGCAGGCCTCTTCTAGTGAGCAATCTTTGTTCTGAAGGTCCCCATCCCCACAAGCTTGGCCAAGACTTTCTCAGAGCTGCGTCGCAACCTGAGGTTCTTTCTACCCAATTTTTCCTCCAACCTGTCTTATATCACAAGCGTCAGATCTGCATTGCAGTCTGAAGATTTTCTCTACCTACTTCTGTTCACTCTGTCTTTATCATTTACAGGCATGTCCCCAACTAAATCTTTTGTGTTCTTAATTCCATCTTGGTATCTATTTCTCAGAGAGTTTGAACTCACAGTGATAGATTATCAATCTTTGATGTAGGATTGCATTTAATAATGGCCTAGAAAAATTTAAAAGGTAAACTGCAAAGAGGATTTTATGCTTAGTTATTAGCATATTAGTTATTAAACATATCAATAAACTATAAGCTATGATAAGCAAAATACACAGGAGTAAGGCAAATGAATTATTATAAGCTTTCAGTAACAGATTCTAATATTATTAAACTTTATCCTTATAATAAAGAGAATATTACAGATTACATTGAATCTGCTTCTATTTGAACAAAATTGATTTGATCTTCAACTCAAATTATTAGCTATACAACATCACAAATGAAATAATGGAATGACAGATATAAAAAAATTAAAGAAAAAATGTGGTGGTTATATAAAATAATCATTGGAATGAGGAGTTGTATTTAATCTTAAAGCAATGAAACATTGTACAGAAATTATTGATATATGCAATTATAATAAAAATTAAGTGTCTGTATATTGCAAAAATTCTAAACAAAACTTAAAGACAAAGAACAGTATTAATGGGTACAAAAATACAGCTCGATAGAAGGAACAAGATCTAGTATTCAACAGTGCAATAGGAAAATTACAGTTAATAATTTATTGTATATTTCAAAATAGCTAAAAGATAAAACTTGTAATGTTTCTAACACAAAGAAAAGATAAATGTTTGAGGTGATAGATATTCCAATTACTCTAATGTGATCATTACACATTGTATACATGTATCAAAATATCACATGTACCCCAAAATATATACCACTGTGATATATCAATCAACCAATCATCAATAAACAATATGTAAAAATTCAATAAGCTTTCATACAAGTGTTAATATTTTCAGTATAACCATTTTACTGAAATTTGTATTAAAGAGATGACATCAGCAAGATGGAGAATAAGGAAAATTCAGGCCTTTTTTCTTCACAAGCAAATGGAGTTAACAACGATACGCCAACAAGAATACCTCCGTGAAAACTCTAGAGACCAACTGAGAAGCTACTGCACCAAGGCCATTGTAAAACCAAGAAAGCATTCCAGCAAGAAAGTATAAAAATTAGATGCTTTTTTCACACAGTCTGTGCTCCTCTTTCTACATGACATAGCCTACACACAAAACACATTATGATCAAACTAACTCAAAAACAAAAAGACAATCTTGAAAGCAGCAAGGGCACAGTGATTCATCACATACAATAAAGATTTCAAAAAATTATCAGCAGATTTCTCAGCAGAAAACTTGCAGTCCAGGATACATTGGGATGATATATTCAAAGTGCTTAAAGGGAAAAAAAATGTAAACCAAGAATACTGTATCTGACAAAACTGGTTTTCAAAATTGAGGGAAAAATTAGAACTTTCTCAGATAAACAAAAGTTGAGGGAGTCCATTAACACTAGATCTGCTCTGAAATACATGATAAAGGTATTCTTTTAAGTTGAAAAAAGGATGCTAGATAGCAACATGAAACCTAATGAAAACTTATAGCTCTCAAGTAAAGATAAATTACAGACAAATATAATAATCTGAATTCTTATAATTTTGATTCATATAATTTAAACAACAAAATATTTTAAACTATAAATCCAAGTTGATAAATGTAATATACAAAAACATCATTTGGGACATTAGTAACATGATGTGGTGGGAATGGCTATGTAAAAGTGTAGAGATTTTGTATGCAATTAAAGTTAAGTTGTTATAAGTTTAAAATAGAATGCTATAAAGTTAAGCTATTTTATGCAATTGCAATGATAACCACAAAGAATATATCTACAGAAAGCTTATCACTACAAAACATCAACAACACATAAAGAAAGGCAATGCATTAGTCTGTCCTCATGCTGCTAATAAAGACATACCAGAGACTGGGTAATTTCTAAAGGAAAGAAATTTAATTGACTCACAGTTCCATGACGGGGGAGGCCTCACAATCATGGCAGAAGGTAAATGAGGAGCAAAGTCACATCTTACATGGTTGTAGGAAAGATAATGTGTGCAGGGGAATGCCCCTTTATAAAACCATCAGATCTCATGAGACTTATTTATTATCATAACATCATGGGAAAGACCCACCCCCATGATTTAGTTACCTCCCACTGGATCCGTCCCATTACACATGGGAATTATGGGAGGTACAATTCAAGATGAGGTTTGGATGGGGACACAGCCAAACCATATTAGGCAGTAAAAAGGAAAAGAAGAACAAACTATTACAAGACTAAGAGAAAACAATGAACAAAATGAAAATGGTAAGTTCACTATCAGTAATTAAACAATACAATCAAAAGGCATGGGTGGCTGAATTTTTTTAGAAAGAAAACAGGATTTGAATTTATGTTAAGAGACATATATAAAGAGACTCATTTTAGATCTGAGGACATACCCAGGCTAAAAGTGAAAGGATAGGGTAAACCTGAGATTTCAGCACAAAATTTTTAGTATAAAGTGAGAGAAACAAGAGGGAGGCTGGTTCTCTTGCTCATATCAATAGGCTATCTGTGTCCTTCATCTTGGTGTTGCAGTGTTATTTCTGTCAGTATTATAAATATGTGGTTGACCCATCCTGTCAAATGTACCAACATTTTCGAAAGAATTCATTCAGATCTCTTATGCCATCAGAAAAGTTCCTTCTTGTGTAATATCTCTTTACCTCAGTCCTACATTTTGATTCTCTGGAGTAGATTTTAGCTTGTCTTAAAAAGTCAAATTTGGAGTCATCAAGCCTGCTGAACCTGATGGGGCAGCTTTTTAAACAGCTTTCCTGAAGCAAGAGATTCAGTTGAAAAGCCCTTTGATTGCTTCAGTCCGGGACATGGCCTTCAGATGGCTTATTCTCAGTAAAGCTTTATGTAGACTGTGACACTGTATATGTGTGACTCATACAACTTTGACGTGTTTCTGAAGTAGTTTAATCATATTTGTTATTAGCTTCTTTGTGGAAATGCAATTTTTATACTAAAAACATTGTTTACTTGCAATGCAGTACATTATGTATTTGTTGTTTATATTATTTGTATTAGTCTTAGCCTAATGAACCTAATTATTTTTCTTTCTGTATTCTTTGCTTCCTCAAACAGCATCTGCAGCAATTGCAATGAGAAATCCAGATATGTGTTTCAAGTAGTACGTTGCCTGAATCACAAATCACTTGATCACAGTATTGTATATAATCCCTGATCTTATTTGTTTCATTTTATTGTAAATTCCCATTTGCATCAAAACCTAATGATAGTGATTAATAAGTAAAAACAAATGGTGTATTGCTTTTCATCCAAGTGTTTTCACAGAAGCCATTTGCCTAGGAGGCAAAAAAAACTAATTTGTTGAAAAAAGTTTTCCTTTGTGTCCAAAAAAAAAAAAAAAGAAAGTGAAAGGATAGAAAAAGATGTTCTACAAAAATGTTAACCAAAAGAGAGCAGGGACAGCTATACTAATAGCAGATAAAATTGGACCTAAGTTAAATTAAAATAAATAAAGACATTATATAATAATAAACCAGTCAATTTGCCAAGAAGATATAACAAATATAAATATGTATGCCCCAAACCTTAAAACTCCTAAATAAATAAAGCAAACAGAATTAAAGGGAGAAATGGACAGCAGCACAATAATAGAAGGATACTTTAATACTCCACTTTAAATAATGGATAGAACAATCAGACAGAAGATCAATTAGTAAATAGAAGGCTTGAACAATACTATAGATTAATTCGACCTAGCATCCATATCCAGAACCTTCCACCCACCAACAGCAGGTTACACATTTTTCTAAAGTATGCAGGGAGCATTTTCTAGGATAGACCACATTTAGGCCACAAAAAAAATCTTTACAAATACAAGAAGGTTGAAATCACACAAAATATCTAGTGTTATCAAAATAAAATGAAACTAGAAATTCATAGCAGAAGGACAACTGGAAAATCCATAAATATGTAGAAATAAAACAACACAGTCTTACATAGTCAATGGGTCAAAGAAGTCACAAGAGAAATTAGAAAATGCCTTGATGCAAACAGAAAAATAAAAACACAACATATCAAAACTTGGAATGCAGTGAAAGCAGTGGTAAGATGAGGGTTTATAGCTATAAATATGCATATTAAAAATAGAAATATCTGGGCAGTCCCAGACTTAATATCAAAACATAACTTTATACTCAATAAATCAGAAAAAGAACAAACTAGACCCAAAGCCTACAGAAGGAAGGTAATAATAAAGATTTGTGCAGCGACAAATGAAGTAGAAAATAGGAAAGCAATAGAAAAGAACAAAGACATTAAGAGTTCTTTTTCGGAAAAGATTGACAAAATTGTCAAGCCCTTAGCTAGATTAACTAAAGCAGAAACAAAAGGGATATTACAATTAATGCCACAGATATAAAATGGATTGTAAGAGAATACTATGAACAATTATATGCCAATAAACTGGATAACCCATAAGAAATAAAAGCCTAGAAATATAAATCTTATTAAGACTGAATTCTGAAGAAAGAGAAAATCTGCACTAGTAAGGCATTTGAATGAGTGCTCTAATTGTCCCCACACCTCCTCAAAAAGTTCAGGAGAAGGTAGACTCACTGGAGGATTTTATCAAACATTTAAGAAAGAAGTAACACCAATCCTCCTGTAAGTCTTCAAAAACTTAAGGAGGATGGAATATTTGCAAGCTCTTTCTACGAGATGAGCCTTAGCCTGAAAGAAAGCATGAAAGAAAGGGAATTGTCAAATATCTAATGCTAATTAAAGGTCAATAACTCACAGTCTTGCATTTTTACCATCATTTAATCATGACCACAAACACTGTTGTTCTACAACATATCTATCTATATACTAAAACATCATACTTCATAACATTTTCTTAAGCTCTTAACTTTGGCCTTGGAAATTTAGCTGAATTGCTGTTGAAACTTGTAGAATTTTAACTATAAACAACACTGAATTTCTTAATTTTTTTGTTGTTTTTTGAAGACTATTTACAGTGTTAATTTAATAAATGTACCGTATCAAATTTAAAACAAAATTATATTTCTAACATTAAAACATTCTAAAGCACTACTAGAACATGACAACCCCAACAGTTAAATAGGCAAATATGTATAAAAATTTTAATCCATAAATGGCAAATAACCACTCACTAGTTCAATCTCCTTAGCAATCAAAGAAATTTGAATTAACATAACAAATGATACATTTCAAATTAGAAATTAGAAGAACATTAAAAATTGGCATCATTCAAATCCGGTAAGATTGTGGTACAACAAAGTCTAATGAGAATGTAATTCAGTCATATTTTTGTGGTGGAAGTGTAATTTGGTAATAATTTCAGGGTAGGTTTCTACTCTTCTGCCCTATTGAAGAAGCAGAGGCTGGCCATCACAGACTTAATAGTGCTGAGGAAACAAGACAACAATTGTACTCGGCTGGTTATATAAAGCATGAAAATGAAGGACAAAACTATATCCAGAAGCGTAACATTTGGGCCAAAGGTGTTCATTATAACCCAGATATAGAAAAGCAGGTAGAATATAAATCAAGAGTAAAACATAACAGTATTTGGAGCAATACAGCAGTTGGGTTATTTTGAGCAAGATAATTGCATTAAATATGAGGAAATCTATTTGAAAATATCAATCAAGGACATAGAAAAAGAAAGCGAATCTTCAGCTGATAAAGAAAAGTTGATGTGATACAGAAAATAAGCATTGGTAGCCAGATAGCTGTCAAGAGGATAGGCTACAGAATCAGATAGTCAAGCTATGAATCGAGTTCCAACATGTTATGGCCAATAATTCCATTTTATCCCTGTTAGGGGATATTGGTTGGCTTTCAAACTCACAGTTCTTACTTTTTTATATTCTAGAAATTTTATCCATTGACCTTATTCATCCAGGAAATGTTTTATTTTCTAAAGGATCCACATTTCACCATCTTTATTTATCTTGTCTCATTTCCTTTTAGCTATAATTTAAATTCCCACTTTAAAAATTGTGTCTTCTTGATAGGATTCAGATGACAATGGGGAGAAAATGTTTATGTTGGACAAAAGAAACAGTAGAGTTTTATATCCCTGGGAAAGGGTGCAGTGGGAATAGAAAGTTAAGGAAACTCATGAATAATATAAAAACTTTAGATTTGCTTGCATTATTTTTATTTTCCAAAAATAATTTTTTACATGTTAGTGGGAAGGTTTGGAGCATTATTTGTGGAAAAAATGCAATTCTCAACCATTTCATGTAGAAGGCATAAATTTTAAATCATCTATATTTTGCGTATGAATAATACTTTTTAACAAGATCAGAAGCTAGTCCTCACATTACTTGGGGCATGTATATGGGAACTTTTATGAAAAAGTATTGAATAAAACCTAGATGCGTTGCTTGGAATTGATTCTGATATTGAAAAGATTGTAATTACATGCCACGCTTCTATGCACAATTGTTTAATTTTTCAAACTTTAGTTAAGAATCCATATTAATGTTGAATTATTAGAGGAAGGGATACATCGCTTAAGGTAAGTGTCATCTCAAGCAGACTGGAAAATTTCCATATCCTCTCTCTAACTTCTGTCTCTACAATCCCCAATCTACATCAGTTATTTGAATACCAATTAGATAGCCAGAAATTACAGTTTCTGACAATGAAGTATCACTGAGTTGAGTTTAAGAAACATGTGGACAGAATTTTTTCCAAAATCTCACAGTTGCCTCTAGTCACCCTCAAGCAATTGCCACTCTGATAGAGTAGTATTAGATAATGATTGCTCCCTGAAACCGCATTTTGAAACATAACTACCAGATGTGTAAAATTTTCTTCTATTCAAACTTTTGTCTATGTTCAAACACAGGGTAAAATATAGGGGCTAAGAAAATAACATTTGGATTTCTCCCAACCTGGACTTAAACACCAGCTCTGTTACTTCCTCATTCAATGAGATTTGTCACGTTACTCAAACTTTTAAATCTGTGGTTTCATCTAAAAAATTTGGACAAAAGTTTCTACCTCATAGATAAATAAAAGGATTACCTTAACTAGAACACTGTGGGTAAGTTTCAGAGCAAATATTTAATGCATAATAACTATTATTACAGTAGTAGTAATATCTATTATTTTGAAAATTTACCTCTATTATATCTGAATGATGATTTATTGAAGTAGCAATAGCACATTCTAGACCCCACTTAATACCACCATTATTATGAAAGTGAAATGTAATAATTTGATTAGTGGAAGCAGAGAATTAAAGTTTTACTAAACCACTGAAACAGGTTCACTAGGAACCCATTATTTACTAGGCAAAAGTAAAGCTAACCTTAGTGAACACTGTCTAATGAACCAAGTACAACTACTTGCAGTGGTGACAATAGCTAAAATTTATGTTCAAGCCATTGAAAGAAATTTTATTTTCTCTACCCTATGGTCATGAGTTTCTAATTGAATACCAGTGAGAATAAAGGAAGAAAAATTGTTCACCAAGAATTGAATTGAGTCCAAAACTATGTAAACACATCTAATATCAACTTTAGGTGACATCCAAGTCCAAGAAATGGCTTCCAGAATCCGTGGAGGCAGCCAAATCATAAAGATTAAGATCAAAACAGTTTTTTATACAAAAATTAGCCAGGCGTGCTAGCAGTTACCTGTAATTCCAGCACTCGGGAGGCTGAGGCAGGAGAGTCGCTTGAACCTGGGAGGCAGAGGTGGCAGTAAGCAAAGACTGTGCCACTGCACTACAGCCTGGGCAACAGAGCAAGACTCCATCTCAAAAAACAAACAAACAAATGGTTTTTTTATTGTACTTATTCCAATTTGCATAAAACCACAAGGTATGCTAGAGAATTGAAAAGTCGTCACTGTTGCTAAATGTTCTGTAAATAGTAACTAGATAAGTATATTAGCTTAATCAAAGGCATTCATTAAATCCACATGGAGATCAGCTGCTGGGGATGCTGTGTTGGGCATTGTGAACAAGGCAGCCTAAAGTATAGAGTCTTACACTCCTTGAAACAAACAAACTAAATTTGGCACTAAAGACAAATGAAATAGCATTAATCAAACATAGTAATAAGAAATGTATATGTATTTTGATGTAAGACAGAAAAAAATAAGAAAAAAATCTTCATATTTCAAAATAATTTTATATCAAAGGCATCTCTTTCATTGTTCCTTTAAAGAAATAATTATCAATGCACTTACATCAAAAGAAGTTTGATTCAATCCCAATTTGAAATGTTTCATTAATTACATACACTGTGACATATTTAACAGATGTCATTTGAACTCATTTGCAAAAGCTGGAGGAAGTAGTCAGTGTAGGGTACACTCAGCAACCCGTGAATTTCAAAATTGTCATCTTCAGAATTATCAGAATAGAAAGACCTCTGTATGTTCTTACATAATGGATTTTCATATGAGTGGTTGCCTTTATTACACCATATTTTAACTAATATTTCACACTAACAGGATATTCTAGCACGTGTGTGAATGTGCTAGAAATTACAGTTTCTGACAATGAAGTATCACTGAGTTGAGTTTAAGAAACATGTGGACAGAATTTTTTCCAAAATCTCACAGTTGCCCCTAGTCACCCTCAAGCAA